>NC_000010.11:123496116-124121200 GCF_000001405.40 Homo sapiens
AGGAAAATTAATCAAAAGTGAGTACTCTATGTCTTCTGGTCAACTTGAATTCTTTGTGGAGACAACTTAGTTGAGATGACTCCTCCTGGAATTCTTGGTTCTTGGGCCTCAGCACTGTTTCCTCTTCCACAATTATTCTCTTGACATCTTGGAATTTAGAATGTATTAAGACATGCCGCTCATTCCCAGTCCTCCTCCCCCCACCACTCTGTGCAGATCTGGGGCTAACGGGACTGTGGACCTCCTTTAAGGAAAGGTGCAGACCAAGGATCAGCCCCCACATTTTTTTTTTTTCTATAAAGGGCAGATAGTAAATAATTGAAGCTCTGTGGGCCATACAGTTTCCGCCTTTACTACTCAACTCTGCCACTGCAGTGGGAAAGCAGCCATAAACAATACATGAATGAATGAGCGTGGCTGGCTTCCAGCATAACTTTATTTATAAAAACAGCTGGTGAGCTGGATTTGGCCCGCCTCTCATAGCCTGACGACTGTTAGTGTAGACAGTCAAACGGCTTGGGTCCCAACTGTCTTTTCAAGCCACCTTGCCTCTTGGCTCCTACACAGGCCTGTCTTGCTGCTGAGATTCAGAGAGGGGGCTAATGCTGGCTTCGCCTGTCCCCAGAGGGGTGTCAAACCTGATGATGCCACCTTGACAACCATATTGACTTGGTCCAAGCACACAGACTGTTTGAGGAGTGTAATAGAATGCAGAAATATGCCCAGAAACGTTGACTTTAAGGGCACATGTAAGTGGGCCTGGAGTTTCCATAACAGGGCCAGCACCTCCTGGTCCAACTTCTCATCATTTCACAAAAGGCCATTTGTCAGAAATTCCTTCAGTGTCCACTGTTGACATTGCTGTCACTCTCTACTGGCGAGTCCCTATCACTGATGTGACGGACAGTTTAAAACATGCTTAGAACGGCTGTCAGCCATCCTTTTGAGAAAAGCCCACCAGGACCCGATTAAAAACAGAGCTTGTAGCTGAAGCCGTTCTTGCCTTGATGACACATAGTAAGTGGCAGGTAATCCTCCTCCTAATCTCCTCACTGCCCCACAAGGCTTATGGTAACTGATATCCCTGTGAATGCCACGGAGTCTGATTGAGTTACCTGGAGAGGCCAGGGCTTCTTCCTGCCCCTTTCCTAATGGAATGTATTTAGATAAAGGCACCTTGAAGTTGGCCACAGTCTCCTGAGATGTTGCTCTAAAGGGAAAATTTGATTTCCCCTAAGCTGCAGCCGATATTACTTTTTTATTTTCCCTGAAGCATTTCACCCAACATGCCTCGCCTGGCCATTGCACACCTGTCTACAATTACAGCCAGGGGGTGGGGCAGGGAGGACCCCTGGGGCTTAACTGCTTCCTATTGTGGCTGCAGCCTTTGATTCCAGGGTCAAAGCAACCCTTGCTGCTGGGGGATTTTACTTTCAAAATTCTGACTTTTCCCACCACGATTAAGAACTGCTTTGTAGCCTGTACTGCTGCTGACACGAAGGTTTAATGGACCCGTTGGGATTGGAAGACCAAGTGGTTTGATTCAGTCATTTGTGAGTTTGTCCCTGCTCCTGGAGCCTCTCACTGGAGACATGGAAGGCAGCCCTGTGGAGCAGAAAGAGCCCTGGACTGCTCCTTGGAACCTGGCCTCTCCTCTCTGTGTCACTGACTTACTCTGGGGGTGACCTTGACCTGGTCCCTTCCCTCGGCCCATTTGCGAAACAGGGAAGCCTAGTTAAAAGATCACTCAGGTTTAGGGGTGCCAGACCTAGCAAATAAAAACACAGGATGCCAAGTCCAATCTGAATTTCCAATGAACAATGAATAATTGAATATTATTCAGATGAACAATGAATACTTTTTCTAGCATAAATTATGCTCCTTGCAACATCAGAGACACACTTTAAATATTATTATTTATCCAAAATTCAAATTTAACTGAGCATACTATATTTCACTCTCCTCATGTTGCTTTTACCTCAAGTAGTTTCTGAATCCATACTTTGAGATACATATTTTTGGTTTTGCTATCCAGTGGCTTTTGGTAGCCACAAGCAAGGGATAAGTGTGAAATGTCTAGATAATTCTGAAAATGTATCTTCCCTGACTTGTACTCAAGCCCAAACCCATGTCTTTGGAAACATTGCTTGGTGACCGTGTCTTCAGTGCATGGTACCTGGTAGATGCTCCATGAGTACTGGCTGAATGAATGAATGGATGGCACATTTCAACCTTTGTATGACCTTCGTGTAATACATGCTTCCATTTAACAGAGCTACCAGGTCTTCCTGACACATGCCCCATCCTTTCCAGAGCACTCTGCCTTCGTTCAAGATAGTTCCTGCCCTACGAGCCAACTTTCGTCAGACAGGGGCAGCATTGCACAGTGGGTAGAATCATGAGCACTGGAGCCAAATGGCTTGAGGTTGATTCCTGCTTCTACCATTGTGTCCTTTTGGAGAATTTCTTTTAACTCTCTGTGCTTCTGTTTTCTCATCTATGAAAAGGGGTAAACAATAAAACCTACTAAGGCAGTTGTGAGATGAGATAATGCATAGATGTCATTATTATTTAGAATTATAAAGGTTCTTATGAGATTCCATCTGCAAATCCTAATCCCAACCATTATACAAGGGCCACCTCCTCCATGAAGCCTCAATGGTGATCCTCTGCCCTACTCCACAGGTAAAAACAATCTCTCCCCTTAGTGCTTTGGATACAAATGAACTGTGGCTATTTCTCTGCTGTCCTACAGATTGCACGTTATTTGTGGGAAGGATCACCTGGGTGTTTACTCATTGTCTGGTGCATAGAGGAGGCCCAAGGCATCTGTGTTGATTGAGTGAAGTAATAAATCAATTAAAACACACATTTGCTATAGGAAAGAATTCCCAGACAAGTTAGAGTATGGCATCATGATCCTAGGAGGTGTTTTTATCTGATGCTCTCACCAACTAGCTGAGAGATTTGTGCAAGGAAAGAGGGAGACCCCCAATAGAATCAGACTGCAGATGGTACCTCTGGGGTCTGTCATGAAGGGACACAGCTTGGTAGGGGTGAAAGTAGGGGATCGAGTCCAATAGATGCAGGTGAAAACCCAGTTCTATTCTTTTACAGCTGAAGACCTCCAGAACCTTCCTTTTAGGAATAGATGGGGGAGGGCTTGGGTGTGGAAGAGAGATGAACAACTACAAGGGCTTAGCACAAAGGGTGCTGATATGGTTTGGCTGTGTCCCCACCCAAATCTCATCTTGAAATGTAACTCTCACAATTCCCACGTGCTGTGGGAAGAACCTGGTGGAAAGTGATTGAATAATGGGGGTGGGTCTTTCCTGCGCTGTTCTCATGATAGTGAATGAGTCTCACAAGATCTGATGGTTTTAAAAATGGGAGATTCCCTGCACAAGCTCTCTTTGCCTGCTGCCATCTGTGTAATACGCGACCTGCTCCTCCTTGACTTCTGCCATGATTATGAGGCCTCCCTAGCCATGTGGAACTGTTAAGTCCATTAAACATCTTTTTCTTCTCAATCTCGGGTATGTCTTTATCAGCAGTGTGAAAACAGACTAATCCAGGTGCTCTACAAATGTTTAAGTGTCTAGCATCAGCAAGGCCTCTGTGACGCTGGGCCTGGGGGAGCTCCACAAAAGGCTCCTGTTCATGTCTGACCACAGAATAGAAGGTGGGCCTGCAGCTGAGAGTCCTGATTCCATTAGGCAAGGACGTCATTATCCCTAAGGTTAAGGAAAACATGAAGTCCTGGCCCATGTCCTGCAAGATGATGATGGAGAAGAGGGAACATCTCAAAGTCACTGCCTCCCTTGCCCACACGGGCACAGACTCAGAGGCCTGGGAGCAGTGAATCCAGCAAACTCTCCCTCCCTGCTGTGCTTTTCCCATGGCTCTGAGCCTGATATATGGTGTTCACATTCCCTACCCCACCAGCTTCTCACCCCAAGGATAAAGGTCATTCTGAGCTTCAGCGGTTTGAGCTAGTAAAGATTTTTATAAAAACTCACTGTCTTGATTTGTGTTCAAGTACTTTAAAGTTCACATATTTCTTATTTGAACTTTGCTGGCTGCAGTCATTTCATCCGCAATCAGCCTGGATTGGTTCTGCTTATTCAGAGCCCATCAATTACCCAGAACTGGACTGGAGCACACGCTGCCCATTCATTGGCTTCGCCCCAGGCTAGCCGATTTATCTGACATTTAATAAGGAGTTTTAGATTTTGCAGCTTATCAGGAGAGCACTGCGCGAGTGCGGGTGAGCTGGTGAATCCCAAATAAGTGGGCTGCTCAGGGATCTCTCTCCTCTTCAACCCACTCTTTGTCATGCAACACTGCTCTGAGTGTTAGGATCTCCTTCCTCCTTCCTCTGCTTCTGTTGTGCCTTTTTTCTTTTCCTAAAATTGTTTTATGGTTGGTGTTTTAAGATCCCTTTCATGTTGAGAGCCCAACCTTGGGGAGAATCCCAAATCAAGCTCTGACATAGAGAAACTGTGGAATTGCAAATCAAGATGGGGAAGCTCTATATAATGATGAAAGTTCAAGTTAACCAATAATGACCATGGAGGTGAGGAAGACAAGATCTCTGCCCTAAAGGACAGGGCACTGTGGGGTGGGAGAGCAGACATGGCATAAATCATTCAGTCCCAGACCGGCTGAGCTGAATGCTCTAATAGAGGCATAAACAGAGCATAATGGGAATGTTCGGGGCCGGGGAGAGATTGATAATCTTGGTTTGCACCTTTTAGTTCTGGCTTAGACAATGAATGCATATTCACACATTTGACCAAGTAAGGAACTCTGATGTTTTATTAAGCTGCTTTACAGTTTCCTTCGAATAATAAGACAAATGTATTAAATCTGTTTCTCCCTTACAATGGTAAATTCCATTTTCCTGGGCACATTTTGTACGTTTATCCTGCCTAACTTGGGTTCTCATCCTTAAATGCTCCTTATGACAAAAGCTTCACTAAACATAAGAACACAAGTTGGAATGTGAAATCTGTGCTCTGATCATTCAGAGCATTTTTGTGTGAAGAAGTTAATTCTTTGCTACTTTCAACACTATTTCTAGGATTTTCTTCCCTGGGATTTTCACTAACATTTCAGGTCTTTTTACTCACAAGTTCAACGTGTGCTCTCACATCAGCATATGAAAATCTTTTTCACTACCCTCAACAGTGGTGGTTTTTTTTTTTTAAATTTAGACACTGAATTCTAGGTTCTTTCACATGTTGCTATTATTGTCTTTCTCTTGTGTAGCTTCTGCAAAATTGGCCCCACAGATTGTCTCCTTCTGTCTCCTAGGGAGGTGGTTAAAGATGCAGGGTCTCAGCAACCACCCCTGAGATTCTGATTAGTAGGGCCGAGATGGGGCCATGGTTCCTATGCACAGAAAAGTCGGGGGACAAGCTCTACACATTATGCCTCAACAGCCCCATCCAGCCCCAAAGTTAGTGCTGGCTCCTGCAGAGGCCTCCCCAGTGAGTGTCAGATCTGTGGCTGCAGCAGCTGCTGCAAAGCCCCTTGGATGGCCCACAAACACCCCAAACCCACCATGCCCCAAGGCAAACTCATCACCTCCTCCCCAAGTCTTGTCTACCCCATGTGCGCCATCTGTGTGGGCATCACCTATGACACAAACTTCCCTCTCTCTTTTCTCTGGCATCCAATCAGCTACTAAATCCTGAGATTCCATCTCAAAAAACATCTCCACGCCTTCTGTTCACCTCCGTGTCCATTACCACTCCCCTGGAGTAGGCTGTCAGCATCTCTCACTTCAGCTGGTCAAAGTTCCCCACCCCATTTCTTGCTTGGCTTACTTAATTCACTATACTAAAGCCAGAGGGATTTTCTTGTTTTCTAAATGGCCAATCCAGTCTTCCTATTTGTCAGCCCAAGTGGCTCCCATTGTGCTTCAGATGGAGAGCTTCTCTCCATCACGGCTCAGAGGGCCCTCAACCTATCCGTCTCCTGCAATTCCCTATTCCGCCTCTCACTGTGCTTCATCTCCCCTTCCTGACCCGACACCCTGGGTTTCTTCCAGGACCTCACACTGCTGTGCACTCACACCTCCAGGCCTTGCATCTGCCATCTCCTTGGCCTGGCCTGAGGTGCCCCTGCTTTACCTGCAAAGGAAACATGTCCTTCTTGTCTGAGAAGTCATGTCCCACCTTCCTGGGTCAGCTCCCTGGCTCCAGTCCTGGAGGAGCCTGTTTTGCCCTTAATATAGCACCTGCCCTCCATTATCAAAATTGCCTGTTGGCCTGGCCGTTATCACCAGACCACACCCTACAAAAGCAGGACCCATTGACCTGGTTCTCAGTGATGCCAACGACCCTGTCATAGTGGTTGAATCATATAAACTTGCTGATTTTTTACCAACCATTTTTTTGCCTATAAAAATGACTGTTTTGAATGGCTCAACCTAATACCTGTCATTCATAAATTTCAGTCAAATGAGAATGTAAACATAGTATCTCTTTGTTTTAATGAGAATGTCTTTGATTGTCAGTGAAGCCTAACTCTCTTAAATGGTGTAGACTTTTGAATGCAAATGTCAACTCGTTGTATGAGGCTCACAAAATGGGTGTAAAGATTCAAAATGGATTCTTTTAAGATCGATGTTCAAATCACATCTCTTATTCCGTTGGATCAGGGTTTCACACCTGAGCAGCATCGAAGGGGCCACTGAAGTGGAGCAGAGGAATCGTTTGAGGAGAATCTCAAAGAGGACTCACCTGCTTTTGTAGAATTTATGCCACGAGATTAAATGCTCAGATGATAATATTTCACAAGTTACATGTTTGCTTATGGAATATTTTTCTCCTAGTGAAAATATGATTTGTAGATAATTACTTTAGAAACACACTCACTTTTTATTTTCAAGATTAAACATTCCCAATGGCCACGTTGGTCTATGGGAGATTTATTTGACTTCTGAAGATAAATAATAAATTGCCTAGTTTCAGTTGCCTTTCTTGCCCTATTCCATTTGCTGAGAATGTGTAGATCAATGGAAACATTTTTTTCCCCTCAGATCTTAGTTAGCAAGAGGCTGCCATCTATAGATCCTTGACCCAATTGCACACTGGTTTCAGAGACTAAAGCAGCAGGGGCATTATAGGCCTTTAAGAGTTTTATATCTTTTAACTCTGAGGATTAGGGTTTTAGGTTTTTGACAGGCTTTTATTTCTAATTTAATTTGCTTTATTTTGCAAAGAAGCTCAAAATGCTTATTGTAAGAAAGACATAAGGGTTGTCTAGCTTCCCTTTGTGCAGATGAAGAAACGGAGGCCTGCAGATGTCGGAGACTTGCTCTCTGGTATCATCCAGGACATTGGGGCAGAGCTAGGACCTGCAGCCAAGCTGAATGTTTATTTCCCAGGTATCCCCGCCTTCCTGATTCAGGGAAACAAGGCTTTCTTGGCAGAGGGGTGCCAGCACCACAGATGGAGTACAGCCCAAGTTGATGCCATAGCAGCTGCGTTTCCCCACCAACGCTACAGAGTCACTGCTATAAAGAAGAAAAATTCTGGCTGGGCACAGTGACTCATGCCTGTAATCCCAGCACTTTGGGAGGCCAAGGCGGGCCTGAGGCCTGAGGGGAAAAAACAAAAATTTTTTTGAGGTGGAGTCTCGCTCTGTTGCCAGGCTGGAGTGCAGTGGCGTGATCTGGGCTCACTGCAACCTCCGCCTCCAGGGTTCAAGCAATTCTCCTGCCTCAGCCTCCCAAGTAGCTGAGACTTACAGGCACCTGCCACCATGCCCAGCTCATTTTTTTTATTTTTAGTAGAGACGGGGTTTCACCATGTTGGCCAGGATGGTCTCAAACTCCAGACTTTTCCTTTTCTTAAAAAACAAAAAAAACAAAAAAAACAAAAAAAACGGAGTCTTGTTCTGTTGCCCAGCCTGGAGTGCAGTGGTGCAATCTCAGCTCACTGCAACCTCTGCCTCTTGGGTTCAAGCAATTCTCTCTGCCTCAGCCTTCTGAGTAGCTGGGATTATAGGAGCCCGCCACCATGCTTGGCTGATTTTTGTATTTTTAGTAGAGACAGGGTTTCACCATGTTGGCCAGGCTGCTCTCGAACTCCTGACCTCAGGTGATCCACCTGCCTTGGACTCTCAAAGTGCTGGGATTATAGGCATGAGTGACTGTGCCCGGCCAGAATTTTCCCTCTTTATAGCAGTGACTCTCCTTAGTTCTTTAGGGAAAAATAATAATGATAATGATGATAATGAAAATAACAGTAATAATTGCGTAAGCAAGGTTGTGGGGGGAACAGAGTTTATAATCAGTATTGTGTTCATGAAACGCTTCTGCATGTAGCAACAATATTATGAAAACAGCAGTGAAGGTATCTGCTTCTAATTAAGACAAAGTGGGAGGACCACACAACTTTAAAAGTGTGTGTTATACAGAAACAAAGGGGTTTGACTGTTCCCAGCTGCCCTCAAGTTTAAATCCACCATGATCCTGCCAAAGCTGAAATGCCTGCTCCCTGCTCACTCCCAGATGCCAGACTCATCAACAAAGGCCCACTTGTTCCTTGGGATTTGTGTCTTGATGCATTCTCAAAGAGAGGTTTCCAGGGCACCAGTCACCTGCAGCTCACCTGAAGATGGCACATGGCATGTCGCTGTGCCCCCCTCCCCATCCATGTGCTCTACCTGGCAACTTGTTTCTCCCCACCTGAAAGTTGACCTGAGATGAAACTTGCTAAGGTAAAAATGATACTGAACACATCAGTTCAAGGGTGTCCCCCAACATGGTGGGGGACCTCTGGCCCTGACCGCTTATGGACAGTTCCTTGTGGCTACTCCTGCACTCTGACCCCTAGAAGGGCCAGAGTCCCAGGGTGGTGGACTACAATAAACACAGGAAAACAGTCAGCATAGAAATCCCTGTTGTGGTGCAGGTAGGCATAGCCCATGGGATCTTGCTCTCTCCCCAGTCTAAGAAAGTTGTACGTTTCAGGTCCTTTGTGGCGACAAAGCTGTACTTGGCATCTGTGTGTCTACTTTGTCCACAGATCCTGGCTGCTCTCCATTACCTGACCCATCCTACATCTCTGGCCCTTTCTCCTGCCCCTGCCTGTCTGGCACCAGGCTCTCCCAGCACGGTGAGCTGAAGTGCCTGTTTCTGGATGCTCCCCCAACTCAGTTCTTCCTTTGTACCTATTGCTCCCTCTGCCCCAATAGCCTCACCT
Source organism: Homo sapiens (assembly GCF_000001405.40). Lineage (NCBI taxonomy): Eukaryota > Metazoa > Chordata > Mammalia > Primates > Hominidae > Homo > Homo sapiens. The sequence goes on from NC_000010.11 coordinate 123,505,335, forward strand.
TGCCCCTGTATGCTCACCATATCCTGCTCCTCCTGTAGAACCTAGGACCACCATCATTCCTCCAGGAGCCTTCCGTGGCGTCCCACTCCTACATGGGATTGGTTGCCTTTCTTTAAGCTACCAGACTCCTATAGGCTGTGCCTCCATTTTGGTTCTTACTGTCCTGGACTTGAATTCCGTGATGGTGCTGCCATCTCTTGCATAGCATTGTGATCTCTTACAGGATAAGGACTGTGCAGATTCACCTTTCTGTTTCCAAGGTGGCCCTGGGAGCCTGCTGTGTCTTAGGTGTTTCTGAGGATTTAATGATGGAGAGAATGCATGGAACAGCATGAACACACCCCAGTGGGCCTTTCTCAGCAGAGACCGTGCCAGGGCAGGATTCTTTGTGTCTCAGAATTTCACTTCTGATAGCTTAAAGCAGAGGTTGGAAAACTCTTTCTGTAAGAGTCAGAAAGCAAATATTTTAGTTTTTGTGGGCCAGTCTCTGTCATAACTACTTAACTCTGCCATGTAGTGTAAAAGCAGTCATAGCCAATACATATACATGTGAGCATGATTATTCCAAGAAAACTTTTTACAAACACAGGCAGAAAGCTGGATTTGGCCCAGCGCAGGGATAGTCTGCCAATCTCTGGCTGAGGGTTTGAAATGGAACCATCTTCTATGACTGCAGGTAGATTTTCCCTTGTCGGTTGGCTTTTGTCTCTATGGCTGCTAGGGGGATCCAGGGCAGGGCAGACGAGTGTCTTACACTTGGCTTACTCTCTCCTTTTTCTTTGAGCAATCATAAGAAGGGCCTCTGGAGGTTGCGGTGAGCCGAGATCGCACCATTGCACTTCAGCCTGGGCAACAAGAGCGAACCTCAGTCTCAAAAAAAAAAAAAAAAAGAAGGGCCTCAGAATCTTCTTCTGACCCTCCAGGTAGCTTTCTCAGTACTTTTTGTGTCTTGTCGCCCAGATAACTAGCCCCAGGTCATTCTAAGAATGATCCATATCCACTAGAGCTGGGAGAGATAAGCCAAGTGTCTTCTCTGGCTCTCTCGGGTCTTCTCCATATACCGCTGGTTGGGCTTTCTCTCCTCCTCCAATCTCAATCCTGATTTCCTTCCTGCATCTTCCCATGCAGAACAATGACAACCCAGATAGTCTTCCTCCCGCCAGCTAAGGCTGCATCACAAACCATTGACAAACATCAAATGACAACAGCACTAACTTTTCTCTTGAATCTGTAATCTGCTCTACTTGGCAAAAGCTGGCAAGGCTCAAAGACTGGGGGCTGGAATCCTCTGAAGACTCACTCACTCACTGTCTGGCACCCAGGCCAGGAAGGCTCCAAAGGCAGGCAGGGGGGCAGCTAGGATCCCCTGGATGTCTCTCTCGCTTTTTTTTGAAATGGAGTCTCACTCTGTGGCAGTGGTGCAATCTCCAGGCTCACTACTAACTCCACCTCCTGAGTTCAAGTGATTCTCCTGCCTCAGCCTCCTGAGTAGCTGGGATTACAGTCATACACTACAACACCCAGCTATTTTTTGTGTTTTTAGTAGAGTTGGGGTTTTGCCATGTTGGCCAGGCTGGTCTTGAACTCCTGACTTAAAGTGATCCACTTGCCTCAGCCTTCCAAAGTGCTGGGATTACAGGCGTGAGCCACCATGCCCAGCCCTCCCCTGGATTTCCATCTCTGCTAACCTTCTCCACACCGTCTCTTCAGAATGGTGGCTTCTGGGTTACCGATTTCCTAATGTCAACTCGGGGATCCCAAGGTGCATGTCCCAGAAGAGCCAAAAAGCCTTGTTACCTTTTATGGCTACTGTGGCTTGAATGTGTCCCCAAATTTCATGTATTAGAAATTTAATTCCCAAATTCAAATGTTGATTGGAGGTGAGGACTCTGAGAATTAATTAGGATTAGGTGTGGTCATCAAGGTGGGGCCCCCATGATGGATGTTGAGAGGCTAAATTACAACACACCTAGTTTTGTAGCTCTCAGTTGGCTTTTGTGATTCTAGAATTGGGCAGTAGTTCTGATCAAAAATAGTTCATAATGCTTTGCCCCACCACATATTCAGATTGTATTTATAGCCCAGAGTAAAGGAAGTGATATACAGAAAATGGAAGTGAGGTACAGAGACAACCAATTGGTTACAGCACCCATCTGTCTTATGTAAACATGGTTTGAACTGTTGGCTGCATGTTGTTGGCTGAGACTCAGCTATTTGTTCTTAAGTCAGGTTTTTTGTTTGTTTACATACTGAATTAGGTTGCAGTTAGAAACTCATACAGAGGCCTCTTTGTGCCAATTTTAGTTTGATTTAGCACGGGACTCATGGCTTTATAGAAGGAGGAAGACAGACCTGAGCTGATGTGCATACTCTTGATCTCTTACTATGTAATGCCTTCCACCATGACACAGCAAGAAGGTCCTCACAGGATGCCTGCCCTTTGATCGTGGACTTCCCAGCCTCCAGAACCATGAGAAATAAACACATTTTCTTGATAAATTTACTAATTTTCTGGCATTCTGTTATAGCAACAGAAAATGGACTAAGACACCAATCTAGCCTCAGAAGTCACATAGGATTCTTCTGGCACATTCTATTCATTGAAGTAGTCACAGAGTCCTGCCCAGGTTCAAGGGAGTCAAAATGGACTCCATGTCACAATGGGAAGTGGTGATCATCTGGAAGAGCATGTGGGCCCATTTTCTGGGATATCTTCTCTGTCACATTCCCCTTCCTGGGTCTCTGCCATATGTCTGGCACAGATGAAGAAATTCAGGTTTAGAGAGGATAAGCAGTTTATTTACCTAACTCCTCAAAAGTTACCGAGCCCAGGTCTGTCTGGCTTACAAAGTCCTCCCTGCCTCATCCTGGGACGTTTCTTTAACTGCATGTAAACCATGCTTTGGGTGCCTCCATTATCCTCATGTCTTTAGGGAGTTCCCTGTTCTTTGATGAGAGAAACACAGATACATTCTGGTAGAGTCTAGAAGACATGAAACTTGGGGTCCGGGCTTCCTTCTCCAGCTGGGCTCAGCTGTTGCTTAAGGTGGGAGGCAGCAACAGTGATGCTGGATGTGACACATTTATTAACTCACCATGACAGTGATGAGCTGGTAATTAAGGCTGGTGTTCCACACAGTCTCAAACTCCCTTGTGATTCCTGGTGCAGGGTTTTATTCTCAGAAAGTCATTGTCCACAAGGAAATCTGAGAAGCCAGCAGAACAAGATTCAATGGAGGAGCAACTTCAGCATTTGCTCTGCTCTTTTCTCCAAAGCAAACTGATTAAATCACTACCCCAAATTCTATTGTCATAAAGAGACTCAGGCTGGAGTAGGATTCTTCAATATGGGGTGGGCCAGGGAGTCATAGGTCACCAGAGTTCATCTCAGTTTATATATAAGCTTTCTGATAGAGGCCAGGTTTTCATTTTAATCTTATTTTTAGTACATTTAACATCTCCTAAGAGGTTTATTCTTCTTTACTTCTTAAATTATAATGTCTTTACTGTCCAGAAGGCTTTAAGGCTACTAAAGTTCAGGGGGATTATTATTTTTTAAAATAAGAATGGTTTTATAGGCTTTCAGAGATACCAGGGCTTTTGAAGACATCATATTGAGCTCCCCCATTTTACCAAAGAGAAAACTGAAGCTCAGAGAAGGGAAGTGACTTTCCCAAGGTCACACAGCACTGCTGTGTGGTTGCTACTTAGACCAGGGTTTTGCCTGTTATGCCTCTCTTGCTATCATTTGGCCTCTGTCTAGGGACTCATGCTCTCAACTTCTGAGTTAGGTGTGTGCTTTTTCTGTTTTTTGTTTTTAGTTTTGTTTGTTTGTTTGTTTGTTTTTGGCCCAGCTGCAAGTTAGTCAGCTGCGGCTCTGAACATATTCCAGATGATTCCAGCACTTTCTGGACCACCAAGGACCATGGTAGCAATTCATCACACTGGCCTGTGACTTCCCTTTATCGCTCTGTCAGATCGCACTGTCTTTTGTGCTGCCACTGGGTGATGAGTCTGGTGTGTGGCTGAAGAAGTGGTCTGACCCAAGAGCATGGGGACCACAGTTTAGGTCCTCCTGACTCTGCCATGGCCCCACCTCAGTACCTGGGCCCAGGACTTGCGAGCGCTGGTGTTTGACTGACTGTCTGGTTGAAGAAGGCCTCCTCCTAGGCTGCCTCATTCCCTTCTCCTTTCCTCCTGGGCAGCCATCATGCTGTGGCCACCACACTCTCCTCCCCACCTGCTAAGTATGGCAGCCAGCCTGTACCTCCTCACCAGCCCTAACAGGGGTCTTGGACTTCCTGAATTCCAGCAGGAAATGTAAAATGTGATTCACCTGGCACTGGTTCTTGATAGCACAATCTTTCTCCCAGTTTGTCTGATTTGATGATGATGAAGAAGAAGGAGGAGGAAAAGGAGAAGGAAAAGAAAACACAGGCCCCATGTTCTACCCCTTACATATAAGAACTTTTAATTCCAGGACTTCAGCATCTCTGGAAAATTCCTGGCACCCTTCCCTTGACTTATTGACCTTTCTTATTTCCCACCCGGCTGGTGTTTCTCAAAGCCTGATCCTCATATGTCTTTTTCTTCTGTATCTGAATGGTCTGGGATATGTTTTAAAATGTAGGTTCCTGAGCCCCATCTATGACCTAACACATCAGACTTTGTGAGGATGGAGCCCAGAAACCTGCAGTCTAAGCTTCTCAGGTGATTCTTAAGCACCTAGAGCTTGAGACTGTGGGCTTGGGGAAAGCTTTGTCACATGTCCCTGAGGTCTGCTCTACTCATCTTCTTCCCCTCTACTGAGACCTGTCATTGTTCTTTGTCCCAGTTAAAAGTCTGTGTTAGTGAGAATGATGCAAGGGATGTTAGGGACCCTCAGATAGTCTTTGCTCTCTTCACTTCCAACCAGTTTTTCACTCAGACGGTTTTTTCCCTATCTCCTGACTCAGGCAACCTCATCATTTTCCTCTGAAAGTAAAAATTGTCTGTGGCCAACAACTCAACCTCAGAAGAAAGCCTGAGGTTGCTTTAGTTCCACTGGTTTATTCTTTCTTTCCCGCCTTCCTCTCCTCCTTCCAATCTTGGGCATCATTCTGCCCCCTGAGATGTTTTACTTGCTCCCCAAGACCCCCATGCAGCAGCCTTTGTCACTGCTTCAAACTTTTTCTCTTTTTTGCTCTTCTCTTTCTCAATTCCTCTCTGACTTTTTGGGGTCCAGGAATGGTCAATTACTTGGGCTGATATGGTTGGCTTTTCAAAGACCCACATAGGGGTTGCAGCACAGACCTTTTGGCCAAGCAGCCACCAGACCACCTCTCTCCCTTCTGGCTCCCAGCTTTGCAGCAAAAGGAGGCTCGTTCCCATTCAGCAGGCATGGTTTCTATCGGCAAAGATCGCTTAATCTCCTTCCTTGCTGCCATTGCTTAGAGCAGGCCCAGTTCTTTATGTCCTATGTTGAGTTTAATGTCAGAGTGCCATACATTTCTCACTGCATTAACTTTACAACACCATCCCCTCCGCGCCCGAGCCAAGTGGGCAGGCCTTGTCTCTGTTTTATGGAAACCCAGTCACTGTATAGGAAAACCTGGCTGTTTAAAAGCTAGTTGAACATTGTATAAATTATCCATATCTCTTGCTACTGAAGGCCTCCTAAGACGATGTTGCTGGATGTCCCCTGCTGACCCCACAGACTGGCTCCTCTGGTGTCCGCTGACTTGGCCTGGTGAGAAGGGCAGGGCCAGGCCCTTCCCTGTCTCGACCTGCATTCCCACCCAACACAGCAAGCTATTTTGAAAAAACTTCTCTATCAGTTCTTGTGAGTTATTTGTCTAATAAACAACATTGTGAAAATGAAGCATTCATGTATTTGTATATTGACAAGAGATAACCAATTCCCTCAACAATTTTACAATTTCAAATTAGGATAACATCCTTTTTTGGAGCTCTTCAAACATCTTAGGGAACACACGCACATATTTAAGTACCCTAAACAATTATTAAACTTAAGTTAATCGAAGTATTAACACGATAGTTTAATTCATTGGTCGCTTGGAAGCTTGTTCTCATGCCTGACTTGGGTTCTAGGAGAATGAGAATGCACACCGATGCAGGCTGGGGTTGTCCACTGCCCGCTGCTTGTTGGGGCAGGACATGGGTACCGTCTAAGCTGATTCGAACTCTAGCCCCTGCCCACCAGGCTGAGCTCTTTTTTTTTTTTCTTTCTTTTCTTTCCTTCAGGTTGGTTTTTCACCTGTGGCTTAAACGGATAGGGAGATTTCTTTGGCCCGAGCACCTTCTGTCCTCAAAGTGGGTTGCTCATGTCAGTGGCATGAGCTCCAAAGGCACCACCTTCCCCCATGGCTGTCCCTAAGGGGGACTCTCTGCTCTGCTCTAAGGGGGAGTACTGGTGAGTGGACGCCAACAGGCCAGACCCAAGCGTGGGAACATGGCAGCCCCATGCTGAGACAGAAGCTCAGAGGTATGAGGGCGGTTGAGGACAAGGAGCTGGCCAGTACCAGAACTGGCCCTGAAACAGAGCTGAGGGCTGGGCTGAGGGGGCGAGGCCTGGCCACAGAGGCAGGTGCAGCCCCTCCAGGGTCCTTGAGACCCTTCATCCTGGCATCTGGCAAAAGCGAGTGATTATTTTTCCTGCTTATTGAGGAAAATTGCTATTTCCCTCCAGTGAGAAAGAGCAATGGGCCCGGAGGGGAGTACGGGCTTGGGGGAACTGTGCAGGGGAGGGGCTGGGCTGGGGAGCAGGAGGGAAGCAAGGCACAGAGGGATGAGGAGAGCCAAGAAGACTGGCGTTTGTGAGGCAATTAGAGCAGAGACCAGGACAAGTGCAAGGCTACGGTCACGGTGCACCAAAGAAGCCTTGAAACCATAGGCCTCGTGGCTCAGTGAGGTGCATGCAGATGGGGCCAGAATAGAAATGGGCCTGCAGGGCCTAAGAGTGAGCGTTCTCCTCCCCCAGGCCTCCGAAAGCACCCTCCAGTCTGTGGCAGCCTCCCCACCCGGAGGCCCTGTCCTCTGTCCAAACCATTCTCTTCCCAGTGCCCACCCAGCGCCTGGCTGACCACGGTGAACAACGAGATTCTCTGTTTCTTCTAGTCCGCTAACCTCCTGAAATGCTGCCTCTTCCAGGAATCCTGCTGGTTGCGCTAGAACATTGCTCGCTGTGGCTCTCCATGGTGGCTCTGACCCGGGTGCAAGTTCTGCAGAGATCAATGAGGCTGCCTTGGGGTCACTGCCCCATTCAGCTAAGTGATGGACTTTCTACATCGTGCTGCCTGCGCGTTTCCCGGGCCCACGTGTCTTGGCTCACCTGGGCTGGTGGGCATCCACAGGGGCAGGCAAGCCAGTGACTGGCAGAGTCAACTTTGCCCAGTGACTGGTGCTGGCCCAGATGCTGGGAGTTGAGAGCACAGTGCAATGCATTTGGGGCTCACCAGATGCTCTTCGGGAGCCCTAAGGGAAGCAGACTTCCCCTGGGAAAGATCTCAACTCAGAAACCCTCTCAAGGCCTGGCTCCCCACCCTAGGAAGGGAGGAAAACGATCGTTCCACCCAGAGATCAAATCGTCAAGGGGGTCATCGAAGGGATTTCACTGTGCATTGGGAATCCTTGGCACGGGAACTTCTCTGCTTCACAAAAAATCCTTGAGTGAGAGTCTCCTACATTTTATGTCCTCAAATCTAAACCTCAACTGGCAGATTCCGGCCAGGCTGGGGGTTAACTCAGGACTCAGAGAAACCGCTCCACCAGAGGCTCTGATGAAGGGATCAGTCAGGAATTCATAAAGTATTTATTTAACTGCCAAAAGCACCCCCACCCTCCCTTTCTTGTATGTTAGAATTGATGCAAAGTTTCCGAGACAAGCCTGCGATTGCGGCTGTCACCAAACAATGCCATATTTCTTTTCTTCTCTTAAATTCTAGGGATCATTCCCTGTAAGAGGGCAATTTGTCTGTCAGGCAGGCAAAACAGGGGCCGCTCCCTGCCCTCATTAAACTGACAACACGGTTATTAGCAGAAAACGAAGCCAGCCCGCCATGAAGCTAGCCACTGTTTTATGGCGAGCGCCAGGGAGATATTTTCAGTAATTAATTTGATAAATATATTAATTATGAATTGAGTTGACAGTACAATCAGATTGTCAGCCTTCCAGACAGCCTCTTGTGATAAGTAGCTCTGTGATGAAGTGGTTGGATTTCAAGCCTGTCATCCTGCAGGGCAGTCCCTTATCACCCGTCTGCCCATTCACTCTGTAATTTCCTGCGCATTGTAATTAAATGGTAGCTTTCTGATTGGAAGTGACTCCTCAAACTTAATCTCCCTTTCTCTCTGAGCTTGGTGGGGGAGGGGTACAAAAAGCCCTTTGTTTCAGGGCATTTTTTATGTTAAGAAGCAGTTTTGCTCCCCTACTCCTTTAAATGAACCTGTCTGGTCCTGAAGGTCACAAAGGAGGAAGAAGCCTTATTTGGTGGCTTCGGAGTCTTGCGGGGGCCAAGCTACAGTGAGGGGTGGGTGACCTGGCTGGGGGCAGCCCCATGGCTTTTTCTGCTGCCCTCGGTCTCTGCCACCTTGGGAAGGTCACCGCTCCTCTCTGGGCCTGTTTCTTTGGCCAGAAAAAGAAAGAGCTGCCAAAATTATCACGCGGGTTCCCCCCAGGCCTGAAATTCCGGGCTCCTGTGGACATAGCAGCGCTGCAGCCTCCCTGGTCCTGGAGTCCTGGGGAAGGGGAGGGAAGGAGAAGCGAGCCAAGTGTCAGCTGTATTTCTCCAGGACAGGGAGTCGTTCAGGGAGTCCCTTGCCGGCACTTTTTTTTTTTCCTTTTGATGAAATTAATTATGAACACTGCCTGGGGTCATTGGACTCCGGAGATACATGTCAAGATAAAATATTTCAGAAACACTTATATTTAATAATTTAATACGGTGGTTCACATTTGGGTGCAACAAAGGGAATTATCGATAATTGCAAATTTTAAAGAGGCAGGTCAAAGCCCAGCAAAGTATAGGGGATCATGGGACAAAAATCAGGAAGGATGGCAGAGGATTTTGTTCAGTAAGACCCAAGGGCCTGAGGTTAGGATGAGGAGCGGGGTCATTCATGTGCTTTGTAAAGAAGTCAACTTCTGAAACCTTCTTAAGGGGCAACGCTTGGTACCTCAGCTGGAAGAAGAAAGAGAGCAAGTTGGTCTGGAGTGTTAGGAAGTCTGTGATTTGAGACTCAGAGAGGCCCAGGGCTGCACCAGGCCATACAAGAAAGATGCAAGACCCCAGACAAGCTTGACCTCCCAGCCAGCCAGTGTCCCCGGGTCTTGGGGCTTTGTGGAAAGAATAATAGCTTTGCATCAGGTAGTCCCAAGTTCCAAATTCAGCTGCCACTGGCCTGATATGGCTCTGTCTCTTTGTCTGCAAAATGGGCTATTAAACTACCTGCCTCAGATTTGAAGTGAAGGTTACATGAAACAATGCACGGAAGGTACCTTCTAGAGCACTCAAATGCCATGGAAGCCAGGTATTTAGCTATTGCTTTGCAAATAATAAAATCTCCTTGAAGGTAGGCGATGCAATTACCTTTGTTTTATCGAAGAAGGGCTGAGGCACGGAGAAGTTAAGCAACTTACCCAAATTTACCCAGCTAGTTTGTGGCAAAACTGGGATTTGAACCCAAACCGCCTGGCTCCAGGGTCTGGGCTGCCCCTATGGGAGAAAGTGAAACTGCAGTGTGCTAGAATGGACCAGGAAACAATCCGTGGCCCATTTCACCTGGTGGGGGAAGACATCCAAAATCCGCCCATGGCCCCCGAGGCTGCTCTGGAGAGGAGATGCTGTCACGTCCTTTGCTCTGTCTGCAGTGACAGGTGACACCCGTGCTGCCCACTCAGAGGGCTTGCTCCTCTGGCTTTGGACTCTTGTGGATATGGAAAGGGCAGTGGCCTGGAGGTCAGGAGGCCACATTCTAGGTGACTGTGGGCAGGTTGAGCTACCTCTCTGGGCTCAGTTTCTCCTCAAGACGCTTTACGATCTGACTGGCTTAGTTCTCACCACTTCCCACGTGCCCCCCTCTATCCCCCTTGTGCCTTCCTCCTAACACATTCTGCTGGAAAACTGCGGCACTTACCAAATATCCATGCACCCACTGCCTGCATTTCCCAGCATCTCCTGCAGTTAGATTGGGTCATATGACTAGCTCTGGCCAATGGGCGATGGGAGAAAGTGACCCATGACACTTCCAGGCCATGGCAGTTGAGAGCTGTGTCCCCAGCCCCTGCCACAGAAGCCTCAAAGGCCATGACATGTTTCAGGCGGACGAGAACCACCAGATCAGACCAAGACGGAAGACCTTGCTGGGCAGAGCCACTGAGATTTGGGGATTTCTCTGTAACCGCTCCTTGCTTGAGCTTCCTTGACTGGGTCTCAACAGAACTTTTGCTCATTCTCTGGGTAGCTGAGTCCATCCCTGCCTCTGGGCCTTTGTACAGGCCATTTCCTGAATGCTTTTCCCTTCCTGCTGTTGGCAAACTCCTTCCCCCTTCAGCCCCAGCTCCCTTCTGTGCTGTGTGGCTTCTCTGGCCGACCACGGCCAAGTTCCTCGTGCTCTTCCCAGGATTACTGCAGAGAAACATTCCTGCCCCTGGTTCATGCATAACTTCACTGGCGCTCTCTGTTATGTGCCTGTCTCCCCCAGTAATTTGGGATGTCCACAAGGGCAAGGCCCATGTCCTCTCCTTCTTCATAGCCTTAGGGCTTTACCCAGTGCTGGGTATATATCAAGTGCTCAGTTAATATTTATTGCATGAATGAATGAGTGAACAACTGGAGTTGGGGTCCTTGGTGGCTTTGCTCTCTGAGCCTTGCCTGCCTCCCTTGTTCCCTTGTTAGGATATTCCACATTCGTGGCTGAGCCTGTGGAGCCTGGTGTCATGAACTAGCTCCCAACAGGGTCACAGACAAATGGAATTTAGCCCTGCTCTTCAGCCAACTTAGCTTGTGGCTTTGGGAAAATCACTCGTTCAGGGTCTCTTGCTTCCTCATCTCTAAGGTACACCAAAACATCTTGCCCAGGGAGCTGCTTGGATGGGTGCTCATGCAGGATGAGGGTTCTCTGATGGTCAGGGCTGCAAGTGGGAGTAGGTTCAGTCTGTTTCTCTCCAGCAAGGTGAGCTGGGTGGTCCCATCTCTGCTCTGATTTTTTGTTCCCTCATCTTTAGAGTGAAGGTGCTGCACTCAGCCACTGGCAGCATTACTGGCAAAAGCCACTGTGGCCACAGTCTACAGCTGGGCCACATTCAAACTCAGCTTCCTTAGGAAACCCAAGCACCTTACTGAAACACTCACAGCTCTTGTCAATCACCTGGAAATCATGGGTCCCACCATGAGCAGAGGATAAAAGCCATAGCATCGAGGATCAGTGCTCAGATGCATGAGCCGGGAAGCCCCTCGTTAGGGCTCCCCCTGCTAGGTTCTAGTACATTAAAGAGTCCACCAGCACACTAAAAAAAAAAAACCTGAAAGTTATACAAGCTTTGTTTGCTGTCACTGGAGGCAAAGCCAACACATACATGGACATATCAATAATCAGGATAAAGTTTTGATGTGAAGTAAGAAAATTATCACTCGTGATAGAAATTGTTTCTATTCATGTTTCTTTCTTGAACAAATGCACGCTTGTTTTTTTTCCCCAAAGTTCCAGATTGCTGCCCTTTTCTTAACTTTTCAAAGAAAACTTAAGTACTTTGAGCACAACCAGTGTTGAATATTTTCCTTTGTCAGATACTACTTGAATCTATATTTTAACATGTTCCCATTATATTTCAAAGAGTAGGCATGATTGCTCTTGAAAAAAACGTAAGACCAAAGACAGGGTCTTGTCTATTATCCCATCCTCCACCCCAGAAATGTTCTCATCAGAGCTAGCTGGGTGTCATTGATTAAATCCTGAATGATGAATCGTAAGCTCCTTTATTTTATACCAGAAGCGACTGGTAAGTGGACGTAAATTGATTTTGGAGAGGATGCTAAGTGATAATCCTTCCCAGGTTTCCAGTAAAGAAAATATACCTATTTGAGGGAATTTTCAACTTGGGTTTGAACCTGCTGATGCCTTTCTGGAGTCCAAGTGGAAACTATGGCGCTTTTGTGTGCCTGTCAGACGTCTTGCTTAATGCCGAGGGAGGAATGATAAATATGCAGAATGCTTTGATGTTAATACCAAACAGGCCTCCAAAGGAGTGGAGTTGAAGGCAGTTGACACTGTGGTTTTCATCCCTCGGCAGGGATCGAACGGATGCTTGAAAATAAATGGCACCTGTGGAGAAAGTGCCCCATCCCTGATTATGTCATCGGAGCCTCTGGTCCCCACACCGGCTGGAGGGCCCTGGGCTCAGCACTCTGCCTGACAGGAAGATGTGAATGCGGGCAGGGGATAAAAGACAGTGACTCACTTTGTTTTATTTTGTTTGCCAGGAAGCCTTTCTGATGAGCCCAAGCAGCCATCACTAAAAGATCCGTGTGAAATGGAGGCTAATCTTCTGCAGGCAGGGATATGAAAGGAGAGGGTCTTCTAGAAATGCAGAGACGCCTCCTCTTGACTGAGTTCCTTTCCCCATGGGACCTCAGTTTCCCCATCTGTGAAATGAGGGGGTTTTGTAGGTGATCTCTAAGATGCTGTTATTTGCCATTAGCTAAGAAGATGAAGTGCCGTATGGTCCCTTATGGTGGGGATAGGCAGCTTGTGTGGGGTCAGGACTGTCCCTTACGGTGGGGATGAGCAGGTTTCGTGGGGGAAGGACTGTCCCTATGGTGGGGGTGAGCAGCTTGCATGGGGTCAGGACTGGCTTCTTTGGAGGCATCTGTCTCAGCCCCCCTCAAGGTTAACCTCATTTCCTGGTGGGATTGGTGAGTGGAAAAGCCAGAGGGTGAGGAACCAGGGCCTTCTAGGATGCCAAAGACCCTGTGCAGAGGTTGTCTGCTCTGTGGGGGCTCTAGGCCTCTCTCCTTTATCCAGGGAAGCTCTTCAGCACTGGGGGAGGAGAAGGGTTTGGGGAATGGGAGGCCAGCCCAGCATTCAGGAGCCCAGATCCTTGGTACTTACCAAACCTCTTTGTGCACCTGCCCCAAGTGCTCAACGTGACACCCAGGGCCATGCCTCTACTTGTCCTGCCTCCTGGTCTGGGCTGTGTTATGACTTAGGGGCCCTAGACATTTTTGTCTTCAGAAACCCTTTCTCCATAAAAAAATTAGCATTTTGTTTTACAACTGCATTGGTCTAAAGATGAATATAACCCAGGCTTGATGTGTTATTATGCATTCATTATTCTTATATTTCTTTCTTTCTTTGAATTTTAAGATAAATAAAAATGAAAACACTTTCATGGACCCTTAAAGGTTGTCCTGAGCCCTGTGCCTGATGAATACGTGGACTCTGCTCACCAAACTCCCTATGAAGTCCGACCCCTTTAGAAGCTGCAAACCTACCCTTCAGATTTGCATTCCCAATGACTAACCCCTGCCCAGTAAGAGGAGCAGAAGGGGATGGGAACTGTTTGCTGAGTTGTGTATATGAACTCAGCTGGGAGGGAAGCTTGGGCCATCCTGGCATCAGAGGACAGCCCAGCCCAGGCAGGCAGGCAGCCTGGTGCAATGGGACAGTGTGTGGCTTGGGGTCAGGAACACTTGGACTCTCACCTCTACCACCCCCTTCCTATCTGAAGGACCTGGGCCTCAGTTTTTTAATCTGTAAAATGGGACTAATGCCACTTTGACCACAGGTTTCCCAAGGTACATGGCACTGGATTAGTGGGAGCTCTTGTTGGAATGTCACATGTATCATGACCACAGGATTCATATTTTCCAGGAATCCTCAACATCCATTTGTTCCTATGGTCTCATAAGTGCATTCACACTTGGCGGACCACGAGGCCCAGTTCTTGCTTCAGGAATAACAAACCAGTAACTGCCCAGCTGGGTTTCATAGCAAAGATGCAGCAGGGCTATTTTTGCTTTTCTTTCTCCAACAAGAGATTTTCCAGGCAAATCAACTGGAAATGATTGTGTGAGGGAATTGAAGCTCTGGGGGCCCTTGCAGAATTCTTTCTGTTAGTTCACTGGCAACAAACTTTTTGTAAGTTGGCCAATCTTCGCCCTAAAGACACTATGCGCAACTCAGCCTTGAATCAAACTAACGGGGAGTTCTGAAGGCTCCTGTAGTTTCATGTTGAAACAATGTCTTAAATTAATATTTTCTTTAGTTCAAAAGGCTGCCTTGCCTTTGGCTGAGTGTTCCTGCTGCGGGGAACCAGGGAGTGACCCTGGCCAGAAGTCCCCACGACGTGGGGACAAAAGCCCCATGCACACATCAATAACGAAAAAATATCTCACCCGGAGGCATTAGTCACCAAAAATGTTTTACACCAGTTGAGCACAAAAATCAATTCTGAAGTGCAGTATATCATAGTCCATAAATTACATGTGTTTGATCAAAACAGTGACAGAAAAGAGCAGAGGTGAAGACGAAGAAACTTTCCACTGAAAGAGGGGACTGCAGACCCAACCAGGCCCTTCACATTGGGGGTGGACACCAGCAGCCTAGGGGGCCCCCAGCACATTCCACCAGGGAACACATTCCTGCCTGCACCCCTGGCCCAGAATTAACGTGAGAACAAATGGAATGGGAAGACCAAGGCGGGATGGGGCTCAGGCTTCACCCGCATGGCTTTATGCTACACAGAGAGCTCCTGCACGCAGGGCGGTCCCCAGAACCTGCTCGGCCAGTGGGCCTTGTGCTCCTACCTGGACTCAAGGTTTAATGGCAAGGAAAGGCAGCTGAGTCTCCACTACTCCTCTCCCCCAAGGCTTTCTAATGAGGGGTGCCCAGTTTTTAGACATACATTTCAGAAAGTGCAGATGCTGTTGAGTAGAACACAGCTTCCCCACATGGGAAGCCACCAGAGGTGGGGACGGTGGGCCTAGAAAGTCCCTGACACAGGCCCCAAAGCCAACTTGTTTTCTAGGTAACTAATGGCGACCCCTCCCCATGATGCTTTCCCAGGAGCAGTCTCCCCCTGCCCCCCCCCCCTTTTTTTTTTTTTTTTTTTTTTGAGACGGAGTCTTGCTCTGTCGCCCAGGCTGTGGCATGATCTTGGCTCACTGCAAGCTTCACCTCCCGGGTTCATGCCATTCTCCTGCCTCAGCCTCCCGAGTAGGTGGGACTACAGGCACCCGCCACCACGCCAGGCTAATTTTTTGTATTTTTAGTAGAGATGGGGTTTCACCGTGTTAGCCAGGATGATCTTGATCTCCTGACCTCGTGATCTGCCCGCCTCGGCCTCCCAAAGTGCTGGGATTACAGGCTTGAGCCACCGTGCCCGGCCTGCCCCCACTCTTTGTTGTCCCAAGTCAGAGGCGCTGCCGATATGGGTTCCTGGAGCCAGCACCCAGGGCTCCCCGGTCTTCCCGAGTGCCTTCTCCACCTGCCTGATTGCTGCTCACCCCTCCCCCAGGCTCCAACAGATGCCAGGCTTGGAGGTTTGGGCAGCACACCATCTTGCCATCACCCTCCACCTCCATGGTGGCTTATTCCAGCCAGTGCAGCCCCATTCAGTGGCACTGTCACACCTGGTGAAAGCAAGAGGCAGCCCTTGCTGAGAAGCAGACCGTGTGCTGTCTCCGTGCACCAAATACTCTCTAGCACCTCAGTCACTGCCCAAGGGTTCATTCAATTCCAAAGCCAGAATGAGCCTTGGAGGTTGTCTAACCTGACCCATTCATTGCACAGAGGGGGAAACTGAGGCCCAACATAGGCAGTGACTATCCAGGGATCCAGCTTGAGGCAGCTCTAGGATTAGACTCAGGCAGCCTGAGTCCTCTGGCTGTTGTCCTCCCAGCGCTGTTCTCCCCTTCCCAGGGGCACATGGGCCGGTGGGGACAGCTGCTAGCTCGCCTCCTGCTGGGTGGTGGGGAGACAACCCATAACCACCCAGGATCCCATCCCTTCCTATTTTCAGCCAAAGAGATTCCAGCCTCCACAAGGGGGTAGAGATTTCCATCTGTTGCCATTTCCCCTGAGTGCATACCCAGCTCTGTTCTGTACTGACCAGGATATTAAGAGGAGCTCAGTGAGCAATAAATAGAATGTAACCTGCTTCCTAGCCTGGGGGTCCCTTAAGTTAGGCTTCCAATCCAAATGGTGACTAACTCTGGGCTAGGTGGAGTCTCTGTCTCATTTAAGGGGAGAGGAAATTGGGGGTTGGAAAACCCATCACGCATCCCAGTTTTTAGTGCAGCTGCTGCAGCCGCCAACCTAACCAGCTCAGAGCTTGACCATGCGGGGCCCCGGACACCATAAAATGTGTGGTCTCTGTCAAGTGAACTGTGGCAGAACCAAGAACTTTGCTGCCTGCGTCTCTTCACTGAATGGCATTACTCCCTGCTCCACAGGCCCCTGAAAGCCCCCAGGCCTGCTAAGGGTAGCTTTGCATGGACAGGCACAGAGGGAGACACGTCACCCTCCCTGTGTCTTCTGTGCAAGGGCCCAGGTTGCCAGGCCTGAGCTGGAAACTGAGGCTCTGTAGAGAGCATGACCCAGACTTTGTCTCAAGGGACCTGAATTCTCAACAGAGGAGCCTGATGGGTAAACAAGATAAGGTCTTAAAATTTGCAACTCTTCTGTGTGGCAGGTATTTTCTTCCCATTTTATTTCTTCATCTACTCTTTCAATCAATATTTATTAGGCACCATTATGTGACACATGCTGGGCTGAATCCCAGGGATGGAGCCTCCTTCTTACCTCCCCTGTGCTCCAGCTCCACACCAAGTGCATATCTTCTGAGCCTGGCAAGCCCTCCTCTCTCCAGGCCTTCACAGCCACTGACTCCTTTTATCGGACCACTTTTTGTCCTCCCCACCACACTTCCCCACTTGGCAATCTGCGAATCACTTTTTTGAGACCTATCTTGAAAATCCCTTCTTGTGGACTATGGTGGATGTCCTGGCAGAAGCATGCTCCCTGGCTGTCTCTCTTCTCTGAATGACATTACCCCCTGCAAGATCAAGCACTCACGGTGTTGTTTTGTGATTCTTTACTTGTTTTTTATTTTATTTTATTTTTTTGAGACGGAGTCTCGCTGTGTTGCTCAGGCTGGAGTGCAGTGGTGCTATCTCGGCTCACTGCAAGCTCCACCTCCTGGGTTCACGCCATTCTCCTGCCTCAGCCTCCTGAGTAGCTGGGACTACAGGACCCGCCACCACGCCCAGCTAATTTTTTTGTATTTTTAGTAGAGACGGGGTTTCACCATGTTAGCTAGTATGGTCTCTATCTCCTGACCTCATGATCCTCCCGTCTCAGGCTCCCAAAGTGGATTCTTTACTTATAAACCTGCCTCCCACTACGAGCCTGTGATGGCTGATACTGCACCTTGAGCCATCTTTGTATTCCCAACACTCAGAACAGAGCCGTGCATTCAGGAGTTTCTTTATCTATGTGACGGTTGAATTGAATATCCTACTGCACACCAGAACCCTAAACCCTCACCTCCTTCTGCTCCAGTGTGCAACCATATGCAAATTCAGTGTGTCAATGAGATAGACATCTGCTTAAAAGTAAGATGAATGTGTGTCAGTAGGGGGCAATAAAAGTGGGGGATTGAGAAAGAAAGAGAACCCAGAGCCAAAGACCCCACAAAACCCAGGCCCCGTGACTCTCGAGTACCTCAAATCCATGGAAGCAAAAGGTTCTGAGGGCCTCCTGGCTCTACACTTCCTGCACAGCTGAAGCCAGCTGGCGAGGTGGCAGCTCTCTCTCACCTGTCAGAATTTCAGAACCTCATTATGACAAGCACCACTTCCACCCCACGTGCTCCTGGTGTCTGCTGGAACTGCTCACTGACAGTGCTTAGGTCCAGAAGAACTCGAAAATGCTTAATTGGTTAAACGAACGAGTGACTGATTAAGGAATAAAATCCAACCTGAAACAGTTGACAAAAGTAAAATGATGACTCTGTCATGTAATGATATAGGAAGACTAATGCACAGACATCTGTGGAGCTCCAGGATTTCAGGAATGGGTCAAGCCATAGACGCCACCAAGCTCTCATTTTAAGGCCATGGAATCTAAAGTCCGGGGAGGTTGTGACATTTCCCCAAAACACATAAAGCTAAGTTCATTCATGTATTTAATATTTGTTGAAGGTCTGTTATGACCAGGTACCCTTTTGCATATTTGGCATGCAACAGTGAATAAAACAGACAAAAATCCAGGTTCTCATGGAGCTTCCATTCCAGCTGGGAGAGAGAGACCATCAACAATAAACATAGTAAGCCACATAGCATGTTAGGAGGTGATCAGTGTAGTGGGGAAAAAGTAGACCAAGGTAAGGGGCCTAGGAATGTGTTGTTGGGGTCGAGATTACATATTGTAATTGGCAAAGAGTGGCAGTTTAAAAAGACAGAGTAGGATAAAGATTTTTAAAGGAAGTGAGAGAATATGGAGTTTTTTTACCTTGCAGGCATATTATGAATATTCAGTGAAACAACGTGTGTGCTCACCAGGCAGGAAGAGCTCAGCAAATGGTGGCTGGTCTGGAAATTATTGTCATCACTATAATCCTCATCGACATCCTCAGCCTTATTGTCATCATCATCAACCTCATCAGTGTCATCATCAGCCTCATCAACGTCATCATCAGCCTCATCACTGTCATCATCAGCCCTTTGTCATCATCATCATCCACCTTGCTGTTCTCTTCCTTGTTGACATCATTATCCTCATCCTCCTCATCACCATCAACAGCATTATTTTTATTTTTTATTCTTCCACCTGTAAGAGTTTCTTTTCCTCCCTCTTATTGTTTTCCTCTTGGGATGACTAGTGGTGAAGGAAGTGTCAGAGGCAATGACCTCACAGCTGTCGTTGCCATGGGTGACACCTCCCAGAAAGAGCTTATTGGAACTTTCAGTCCAGGGGAGTTTCTGCTGTTCCAGGATGGAGGAAATGTTCAAGAACTGTGGAGCATCTGAGATTTTTTTCCTACTTTTGATGTCCACCTAGTCAAAGTTCAGGTAGGCTTATTGTCTATTATAAAAGCTCCAGGTTCCCAAAGCTTGGCGAAATCCCGTCTCTACAAAAAAATACAAAAATTAGCCAGGGTTGGTGGTGGCTTGCACCTGTAGTCCCAGGTACTCAGGAGGTTGAAGTGGGAAGATCGCTTGAGGCTGGGAGGTGGTGGTTGTGTTGAGCCAAGATCTCACCACTGCACTCCAGCCTGGGTGACAGAGTGAGACCTTGCCTCAAAAACAAACAAACAAAAAACCAAAGATTTTTTTAAAAAAAGAATTAGCAAAAAAGTGTGTGACAGAATCATTATTCATTTGGTGTTTATTGGTTATTTAGGGACTCTGAGGGTAAGAATCCCGGCTCATCACTTAGGAACTGCTGTGTTTCTGCCATCTCAGGGAGTCTGTTTAGTTCTCAGCTCTAGTAGTCTTGGCTTTGATCCCTAGCTGTTCCACTTTTCCAAGGGTGTAACTAGGCAATTTGCTTTGCCTACTTCCTTATCCTTTTTTAAATTATTATTATTATTATTGTTATTATTTTGAAATGGGGTCTCACTTTGTCACCCAGGCTGGAGTGCAGTGGTGCGATCGCAGCTCACTACAATGTCTGCCTCCTGAGTTCAAGTGATTCTCCTGCCTCAGCCTCCCAAGTAGCTGGGACTACAGGTGCACAGTACCATGCCAGGCTAATTTTTGTATTTTTAGTAGAAACAGGGTTTCACTGTGTTGGCCAGGCTGATCTCAAACTCCTGATCTCAAGTGATCCGCCTGCCTCAGCCTCCCAAAGTGCTGGGATTACAGGCATGAGTGACCGTGCCCAGCCTCTTTATCCTTAAAATGGGACTCACGATGGTATTCACTTTAGAAGGCTACTAGGAGGACCAAATGATATAATGTCTCAACAGTGCTTAGCTCCATGCCTGGCACATGGCAAGGACTTGGTTGATGATGGTAAAGATGGTGGGGATGATGATTTTCCACAAGGAAAAACATGAGTTACAGGAAACCAGCTGGAGATTGGTGGCTTCACCAGGTAATAAGCTGTGATTGGGTCCTCTGATGCCAGAGATGGAGATGGAGAGATTTTTTTATTCTTCAATGTAGTGGTCACATTGGGCCTTTAGGATTGAACTCTGTTTCAGAATTTAATATCCCAGGATTTGTTTACATATGTCTTCAGAAATCATGTCACACTCAAAGCCTCAATGAGAACTCTTTTTTCTAGAAATCTCTATTAAAACCCCAAAGTTGAATCAGGGTATTATATAGTCCTTAGATATCACATTGATATGTGTCCTACTAAGGATTAAATATGTCATGCAGACCCCAGTGTAGACATATAGTTTCATAAACCATATACCCAGAAACCCTAAGAAAATAGAGATTCTACTTGTGTGAAAAGTCCACTCAACATGCTAAATATTTCCTGTGTGTCTGTCATGAGCCAGGCAATGAATGTGATGGGCAGTACAGTGGATCCCCAGTCTGCATGATGCAGGCTCTCTCCCAGGGAGCTTGGAAGTGCCCTTGATCTATAATTCATATGGAATGTAGAATGCAAATGCCTAGAGAGGCTAAACAAGAAGATATACAGAGAGAGAAAGAATGAGAATGAGAATATCATAAGGAGATCATGAATGGCATCCTGAAGGTGCAGGCAGAGGGGCGTTTGGCGGGGCATTTGGCAGGGCCTTGAAGAACACGGTGAATTACAAAAAGCCAAGTCTTAGAGCTGATCTGGATTTTAATCCCAACTCCACCTTTGTGACCTTAGACAAAATGATTTAACCTTTAGTGCTTCTCTTGTGCTTTTTTCCCCATTTGTAAAAAGAAGATGTTAAAACAACCTTGTGGGACCTTGTAAGGGTCAATGACTAAAGTGGTTCACATGCTTGGCAAGCACTAGGATCAATAAATGGTATTAAAAACATTGTGAGCAAAAGTCTTAGGTGGGGTTCCCGGAAAGCATACTGTCAGATGGAGGTTTACTGGGAATGCTCTTGGGAACAACGCCTGTGGGCTACTGGAGGATGCTGAATTAGGCAGATGGAGGAACTGAACTGTGCTGCAGTCATGACAGAGGACTCAGCCCATGGCAGGGAGCTCTGGAGCTGGGGAGCCCTCCAAAGTGATCCTGAATTGAGGCAAAAGGGCTGGTCTTGTGCCACCTTATCAGCCAGTTTCTGGACGGGAACTGCCCCTGTGGAGAGGATGTAACTCTGGGCAAGGCAGTTCCCTTGGCAGAAGGCAAGTCCAGGAGAGGGCCTCAGCTGTGAGCCGTCAGCAGCCAACACTCCTAGAATCCAAGGGAATGAATGCCTTGGTCCTGAAGGAGCACACCACAGCACACCACAGTGTCCACTACAGCAGGGGAAGCTCAGTACATTAGAATGAGATCCATCTCTTCCAGGTATTCTATTACTTCCTCTGAGGCCTAGGCCTGACTGAAATTCAGAGACGCCTTCACCGTTGGAAAGAGGAAGCTTTCCTCTGCCCCATGAAGACAGCTCTGGGTGGCTCTGGCCTCATTCTGCATTCAGGGCCTCCTCACTTACCACTGCTCCTGAAGATAGTCAGCCCCTTCTGCTTCCTCCCTACTTTTATTCTTACTTGTGACCTTTTTACTTTCTTGAAAGGATCGAACAGTAGATATCAAATAGCCAAGTGCTACTTCTCAAAGAGAAGTAGAGAATCCCTAGAAAGACCTTGAAATCACATGAGCTCAATTGCAGGTCACATTTCCAGGGCTGGGGCTGGCAGGGGTTACTGGCCTCATCTAGATGGTCCCAGGAAAGAGTTGTACAATGACCTGCACAATTAAGGCAGTGTTTGAAGCCAGTCTGAGCTAGCCCTGAATTTGACTTGTTCCATCACCCAAGGTTTCTGGACAGTTCCTTGCTCTCTGTAAGTACACAACCTTCTTCCCCATTTCTCTCTCTGCCACTGACATTTAGAAATTTGCACTCTTCCCCTCCTACCTAACTGATCCAGGGCTCAGGGGAATTCCAGGCTTCAGGCTAGTCTGCCCAGTGATACCACATTTATTTACATGGAATGTAAAGAGAAGTCCACTGATTGCTATTAATAACTAAACAAAGTTATCCTGGAGACACTGCAGTTTCTGGCCCCACCCAAGGCAAAAGAACCAATGAGGACTTTTTAAAAACATTACTTTTTATGGGTATATAGTAAAGGACTTTTTAAAAATGAAAATGAACCCATTGTTAGCTTTGATTTTGTGGGTGCCAAAGTCTAAGGTGTTTTGGGTTTGTACTCAGTCTGAACGAGGATTTTTTTTTGCATAGTTTCCCCTTTCTAACACTATTGCATTAATATTTAGCAATTTGTACTAAGGTAGAAACTGTCAATCAAGAGTAGTTCATTTTTTTTCTTTTCTTTTTTTTTTTTTTTTTTTGAGATGTAGTCTTGCTCTGTCACCCAGGCTGGAGTGCAGTGGCGTGATCTCAGCTTACTGCAACCATCCACCTCCTGGGTTCAAGAGATTCTTCTGCCTCAGTCTCCCAAGTAGCTGGGACTACAAGCCTGTGTCACCATGCCTGGCTAATTTTTGTATTTTTTGTAGAGACGGGGTTTCACCATGTTGGCCAGGCTGGTCTCGAACTCCTGACCTCAGGTGATCCACCTGCCTCAGCCTCCCAAAATGTTGGGATTACAGGCATGAGTCACCGTGCCCAGCCAAGTAATTCATTAATAGTGAAATAATGCTGGCCTTCACCCAAGAAGAACTAAATCTCCCTCAGGACAACTTTTTGCTGTTCTTTATAGCAATTATCTTCAGAGTTAACAGTAGCTCTAAAATAAAGAAATTTCTCTGTTAGAACCACCCCCAGATATTCAGATACAGACCCCCAGCTGTGATTCTAAATGCAGAGACAGACATTGCTCCCCTTTATTTTTCCATGCCCCAATAATTATTGATTAATGAAATTGGCAGCTGAACTACAGGGCTCCTAAAAAAGTGCTCAGAGTATATCTGAATGTTTAGCTTTAAGGATGCTCCTTGCAGGGTTCTTTTCATGGCAAATATTGGAAACAACTTAGATACTCAATAACAGGAGATCTGTTGAATAAACTGTGGCAGATATATTCATTAGAAGATTACGCAGCCACGAAAATGATATGCACGAAAATGATATTGCAGAAGTATATTCCATGCCATGAAAATCTCTATAGTATAGTATGTGCATATTTGTAAATATGTATATATATATGTGTGTATATATATACATATACACACATACTGTGTATACATACACACATATATGTGTGTGTGTGTATATATATATACACACACATACTGTGGCTGTATAAATAAACACATGATCTTAGGAGAGACCTTGCACAATGTCAGTCATTTTTCCTTGACAGCGAGATTGCTGGTGAGTTCTATTTTCTTTTGCTCATCTTTTTCATTCTAATTTTTCAGCAATACACATATATTTCTTACGTAATTAAGAAGTAAAAGGTTATGAAATGAGTGCAGAGGAGGAGGAGGTCTCCTTCCTGTTGAAATGTGGGCTGTTGACATAAGGAGCACCCAGTTTTTATATCCCAAAGCCCCAGCCCCTCATTATGACCACCCTGCCTCCCATGAGGTCCGCAGCCAGCGGCCTAAGGTGGCCACATTTGTGTGTTATGGACAGGGACGGAAGTGTGGCAAAGGGCAAAGACGTTTAGACCTGCCTCTACCTTCCGGGGCGAAAGCAGGAGGTAGCGACTTGCCCTCTCTGAAACTCCATTTCTTGGGAACCCCAAACTTGGGGCCCTTCTGGAGTTCTCCGTGATTCTGAGCAGCTGGAACATCTCTTCCAGAGCCTCAGAGGGAGGGTGTCCTGGTGACTTTGCCCCCAGAGGCAATGCTGCTCCGTCCTGTGCTGCTGCAGTCCTTGAGGGGTGTGAATGCTGGGCATAGGACAGGACAGGCCACCTACCCGGGACTGGCATCCCTGTAGGGTCCCCGGCTCTCTGACATCCACAGAGGCCAGGTGCCGACCCCCCCACGGCCCAGTGTCCTCCTGAAGGCATGCATGTGCCTCTGCTTTAGGGCATAGAATGGGGTGGACGCCAGCCAGGGCTGGTGGAGGTGATGACAGCACTGACTATCTGCAGATCTTGCTTCGGCTAAGGTTGCGTGGTTTGCAATTAGACGAGAGGTCTGGGGGCCTGGGAGATCATTTCCTTCAGCAGGTTATCATTTGGGCAAAATCAAGGGCTTGTCAGCCTTAGCACAGGCTCTGCCTGCTCCCTCTCTGCACCCCCCTGCCCCTACCCAGGCAGCCCTGGAACTCTGTGCCCCAGAAACTCAGGCTGCCAGCTCTTCTGTGGGACCTCAGGCCCTTGGTATTCTCTGAGCAAACTGTGTTGTGCAATGATCCCTTCCTGGAGACATCTTTCCACAGCACTTTTCCCATCCCTGAGTCTAGTACTCCTCACCCCTCCCTCCCATCACATATCACAGTTTGTGATTATCCATTTATTTGTATGGCTGTTGGTCACTGTTTCCCCCACTAGACGATAAGACTAAGTATTGTTCACACTTGTTTGCCTAGCGCCTAGCACAGAGCCTGGCACATAGTAGGCTCCCAATAATGAAATGAAAGCATGCATGTATGCCTGCATGATCAACACACGGCAGCCATCAGGAACATTCTAACCTTCAGAATGGGACCAGCTCTCCTGGACATGAGTCCAGGTTCAGCAAATCAGCTGTGTGATCATGGACAAGTTGACTGACTGTTCTGAGATTGTTTTCCCATCTCTTTAATGTGGATGCAAATAGCACTTTTCTCTTTCTTGCTCTTTTTTTTTTTTTTTTTTTGCCTGTCAGCTCATACCTAGCAAATAGCACTGTTATCATAGGGTTGTAATGAAGAGTCAATGAGATGAGGCCTGCAAAGCATCTGACACAGAGGGAGCATACAATGAATGAGCGTCTTTATTATTTTGTCCTTTGAGCTTCTTCCAGCCAGAGCTGGAGGTCATCCTCGGTTATAAAATCTCTTGATTTCCTCGTAGATCTGGGCCTCTCCATCTGCCTGTGTGTCACTTCTTCCTCCCCACTAGTGTTCCTGGGCTTAGGGGGCAGACGAGAAGAAAGCGGGCATCCCTCTGCTCTAAAAGGTTCTGCTTTTAGATGATAAACTGCAGGGGGAGAATCCAGTTTACTGGATACGACTTAGAACCTGTTGTGGGTCTGTCGGCATTCTATCTGGGATGTCAGTGTGGGTGAGCAGAGAGGGGAGCTGCTCCCACAAACCCCACCTTGTGGAACCCCAGGTATTGCAGGAAATGTGGCTGTGGGCTGCCCCCTTCCTGAAGCAGGCTCCATGCAGGGCTGACTGCTGCGATTCAAGAAGGGACCCAGACAGGTTGTTGTTTCGGTCTGGATGTTACCATGTGGTGTCACCTCTAAGAGGGAAATCAGACATTGGAGAAACTTGATTCAGACACAGGCACACAGGGGCACAGACATTGGCTTCTCTAGTCCATTAACAATTGGGTGCATTTAAGAGTCTGCATCAGGCCGGGTGCAGTGGCTCACACCTGTAATCTCAGCACTTTGGGAGGCTGAGACTGGAGGATCGCTTGAGGCCAGGAGTTTGAGATCAGCCTGGGCAACATAGAAAGACCCCGTTTCTACAAAACAACAACAGCAAAGCAAAACAGTCTGCATCTAACTCCTGGATTCTGGTGGTACTCAGAGAGGTAAAGCACCTGGCACACAGTCACACAGCTGCTGGTTGGCAGAGGCAGCGCTTCCAACCAGTCTGTGTGCTTCCAAAGCTTTCCCAAGTAATACTACCTCTATGATCCGCATTTCCACTTCAAGTTTACCTAGATGCCAGTTTTTTAAAAACATAAATTTTTTATTTTTTAAATAATTTTTACTTTCATTTTAGATCCAGGGGGTATATGTCCAGGCTTATTACCTGGGTATGTTAAGTGATGCTGAGATTCAGGGTATGGATCCTGACACCAACTTAGTGAGCACAGTACCTGATAGGAAGCTTTTCAACCCCCACCTGGCCCCTCTTCCTCTAGAGCTTCCCAGTGTGCATCGTTGTCATCTTTACGTTCATGTGTACTCAGTACTGTACTGAGAACATGCAGTATTTGGTTCTTGCATTAATTCGCTTAGGATAATAACCTCCGGCTACATCCATGTTGTGCAAAGGACATGATTTTGTTCTTTTTAAGGCTGCATAGTATTCCATGGAGTTAATGTACCACATTTTCTTCATCCAGTCCACCGTCGATGGGCACCTGGGTTGATTCCACGTCTTTGCTATTGTGAATAGTGCTGCGATGAACACACGCAAGTTCATTTGTCTTTATGGCAGATGATTTATTTTCCTTTGGGTATATACATAGCCATGGGATTGCTGGGTCAAACAGTAGCTGTTGTAAGTTCTTTGAGAAATCTCCAAACTGCTTTCCACAGTGGCTGAGGATTACATTCCCACCAACAGTGTATAAATATTCCCTTTTCTCTGTGGCCTTGCCAGCATGTTATTTTTTGAGTTTTTAATAATAGCCATTCTGACTGGTGTGAGATGGTATCTCCTTGTGGTTTTGATTTGCATTTCTCTGAGGATGAATATTTTTCGTATGTTTGTTGGCTGCTTGTATGTCTCTTAAAAAGTGTCTGTTCATGTCCTCTGCCCATTTTTAAATGGGCTTATTTGTTTTTTGCTTGTTGATTTGTTTAAGCTGAAAGCTAACAAACTAGTTCTGGTTTTAAACTTGACAACCAATTGGGCCTAATAGATATCTACAGAATATTGACCTAATGGATATCTACAGAATATTGCACCCAACAACCACAGAATATACCCTCTTTTCTCTCATCTGCGCATGCAATATATTCTAAGATTAACCACATGCCAGGTCATAAAGGAAGCCTCAATAAGTTTGAAAAAATTGAAATCATACCAAGTACACTCTTGGATTACATTGCAATTAAAACATAGAAATCAATATCAAGGAGATCTCCCAAAACTACACAAATACATGGAAATTAAATAACTTGCTCCCAAATAACTCCTGGGTGAACACAAAATTAAGGGAGAAATAAAATTATTTGAAATTAATGAAAATAGGGACACAACTTACCAAAATCTCTAGGATGCAGCTAAAGCAGTATTAAGAGGAATGTTTATAACACTAAATACCTTATCAAGACATTAGTAAGATCTCAAATTAACAGTGTAACTTTGCACCTAGAGGAACTAGAACACAAGAACAAACCAATCCCCAAACTAGCAGAAGAAAAGAAATAACTAAAATTAGAGAATGAACAAAATTGACCTGCAAAAATCCATACGAAAGATAAATGAAACCAAGATTTGATTTTTTAAAGAATAAACAAGATCAATAGACCACTAGCTAGATTTACAAAGAAAAAAAGATCCAAATGACAAAGATGACATTACAACTGATCCCACAGAAATACAGATCTTCAGAGACTATTTTGAATAACTCTATGCACACAAATTAGAAAACCTAGAGGAAATGGATTAATTCCTAGAAATGCACAACCTCCCAAGATTGAACTAGGAAAAAAATCGAAATCATGAACGGATCAATAACAAGTTCCAAAACTGAATCAGTAATACAAAATCTACCAACCAAAAGAATGTTCTGGACCAGAGGAATTTACAGCTGAACCCTACTAGAGGTATAAAGAAGAACTGGTACCAATCCTACTGAAACTATTCTAAAAAATTGAGGAGGAGGCTCCTCCCTAACTCATTCTATGAAGCCATCATCAGCCTGATACCAAAATCTGGCAGAGACACAATGAAAGAAAACTTTAGGCCAATATCTCTGTTGAGCATAGACACAAAACTTCTCAACAAAATATTAGCAAAACTAATCCAGCAGCATATCAAAAAGTTAAATCAAGTGGGCTTTATTCCTGTGATGCAAAACTGGTTCAACATATGCAAATCAATAAATGTGATTCACCACATAAACAGAATAAAAAGCAAAAACCATATGATCATCTCAAAAGATGAAGAAAAGGCTTTTGATAAAATCCAACATCGCTTTGTGATAAAAACCCTCAATAGACTAGGCATTGAAGGAACATGCCTCAAAATAATAAGAACCACCTATAACAAACCCACAGCCGACATCATACTGAACAGGCCAGAAGTGGAACCATTCCCTTGAGAACTGGAACAAGACAAGAATGCCCACTCTCACCACTCCTATTCAGCATAATAGTGAAAATTTTAACCAGAACAATCAGGCAAGAAAAAGAAAGGGCATCCAAATAGTAAAAGAAGAAATCAAACTATCTTTTTTTTGCTGACAACATGATTCTATACCTAGAAAATCCTAAAAACTCTGCTGAAAGGCTCCTAGAACTGATAAATGACTTCAATAAAGTTTTTAGATACAAAATCAATGTACAAAAATCAGTAACATTTCTATACATCAATAACATTCAAGTTGAGAATCAAATCAAAATTTGTTTGATTTTTTTGTGGTTATTTGCAACAACCACAAAACATTGAAATACCTAGGAATACAGCCAACCAAGGAGGTGAACTATCTCTGCAAGGAGAACTACAAAACACTGCTGAAAGAAATCAGAGATGACACATATAAATGGAAAAAAATTCCATGCTCATGGATTGGAAGAATAAATATTGTTAAAATGGCCATACTGCCCAAAACAATTTACAGATACAATGCTATTCCTATCAAACTATGAATGTCATTTTTCACAGAATTAGAACAAAAAAAATTCTAAAATTTATATGGAACCAAAAAAAGAGCCCAAATAGCCAAAATAATTCTAAGTAAAAAGACAAAAGCCATAGGCATCCCAGTACCCAACTTCAAACTATAAGGCTACAGTAACCAAAACAGCATGGTACTGGTATAAAAATAGACCTGTAGACCAACAGAACAGAATAGACAATCCAAAACTAAAGCTGTATACTTACAACCATTTGATCTTTGACAAAGCTGACAAAAACAAACAATGGGGAAAGGACTTCCTGTTTCGTAAATGGTGCTGGGATAACGGCTAGCAATAAGCAGAAAATGAAACTGGACCCCTACCTCTCACCAAATATAAAAATTAACTCAAGATGGATTAAAGATTTAAATGTAAGCCCTCAAACTATAAAAATCCTGGAAGAAAACCTAGGAAGTACCCTTCTTGACATTGACCTTGGCAAATAATTTTTGGCTAAGTCCCTAAAAGCAATTGCAACTAAAACAACAATTGACAAGTGAGACCTAATTAAACTAAAGGGCTTCTGCATGGCAAAAGAAATTTAGAGTAAACAGAAAACTACTGAATGGGAGAAAATATTTGCAAACTATGCATCTGATGAAGGTCTAATATCCAGGATCTGTAAGGAACTTAAATCAACAAGTTGGATACCAGTTTTAATGGCTTACAGCTGTAAGTTCCTATATTCAGTCACCAAGTTTTCAACACCAGGTTCTGGCCAAAGTGCCGAAAATATGAAGATGAACAAGTCTGACAAAGAAAATCTGGCTAGGGTGGTAAAATTTTCTAGGGAAGTCACAAGGGGGAGGGGGCGTGTAAAACAGGTGGAAGATAAGGGTTATGTCATGAAGTAGGTTTATTCAGGTCCAGTGTAGCCTCTAATTCCAAGTTTCTCGTGATAAGGGCTATTTTCTAACTGTTGTATAGAGACGATGTCCCTTCAGAAGCAACTTTATTATTGCCGCATGCAGGAAGAAATAGATCAGCTAGCCCTTTCTGAAACTACAAGAATCTTGGTTTACTAGCAAAATTATATCCAAGTAAAACACTATGCCACTTACCAGTACTTACAAATCTATGTGTCTCAATTTTATTCATTTATTTTTTCAATGAGTGTTTATTGAGCATCTGCTTCTTGCTGTACACTGTGCTGGCAGCTAGGGATACAGATGTAAGCAAAAACCAAACAGCATCACACCCATCCTTATGGGACTTAGAGTGGGGAGACACATCAAATAAACACACAAGTCAGCGTATTAATTATAACAGAGAAACCAGAAATTCGATCTAAACAGGGGGAAGGAGTCTTCCTTGCAGAGCAAACATGGAGCCGAAGTCTGGAGGCTGAGTAGGATGTAACTGGGCAAAGAGGGGAGGGCAGAGCATTCCAGGTAGGAGGTGGGCTGTGGAAAGGTCATGGGGCAGAGAGAGTGCATGTTAGGACCTGTGAGAAGGCCAGGAGAGAGAAGTAGAGAGGAGGGGGCAGTGCAAGAAGAAGCAGGACAACCCAGCAGGGAGTTTTGTTTTTATCCTTAGAAAAATGAGAAGCGGCTGGGAGCCATGGCTCACGCTTGTAATCCCAGCACTTTGGGAGGCTGAGGCAGGCAGATCATGAGGTCAGGAGTTCGAGACCAGCCTGGCCAACACAGTGTGAAACCCAATCTCTACTAAAAATACAAAAATTAGCTGGGCGTGGTGGCGGATGCTTGTAATCCCAAATATTCAGGAGGCTAGGGCAGGAGAATTCCTTGAACCTGGGAGGTGGAGGTTGAAGTGAGCTGAGATTGCGCCACTGCACTCCAGCCTGGGCAACAGTGCAAGACTCCGTCTCAATAAAAAAAGAAAAAAAATGAGAAGCCATTTCAGGATTTTAAGCCAGATAATGATATATTAGATTTCAATTTCCAAAAAATTACCCTGATTATAGTGGACTCCAGACTAGAGGGAGGCTGGAGGGGGCAGGCCACGTGGAGACTCTAGCAGTGTCCTGATGAACAGAGATGGCAGCCTGGAGTCAGGTGAGGGTGGGCCAGGTCGAGTGAAAATGACATGCTGGGGAGAGATTTAGGAGGAGGGGTAGACAAGGCTTGATGAGGGATCAGTGGAGGGGTCAAAGGACAGAGGCCTATCGAGGATAATTCAGACCTTTCTTATCTTGGGGCTCAATGAGTGGTTGTCCAGTCAGTGAGACATGGAAGATGACCAGGTCAGAAGGGGAGACCTTGGGTCCTGCTTTGGAGATGTTGAATGTGAGGCTGGCTTTGAGAGATCCAGGGAATTGTGGATATGTGGCCTGCAACATGGAGCCTGGAGAAGTGTGCTTGAGAATCCCCCTCTTAAGAGGTGCTCCTTGGGCCCTCAGTGCTCCTTAAGCCCTCAGATGCATGAGGTTGCCTAGAAGTATATGACACAGAAAGAGGTAAGGATGGAGGAGAGGAAGGCCTGAAGGACCCTGACACTTAGGAGAGGACAGGCTTGCAAAGGAATAGAGCAGGAGAGACCAGAGGTGATACTGAAGGAGTATTGTGCCCTGGAGGGCAGAGCAAGGGTGATTGAAGGAGGATGTGATCGGCCGAGGAAAAATGATGAATGAAGAATGCCCTTTGGATCGAGTGACTGGAAGGCCAATGGAGACTCAGCGAGAATTGTTTCAGATGACAAAGCCTGAGGCTCTGAGAAAAAAGACGATTCAAGCCATATGCTAAGAAAGGGCTGACCAAGACTGACACCTGGGTTTCCTTCAATCTTTCTAACAACCTTCAGGCAAGAATTTTGGTAGGAATCATGGTCTATGGAGCTGCAGGGTTGGTTTTATCTCTTCCGCAAAAATGCAGTCAGTCGTTTCCCGGTATTGGTTCCAGGATCCCCCAATATCAAAATCCACAGATGCTCAATGTCCTTATAGAAATCAGTGTAGTATTTGCATAGAACCTACACTCTTCCTCCCGTAGACTTTAAATCATCTCTAGATTACTTGTAATACCTAATACACTAAGAATGCTATATAAATAGTTGCTATTCTGTATTGTTTAGGGAATAATGAAAAGAAATGTCTAAAATGTGGGGCAGGAGGTCAGCAAGAAAGCTTCCTTCCTGTGCCAGCTTGAGGAGTCCTTGGGAAGCCACCAGCACTGTTGATAATGAGGACACTTAGATGCCAAGTGGCCTCTCGGGTCTGTCTTCTGCTAATAAGACTAAAGAGGGGAAGTGTAAAGAATTTGCACCCCAATCCTCTGGTGGGCTGGGGCAGGATGCAGCCACACTCTTCTTATTTCTATTTTGTATTTTTGTTTGAAGAAGTCATCTCCCAGATGAAAAGTCAGTTTGAAGGCACACTGGGGGTTTGTGGCATGAGTTTGTCAACTGCTGGAGTAAAGAGCTCTGATAGATGGATAAACAGCCTTCTGGTTTTTTGAAAGCTGTTTTCAGTTCCCTTCCAGGATCTGCGCTTGGGAAGAAATAAGCCACCCCTCAGAACCTCAGAAGATTTACTTCAACATCTGTAGAAGTATTTTAATTTCTTCCTTGAGTAGGTTTGGCTTGGCCAACTGAAACTGTGGTTAAACTATTTTTAATCATGTTAATAAGAAAATTGTCCTGCCCAGAACAGGAAAGCGTTGTCTGTTTTTATTGTGCTGCATAAAAATAACTGTCTCCAGCCTTCTTGTTATGTAGTGGGCGATGACATACATTATTTTACTTAGTCCTCCTCCGAGGAACTCAGTAGGCGGATGATCTTAGTTCATTGGGGCTGCTTTAGCAAAAGACCACAACCTGGCTGGCTTATAAACAGCAGACATTTATTTTTCACAGTTCTGGAGGCTGGAAGGTCCAAGATCAAGGTACCAGCAGATTCAAAGTCTAGTGAGGGCTCTCTTCCTGGTTCATAGATGACCCCTTCTCAAAGCTCTCTGGGGCTTCTTTTATTGTGGCATTAATTCCATTCATGAGGGCCCTGTCCCCAGGATCTAGGCACCTACCACAGGCCCCATCTCCTAACACCATCACACTGGGGATTAGGTGTCAACTTATGATTTTGCAGGGGGCACAAATAATCAGGCCACAGTACAGATAGAATTGTCTATTTTGCCCCTGAAGATACTTTAGCTCTGAGAAATGAATAAGGTGACTGGTTTCACTGGGAGGTGGGAGGAGTGCTGGGAGTGAGGGGAGGAAATACAAACACGATGGAATGTACTACCACCCCTAGGAGAACTCACCGTTGAATGTAGGGATTCTTGACTAGCAAGGCCCTTGGAGATCAGCTGGAGCAATCTGCTCATTTTATAGCTAGGAAAGGAGGCCCAGCAGGAGGGGACGGTGTGCCCAAGGCTGAGAGTGTGGTGAGTGCTGGGTTCCTCCCAATACCCATTTCCACCAGGCAAAATGTCCCAGCATCCCTTGCAGATGTGGCCATGCAACTAATTCTGGCCAGTAAGACATAGATCTCCAGGAATTCTGAAAAAGAGAGGAGTTATGCCCCATTTGCTTTCTAATGACCCCACCACCACCGCCCCATCCTGCTGCCTGAAGTGTGAAGCTTCAGCAACATCTTAGCCCAGAGGGACTGGGCAGCCCCTGGGAATGGAGGAGAGGAGAACTGGAAGGAGCCTGGATCTCTGTCGACTTCACTGAGCTTCCCTGGACAGGGCTCTGGATTTACTTTATGTGAGAGAAATCAGCCTCGATCTTGCTTTTCTGGGGTTTTTTGTTCCATGTGGCTAAACTTGCGTGGAGTTAATAGGAGACTCTGAACTCCTGCAGGGACCTTGATGAGTGTTAATCGCTCCCTAAAAATGGCAGTATCTTCCTCTCTTTTTTCGAAGAGCACCAATGCTTTCTTCTGCAATAGAAGTCAAATGCATAGTCCCAGTAAACATGCCCAGGCAAGTAGCTCCGATATTTAACCCATCCTCCCCACCTCGCACACCTCACTCAGCTTCTGCTCCCAGTGACCTGTTTACTGCCCTTCCTGCTCAGACGAGACCCAGGGTTCCTTTCCTCCCTCAGGAATATGCAGAAATGGTGATTGGGCGAGTGGTTTACTGTAGGAAGGGAAATACCAGTGTGAAACACCTATATTCTCTATGCCCGTGAAAATCCCAGAGGGATTAAAGAGTTCAGTGGTTTGTTGTTGTTGTTGTTGTTGTTTTTAAAAAACACAATATCATAAAAAGGAACTAGAATTACAATAAACATTTAACAAAATTTGTAAATGAGGAGGGATTTCTAAGTTCCGATTTAATGAAGAAAAAGGGGAAAAGAGTGAGATATTTAATTACTAAAAATAAAATTTACATGTGGCAAACAAAACCAAATCAAAACCAAAACTACTTAAGAAGAAGTTTCCCAAAATATGACAAAAGATTGTGAGATTTAATATACTGTGCATTCATTCAAATTGATAAGAAATTATCATGATCTTGTCTTTTGAAAAACAGATAATTACAGCCCTTTAAAATACAAATGACTGGTATGCACTTTGAAAAATGTATTTAAACTTACTTTAAAAATCAAATAGGTAAAAACTAAAACGTCAATGAAACAAATTTTAACATCGAGCTAGCACTTTAAAATGAGAGTTGTGGGGCTGGCAAAGGTGCAGAGAACTGTGAAATCATATATGTACTGATAGAAACTGGCCCGATCTTTTCTTTTGGAAAGCAATTCAGCAGTATCTAAAATATTCATATGCATTCAATCAGTAGTTCCACTTCTGGGAATGTATCCCAAGGAAGTACTAAGGAATGTAAAAGAAAAGCTTTATGATCGGAGATGTGTACTGTAGTATTCTTTATCAGAGAAAACAGAAAAGAAGCTACAAAAATATCCAGTTCCTGGGGAATATCCTAAAATTCCCATGAACCAAGGTGGAATAAAAAATAAAAAAACTTTAAAATAAAAAATTCTAAAGTTTTTAAATAAAAAATTTAAAAACTAAATAATCAGATCAAAAACTACTGTATACTCTTTGTTATAAATCTTTTGAGAGTTTTCCTTAAAAAGCTTTTTGAGGTATAATTGACATACAATAAACCACACTTCTAAAATGTACAATTTGATGAAGTGTGGATTTATGTATACATTTATGAAACTCTCACCACAATCAAGATATTGAACACATTAATCATCCCTCAAAACTCTCCTCTTCCTTTTCCAATCTGTCCCTCCTTCCTTCCCAACTCTGTTCATCCCCACGCAACCACTGATCTGCTTTCTGTCACTATGCTTTCCAATTTCTAGAATTTTATTTGCAATTATGCCGCATGGACTCTTACTTGTCTGGCTTCTAGCTTATTTATCTAGCATTTAATGATTCTGAGAACCATCCACACAATTGTATCTCTCAATCGTTCAAGTCTTTTAATCGCTGAGTAGTATTTAATTACACAGGTATACCACAATTTGTTTATCCTTTCAGATGTTGATGGACAATTTGAGTTGCTTCCAGTTTTGAACTATTACAAATAAAACCACTACTAATATTCAGGTGCAAGCCTTCGTAAGGACATATGCTTACATTTCTCTTGGGTAAATAACTACTTAGTGGTGGAATGCGTGAGTCGTGTGGTAGACATATGTTTAACCTTTAAAGCAAGCTGGTTGTCCAACCCAGGACGGCTTTGAATGCAGCCCAACACAAATTCGTAAACTTTCTTAAAACATCATGAGTTCTTTTGTGATTTTTTTTTAACTCATCAGCTATCGTTAGTGTTCGTGTATTTTATGTGTGGCCCAAGACAATTCTTCTTCCAATGGGGTCCAGGGAAGACAAAAGATTGAACACCCCTGCTTTAAAGAAACTGCCAAACACTTTCCCAAAGTGGGTGTACCATTCTACATTCCCACCAGCTGTGCATGTCTGCTCCACATCCTTGCTAATAATTGGGAGGGTTGGTCATTTTTAAATTCAGACATTCTAATAGGTGAGTAGTGATATCTCATTGCATTTTAAATTTGTATTTCCCTAATGACTAATGATGTGCCTTTTTATGTGCTTATTTGCCATCTGTATATCTTCTTTGATGAATTGTTTTTGAAAACCTGTTGCACATCTTTTAAATTGGGTTGTCTTCTTATTATTGAATTTTTGAGTTTTTTTTTTAAACTATATATTGTGGATACAACTCCTTTATCAGATATGTGATTTGCAAATACGTTCTCCAAGACAGTGGCTTGTTATTTTGGTGTCTTTCAAAGAGCAGATGTTCTTAATTTCAGCGTAGTCCACTGTATCAGTTTTTGATTTTATAGATTGTGCATTTTGTGTTGTCTCTAAGAAATATTTGCTTAACTCAAGGTCACAAAGATTCTCTCCTATATTTTATTCTAGATGTTCTATAATTTCAGGTTTTACATTTATCTCTATGATATCTTTTGAGTTAATTTTATAGAGTAAAAGGTATGAATCAGTTTATTTTTGCATATGGATATCCAATTGTTCTAGTATCTTTTGTTCAAAAGACTATCTTTTCTCCAATCGTCTTTGTGCCTCTGTTGAAAATCAATTGACCATATACACATGGGTCTATTTCTGGGTTCTGTATTCTGATTCATTCATCTATTTGTCGAGCTTGAACAATGCCATCATGTTTTAGTTACCATGACTTTATAAGTCTTGAAGTCAGGCAATGTAAATTCTCCAACTCTGTTCTTGTTCAAAGTTGTTTGGCTATTCTCAGCCTTTTGCATTTCCATATGAATTTTAGAATTGTCTTACAAATTTCTACAAAAGAATCCTGTTGGAATTTTGATTATATTGAATCTATAATCAATTTAGGAAAAAATAGATAACAATATCGCATCTTCTGATGTGTAATCTCAATACAGCTATGACTTCATTTAGGTCTTCTTTAACTTCATTTAGCCATGTTTTCAGTGTACAGGTCTTGCACATATGTTATCAGATTTATCTATAAATATTTTATGTTTTTGTGCTATAGGTAAATGGTATTTTTAAATTTCAATTCCCAATTG
This sequence comes from Homo sapiens, assembly GCF_000001405.40. Taxonomy (NCBI): domain Eukaryota; kingdom Metazoa; phylum Chordata; class Mammalia; order Primates; family Hominidae; genus Homo; species Homo sapiens. Next base: position 123,542,148 of record NC_000010.11, read on the forward strand.
TCCATTGCTGGTAAATGGAAATACAATTGACTTTTGTAATTTAATCTAATATCCTGTAACCTTGCTAAAATAACTTATTAGTTAGTCCTAATAGCATTTTTTGTAGATTCCATCAGATTTTTGATGAAGACAATTATGTCATCTGAGAATAAAGACACTTTTACTTCTCTATTTTTATTCCTGGATCTCTTTTCTTTCTCTTTCTTGCCTCATTACCTTGACTAGAACCTCCAATAAAATGTTACATAGAAGTGATGAGAGTGGTCACCCCTGCATTGTTTCCAGTCTTAGGGAAAAGCATTTAATCTTTCACGATTACTTATGACATTAGCTGTAAGTTTTTATGTAGATGCTCCTTAAAATGTCAATGAAATTTCCCTCTATTCCTAGTTTGCAAAATGTTTTTACCTGGAATAGATGTTAGATTTTGTCAAATGCTTTTGCTGTATCTAGTGAAATAATCACATGTCTCTTTGTTAGTTTATTAATATAGTGTACTTCATTAATTGATTTTTGAATATTAAAGCCCTAGGATAAACCTTACGTGGTCATGATACATCACTCATTCATTCATATATATATATATATACACACACACACACACACACACACATAGAGATACACACATATATATAATTGCATTTGATTTGCTCAAATTCATAAAGAATGTTTGCATCTATGTTTATGAGGAATATGCATCTGTAGTTCTCTTTCCTTGTAACATTTTTGTCTGGTTTTGATATCAAAGTAATGCTTGCCTTATAAAATGAGTTTGAAAGTCTTACTCCTTCTTCAAATTTCTGGGGTAGACAATGCAGAACTGGTATTACGTCTTCCTTACATGTTTGGTAGAATTCACCAGTGAAGCCCTCTGATCCTAAAGTTTTCTTTGTGGCAGGGTTTTTAAGTAAAAATTCAAATTATTTTATATACATGGCTATTCAAGTTATCTATTTATTCTTAAGTGAAGTGTTGTAGTTTCTGTCTTGTAAGAAACTTTTCCATTTCATGTAAGTTGTTGGATTTATTGGCCTAAAGTTATTCATAATATTCTTTGTTGGCTTGTTAGCTATAACTTTGTGCTGTGTTATTTTAGTGAAATTTATAGCTTATAGTACACAACTTTAATCACATTCAACTTTCAACCAATTGTATACCACGTCATGTATATTATAAAGACTTTACAGCATTATATTTTGAGAAAAGGAGAATGAAAAGAGACCAAGAATATTTGAAGTAAAAGTGTTCAAATATTTTTAAAATGTTATGAAAACTGTGAACCCACAAATACAAGAAGCTCGATGAATCACAAGCAGAAGAAACATAAAGAAAATAAGACTTCATCATACCATATTCAAATTGCTTAAAATCAACAAAAAAGAGAAAACCCTCAAAGCAGCAGGGAAAAAAGACACAGTGTGTCCAAAAGGATCTTTCATTTGGCCTTTATGCTATTATGTCATACATTTTACTTCTAAATATTTTATAAGCCCCAGAGTACATTCCTATCATTTTTGCTTTACACAATTGACCATCTTTTAAAGATACTTAAATGATAAGAGAAAGTATTTATGCTTGACAATGTAGCCTCCATTTCTGGTCCTCTTCATTCCTTTGTGTAGCTCCATGTTTCTATTTAGTATTATTTTTCTTCAGCTTAAAAAGCTTTCTTGAATATTTCTTGTAGTTGGAGTCTAGTGGTAATTGATTTTTTTGGTACGTCTTCAAAAGACCTTGTTGCCTGAAAGTTTGAAAAATATATTTATTGGATAAAGAATTCTAAGTTGTCATTTTTTTCTTTCAGTACTTTAAAGATGTGCTTCACTATCTTTAGCTTGTATGGTTCTCAATGAGAAATCAGCTATCACCCCAATCTCTATCCTTCTGGACACATTGTGTCTTTTTTTCTCTAGCTGCTTTTAAGGTTTTCTCTTTATTGTTGATTTTGAGCAATTTGAATATATGATGAAGTCTAATTTTCTTTATGTTTCTTCTGCATGTGATTCATTGAGCTTCTTGTATTTACGGGTTCATAGTTTTCACACTGTAAAAATATTGGATATTTTTACTTCAAACATTTTTAAGTCCCTTTCTTTCTCCTTTCCTTCAGGGATTCCAATTACATGTATATTTGGCCCCTTGACATTGTTCCACAGTTCACTGATGCTTTGTTAATTTTTTAAGTATTTTTCATCTCTTGATTTTATTTTGTCTTCTAACTTACTATTTTTTCAGAAATATCTAATCTTGCAAAGAGTTCTTTGTGTAATAAAATACTGTCTTTATTGTAAAATGAAAAAAAAATCATGGTATAACATTTTAGGTATAGTATGACCTTAAATATGTTTAAAATGTGCCCAGAAAAAATATTAGAAGAAAATACATAAATGTAAATAGTGGACTTACCTGGTTGGTAGAATTATTAATTCTTAATACCTCCTTTATACTTTTCTGTAATTTCCAGAATTTTGAAAGTATGAATACATTACTTTTATAATTATCTATATAAAAAAGAAAGGATATAAGATGTTAACAACATTGAGATATGATTTATTGATTATCAAATTAGTAAAGATTAAAAATAAGATGAAAATGTCCAGTATTGATGAGCCATGGAAAGTGCATTCTTGTTCAACATTTCCCCCTTAGGGGATATTTATTATAGGACCCTCTTTAAGAGACTTTGGCAATGGCCTTCTGTCATAGGTTGTTGATGTTTCAAAAGGGGATGCTTGGCCTGACACTGACCATGTGTGTCCCTATATATGTGCACTTCAATTTATGTCAATATGGTCATAAATAGCTCTATGCAAATCAATTTATTTGCAAATTGGAACAATGCCTTTGGTGACTGAAACTATTTAAAGAAGTCCTGAGGTTAAGCCTTTTATTATGGAAATATTCTCTTGCTGTTTCCTCTGTATTAGTCAGTTATCATGCTGCTAACAAAGACACACCTGAGACTGGGTAATTTGTAAAGGAAAGACAGTTCCACATGGCTGGGGAGGCCTCACAATCATGGTGGAAGGTGAAGGAGGAGCAAAGTCACGTCTTACACGGTGTCAGGCAAAAGAGCATGTGCAGGGGAACTTCACTTTATAAAACCATCAGATCTCATGAGACTTACTTACTATCACAAGAACAGCACGGGAAAGATCCACCTTCATGATTCCATTAACTACTACTAAGAATTATGGGAGCTGTAATTCAAGATGAGATTTGGGTGGGGACACCAACAAATCATATCATTCTCTTTCTAAACTTAAATTTTTTTTTTTTTGCACATTAGTGTTTACATTACCTTGTTGGAGTGAGACTTGCCTGCATTTTATTTCTGATTCACTCTTTACTGATTTTAGCCTAGGCTCTGTTACTAACAGAATATGTGACTTTTGGCAAGTTAATACCTCTCTCTAGGCCTCACTCTTTGACATAGGAGATTATGTTAGTTTTCCAGGGCTGCCATACAAAACACCACAGGCTGGATGCCGTAGAAAAGAGATATTTATTTTCTCAGAGTTCTGAGTACTAGAATTCCAAGATCAAGGTGTCAGCAGGCTTGGTTTCTCCTAAGGTCTCTCTTCTTGGCTTGCAGAAGGCCATCTTCTTCCTGTATCCTTGCATGACCTTTTCTCAGTATGCATGCATCCCTCGTGTCTCTCCCTCTTATAAGAATATCAGTCCTAATGGGTTAGGGCCCCATCCTTATGACCTCACTTCACCTCAGTTTAATTTTCACCTCACCTTTAAAGATCCTGTCTCCAAATATAGTTATATTAGGGAGTAGGGCTTCAACATGTGAATGCTGAGGGGACACAATTCAGACTATAGCAGAGAGAATTAATTAGCCCTAGATCAGTGGTTCTTAAACTCCAGAATTCCCAGGCGGGATTCCCGGGCCCTGTCCCAAGTTTCTGATTCAGCTTTAGAATCGGGCTTTGGATTTTACATTTGTGGTGATTCCCAGATGATATTTATTCTGCTGGTCCAGAGAGCACACTTTGCAAAAACCACTTGTGCAGACCTTTAAGATAACTATAAACTGTGCAACAACAAACTTAAGACAGAGAGAACACACAATTTTAAAGGGCGCTTTTGGCAGTGCAAATGATGCAATGGTAAATTTTGCAAGTTGGGTTTTGATATGGTTTGGCTCTGTGTCCCCACCCAAATCTCATTTTGTAGCTCCCATAATTCCCATGTGTTGTGGGAGGAAACAGGTGGGAGATGATTGAATTATGGGGTGGGTCTTTCCTGTGCTGTTCTTGTGATAGTGAATGGGTCTCATGAGATCTGATGGTTTTAAAAACGGGAGCTGCCCTGTGCAAGCTCTCTCTTTTTTGCCTGCTGCCATCCACGTAAGATGGGACTTGCTCCTCCTTGCTTTCTGCCATGATTGTGAGGCCTCCCCAGCCATGCGGAACTGTAAGATTAAAAAAAAACTCTGTCTTTTGTAAATTGCAGTCTCGGGTATGTCTTTATCAGCAGCATAAAAATGGACTAATATAGGTTTATTAAAAATTAACAGATTTTTAAAAAGAAGGAGGTAGAAAACAATATGTCTTGAACATCTCAGGAATAATGTAAGTAGGCAAATCTACATAAATGGAACTCATCCTATTTCAACTCCAGGGTTTACATATTTTTAAAAGCTCCCTTAGAAACATGGCTCAGCAACCCTAACCACAGGGAAGGTAACCACTTCTCTGCTGGTTCCTAAATGATGCTTTCATAAGCACTGTTTACAGGGCAAGAAATACTCAGTCCTGACATTGGATTATTCTTCACAATTTATGTTGTTTGTCCAGAAATTTAACTCTTTTCACAATCAGCTTTCTCTGGACAAGGACACTGTATTCTTTTAACAGGATTTTTTTTTTTTTTTTTTTTACCTGTATGACACAGTATGCCAGATAAAGAAACCGTTTCTTTCAGGCTTTTAATCTCCTCCGAGAGCGAAAGTAGTATTTGCTGAAATAAAAATACACCTTGGCAGAAATGCGATGCTAATCCTCTTAGTTTTAATGGTTTGGAAATGGTTGGAGTAAGAAGGTAAACATTGTAGTTGATTAATAGGAAGGAAGTCAATTGTCCATGTAGCCACTGCTATATGCCATACTGTACAATACTGCTTTATTTTTATAAACCCCCAAACAAAGTCTCTCTCCATGTTAATGTTCTTACTTGAAAAGTGATCTACTTGCACCGTGCAGCTCCTAAGTGTTTGATTCCATTACCCCCAAAAGCAAGCAGTGCACATTTCAAATCGACGTCAAACAAATCCCACTGATAACGGGTGTCATATCAATGACTTATCAGGTCTTTTTTATTGAAAATAGTCGGATATAATGAGGTGCTTCACATTTAAAAGTCTTAAATCTTTGAAAGCTCCAAGCCTAGATGGTTTTGATACTAGCTTATTAAACTTGCCCTGGAAGAGAAAGCAGGAGTGGTTGGGGGTGGGTGTGAGCGAGAGTAAGAAAAACCCGGAGGAGGGGAGATGGAAGACTGAGCAGACTGACTTAACCCCACGTTGGCCATGGTGCAAAGATCATGTTTGCTGATAGCCGTTTCTACCAGCACCTCCCAGGGAGGACTCAGAAAAAGGAGGCTCAAAGTGCTTTTGAGCATCCGTATGTTGCTGCCTCCCACAAATTCTCCAGTAATTATTTTGCCAGGATCTCACAGCCTCCTTTGCATGGTGACAAGCCCTCCATTTATTAAACTTGAGCATTGGACAAAGAAGACATTTTACCTACTTTATCACTGGATTGTGAGAAGAAACTCTTCCGGGTCCAGCAAGAAGGGACTTTCACAATAGTTGAGACTCTGCTATGAGTACCAGGCACAAGAAGATGCCCTCCCCCTTTGTCATCTCCTATAACTCAGCTTATGCTCCTGCTAAGTCAGTACTGGCCCTCTTTGACAGCTGAGGAAAGTGAGGTTCCAAAGGGGTGAAAGCATTTGTCATGGAATAGCCTGGAGCAGTATGAGTCTCAAAGTGTAGTCCCTGACCAGCCCCAACAACATCACCTGGGAATTCAGGCTTCACCTGGACCTACTAAGTCAGAAACATAGCTGGTAGGCCCCAGAAGTCTGTGTTCAAAATCAGCAGTGATGCTGATAAACACTAAAGTTTGCAAATGGCCTGCTGCTTTAGGGCCTAAGGCCGTAAGTGTGGAAACTTCCTAAAGGGCTTTAGCAAGTAAGAAGCAGTGCTTTCAACCATGCTAGATAGCAATGAGAGGAAAAGGGAATGCAGTACATCCTCGTCTCCTTTATTTCTCAACCGTATGGTTTTAGGGGGTGACCAAGAAACTGGAAGGGGCAAAACAGGACTTTCATGTCTTCAACCATCCCATGATGTTGAGGCCAAGGGTTCCATCCTGCTGGAATAGCCTGCGATTCTGAGTTGAAGGCCATCCTGCTTTATGGGAGTAAGAAGAATGCAGAGAAGTTAGACCAGGGCTTTTCCTTGTTTCTTCTGGCCACACCATCAGTTGTCTTCCTAACAGAGAATAGCCCTCCCCTGGTGGGTTCCAGAGGAACTACTTGTTCTGAGATACATGGATCCAAAAGGGTGCCCCGGAAAGAGCTGTGCCGTCTAGCACACCTCTTAGTCATGTCTTTCACAATGTCTGGTGTTGCCTTTCACAATGTCGCTGTTGGATCATAACAGCGAATCAAGCTGGAAGGGAAGGGTTCTGAGGAAGCCTGGCCCCTGAGAAGCACATGGAAACTTATACATTTCTGCTTCTTTCCTTAACTGCCAATTCTGCCTACCACTCTGAGTGGCCCACCCAGCCAGCTCTCACTTCAATCTCATTGGCTTGCTCACATGCCAATCAAGTGCTGAGCCAGCAACTCATGGGAAACCCAAACAGTATCTCACACAAACTCAAATAGAAGCTTGTATTTCTTATGGTGCTCTCAGGAGGCCTTCACCAAAGGTGGAGAACAAGGACAAAAGGGCAAGAGTGCTGAACTTGGCATCCCCATTCTGCCCCATCTCAGCCTGTGACCTTGGGCAAGTTACAACCCCCTATTTTCCCATAATTGAAGCCTATAGCCTCTGTGCTTCCCTCCTCCAACCAGCACTGAGATTAGGATGTTGGAAGGATGTAGAAAGGTATTAGGTATTAGAGCAACAATATACAGATACACCGAGATTGGCCTTGAACCTCCAACAGGGAACTACAGCTCAGCAAGGTGTTTCGCCAACAGAAACAGCCTGTCCCTGTGCTTTGAGCAGAGCAGTGATAAGACCACAGAGTCGGGCATAACTCAAAGTGGGGTGACCAAATCATCTCCGTTTTCCTGGAACTTAACTATTTTTAACCCTGTAAGTCCAAGACAAACCAGGACTGTTGGTCACCCTAGCTCAAGGCCAACTTCATCCTTCATTTGTCATATAACTTAACTCTCAGAGACTTGATTCTATATAGTCTGTAAAGTGGAGGTAATAATAATCATACTCATAGGCATTTTTCACACTGTAGTCATTCCATCCTGAAAGCCTAAAGTCTCCCCTCCCCTGGCCTTCTCAGGCTCCCTGATCCTGGGCTGGTCTTGACAGGATACTGAGCATGACTTATGGCAATGACCTGCTTCCTCTCTGTGTGCTGGGAGCTCCTTGAGGACAGGCCCATGTTTTAATCAGCTTTGTTTCTTCAGTCCTTCCCTTGCGCAGTGTCTGCACCATGGGAAGTGCTTAGTAATGCTTGTTAAAATGTCAGTTACTGACATCAGGAAGGCAGATCCCGCAAACTGTAACCTGGAAAGTTCACTTCAAGTTTCAAAGAGCTAACCACATCAGCTAGCACAGAATGTGTGTCAGAGTCTGCAAATGCATTTAGCACATCTTTGATTTCTGTCCTTTCATCCTCCCAACCCCCTTGGGAGATAGGCAAAGGCGTTATTATTTCCTTTATCATACACACAAGGAACCTGAGGCTTAGAGATGGTAGGTGACTTGCCCAAGGTCACACAGCTAGAAACCAGAGGGTGTCTTTGCCACACATAAACTACAGTGACCCACTCCAGGGCCACCAAAGCACTTTTTTGGGGGGCGGTGGCTACAGATGCTTGGAAAAGTCTTCTGGTGTCCAATTGCCTCCCAGGCTCATCTTCAGTAAAAACATGGCCTCTGATTGCCTCGGCCCCTTCCTAATCTGCAGATCCAGGGAGACCCAAGGCACGGGACAGAAACAGCCACATCAAGGCCCCTGTCCCAGGATTCCGCAGTGAATCTTCCTAGTGCTAGGAGACCATTTTCACAACCTAATCAATGATCCCATTATTGACTTGGTGTTCCCAGAGGACAGGTTTAAAACTTTATCGAGCACTGTATGTGGGGGCAATTATAGGGATAATGGAAAATCATCGACAAATGGAGGCTTCTGCATTGCAAATTAACATCTGCTCCAAGTAAGAGAAAAGTCCTGTTTTAGTTTCAGAATTTGTGAAAATGGAAATGGCCATAAGACAAAGTGTGCGATTTCTGGTGGGTACCATCCCGCTCCAACCCGGGTCTCCTGCACCGGCTCTGTCATTAGCATGTAAATGATGCGGCTCCCTGTGACCGTGACAACCCCCATATAATGTGCTCACTGGGAGTGCCTGCTGCATCGTCTACAACAACTGCTCTTGTGATTCCCAGGGTCCTAAAACAACTGGCACCCAAAGTCTCCCTTTGTTTGTAGTGGGCAAACCTGGGAGTGCACCTGGCCTTGGGCCCTGGAGGCGGGTTGGCTCTGGCAGCCGCCAGGCATTCCTCACACAGGCAGGCACACCCAGGAGGCACTGGGCAGAACACTAAGCCTGAGCCAGGGGACCGGGTTCCTGTCTCGGATCCACTAGTCTTGTGGTCCGGGCAAGTTGTGTCAGCTCCTAAGCCTTGCTGTCCTCATCTGTAGAATGGGACTACTATTCTTTCTGTATTAGAGGATCCCTGTAAGGGTTAGATGAGGTAGCCCTTTGAGCCTTCAAAGAACCTATAAGCCTCATATTACAGACTCGTGTGTCCAGCTGTCGGCCTCCTGTGTGGCAGGCATCATCCTAGCACTAGGGAACAAGAGAAATCCCCTGCCATAGTTAAAAATCGTTCAAACAATCGACTATAGATGTATCATTTCTGAAAGTGAAACACTGTGACTGAAGCTAAGCTGGATGGGGTTCGAGGTGATGACAGGGCTGGGGTTAGACAAGACTTGTCCCAACAGTGATGTTTGAGCAGAGACCGGAAGGATGTACAAGAGTGAGCCACGCCATGTTCCGAGGGGAGAGCATGCCAGGCAGGGATGGGGAGGATCAGCCGGGCAAAGGCCATGCAGAGGGAAGGAATGAGCTTGGCAGTTTCAGGGAGCAGCAAGGAGCCCTGACCTGCAGCCAGGTGAGCAAGGGAAGGGGAGCAGAGGAGGAGGAGAGTGACAGGGCCATCGTACAGGCCATCAGAAGGAATGGGAATGTTATTCTAAGTGCCTTGACATTGGGAGGTCACTGGGAGGTTTTGACCACAAGGGTGGCGTGAGCTGACTTGGCTTCCTAAAAGTCATTCTGGCTGCTGGGTGGAGAGTTAATCCAGGGACAAGGACAGAAACAGAGTTCAGGAAGGAGCGCAAGTCTACAAAATACACTGCCCTGTTTCCCGAGAAGACAGAAACGTTCTCAGGAGGCCCCTAGGTTTCCATGGCTTCTTCTTGCCTCCCCTTGGGTTGGCAATGGTAACGTTGACCGTTTCACAGCCGCCTTATCTGTGCCCAGAGCTGTGTGCCCATTCTGTCCTCAAGGTACCCCACTTCCTGTAGGAGGTAGGTGATCTCATACTCCCATTTCCATGACTGACTCAGCCATGTCACACAGCTGGTGAATGGTGGCTGAGCCCACATCCAATGGCTGTCTGGCCCCAAAGCCACTCTGCTCTCTTGACTCTCAGATTTTTTTTTTTTTTTTTTGAGACGGAGTCTCACTCTGTCGCCCAGGCTGGAGTGCAGTGGCATGATCTCGGCTCACTGCAAGCTCCACCTCCTGGGTTCACGCCATTCTCCGGCCTCAGCCTCCAGAGTAGCTGGGACTACAGGCGCCCGCCACCATGCCCAGCTATTTTTTTTTTTTTTTTGCATTTTTAGAGGGACGGGGTTTCACTGTGTTAGCCAGGATGGTCTCGATCTCCTGACCTCATGATCTGCCCGCCTCAGCCTCCCAAAGTGCTGGGATTACAGGCGTGAGCCACCGCGCCCGGCTGACTCTCAGATTTTTAAAAAGCCCCCACACTGCATGTGCCTTCGCCCCATGACAAGGCAAATCTGCAGCCACAGCTGCATGTCCCCTTCACAGTGTGGTCCTCTCTTGAAGATGCCCCACATTTGCCACCATGTTTGTCCCTTGAAGCCCTCCAGGATCTACAGGTGACCAAGAGCCTGCTGTCTGGTTATGGAAGGTCTCAGCTTTGGTTGTGTCAGTGAATGAAGACCAGGACAGTCACAGTTGTATGAGGAGGCTGGGGGCATCCCTTACAGTCCCTTTGAGGGAGGTGCAGTCCTTGTAGCTGGATGACCATAGAGAACCAGCTTCTCTGCTGAACCAGGTAAGTGCTGTAGATGAGGCCACCAGGCTGTTGGCCACCTTGAAGGGCACTGCAGGGAGGGAGTGCTTCTGTCAGTGTGTGGAGGCAGAGATAAGGCTCGGACAGTGGCAGGACTTCAGGGATATTTGTTGTGACTGTGTCACACAGCCAGAGCCACCTCCCCCAACCTTGGAGGCTGCTGACTCTGCCCCACCCTTCACTACACACCCAGCAGAATAGAGCGGTCACTGGCCAAAGGCTCAGGGGCTTCGAGGAAACTTAGCCTCTGTGGCCAACACCTGGCTCTCTGGATCAGCCATGGCTTAGCTCCTGTCCCAAAAAACACTCTGTACCTCTGAAAAGTGCTATAGGCCTGGCCCCTCAAGGCCCGGAAGCCCCAGGAAAGGCCTCCATGGGTGGAGCAGGGGCTGGTGTCAAGCAGGCGCTCTGCAGAGGCACAGATCTCTGCATGATTGATGCTGGAAAGGCCAAGCTTTCACAGGATACCCTCAATTTTACTCAGGCCCACAAAGCCCTTGGGGTTGTGCCTCGATTTTACTCTCGATTTTACTCAGGCCCACAAAGCCAGTGGGGCTGGCTGCCTCAGTGGCCGCAGTTCCTCACCGATTTCAGTGCCCACGCTTACTGCTCTGTGACAGAAGTTTCCCACATTGAAGAGGTGGAGCCTGTTTCCTACCTGAGAATCTGGACTGGCCTCAGGACTTGCTTTGACCAATAGCCAGTGGCAGGTGTGAGGGTGTACTCGTTCTGAGCCTAGCTCTCAAGAGGATGTTCATAGTCTGCCTGCTCTCTCTTGCACCACTGGTGTGCTGCAGTAGCCTTCGATGAGACCAGCCTACACCAGCCAACAGCCAAACACCCTTGGATTCACAACCAAACTCATCCAAAATCAGTTGAGTCCAGAGGAGATCTCCCAACCCTCAGCCTTGACTCATGGCTATAAATAATAAATGATTATCATTTTAAGCCACTGGATTTTGGGATTGGCTGTTATGCAGCAATAGCTGATGCACCTGTGAACTTACCCACCCACTTCCAACACTTAATAATGGTTTGAGGGATGACAAATGCTGGGGTTTGCTACTGACAACATTCATATGCATCATGATCATAATCATCTTATTAACACCATGTATTGGGCATCATCAGCTTCCCGCAGCCCCGTGCTAGAGACTTTACATATAGCATATGCTTGGACCTTCCCAACCACACTGGGAGGCAGGTATTATTCCTCCACATTTGACAGGTGATGAAACTGAGATGCAGAGAAGTTAACTAATTTGCCTGAGGTCACACGGACAACAAGTAGCAGTCACAGAATTCAGACCGTTCCTGTCTGCCTCATGCAAATGAAATATTCTCATGAAAAATATATTCAGAGAGCACCGTGCAGCCCCAGCTCCCTCCCCCCAGGTCCCAAGCTTCCTCCTGACTTTGGATCTTGGGAATCTAACTGGGGACCAGCGGGCAGTGCATGCAATGGCTTCAGTGCCATCAAAACCAGCATCTTTTACTTTAAACAGCCGAGGCAGCAGAATCGCTTGAACCCGGGAAGTGGTGGTTCCAGTGAGCTGAGATTGCGCCACTGCTCTCCAGCCTGGGTGACAGAGAGAGACTCCATCTCAAAATAATAAATAAATAAAATGCTTAGTCCCTTAGCTTCTGATCAGAAGAGCTGCCCAACTTGATCTCTGGAGAGCTCACATGAACTGACTTCTTTCCCAGGGAGCCGTCCTGATTCAAAATCCAGGCATAAGCCAGGAGTGGTTCCCCTTGAGTGACTCAGAGTTTCAGAGAGAGGGTGTGCATAGGTCTGGTTAACCTAATGTGCACAATAAAAATTTTTATTAAAAAGAAACGAAGAAGCTGAGGAGATGGCAATTGGCCATGGAAGGGCATTATTTTTTATTGGAATTAGGATTCTTTGATTTAAAAAATACATAAACCCTCAATTTTCTTTCTCTCACTTGGCTTAGCAGCCTGTGAAAAGTTTCCAAAGGCAATTTCAATATTGGCGGAGAGAACATCTCTGGACTTGCTCGCTTTTCCTGAACTGTCTGTTCTGAGAATTCAAGTCACAGCCACCCAGACTCCCAGCATGTGCGCCCTCTCGCCAGGGCCCCGGGGCCGTATCCTTACACTTGAGGCCAAATATCCATCCCAACACTTGCCTCTGTGTTCTCCTCCACATGCTCTTAGGGTTTTGCCAAGACAGACTGAATTTTATTTTAACAAATAGGTTTCTAGAGGTTTCGATTGAAAGGTAAAATTCCTGTGGTTCGTGAAGAGGCAACAAGCTCATGGATGTGATGATTGCTCTGCATAACTGAGGATTCTGGTTATCCGAGAGCCTCTATGAACTCAAGGGGAATGATCCTTAGATCAGAGCTGACTCCTTGTCAGGTAGCTTTTAATAAGTTGCGTGCTGTGCGCATTTTCTGGGTCATCTCATTTAATTTTCACAACAGCCCTTTGAGGCAGGTTTTTTATAATTTCTATTTCACAGAGGCAGAAGTGGAGACCCAGTAATGTTGAGTAACTTAAATTCAACCAGCAAACATTTATTGAATATCTACGTGTGTCAGGCACTGTCTTGGGCACAGGGGATACCACAGGATTGAAACTGACAAGGCAAAACTGCCCACGATCACAGAGCTGGGGGAGGCAGCCTCAGGATGAAAGTGTATGGGACTCCCAGGTATGAGCTCTGACCTGTTGTACTGAATCCCTGCTCAAGGCCACATCAAGGATTTTGAATAAAATAAACGACGGCACCCGGGGCACTTTTAGAACTGGCAAAGTGCACCTGGAGTTAAGCACCCACCTTTTGCACCTTCTCAGTTGTTTTGAATAAGATTCCAATTCATAAAAATGCATCTGACATTTGTTGAGCCCCAACCGTGGGCCAGGTGGACTTTGCTGCCTTCTCATGGTGGATTATTTTGGCAGTTCCTCAAGACAGATGCACCTTTTGCAGATGAGGAAATTGGACTTGGAGAAGTGACCTGATTTGCCCAGGGATGCTCAGTGGGCAGGTGGAATGGGGGCTTGGACCAGAACCAAGCACACTGGCTGCCTTCTGTGGGTTGTGCCCTGCTCCTGCCAACCTGGGTCTTGAATCTGCTTGGAAGTACAGTTGGCAGTAACTCACCCAGGGGTGTAATCCTCTCTCCCACATAAGACATCTGGCTGGGGGAGAAGGAGGGTGATCACTCTGCTCCGTCATCGCATTCCATCATTTACCGCTTCAAACTGTCCTGTTTAAACCTCTTCTCTTCCTACCCAGAGATGGACCTCCACATTTACTTCAAGGGCTGATGAGCAAACCACCGTCTCCACCTGCCTCCTGCGCAGGTGCCCCAGGGGCTTGCACTGTCCCCATGCACTCACTACGTACTCACGGGGAGACACTCCTGGGGCACCCAGCACCTGCCCAGTGCAGTGCCTGTCCAGGGCTGGGGTCAGGGACCGAGATACCTTTGCAGAATAGTGCTTGGTTTGAGTTGTCCCCAGGTACAGAGGGAGGTCAGGAGACAGGAGAATGGCAGGAGGGAGGCTGGCGAGGAGCCAGGGCCTGGTCCAGGGCTGGTGCCAACCTCAGAGTGTGAACCGCATGCTGTGGGCCTTTGGAGGCTTAGAAGCCATGGGGGAAGTGACCCAGGCCTCTGCTGATTCCAGGTTCCCAAAGACACAGCTGACAAGCCTCACCCTGAAAGGGGCTTCTTTGAGGGTTGAGAAGAACAAAGCGGGAGGAACTGTTTTGTCTTCGTGGCTGAAAAGATTTGCAGCCCCAAAGGAGCAGCAATGCACAGCTCATCCGAGAAAGCATAAACCGCTGAGAACATTCTCCCCTTCCGAGGGTCCTTTGAAAATGAACAAGCCCCAGTGTACCGGAAACACAGTGCAGACCCCTGGATGCCACCTTGTAAACAGGGCCGGGGGCATGTCCAGCTCTGCTCTACAACAATCGCCCTGTGTTGTGGGGGAGTGTGGACAGACCCCATGCTCCCGTTCACTGGAAGGCAAGCGAGAGTTAAGTTTCCTGGACTTCTTCTGAGCACCATTATCCGGGGGTAGCGGGCGTAGCCTCCAGAGCCTTGGCCTGTGCAGGTGTTTGCCCCGCACTTGACACTCCCCAACCGGGTGACGTCTCAGGTGTCCGAGGGGGAACTCCATTCCTGCAGCCCCACCAGGCTCGCCGAAAGCCTGGGCACCAGCATGCCTCGGGGAGGGCTGAGCCCCAGGCCCGGGAAGGGGTGCCTAGCTGACCCTGGCGTGTGTGTCCTCCTGGCTCACCTGGGGCACCCTGCCTCCCTGTTGGTGTTGTTCTGTCCAGCTCTGTGACCGCCCCACTCTCAACAATGAGGCGGCCTGTGGTCCTCACTGGCCAAATGGACTCTCCTCTGGGAGTTTGAATCTGTAGCAGCCACCCAGAGAAGGAGGGTGGGTGGACTCCCAGGAGCTCCCAGCCCTCTGAAGCCCAGTTTCATCATGGACTATCCAGTATCCTCCCAACATTTGCCTTAAGTTTCCACCAAGAATCTTAAATGGAACAGAAGATTTGGGGCAATGACATCCACCAGGGTGTCTCTCAGAAACATGCTGATGGGACCATGGAGGGCCTCATGGAGGCGGGGTCTTTTCCTCTGGGCTCTGACAGATAAAGGCATTGAGAGGTGAAGTAGGGAGGGGGTAACGCTGCTGCCAGGTGGGAAGATGGGGCCCCAGCAGTTGCTGGCTCCTCCGTGCAGTCCCCTGACCTCCTGCCAGAAGGGGGGCAAGGGGGGAGCCCTCCTGAGCCAGGGGCCATGCTTGGTGTGTCTCCTTTGACTGAAGTCACAGGACTGTTCCACCCAGAACAGCAGGGTTGGGGGAGCCTGGGCACCAGCATGTCTTGGGAGGGCTGAGCCCCAGGCCAGGGCAGGGGTGCCCCATGTCACCATCCCTCAGCCCAGCATGGCAGACTGACCATTTGCCTCAGTTTCTCTAATGCCATCTGCTCTTCACCTGAGTCAAGGGGATAAACAATTTAGAAAAACAAAGCCCCCGAAAAATGCAATCTCAGCATTAGGCATGGTGTTATAATAGAGACAGCATACAAGAGACTGAATTCTAGAAGCTGCAATCAACAGGCCGACTCCCTCCCCAGGGGCATCAGGGGCTGCCGGGGGTATCTTGGGCCCACTTACGCACGGGCATTTCAGGGGTCACAGGAGGTGAAAAAGCAGGCTTGGCTTCAGGTTTAAGGACCAAGAGAGACTCACCATGCTGTTGCCCCAAATGGTCACTTTCAAACCCACCAGTGTCCTCCAAAAAAGCTGCTTATATTTTTAAACACCAGGGTCAAATGTTTTAACAATAAATTCTTGTCCCGCAGTGAATAATTTGCTTTAGTTTCTGTGGGATTAGTAGTCATGGAAAGCTAGAGCTTTCCTTGCCTGTACTAACTGTCACTTCTGATGCACTAAGGACAGGATTAGGTACAGCCAGATGACATTTATATACAACAATTTTTCTGCTAATAAAATACCCTACAGATTCTTATGCAGCCCCAGCTTCACATGTCAGAGACTGAAAATAGCTCTAATCCTGACTCTCCCTCCACCCCCAGAATGAGAAGAGCATCTTTTTAACCCCCATTTAACAGTAGAGGAAGCCGAGGTTCAGAGATGGCAGCAGGGAGATCCCTGACTCCCATGGCCAGCCGAACAGGGACTGAAACCCAGGTCTACCCTCGGGGAGGTGACAGGCACCCTCCCACCCTCCTCCCTCTTTCCTTTGAAGGTTCAGTTCCAGATCTTGCCCTGGGTTGAAGCAAGAGATAGTTAAAAAAAAAAAAAAAAAAAAGAGTAAGATGAGGCCTCACCATTCCCAGAACACACTTAGCTTACATTTTCAGGTGTTGGAAGCCCCGGAGCCTCACAGGGGACCACGCCCACTGCCAGGAGCTGCAGCGATTCCCCTTTTGTGGTCAGGGAGGCCGTGGAGCCCTGGGTGACCCTGTGACTTCCCAGGCTGCAGGTGGGATTGAGCCAGGCACTGCGCACGCAGCACTGTGAGCCGCTGGCCCAGGCCAGGCTCCAGAGATGGGAGCTCCGCGGGTTCACAGTCGTCTGTGACAGCAGAGCTGAGGGGAGGACGCAGACCCTGGCCTGACCTTGGGCTACCTCTCAGGGTTAGGCCACTGCCTCTGCTGCAGACCCAGGCGGCGCCCAAAGCCTGGGCGTCCCTCCGCTGCAGTGAAAGGGAAAAGAAAACCGGGCTGCGGTAATGCCTGGAGCCAAAATCTCAGGGAGAAGCCCAGCTCCCGACACCTACCCT
Source organism: Homo sapiens (assembly GCF_000001405.40). Classification (NCBI taxonomy): domain Eukaryota; kingdom Metazoa; phylum Chordata; class Mammalia; order Primates; family Hominidae; genus Homo; species Homo sapiens. The sequence continues at coordinate 123,559,054 of NC_000010.11, forward strand.
CTTAAAGTGCAGTTGGATTGAATGAGGCTAAAGGAAGTAACAGGAACCCCGGCCTGGAGGAAGGAGCACGTGCTATGGGCCTCAGAGGGTGGCAGAGGAGGTCTGCAGGGGCGAGAATCTCGGACAGAGCCGAGGCACAGGTGAGCGGTGCCCGGCACAGCAGCCTGGTAGATGGGATCGGGGCGGACAGCGGGGGAGAGCGGAGAGGGGTCCGCCTGGGTTCACACCCCAACACCCACCAGGAGCCCCTGGGAACCAGTCAGGCCCCCAGCCCAATCCCAGTTTCCCCAGGCCACTGCTGGAACAAAAAGCCTCACTGCAGACAATGGGCCCTTTCTGTAGATGCCCGCTCGGGGCTGGGCACAATCGCCGATTCATAAGCCAGGCAAGGCCCCACAATACCCAGGCTGTGTCCAAGAAGGACACCGACGGGAACTCGGAGAGGCCAGTGTCTTTGGTGGGGAAAGGCTGCTCCCTGGTGGTCCACAGGGGCAGTGCGCATGACCAGGGCTCCCAGACTTCAGGCAAGGATGATGGCGGAGAGACACGGCTTAGAAGTCATCCCACCATATGGACGGGGAAACTGAGGCCCAGAGACATGCAGAGACTTGGCTCGGACTGTTTTCTTCAATGTGAGATAGGATTTGAAGGGGGAAAGTGAAGGAGTTATTTCACCTGATGTGTTAAGTGCGGAGTGAGGTAGGTGGGATTTAGAGGGGAAAGCGAAGAAGGAGTTATTTCACTCAAAGTGCGGAGTGACGAAGATGAAGGAACACGAGGTAGCCGGGCAGTGGGTGCTGAGTTGGCTGACACTGGCTTCCTTCCAGAGCGCAGGGGTGCATCCTTCCGAACCTCGCATTCAGTGACGTCACCTTGGTGATTTGAAGTAGGCCCTGGTGGAAGTATTTACACCATGGACATCAGCAAATGCAACCAAGACCTCCCGCTACCCTGGAGAGCTGGGTTTAAGACATTTGCCAGCACACCACTGCCCAGGGACCAGTCTCAGCTCCAGAGCTGTGGGTTATTGGTAAAGGATGTGATTTCATTGAGCCTCAGTTTCTGTATCTGTAAAGCAGGAATCTATCACTTATGAAATATCCTGTGCAGGCACAATCTTAGGTGTGGAGGATACAATACAACGTAAGTAAGATAAAAGTATCCACCTGTGTGGAGCTTGTATTTTGGTGGGGAGACAAACAAGGGAACTATAATGATATGTCATGTCATAATACATGCAATGATGACAAAGCCAGGTGAAAAGGCGATGATGGTCATTAAGTTCAAGATGGGGAGGGGTTGGGGTGAGGGCTGGCCTGTCTGAGGAGGGGCATTTGCAGTGCTGGAGCAAGCCATGGAGGACAGGAATTGCTCCAGTCAGAGGAACAGCAAGGACAAGGGGCCCAAGACGGCATGTACTAGAGGCTCCACGCATAGAAAAAGCCAGCCATCCCCAGCGCTGTAACTGAGTGGCCAGTGGTGGGAGGTGAGGTCACAGACGCGGAGGGGGCATACATGGGGTGAGCGTTTCAGTCTCAAAGTATGGACAGCCCCAGGGGCTTTTGCAGAACAAAGTGATAAGATCTGATTTGCCATTTAAAATAATCCTTCTGAGTTCCTGTGGGGTAAAAGACTGGAGAGGAGGGTGTGTGAGGTGGGGCCAGGAGCCCAGGGAGCTAGGTCGGGGCCCCTCTGCTAAGTGAACAGGGGAGAACAGTGCCTTGTGGTTTCCTGACATTTAAAGTGGAGGCTTTAAGGTACATGGGTGCCTCACATCTTCAGGCATTCCAGACGCCGCTTCCTCCCGCTCCTGATTGTACAATAACCTTTACCCTCTGTGGGGTATCATTCTGTGTGCATTCATCCTCATCTGGGTCATGTCTCCCACTTACTTGGTGACGACCTGGGGCTTAGAGATACTGTGGAGCCTGCTCAGGGGACACAGCCAGTGAGCAGACACTCAGTCTCTCAGGTTCCAGGCCAGTGGGGCGTGGTCTTGGAGGGTCTGGCTGGTCAGAGTCCCTAATCAGCACCCAGCTCTGGGCTTCCTTTCCACACCTCCCATGCCTCTCTCCATGCAGCTCTTTCCCCAGCTACTGAGACCTTCTGGGCCCTTTCCCTCATCACCGCTCCCTGCCTAGGACCCTTCCAACTTCCTCAATTTCCAACAGGAGTGAATAATCAGGAGGCTTCCTCCTGGGGGATGCCTTTACCTGGATGGGCCTGCCTCAGGCTGTTCTACCTGAATCCATTAACTCCTGAACCATAAACCACAAATTCCCCAGGGCAGGAGTCGTGTTCATCTCTGTGGACTTGAGGGTCTGGCCCTGAGTAGCGGCTTGCACGTGTTGTTAGCAATAATGACAGCTGGGCTTATGATGCAGGTACTGTGTCACGCAAGGTGCTGAGTGCTTTACCTGTGGTGTCTTATTTGACCTTCACAAGCACCCTGAGAGGAAGTTAAGGATATTATCCTTTTCAGCACTGGGTACGTTATTTGTTGGGGACAATGCAAGATAAAAATGTGGAGCCCCTTGTTAAAGATTGTTAAGAATTATTAACAAATTATTTAAAATTTATTAAGAATTTCAACAGCAGAGCATTCAAGCAAGCATGGGTCCATCTAAGTATGACTGTGCAGGTTGAATGCCTATGAAGTAAACTCTGTCCCCATTTTAAGATGAAGAAACTGAGGCTCAAGGAGGTTAAGTAATGTCCCTGGGGGTCATGCAACTAGGAAACAGCAAAGTTGAGATCTGTGTTCTTTATTACAGTCTTTGTAATAGTTAATTTTATGCATCAACTTGACTGGATCACAGTGTGCCCAGATATTTGATCAAACATTATTCTGAGTGTTTCCGTGACAATGTTTTTGGATACAATCAACATTTATTTAATTGGTTGAAGACCTGAATAGAACAAAGAGTTCAATTCTCTCAAGTAAGAGAATTCCTCCTGTCTGACTACTTCAGAATTGGGACATTGGCTTTTTCCTGCCTCTACACTACAACTACACCATCAAGCCTTCAGACATGGAAAGGAACCACACTATTGGCTCTCCTCGGTCTTCAGCTTGCCAACTCAATGCAGATCTTTGCATTTGTCAGCCTTATAACCATGTGAGCTAATTCCCTAAAATAAATGTCCTCATTTAAATGTATTTCCTATTGCTGTTTCTCTAGAGAACTCTAATACAACCCCATACAAAAGTACACCACACTAGAAGAATTGGGTTAAATCGAATTACAAAAAAAAGAAGAAGATTAAACTCATATGCTCATAATTTGGGACTTTCATGTTTGTAATTATCTGCTAAATTCCCTCAATGGCCCATTTCATAGAAGAGCAGAACTCCATGGCTCCTAAGACTCTATGTGCCCCTCAGTCTGTTGCCACCAGGCCTCTTCTCTTGCAACTCTCATGCTCATTGACACATTCCAGCCATGCTGGCCTCCTTGATACTCCTCAACAGGCCAGGCAGGTCCTGCCTCAGGGCCTTTGCATGTGCTGTGCCTCTGCTTGGACTGCTCTTCTCCCACATCTCCACATGGCTGCCTCCCTCCCTCCCATCTTTACTAAGCTGCTGCCTTCCTTGGGAGCTCATTCTGGCCTCTCCATCTCATATGCTCCACCCCTTCACCAGGCTCCCCATCCCCCCTGCCGCCTAGCTCTTATCACCACCTGAGAGGACAGATTTCACTTCTTTTTCTTGTTATTTGTAAGCTCTATCTCCAAGACCTAGAACAGCGGTAAACATGGGAAGTAATTATTTGTGCATAATTAAACAGTTGAGGAAGGGACCTTGGCCCAAACTGATGATGCTGTTTCGAGTGTGCACCCTTCTGCTGGCCCATATCTGCTGGCCCAGCCTGGAGACCAGGAAGCTGCCCAAGGTGATTGAGTCACTCGAACAGCTGCCCCTGCCAGGGAAGGAATGTGCCAGATTCCACTCCCCCAGCATCCTCCAGGGCCCCAGTACTGGAAGGCAAGGCTGCCTCCAGGTCCTGATAATCATAGACTCCTGAGAACTAAAGACCAGCCTGGCTCTGGGAAGAGTCTTAGACCCCTACACACCTGGGGATGTTCTAAGGTCTTTCTAGCTACAAAAGAGTCCGTCTCCTATGTCCTATGAAAGACCCTCCCCAAGGGCTGTAGGACTTTGAGGGTGGGTTTTTAGCTTCCTGGTCTAGCGCTGCCCATGCCAAAGGACCTTGATCTTGTTCTCCAAGAAACACTGGACCAGTCCTTTTCAGTAGGCCCAGGTACTCGCTCCTCTGTGTCTGGGAGACCTGGGCCTCGCCCCTTGGACCCAAAATGGCAAGAAGAGGCAGCTCTGCAGTGCCTTTGATGTTGCAATGTCATCTTACCGGCAGTCCCTGTAGACATGCAGTATTGGCCTGCACCATCAACTCCTGCCTGCCAAAGGGCATGTGGCTTGGGACTGGTTTGCAGGCACTGAGCCTATGATGGGACATTGGGCTCGGTCTCCTTGTTGGGTCTGTTTTCCCAGACCATACTCCAAGTTTCTGAGTCCCCCTACTCATTCTGTCTGTCCTGCCCTTCCTGGCTCTGTGGTCGCTGGAGAGGAGAGGGCACGCCTCAGAATGCCAGCACCAGAGGGGCCTGCAGGATCTTCCAGCCCACAGGAATCCCAGGCCCCAAGAAGCAAAGTGACCAGCCAGAAGCCCCAGGGCCAGCGCTGGGCAGGCTGGACCCCCGAGTGACTGGGTCATAACACTCCTCTGCTCTCCGTACCTTCTACTGTCCATGAGGGGAGGTATGAGGTCAGGAGTTTTCAAAAGTGTTGTTTAAGCAGCTGAACATTTTTATTCAAAGTAAAACTAACATGAAAGCGAATCTACAAATCAGATATGATGGTTAATTTTATGTGTCAACTTGACTGGGTTAAGGGATGCTCAGCTGGCTGGTAAAATACTTTCTGGGTGCATCTATGCGGGTGTTTCCAGAAGAGATTCGCAGGTGAATCAGTGGACAGAGTAAGGCAGCTCCACCTTCAGCTCAGGCAGCATCCTACACGTTGAGGGCCCAGACAGAACAAAAAAGGCAGAGGAAAAGTAAGTTCTCTCTCTTCCGAAGTTCAGGTATCCACCTTCTCCTGGCCCCAGACATCAGAGCTCTAGGACCTTGGGCCTTCAGACTCCAAGACTTACACCAGTGGCCCCAGTTTTCAGGCTTCTGACAGAGTTGCATCATTGGCTTCAGACCCAGCTGAATTCCACACCAATTTCCTGGTTCTCCAGCCTACAGATGGCAGATTAAGGGATTCCTCGGCCTCCATGAGCACATGAGCCAATTTCCATAATAAGTCTCCTCTTATGTGTCTGTAGTTGACCCTTGAACAACACAAGTTTAAAGGGCATAGGTCCACTTACTTGCAGATTTTTTTTCGACAAATATATTGAAAAAATTTTTGGAGAATTTACGACAATGTGAAAAAACTGGAAGATAAACCACATAGCCTAGAAATATTGGAAAAAATAAGAAAAAGTGGCCAGGTACAGTGTGGCTCATGCCTGTAATCCCAGCACTTCGGGAGGCTGAGGTGGGACAATTACTTGAGTCCAGGAGTTTGAGACCAGGTTGGGCAATGTGATGAAACCCTGTCTCTACAAAAAATACAAGAATTAGCTGAGTGTGGTGGCACATGCCTGTAGTAGCCACAGCTACTTGGGAGGCTAAGGAGGGAGAACCACTTGAGCCCAGGAGGTCAAGGCTGTAGTGTGCTGTGATCGCGCCAGTGCATTCCAGCCTGGGTGACAGAGCAAGACCCTGTCTTTAAAACAAACAAAAAAAAAAATCAGATAAAGTGAGGTATGTATTAGTCAGGGTTCTCTAGAGGGACAGAATAGGATAGATGTATATATAAAGGGGAGTTTATTAAGGAGTATTGACTCACACGATCACAAGGTGAGGTCTGACAATAGGCCGTCTGAAAACTGAGGAGCAAGGAAGCCAGTCCAAGTCCCAAAACCTCAAAAGTAGGAAAGCCAACAGTGCAGCCTTCAGCCGATGGTTGAAGGTCCAAGAGTCCCAAAGCTGAAGAACTTGGAGGCCAATGTTTGAGGGCAGGAAGCATCTAGCATGGGAGAAAGATGTAGGCCAGGAGACTCGGCCTTTAGAATGTGGAGACTCTAGTCTTTCCACATTCTTCTGCCTGCTTTTATCCTAGCCACACTGGCAGCTGATTAGATGGTGCCCACCCAGATTGAGGGTGGGTCTGCCTCTCCCACTCCACTGACTCAAATGTTAATCTCCTCTGGCAACACCCTCACAGACACACAATACTTTGCATCCTTCAATCCAATCAAGTTGACACTCATATTAACCATCACAGGTATATTAATGTATAAAATATATGTAGATGCTAGGCTATTTATGTATTAATCAACTGTCTATGTTATTGAGAAGACTTCTGGTTGGCAGTAGGCTATTAGTAGTTAAGCTTTTGGGAAGTCAAAAGTTATATGCAGATTTTTAACTGCAAGAGGGATTGGTGCCCCTCACCCTGGAGTTGTTCAAAGGTCAACCTTGTATATATTCTGTGGTTATGTTCCTGTGGAGAACCCTGAGTAATATACCAGATAATGGTAAATGATCATAAAAGAGCCCAATGAATTTGGTGGATGCTATGTGCCGGACACTGTCGAGTCCTCCTTACTGCCACCCCATGCATGGGGACCATCATTATCCCCATTCTAGAGAGAGACAGGAAAGCCCAAAGTGGCAAGAAACTTGCCCAAGAGCACAGAAGCAAAGCTGGGGTCCTAACACAGTCAAATGATTCCCTTCGAGGGGCTGGCTTTCCTGAAATCATGGGGGAGGGGCTACCCTGGAACCGCCCCCACCATGGCAGCTCCGAGGTCCTCAGAACATAGTTTGAAAGCCCCCCGTCCTGCCCCACCCCACCACCCTCCAGCACTGTCCTGTGTCATCTCACCAGCTTAGCTCTGCAAAGGAAACCCTCTCTGCTTGCGTTTTAAATTCTGTGTGTGACATCAGATCGTGTGCATTCTTCCACCATGAGGTTTTTTTCACTCAGCATTGTTGATGAGATTTATCTGAGTTGACACGTGTAGTTCTGGTTCCAGCATTTTTACTGCTGTATAGTATTCCATTATATGACATTTCCACATTGTACCCATTCTCTTGGGTAAAGGTTGATTTTTAAAAGTTGACATTGATAAAATCCCTAATAGCTCTTTTCAGCTCCATATAGGGTGTCTTTTTCTCCCCGCCAGCTCTGCCAGCACCTTCTATGCCCTGCACACTCCTAATGACCATAATTCCTGATCCCCACCTGTCATCTCATCCCCACTGAGGGAGGTGGCCTCTGGACAGAGGGGAGGCAAACCTTCCCCACCTGGGCAGCACCTGGCCAACTGCCTGTAGGGTTGGAGGACTTGGTGCATTTGCCCACCTAGGGACAAAACGCAAGGCTGAGGCCAGGGCAACGCATTCTCTGCGCCCTGTAGGAAGTCAAGGGAGGCCTCCCTCCCTGCAGCTGACATTTAGGGCATCTCTTTGAAAGGCAGAGGGTGGCTGAGGTGCTATGCTCTTCCCTGACAGGCAGCGAGAGCATTATTTCCCCACGATGAGCTAAGTATGGTGTTGCTGCCATCCTGGAGGTTGGGTGGGAAGGGCTGGGGATGAAGAAATAAGCTGACAGTCATGGTTTCTAAAGCAAACACATGAAAGTTTATCAACAAGAGAATGGATAATTTGCGAGTTTCATGTAATGGAATGCTTATTGCAGTAAAAATGGTTGAACTTGAACTACATGTATCTACTGAGATCAATCCCATAAACAATGTTGAAAGAGAAAACCTAGTTAGGTGTGGTGGCTCATGCCTGTAATTCCAGCAGTTTGGGAGGCCGAGGCGGGTGGATCACCTGAGGTCAGGAGTTCAAGACCAGCCTGACCAACATGGAAAAACCCTATCTCTACTAAAAATACAAAATTAGCCGGACATGGTGGCGCATGCCTGCAATCCCAGCTACTCGGGAGGCTGAGGCAGGAGAATCGCTTGAACCCAGGAAGCGGAGGTTGCAGTGAGCCAAGATTGCGCCACTGCACTCCAGCCTGGGCAACAAGAGCTAAACTCCATCTAAAAAAAAATAAAAAATAAAATAAACCTAGTTATGAAATAATGTATATTATTTATAATAAGCTGCAAAAATGTGTGGGATTAAATAGCATCTGATTCAGGTTAAAAGAGGTCATCTGCGGTGTGGAAGGCAGGAGGTGGCTGGTGTAGGAACACTGGTGGTTTTAATGCGTATGCAATGTTTTATTTCTTATGCTGGGTGATAGGTTTGTACTTACTTATTATATTTGTTCTTAAACCTTTTAGTATCTTGAATAAAGTATAGCCTTTTTGTTTTAAGAAAGACAGGTAAGAAGGAGAAAAAAACAAAAAAAAAAAAGGAAAAGGGAATATGTTAAAATCAGAAACAGATTCACCTTCTCTAACTGCTGAATTGTTCAGACGCAGAGCAATGGAGTATTCTCTGCAGCAGAGGAGCGTCTGCCTATGTCCACACCTCCGGACAGTACCCGTAAACTTAGGCATTTGTGCAAATCCACTCCAACAGTGAACGTTGCCTGCAATACACAGCAGACCAGACTCATCCCGGCGGGGTGATGAAGCACACATAAACCCCATTATCCAGCTATTTCAGCTACTTGGCTTCTGGAAACTAACAACGACTCCTCTCTTTTTTTCACTGTCGTCTTGAAAAGTCTACACAGGGATTGCCCCGCCTGCTGAAACTCTAACAGGTGGCACAAGAACGTTCACTCGGAGTCTATTTAGAGCATAAGCTGCTATTTACCTTTGTCCACACTATTTACTCCATACCGGCTGAGAAAGAATTTTGATGTCAAAGACTGACACCTGAATTCCATCAATTTTCCCATTTTCTTTCTGGGCCAACCATGTCCAATTGGCCTGTGCAAGCAGTCGAGGAGGGGACTGTGATGGCGGCCCCGCTCTAGCCAGTCTGCTCTCCACGTTTTCATCCTGAGAGCGCAGCTGGTAGATCTATTTCCAGGGCATCCTGCAGCGGGCGCGTGAGTCACGAAATCAGTCACACAAATGACCCACCACATATAAAAAAGCCACCAATACATCAACAGGCCTTAAAACAGAGCAGCAGTTGCAATAGCTCCTAGATCAGCGGCAGTAAGCAGCAGAGGCGGCCCAGCACAGAACCCGGGAGCAGGCCAGGCGGGCGCTGTGCTGCTGATTTATGCCTCCACTTCATTCTCTATTCAAGGTATGAAACTTTCTGAACAGCAGATGCTAAAAAATGAAAAAAGATTGCCATAACAATATGAAAGCAGGGTGCCGGGCTATCAAGAGAGGAATATTTATGTCCCTAGGGAGATCATTCTCACAACATCTTATCCATGTGTCATCTGGCAGGGCATGCGGGACGGGCGGATGGTGGGAGAAGTGGCCACTTCGCCCCCTGCAGCACATCAGTGAGAGCCAGTCCTGCTCCAATCGGAGGTCCCCTTGTCATAGGCCTGTCCCCAACATGTACAGGACCCCTCCATTTGATGTCACTGAAGGAGTTGATCAATAGTTCTCTTAGACTTGGCATCTGAAGACCGGTTTCAAGTCCCAGCTATGCCTTTTAGCTGTGTGACATTGGGCCAGCCATTTGCCCTTTCTGAGCCTCGGTTTCCCCATCTGTACAATAGATTCAGTGATCCTTGGCTCACAACGAGATGGAGACCTGGATACAAACATGCTCTGAAAACGGAACGTGCCCAGGGAGCCATGGGAGGACCACACACAGAGGACTGAAGAGCAAATTCTCCCTCCTCTTTTTGCAAACCTGTTGACCTGGAGAGGCTCTGCTGGAGGCCAGGAGGAGGGAGGGTGATGGAGCACTGAGAATTAGCAGCACTGGGGCATCTGGCCATGTCTAGACCATCAGGAGAGGGGGTTGCTTCGGGCTCCAGGTAGAGCCTCATGCTGGATCCTTTCCAGCTAGACTCCAGGGGTATCGGGGGACAGAGTGGCAGCTGTGAGTTGAATTGTGTCTCCCTGAAAGATCTGTTCAAGTCCTAATCTCGATACCTGTGAATGTGATTTTATTCGGGAATACAGTCTTTGCAAATGTAATCAAGTTAAGTTGAGGTCATATTGGGTTTGATGGTCATTAAATCAAATAAATGAAGTCCTTTAAGAGAAAGGAGAGGGTGATTCAGACACAGAGATACAGATATGCAGAGGGAAGACCGAGACCATGTGGAGCGAGGCAGAAAGTGGGGTGATGCATTTACAAGACAAGGATTGCAGGCAAGCACCAGAAACGAAGAGGGAAGCAAGGAAAATCCTCCCCGGGAGCCTTCAGAGAGAGCATGGACCCACAGGATTGGACTTCTGGCCTCCAGAAACAACATTCTGTTGTTTGAAGTCCCTCCATGTCTAGTAATTTGTTATGGCTGCCCTCGGAAGCTAACACACTGCACCCACAGGGATTAGGCATACTAGGTCCTAGGGCTTTACCACCCAGGCCGGGGCTGAGCAGGGCTCTGAGGGAAGATGAGACCTCCATTGTAACACAGGGAGCCAGCCAGGCCTAGGGGTGTGCCCAGCAGCCAGCAGAAGGCCACATCCACCTCTGAGGGCGGGGGGGTGGTGTGCAGGGATGTGCCACCCCTCTCCATGGCAACTAAAGTTAGGGGCAGTCCTTCAAAAAGCAAGCACAGGCTGTCCTGGGATAGACCGGGGGCTCCATGCTCAGGGTGAGTCATTGGCTTTGCTCCGGGCCCGTTGGAGCTTAACTCTCCTGATGGGCAACGGCAGCTCCAAGGGAGGCTCATGTGGGGCCAGCCTCTGGGATGGGGGAGGATGGGCAAGATGTCCTAGGCTGTGCCTTTCTCAGTGGCTTTTACATCTGATTTCCCTGCTTCACAGAGAGGCCCAGCAGCAGGGGGCAGGAGGAGAGCTGGTCCAGCTCCCTCCCTGCATCCTCCCACCTGCAGTGACAGAGGCCTGCCCACTGGGGTGGGAAGTGTGGTCCTCGGACCAACAGCCCTGGCCGCACCAGGAGCCTTTTAGAAACGCAGCATCTCAGGGCTTGCCAGACCCCTAAATCCAAACAAGAGCCCCTGACGCCCATGCACACCGGAGTACAGAGCACAGCTGCAGAGCCCTGGTCCCCTAAGTTGGCCATGGATGGCAGCAGGTCCACCTGAGAATGTGTTAGAAAGATGGATTCGGATTCCAGTGCCCTCCTCAGACCCACTGAGTCAAGGCCTCCAGTGCTGCCCGCCATCGTGTTCCACCCAGCGCTGCAGGCTGGACAGGATTCCCTTCCTCCTTCCCCAGAGCCTGCTCTGCGCTGGAAGAGTTAGCTGTGCTCTGTGCCCAGGGTCTGCGAGATGGGAGTCCTGGGAGGCTGTTCATGGGGCAGGAAGTCCAGGCCTGAGAGGCTCAAGCCTCAGGGTCCTAGTCTGTCAAATGAGCACCTCACAGAGCAGCGCTCAGGCTAAGTTAGAGCAAGATGCTAGCTGGGGAGTGAGTCAAAAACCAGGGAGAGCAGGTGAGGATTGCCAATATTCTTCTGCCCGTTTCCTGGCCCACAGCAACCTGGAGAGTTGTGCTCCTGGGGAGGTGTCGGAGGTAGTGGAGTCTCTAGTCCCAGGTCCCTCTCCCGCCTTTGTGGCCTGGATGTGCCAATACGGTGATGAGCAGACTCCAGGGGCCCAAGTGATCAACTTCTTTAAGATCTGAAAATCCACGTATTTGTCTATGGGGCCGTGTTTCACAGTGGTTCCAGCGTCTTCTCTTGTATCATAGACGCAACAACCTAATCATGCAGGAGACTCCGGTCCAAGGTGTGTTTGGTGGCTGCACACACACTGAGATCCCCAAGACCCAGGATGGCTGACCTCATCAGGACCTGTTCGGGACCCTGAAACAACCCCTCCTATCACAAATGCCCAGATTCCACCAGGCTGGGCTACAAAACAGGTCCCCATGCTCAGCTAGCAGCTAGCAGCTAGCAGCAGGTCTCAGGCTTTCTCAGGGTAGCCTGAGGCCATGAAGCCACCCCCTTCACTTCTCCCTCTGGAAGCCTGCCTGGGGGCCCCTCTGCTCTGCTTCCATGGCCCATGGGGCCTCTCTTCCCACTGGAGTGGGAAGGAGGGACAGGGAGGGTTTCTGGGGAGGTGCACTGAGCGGTCCCGGGGGCGGTAGCTCCAGCTGACCGAGTTTGTTGTATTTTACCCAAACCTCCCACTGGAGTTGAGGCCCAGTCTCAGCCATGGCGCACTGTGTCTTTGCCTCCTTTGCCTCCTTCATGCACGTCTCTCCCTTGGGGACCTGGCCCGAGTTCGGACTTAATATCCCTCAGTGAAACCACAGCTTCAACCAAGAGGGGGCAAGTTCTGTCATGCAGTGCGGGGAGTGTCACGTGAGAGCAGGGCTAGGAAGCAGTTTAGGAAGTGGGAGGGGTCGGTCTGAAAAGCTTATTTTAGGGGACATTTCTAAAAAAAATCCTGAATTTTGTTCCCATTGACCCAGAGAAACATGGACTTCATGCTCCTCAAATTTCCAAACTTCAAGATCCAGCAGAAACTGATGCTAAGGGGTGGGTTGGGGTGGGGATCGCCTTCCCCTGAGGTCCCCTACCCCTGATTTAGGCTTTTCTGCTAGGGACAGACCTGTCAGGGTGGTGGGGGCTGGGGTGAAGGAAGCTGGACGGGAGCACAGAAGCCTTCAACCCTTCTCATCTCTGATTCTTCCTCAAGGGATTCAGAACTTTTTTTAAAATCACAGCGTCTGCTGCAAATCACAGGCAGGGGAGTAGCACCCCCAGGGCCGGGTAAAGCAGCAGCTATTTTCTAGCAGATGCATTGATTTATATTTCTTTATGGAACTGTATCTTCCTATTCTGTTATTTTTCACTTTGAGTAAAAATTAATTGTCTTGTTTAACCAAAAACACGACGGAGAGAAGGGAGAAAGGGAAAAGGGAAAGTGGCAGGGTTTGTGAAAGGAGCAGGCTTCGGAGTCTCACAGAACCAGGACGGGATCCGAACCCCAGCTTCACAGTGGGCTCCAGTGCTGTGTGAGCGTGGGCAGGTTACTTCCCCTCTCTGATCTGCAGCTCCTCACACATCTGCCTGGGGGATGATAAGCCACACATCACAGTGTTCTCAGGAAGATGACAGGAAATAGTGGATTTCAAGGTGGTAGCACAGAGCAGGTGCTGGCGTTTGTTCCTAAGTACCTCTCAGGAGCCACTTTGCCAAACGCATCAAAAGTAGAGATGTTGATGAAACCAGTGTGATATGAGCCTTGGTGACAGTCGCTCTGCCTCCTGATCAGAGGAGGGCTGTGCTGTCTTGGCAGAGTTGGAACCCTCAAAAGTAAGGTCAAAACTTCATTGGAGACGACATCTGGAGAGGAGAGGAGAGGAAGAGGAGGAGGAGGACGAGGAGGAAGGAGAGGGGAGAGAGGAGGAGGAGAAGAGAGGAGAGGAGAGAAGGAGGAGACAGGAGAGGAGGAGGAGAGAGGGGAGAGGAGAGGAGAGAGGGGAGAGGAAGGGAGAGGAGAGGGGAGAGGAGAGGAGAGGAGAGGAGAGAGGGGAGAGGAGAGGAGAGAGGGGAGAGGAGAGGAGAGAGGGGAGAGGAGGGGGGAGAGGAGAGAAGAGAGGAGGAGGAGAGGGGAGGGGAGGAGGAGGAGAGGGGAGGAGGAGGAGAGGGGAGGAGGAGGAGAGGGGAGAGAAGGGGAAGGGAGGGGAGGGGATGGTAGAGGAGAGGAGAGGGAGGAGGTACTGCTCAGGAGGCAGGAGGAATGGGCTCATTTGGGCCCAGAGAAGTGCCCCTGGCTTGAATACATTGTTCCAAGCAGGCCCTGACTGTGCCTTCACCAGTACTGAACACCAGGTCCAGCTTTTCACCTGGGCCATCTCATCAGTGACCAACCCACAAGAAAATCATTATTGCTTCCACTTTACAGAGAAGGCAGCTGAGGCCCAGAGGGATTTAAACAGGGCCTGACCAAGGAAGGCCTGCAGCGGGAGGTAAGGAGGCAGGACCCACTGGCGAGAAGGTGTTTTTCCCCCTTGACGTTTCTGTCCTGTCCGTGGGAAGCTGGGGGATTCTGCCCATGCTTCACCTCCCAGGGAGGCAGACATGTTGAGAAACACTGGCAGCTTCTCCCAGCACCTGCCTGATGCTTGTCCCTGTCACAGGAGGAGGGTTGCTAAGCTGTTTGGTCGGCGTCCACAGCATTTGCTGGAGGGCATGGTGACTGTGTTTCAAAGGTGGATGCCCATGTTCTAGCCCCGCTCTGTGCTTCCTCCACCAGGGGGCAGCCGCTCTCCTGCTCCCATCCAGGAGGCACACCCTACCTGCTAATCCAGCGCCTCCCAAACTTCCCCAGGATCTTGTTAACAGGCAGCTTCTGACTCAGCTGTGCTGGGGCGCCCGGGGCTGGGCTAGTCTGTCTCCCAGCTGATGCTGGTCAGAGGACCACATTTTGAGGAGCAAAGCAATGGGTTACAATCTTAGCTCAACACCTGGGGAAACCATCACCTGGGGATTATTTTAAAAATACTGGTTTCCAAACCCCACTGAGAAATATTAAATTACAGTCAGTTTAGAGGCAGAACCCAGGAAATGAATGATTTTTGATGCTCTTCAGGAGAGTCTAACATGCAACTAAAGTTGAGAACTACTGTTCTAGAAGCAGGCTTGCCTCTCTCTGCCCACCTGTGACCAGGCAGGTAGTGGGCTGATCTAGGTAAGTGTGCCCAGATTTTGCCTGACAGATCCAGCCTCTGCCTCCTCTTCTCCCAGGGCACGCCGGAGACTCCACATTCCAAAAATATGAGTTGCCCTTGACTGGAAGCTTTTCTCTTCAATGGAGCTTTTTTACCCAAGGTTCACATTGGAGGTTCTGGGCATCTGGCCAGACAAAACAGCCCTATACTTCCCACCTGGCCATTTTTCTTTCTGTGTTGGCTCCATCATCCAGAGCCCTGCCAGATGGAGGAGTACCAACATCTCAGACTTCTGAAAGACTAGAACCCCAAGTCTGTGTGCTCTCTGAACCTCTCAGCTTCCCAAAGAGGGAAGATGGGCCTCTCTCTCTCTGCTGCAGGTAGGGAAGAACCACGAGATGGAGAAGCGGCAGCCCGATCACCCCCAAACCTCGTCAGCATCCCCACCTGGCCCCAACCTGCCAGCCTTCACCAGGCTCTTAACAAGAGGCCAGTTCTCAGCCAGCCTCTCTCCTGTCCTTGAGCGGCAAGTGGGCAGCTGAGCAGAATTGTAGAAGGTAGGACCTGCTGAGCCAGGGCCACTGGCTTGGCCCTCCCCTCTCCCCAGGTCTGAGCAGGAGGTCATCAGACCCCAGGGGGCATCGTTCATGTCTCAAAGGTGTTGAGGGAAAATTCTCTCCTGGGGTGTGGGCTAGACCTAGTGACTCACTCATGACAAATCAAGTATGGAGAGGGAAAGAAAGTAAATTGCATGATGGTGGAAACTGGCAGGTGTCACCTCAACTGAGTGACCAAAGTTCTCATCACTTCCAGTCAGTCATGTTGGCATCATGTGCAGCTTGACATGGTGCAAAGGGAAGCGTTTCCATCTTTGTTTTATTCTTCTCCCAAATCCAAAACAACACTCTCTTAATGAGAAAACATCAGACAAACCCAAGCTGAAGGACAGTCTACCAAAAACCAGACACATACTCTTCAAAACTCTCAATGTTAGGAAAAACAAGGAAAGGTTGAAAAGCTCTAACAGATTGGCAGATATGAAGGAGATATGATGACCATCATATCCTAGATTGGATCCTGGAACAGAAAAGGACATCAGTGGAAACATTGGGGAAACCCAATCAAGTTGTAGCTGAGTTACTACTAGTGCTGATGTTAATTTCTTAGTTTTAATTATTGTACTATAGAAGATGATAACGTGCGGGGAAGCTGGGTAAGGGGTATACTGGACCTCTCTGTACTATCTTTGCAACTCTTCTGTGAATCTAAATTCTTTTTCAAAATTAAAAGTTTCTTTAAAAGTATTAGGGGAAAATAAACGAAGCAAGGAATGGTCCCACTCTCTCTTTCAAACAGTGTGATCTACGAGGTAGAATCATGAAAGGAGAAAAGCTGGGCTGCTGGCTGGAGGTGAATTTATTGCCAGAAAATAGCTCTGCTGTGCTCTCTCTGCTGTGATTTACAGCCAAGGATCTGGGCCCCACATCGATCCTTGCTCTGAGCCCCCAATGCAGGCGCGGGGTCCTCTGGGCAAAATCGATGCATGGAGGTGACACTGTGCATTTTGCTGCCATCACAGGAATCCAGATTTATGTTCTGGGCAAGATAGATCCCAGGGCAATGGAAAGGGGGTTGATGAGGAGTCAGGAGGTCTGGGTTCCAGGCTCAGATCTGCCATTTACATGTGTTTGTTCATGGGCTATTTACTTCACCTCTCTGGACCTTACTTTTGGAAAATGGTCTCTATAGCCACCACCAAGTCATAACATGAGGGTCCTTTGATTGCAAACAACAAAATGTGACCATGGGTAGAAAACCTTGAGTATAAAATAAATTTGTTGGAAAGAATCTATGGGACAGCTGGAGGCTCCGAAGTGGGCACAACCAGAATTAATGCAGGTAGAGTAATTTCCATAATAAGAAACCCAACATTTCAGTAGCTTAATACACTTCAATGTGTCATAGCCTTATCAGGCCAGGGGTGGGTGGGAGGGTGGCTCTTTGCTCTACAGTCATTTAGCCACCCAGGTTCCTTCCATCTTGTAGCTCCTCTCAGTTCTAGGTCCTTACTCTGTCTCATCTTATATTGGCTGAATGGAATCCTCTCCATTCAGCCAATATAAGATGAGACAGAGTGAGGCCCATGCATGGAAGTTTTGTAATGGGCCACGTTGGGAAATGGACTTACCACTTCCATTCACATCCCACTAAGTGCAAGGAAGCCTGGGAAATGTAGTCTAAATCTGTTCCCAGGAAGAAGTAGAGGTGGAACTCTGGACAGCACTAGTTATTTCTGCCACAGGCAATGGGAACTATTCAGAACTTTGCTGAGGTTTGACTACTGCAGTGAATGAGTTACCAACAATCAATACAATTTCATCCTTAAGTCTCTCTGCCCCAGATTTTGAATCCTAGGAGAAACTTCAATTGGTCCTGCTTGATCTCACATCCATCCTTGACCTAAGGGAGGGCAGGGCTCCTACACTGATAGCTCCCAGGTGGCATGCAGTGATGGAGGAGAAATACCCCAAAAGGAGAGAGCATGGTGTTTGGGGGGGGGGGGCAAAGACAAATGCACATGAAAAGCACAAAGTTGTCCTGCTTTACAAGTGATGTGTAAACCTGCCCGCTTGCAAAGACCCCTGCTCTATCTGCCTCCAAGTTTGCATTTTAAAATTAGATCATTTGTTGGGGAGGCTTAACTCAAAAATAAGTTCTTCTAGCTCTACATGTCTGTGCATATCACTATGTCTCATTCATGTATTTCCTTAACCAATATTTACTGGGTGGCTTTTGTATGACAGGCACTGTGCCAATCACAGGGACACAGCATAGAATGTCCTCACCTCTGGAAATCCTACCGCCTCATGGGTAGAAAAGATAGATAGAAAAGGTGAAAAGGCAATGGGAGGGCTAAGAAATCCCAGGAAAGGGTTTCATGAAGATTGGGCTGAGGATGGCCTGGGGGCGGGGGGGTGGTGCCCTAAAAGGTGATGCATGAGCTAAGCTCTAAGGACAAGTTCAGAGTTAGCCAGACAGAGCACGGAAAGGACAGCCCCTCCCAGGCCAAGAGACCAGAGAAGCAGAGTCCCAGAAGCAAGATGAAGGGTGGCCCACTTGATGAGCTGAAAATGGGTTCACTCAGCCTGGCAGAGTGAACAGAATGAGAGGGGATTGGTCAAGATGACACTGGCGAGGCAGGCAGGAGTTCTAGCTCAGAGCACCTTGTAAGCTGTGCTTTGGGAAATCCAATGTTCTCCAAAGGCAAAAGGTCATACCTCTTCTGCCGGGCACATTGACCACCCTTCTGAGCCTTCTTGCCCTATCATGAGGGCAAGAGAAAGCTGTGCTGTGCTGTCACCCTAATGATAAGGAATTTGGGTGCCAGCAGGACCTGCAATGCCCACTTGCTCCATTCCCTTACCCGCTGTCGTTACTTTCTGCAGTATCCCTGAGGTGGCAGCTGAAAACTGGAGTGTGGGGAGCCCAGGCATGGAGGAGGTGCCAGCATCTTGATGCTGGTAGTTGCAGGGAAATGGGTAGTTGAGAATGTGCTGCCTGCAGCTGCCACACCAGGTCCTAACCCTGCGTCTGTGTCTGTGTCTTACACCCACTCAAAAAAATAATGTGGCTCCACAATGGGAGGGTTTTTAAGAAACAGTGGAAAAGGAGGGCGGGTTAGAAGAGAGCGGATGGAAGAGAAGACCAGTGGGCTGTTTGTGGCCTCCAACCACATTTGAAAACTTCCCCCAGACACATTCAAAAGCAATTTTCACTTCCAGATAAAAATGGCATTCCTTTCTCTCAACAGCAACAAAACAACACACACACACACATATGCACACACACACATGCACACACAGGAAGGGAAAAAAGGCCCAAACCAACCCCATCAATCAAACAAGGAAATGGCCATGGCCCCAAACTACCAAACTACAGCCCGTGACATGCATGGGCCACACATTCTGTGACATCTGGGCCAAAGCAAAGCAGGCCACTGGTGTCCACACAACCTCCTGAGGCCACAGGTAGGATGCAGAGTCCTGAGAGAAAGTGAAAGTGATGTGGTCCTATAAGGCCTATCAAATGATCTGTAGATTGGAATAAGACTTAGAGGTGACAGGGGAAATGTCCCCAAAGAAACTCACAGTGTTCCTTTAGAACAGAGGTTGGCAAATGATGGCCTGCAGGCTGTTTTTATGAGTAAAGTTTTATTGGAACACCGCCAGGCTCCTTCATTGGCACACAGCCAGGCTCCTTCATTGGAGCCCTGAGCCACCATGAGAAAAGTCTAACGGCCCTGCTGGAGAAACCATGTCAAGGGGCGCTGAGACCCCATGGAGAAAGGGGGCACTCCAGACAGCCCATCCTTCCAGTTGTCCTCACCACAGCCCCAGGAATCTGAGGCCATCTGGGATCCTCCAAGACCAGACTAGTCACCAACTGAATGTCACTGATGGCTCCAGCCATTGCCATGTGAGACAGAAGATGCATCCAGCAGAGCCTGCCCCAAATTCCTGATCCACAAAATCATAAGATATGATCAAATGATGATTGTTTGAAGCCACTAAGACTGCTGCATTTGTTATGCAGTCGTAAAGACCCAGAGAGGGCAGAGACAAAAGAAGGCCCCTGCTGATCTACCCTTTTCCTAAGGGAAGAGCTGAGGGTATGAGAAGGGAGGGAGGCTGAGAGCACAGAATCACAGCATAGATGGGCCATGGTGTAGTGGGATGAACTGTGAGCCACACCATTTTTTAAACTCTGAAAGCTGAGCGAAGGCAGGCTTCTGCAGCAGAAAGAGAAAGCATTTGGTGAAGGGGTGTCCAGATGCAACTTAGTTGAAGCTGCAGTCTCTCCCAGGCCACCTCAGCACCCTCCTCCCTACCCTTCTGAGGCATTGAAAGCCATATTGGAAACAACAAAGAACAGAATTGACAACTAGTGTCACACAGGAGTAACAGAGGACAGATGGAAAAAATGGAAAAGAACAAAGGCATGCCATAGAGTGTGGGTGTCTGTCCCCTCCAAATCTCATGTTGACATGTGATCCCCAATGTTGGATGTGGGGCCTGGTGGGAGGCGATTGGGTCCTGGGGGTGGATGCCTCATGAATGATTTGGTGCCGCCCCACAGCAATGAGTTCACACGAGACCTGGTTGTTTAAAAAGGCCTGGCGTCTCTCTTGCTCCTTCTTTCACCGTGTGACGTGCATCCTCTTTCTCCACCTTCTGCCATGAGTAAAAGTTTCTTGAGTTCTCACCAGAAGCCAAGGAGATGCTGGTACCATGCTTGCACAGCCTGCAGAACGGCGAGCTCAATAAAACTCTTTTCTTTATAAATTACTCAGTCTTGGATATTCCTTTACAGCAATGCAAATCAGACTAATACGGCCTGAGAGGAAATTTAGAGAAGACAGTAGACATGAAAGACCAAGAAGACCCACACACACAATATTGTGTTTCTGAAGACAAGAACAGAACACCATCTATCTCATCTCACTGCCCAAACCAACAAAGGTTCTCCACTTGGAAGGACTCATATGATTATCCTGGGACCACCAGAATAATGTCTCCACCACCAGATCTTTAATGGAATCAAACCTACAAAGCCCCCTTTGTCACATAAAGTAACATATTCACAGGTTTCTGGGATTAGAATGAGGACATTTTCTGAGAAGTGGGGGATCCCTATCCTGCCGACCACAGTGGGTGATGGTTGTTTCTTGGAATCGGGATTTGGAGTTGTTTTTAGCTTCTTTATAACTTCATAGTGAATATAGGTTATTTTTACCAAAAAAATACGATGATTGTTAGAAATTCAAGGCAACTTCCTTGCTTCTCTTGAGTCTGGCTGCTTCACCTGATGGGAAGCTGTTTCAGCATATTCATAAGCTGCCAGGCTGTGCGCCGAGGTCCCAGAGCGTGTCACTGCAGGCAGCACTCCTCAGTGTCCCTCTTTCTCTGGAACGTGTCAGAGGACCCCTGGAAAATATTGGTGCACGTGCAAACCTGCACAGCAAGAAGGGGCTTAGACAGCACAACAGTAACTGCCAACATCTGGGGAGAACTGGACTGCAATGGGGTGGGGCAGAGGGAGCTTCCTGCCTTTCTTTCCCTGCTTCTCATGTTTAATCTTCACTACAAATCAGTAAAGATGGGTTCTGCCATCACCCATCTCACAGAGAGTCCAAGGGTAAGCAACTTGCTCAAGTGCTGAGGTCACATGGCTGTCCTCCATCTGCACAGGTGTGAGGAGAAGGAATTTCTGTGTCTTATTTCCACAGTGAAAAGGAACCAGAGCCAGTAGGAAGGGTTTTGGATGCTGGTAGATAAAAGTGACCAAGAATTGCATAGCTCCTCCAGGGTTTTCTGGATTCTACAAAACCGTAATCTTGACCCCTGCGCATAGAAACCAGGATATAGACATTTTTTCTGGCGGTCTTTCCTCCTTTCCCTCCTGTATGTAGAAGGATGGGGAGGGAGCTCCTTAAATGGGACTCTAAATCATTCTCCATCCCAACTTCTCTAGAATGTGACCTATATCAGAAGTCCTCTCCACCTCCCTGACCCTCTCCCTGCTCAGTGGCCCTTTACTCCCCGAGGATGCACACATCCAGGACTTTCTCACCTTACAAGAAATTCTTCCTGGGCCAGGGCTCCATTGATTACCCCCTTGCCTTCCTCCTCTCCTCTCACAGCTATCTCAATTTCACATTCGAGTAGATTTGCCTTTCCAACTTCCTCCCATTGCCCCAGCAGGCTGGCTCCCGTCCTGTGCTCCTTACTGTGGCTGCCCCCTCCAGCTGCCCAGGCACCCAATCCAGAAGCCGGGGAGTCAGCCTTGACCTCCTTCCTCTACGTCCTCAACCCAGCCTTCACCAGGTCCTGCTGATCCTATGCCCTATGCAGTTCTCAATCCACTCATGTGCTTCTCTGCTCATGGCAGCTTCCTAGCCAAGTCTTCTTTCTCCATTTCTCCCTAGCATGGCCTCCTTTCTGCATTTTTCAATGTCCCCCTCAGTGACAACTCCATGCCTCTTCTCCCCTACCTGCCCCTCCAGCCTCACCTGGGCCACTTCCTCCTTCTTGAACTTCCTTCTCCAAGGAGCCCATGTTTTCTTCAGTTTCTCATGAAGACTTTTCCATCACTGGCTTCTCTCCAAGTCTCTCCATTTAGAGAGCATCCATCCTCTCATCCCAAACACACACACAGACAGGCACACATGCACACACACAGGCACATATGCACACACACATGCCACACTATATCTACATGGTGTATATGTATTCGATCACTCTCCTTCTCTCTCTCTGTAACACTTCTTCACTCTCAGCTCCTAGACTCACTTCTCTTCCTTCCCTCCACCCCCATGTGACCTTATGACCCCTCCCCTCTGCCCCTTCTCTGGACTTCTGTCAGGACACACATCTGACCTGTAATTGTCTATGTGTCTGCCTCCCCTGCACAGCTGTACTCTCCTTGACATGGAGAATGCTGTCTTATTCATCACCTTTGGACCTGGCTCATCACAGGCATTTAGGGGAGGTTTGCATGTTTACAGAATTGAATGTCAAGAGCAGGACTTGGTGCCATGATGACACCTGCTCCCTCCACCTCTTCTTGGGAGCTTGGAGGACAGAAAGCCCCACTCATCCACTGAGCCTTCCTCTGTTCCCCAAACTGAACACAGTATCTTCTTTAATCTCACAGCACTTTGAGAGGTAAATACCATTCTAAGCCCCATTTTACAGAGAAGGAAACTGAGGCTTAGGAGGTTAAATTAATTGTGCAAGAAAAATGAGCATTTCCGTTTTAATTTTATTCTGTATGACTCTACAGTTCTGTTTTTTCCTGTGTGCTCTACCAGAGCAGCTGAGGAAAAAGTGGAAAAGAAAAACAAAGTGACAGCTCAGCTAATGATATGTTGACAAAGTGGTTTGTGGTTGTGCCTGTGCACGTGTGTGTCCATATATGCGTGTGTGCAGGTGTGTGTGCACGTGCCTGCATGCGTGTGCATATGTACATATGTGTGTGCATGTGTGTGTGCGTGTGAGTGAGGCATGCTCAGGCACACCCCCGCCCTGGAGCACATGCGTCTCTCTTTCTGCGTGATACTCAGCAGTTTGTGAACTACCTTTGGAGCCCGTAAAGTGGAGATGAGCCCCATGCATGTCACTGAACTCAGAACATGGGGAGCCTGGGTTACAGATCCACAGAATAACCAAGACCAGCGTGGCAGGGGCCTCCAGGGGCCGAAACCTCCAGGTGAGTGCCTCAGTGAGAATCCAGTCCCAGGAACACATTCACTCTCTGAAACACTGCTCTGGTCTGAGCCCCCTCTGCTTCCAGGGGCCTGACCTTACCTGACCATGCATGAGAGTCAGAGGCCAAGGCACAGTTGCCCTCCTCTTTTTCAGGGTCTCTGTCTTCAGTTCTGAAAGTCCCTAGTCAAAGCCTGCAGGGTTTCTGCTGCCAGCCAATGACCACTCGGGGGAGCCCGTGAGCCATCAACCACAGATGTTGCCTGGCCAGAAGGGATCTGTAACTAAGAAGAAACTTGGCAGCAGGGGAAGAAACGAGGTGCCTTAGTAGGTACCGGTTTGAGCTTTTCTCATGTCCCACAGCAGCTAAGAATTTGTCACTACTGTTGTGGCTTCTAAAAGAGCCACCTGTGTCCTTGACCTTGGATATGGCAGAGCTGGGAAGGACATACTAGCTCACTAGGACAGGGGTGGCCAACTTAAGCAGGTACAGCCTGGCTCTGCCATGGAATTGCTGTGTGACCCTGAGTAAGCCACTTGCCTTCTCTGGGCCCTAGTCTGCTGCTCTCAGGATTCTTGGGTAGAAGTGACAGAACTATGACTAAGTGAAGCCACTGGGCAGCTCATGGAATTCAGAGGAGGGGCAGAGAATTGATGAAACAAGAAACAAGGGGGCTGTCACCCCAGGGCCCAGCAAGATCACCTGGCACTTGTTGGCCTGCGGGGCCACCTCTCTCCCTCCTACCTGCACTGACTACTCCCAGCTCTGCTGAAGGACTCTGGCACCCCTCTGCCACCCTAGATTAACCTGGCTGTCTCTGCATCTGTGTGCCCTTTCTGCACGGTAGGTTCCTGCCCTGCATGGAGGCTACCTGGCCAACAACCCACCTACCCAAGGATGGAAAAGGATGGAAAAGGAGATTTTGGCGCTCTTTATGTCCACAGTGCAGAAAGGGACCAGCCCCCAAGTGGAACGGGTTTTGGAGACTGGTGGCTAAAAGTGACAGATGTTTGCCACACTTCTTATTTGTATATCAAGATCTGATTGTTAAATTGTTTACTGTTGCGCTTTAAACTAACAATGGCAGCAGCAACAGCAATCTCAAATGCAGGTATAGCACACACCACGCACGTGCAGGGCATCATTCAAATAGCTTATGTGTATCAACCCGTTTAATCCCCGCACAGACTCCACGAAATAGATTCTATTATATCCCCCCTTTATAGGTGAGAAAATTGAGGCATGGAGAGTTTAAATGCCTGGCTTAAGTTCACACAGTTGGTAAGAGGTAGAGTGGGAATTTGAACCCTGGGAGCCTGGTCCTCTCAAGCCTGTGTTATGCTGCCATGTCGGACATTAAATTTCAGCATCTTCAATAACACTTGATATCCAGGGAATGAACCAAACAGCACGCACGCACATCAGCTTGGAGTTTCTCTGCTTTTCTAAACCTTTCTTCTCTTTACGGTTTAACGACAAAACCACTTTTCTGTCTGTAGAGTTCATCCTTACAGGAAAACTTTCTTGTTTTTGCTGAACAGGAGAGAAGTCAGTAAATGCTATAGAAAGCACAGCCTGTGTCGGGAATGGAGATGAAATATTTCTTTGTTAGACATGCCATCAAAAAGTCCCGAAGTTGAGGAAGAACGCAGGTTTATTTTCAAATAAATGCTCACTTGGACTTTGTGCCAAACTTGCGGCGTCGGAAGGGTGGGAAAGCGGTGTCGCTCTGCAGGACCCAGACCGCCAGGGGGCAGGCCATGCCTCCACCAGACTGCGGCGAGTTTTGACTCCGGAGGACTCTCCAAGTCGGGTTTTTCCAGAGCAGGCTATTTGCAAAGCAGCCAGGAGGTGTGGCTCCGGGGACTTGAGTTGTATTTTTATCTGCTGCTCACTTCCAGCAATCTGGCACACATTTCTCTTTGGCACACAAAGGAAGTGCCTGCCGCCTGCAAAGCATGAATCACTTTTTGGGAGAGGTGGTCTAGCTCTCCCTTTGGGTGGACTCAAGCCCCAAATGTAATTGCCAACATGATCCCCCACAGAGGAGTTTATTTCTGTCCTCCTCCCCCGTTCTCCAGGGGTGGCTCCGTTTTTGCCTCTGGGCAGAGTGGGATGCTCCTGTCCTGTTCTTCAACATGGCCACGGAGCCTGGAAGTCAGGCGGAGCCGGCTCCTGTGGAGGGTGCATTCCCTCCGGCAGAGGTCAGCTCAGCAGAACACCTGAATGTGCTTCACACGGCCAGATCGAGCCCCCGAGGCCCTCCCATTTGGGGAAGAAGGAAGGGGGACTCTCCCTTTGGCCACACAGCCCAGATAAGCAGGGCATGGTCCCAGAATTCGAGGTGAGAGGCTGTGGGTGTCTCCAGGGGCGCGCCAGGCAGCCTTCTGCTCTGTCCTGGGCCATTCCAGCCCCTGGGTCCCATACAGAATCTGACTCCCCAAGGAGCAGGGTCTCATTCAGAGGCAGCAGCCCGTCTCCCACAGGCTTCGCTCCTTCCGAGGCCCAGTTCCTGGTGGAGGAGACCTCCCAGTCACCAGCGACTCAGGTCCCGCTCAGGACGAGGGCACAGCAGAGGGCGCCTTCGACAAATGTGAGTGTGGCTGATTCTCATGGAGTCTGCTTTGGTCTCACCCATACCCTTGGCTTCATGTCACCCTGTGGAAACGTCACCTCCTCCAGGAAGCCTGCTCTGACTCCCTCGCTTCTTTTGCCCCTCCTTTATCATAGCACTCTGTCTACACACTCAACGGTGGAGATCTGATCACAAGCCTCCCGCACTAACACTGTTTCTTGAGGTTAGCCACCAAGTATGAGTCCTCCAGAGTCCCAAGACCTGGCTGAAACCCAGAATAAATGCCCTGGAATCAGAATTGAATTAGGGGATGAGAGCTGTGTGCCCTCCACCCCACAGTGACAGCTGTACCCTTACACACACAGGCATATGCGCCTCTCCATGTGTTTTTATCCTACATAAATAGGATTACATGGTGTGTGTTATTCCACGACTTGCAACAGCCTCCTAGCCCCTGCCCCTGCCTCCAGCCTCAGCCCAGCAAACCCATCTCCATGGGACAGGGAGAGTGAGCTTCCTCATCTGACCCCAGCAGGATTCTGTTCAAATCCCTCCCAAGGCTCCTGCCTTGTTCCTGTTTGCAACCCAATCCCCATTCTCCCCTCACTCCCTAGTCTGCCACAAGGGAGTCTGCCATGCCCTTAGCACCTGCTGACCCTTCCCTTCATCACTCCAGGAGCTCCAACTCTTCCTCCAGTGTCACCTTCTTTGTGAAGCCTCCCCAGATTCCCCCAGAACCAGCTGCAAGCAGGAGCTTCCAGGATATGCCTATGTGGGAAGCAGCTGAGATGCCCCAGGACTTTTGAGCCTCCTGGCCTGAATAGAGAGGCTGCCTTCTTCCTGCACAGAGTTTGGAAAAAGCTAAGATTCCCAGGCAACCTTCACCCTGCTGCAGAAATACCACAGAGCCTGCCGCATTATATAGCCAGAAAAGAGAAGAGACCCTGATTCACAGGCCCAAACGCTGGCAGTGCATTTAGCATCTGACAAGAGCTAGATGACCTGCTGGGGGACTCTAGGCCCTGGGAAACAACAGGAAGCAGAGTCTGCCCCTTTGCAAAGCCTCATCTGTGTATTAACCCATTGGGTCATCTGAGAAGGCAGGGCAGAGACAATGAAGAGAGGGAAGCCCAGAGAAGTTGAGTGACTGCCCCAGGCCCCACAGCAGTGAGTGGCAGGGTAGATTCCTCATCACCCTGACCTCCCGCCGCACACCTGAGTCACTGTGTGAGTTGTGGGGCCTCTGAACAGTGCTTCAATAGTCCTGAAGCCTCCCCATGCCTGGAAAAGTCCGGCCCACGTTAAACACCTACCATGTGTGGACCAGACCGCAGACTGCTGCACCTTGGAAGCCCACACAGCCAGGGAGCTGGAGACGGCTTCTTAATTTATGCAGTGGTTTGAACTGGAAAGTCTAGGGTGGAGGAATTTGGAGAAAAATAGAGTTATATTTTAAGTCCTCTAGTAGATCTTCCCATTCAAAAGAAGCACATGGTGAGTTCATTTCAAATGCAAATATGTGTTCTAATTTATCTGTCAGTTGGGGTTTTTGAGCCTTGATTTAATGAACTTTGTATTTATTGCACAATCAACAGAGCAACAATCGGCCTGTTTGTGTCTCTTGAGTTTGTTAGGGCATTTTGTATAGACGTTTCCAATTGTGATGTACGGGAATGTGTCAGCATTTCCCTTGGTGATTTCTTCCAGAGCCGCAACATTTAGAAAAAATTTTACTTTTCTAAAGAAGTCATAAATACTTCATTTGGGCTTTTTCTATAATTCATTTTTACATTTTACACTTTAACTTTTGAAGATTGTGTTTGAGGAGTGAATCTAGATACTTCTTTGCTTTCATCAGATCACAAATGAATGAAAGTGAATGACCCCCACTGTTTTGTGCACCCCTTTTTACCATTGGCTCTTTGTGTCTTTCATTTATTCCACTCTTCATTCTCTCCCCCCCTTAATATATAATATTGTTTTGTGATCCCAAATGTCTCAAAATGGAGTCCCTTATGACAAGTGACTCAGACCACAGTGAAACTGAAGGCCCCCCAAGGGCCGGGCATGGTGGCTTATGCCTGTAATCCAAGCACTTTGGGAGGCCAAGGCAGGCAGATCTCCTGAGGTTGGGAGTTTGAGACCAGCCTGACCAACGTGGAGAAATCCCGTCTCTACTAAAAATACAAAATTAGCCAGGTGTGGTGGCACATGCCTGTAATTCCAGCTGCTCGGGAGGCTGAGGCAGGATAATCGCTTGAATCCGAGAGGTAGAGGTTGCGGTGAGCCGAGATCGTGACATTGCACTCCAGCCTGGGCAACAAGAGCAAAACTCCATCTTAAAAAAAAAAAAGAAAAGAAAAGAAAAAGGAAAAAAAAAAAAAAGAAACTGCAGGCCCTCTCAAAGTCATCAACATTATGTATGGTGGACTGAGGTGAGAATATGTGCCAGGCACAACCAAGACCTGACAAGAAAGTGAAGCCAAAAGGCAACTGAGATAATGGCCATGGACATTCCTGCAGATGCCATAAAAACAGCAAAGAAACTGACCATGGCTAAGACGCAGAGGCTCTGCTGGTGACAACTCAGGCCTCTTCTGCATGGGCAGTGGTGCTGGATGCTCTGATGGGAGAAGAGCTGTGGCCCTCCCACCCCCAAGTTGGTCAGTGTTTTGAGGGGAATTCGGACCAGTCGGGTTCATCTGTCAGAGTGCTCCCAAGCTACTCTCAGTGGTTCAGTCCCCCTCTCTCTTCTCACTGCCTGTGTGTGGGCTGAATATATTTGTGTGATTGTTGGTGTGTGACAGTCTCATGATAAACTAAGAATTCAAAAGCACTGAATTGGCCACCGAGCCATCATGAAATCTCTCAGCCCTGATCGGAGTTCACACAGCTAGGCTGATTTGAACCTATATCCCTCCCAGAGGCAATGTGCATATCCTTTTGGTCAATTGTGCATGCATTTACACACACACACACACACACACACACACACACATACGGGCATGCACATTCTACCTTTGTCATGTATGAATAGGTCTGTGTTATATTGTGCATGTTATTCTGTGACTTGCTTTCTTCATTTAACATTTTGTCTTGGAGGCCTTTCCAGCTGTTCACATGGACTGCTCCATTCATTAATGGCCACACAATATTCCATAGGATAGTTGGAGCATATTTTATTTAACCAACCCCTTATTAATGAACCTAAGAACCTAAATGTTCTTTCCATTTTCTCACAATTGAAGAAAATGAAGCAATGAATATTTTTGTTACATATATCTTTCAAGACATGTGAAGTGTTTCAAAATGTGATGATTTCTAGAAGTGGAATTATTAGAGCTGCAGTTTTGAGATATATATATATAGATATATATATAATCAAATTATTTTCTGAAACTCATCATCCAGTTGCACTCCTATGACAATGTATAAGCCTGCCTGTTTCTCTGCATATATGCAAACATTTGATATTATCCCTCTTTTTAATTCTTAACTATATGGTGGGTGAAAATAAACTCTCATTATTGTTTTAATGTGCATTTTATCAAAATCAACCATATATATTTCCTCCTATGTGAAATGGCTCTTTGTTGAATGAACAGACAGAAATGAATGGAAAATCAACCAAGTTCTCTGAAGATGCAAGGCAAAGTCAGAGTGAGAAAGAGGAAAGAGAACAGCTTCCTTCTATCAGTGGGGGAGGGGCTGCCGAGGCCACGAGGATCCTTTACAGAGACAACCCCACCACTCTGTGAGAGCTGCTGGACAGGCCAGGCAGTGTGCACATGCCATGGGAAATAGGACAAGTGGAGCTGGCTAAGGAGTTATTGCTTAAGATGGTGCACACTGTACCCTGACCATAGGCACTTTGCCCAGGGGGTGCAGTGGGGTCTAGATGCCAGACAGAAGTCTGCGTGTGCAGCTATGTAACTGGGCAGGGCTCTGTTAGTTCACAGGAAGCTGAGACTCGTGCGCTTCATCTGCCTGCAGGGGCATCTGCTTTTAACTCATCCAAAGGGTCCCAAAGTGCTAGGGATGGCTCTAAGACTTCAGCAGGTGAGGGCATCCCTTGGGCTGCCTCTCAGGCACAGTGCGCGTTGTTAACGTGGCTACATTTGCCTTCAGAGGCCCATGTGGTCAGGAAGCAGACGAGGATGAGTGCTGCAGGGCACAGAAGACCTTTGAGACTCTTACCTCTGCTACACCAGCCACACCATCAGTGGAGCACTGAGGCCCCTGCATTCCAACATGCAAACTCTCCATTCAGACCTAAAACATAGGATGACTTAAAAAACATGCTTTCACTGTTGGAAGCATGTGGCTCAAACTACAGAGAAATATCCAGGCTGCACCTGTCTTGACCAACCTGGAGCAAAGGAATCACTCAAACCAACAAACGCCCATGCAGTCTAAGACTGAGCTCTTGCCTGGCTTTGGACTTCAACAGCTCTTTTCATGTCCTGTAGTCATTTGTTAGTGCATAGGTTTCCTGGCTTGAGACTCCAGTGTTTCTCAAAGACAAGAACGCTGAAAAGGGACTCCTTCCTTTTGCATGTTCCAGAGAGATATCAGTATTCTGTCCTATGAGCACTTATTTATTTCCTGGAATAAAACAGTTAAAAGTGTCTCCCACTTTTTTCCTCTCCTTTAAGGACTCCAATTACATGTGTATTCAGTTTCTTGAAGTTGTCCCATAGCTCAATGATGCTCTGTTTATTTAAAAATTCTTGGCCGGGCACGGTGGCTCATGCCTGTAATCCCAGCACTTTGGGAGGCTGGGGCGGGTGGATCACAAGGTCAAGAGATCGAGACCATCCTGGCCAACATGGTGAAGCCCTGTCTCTACTAAAAATATAAAAATTAGCTGGGAGTGGTGTTGCGTACCTGTAGTCCCAGCTCCTTGGGAGGCTGAGGCAGGAGAATCACTTGAACCCGGGAGGCGGAGGTTGCAGTGAGCCGAGATCATGCCACTGCACTCCAGCTTGGTGACAGAGTGAGACTCTGTGTCAAAAAAGAAAAAAAAATTTTTATCTCTGTGTGTTTCACTTAGGGTAGTTTCTACTGCTATGTTTTCAAGATCACAGTATTTTCTTCTCCAGTGCCTAATTGGCATTAATCTTGACCAATGTATGTTTTTATCTCAGACTTTGTAGTTTTCATCCCTAGAAGTTCAATCTGATATTTTTAAGAAAACGATTCTCCATGTCTCTTCTTAACATGTTCAGTCTTTCACTACCTTTTTGAACACATGGAATATAGTTATAACTTTAAATGTCTTTATCTGCTAATTCTGATATCGGTGTCATGTTTGGTTTTTTTATTGACTAAGTTTTCTCTTCATTTTGGGCCTTATTTTTCTTCTTCTTTGCATGCCTGTTAATTTTTGATTGGATGTCAAACATTGTGAATTTTAGTGCTGGGTATTTTTGAATTTCTGTAAATAGTGTTTTGCTCTGGGAATGTTACTTGAAATCAGTTTGATCCTTTTGGGTACTGCTTTTAAGATTTGTTAGGCAAGATGAGAGAAGCATTTAGACTGTGACTAGTAATTACTCACTACTGAGGGAAAATGTGATTGAATATCCATTGGCCTATGAATTATGAGGTTTTCTAGCCTGACTAGTAGGAACACTATTCTTGACTCTGTGATCTCTGAGTATTGCTCACTCTAATACCTATTATGCTTCTGGGTGGTTCATTCCCAGGCCTCAGGTAGTTTTCTTCAGACACACAAACTGATCATTACTTACTTGAATACTCCTAGGAGACCTTTGCAATTTCTGGAATTCTCTGTTCACACCTCCTCCCTCCAGGATTCTGTCCTGTAAATTCAAGCTTCCTTGGTTTCTTGAAGCTCTCAGTTCCATCTCCTCAACAAAAGGAGTTCACTAGCCTCTGCCTGGGTTTTGTATTTCCATGTTGAAGCCGGGAAACGTTCTCCAGACTGCAAGCTGGGGCAATTATAAGGCATATCTCATTTGCTTCCTGTCTCTCAGAAATCACTCTCTCTCTCCCCCGATATTCAATGTCTTGAAAGCCAATGTCCTAAAATTGCCTTCTATATACTGTGTCTGTATTTTTAGTTGTTTCACATTGGAGTGTAAATCTGGTGCCTGTGACTTCATATCTTGGCTAGAAGTGGAAGACTAACCGCAGGGAATTAAATTAAAAATCAATAACAGATATTTGGAAACGTCAAATAGTTAGAAATTGAAAAACACACTTTAAAATAAGCTATGGTCAAATAGTTAATATTAAGGAAAATTATAAAACATTCCAAATTGATAAAAAATGAACATATATCAAAATTTGTGGGATGACATTAACGCTGTGCTTTAAGGAAACTTATTGCTTTTAATACTTGTATTAAAGAATAAAAAAGGTCTCACATTAATGGTTTGAGTTGCCATCTAAAGACACTACAAAAAAGAAGATCAAATTAAACCCAAAATAACCAGAAGGAAGGAAATGCATTTAGCCTTTTTTTGAGCAACATGGGTTTGAATTGCATGGGCTCATTTATACATAGAGTTTTTTCCCCCAACCAAACATAGATAAAAAATACAGTATTTGTGGGATCTGAAACCCACATATATGGAGGGCCAACTTTTCATATACACAAGCTCTACAGGGCTGATTTCAGGTCTTAAGTATGTGTGGATTTTGATATATGCAGAGATCCTAGAACCAATCCCCTCTGTATACCAAGGGATGACTGCAATAGAGAGCAGAAATTAGTAAAATAGAAAACAAAGAGAAAAGAGTAGAGAAATATCAATGAAACCAAAATTTGGTTCTTTGAAAAGATCAACAAAATTGATGTCCTAAATCTATTTAAAAATTAAGTCTGTAGTTAAAACACCTTTCCACAAAGAAAACTCCAGGGCTGCATGACTTCAATGATGAGTATGCTACCAGACATTTAACGAGAAGATGATGCCAACTCTACACAAACTCTTCTAGAAAATGGATGATAAGAAACACTTTCCCACTAATTTATGAGGCCATCATTATTCCGATACCAAAACCAGTGATATACATTATAAGGACATAAAACTACAGATGAAAATTTCTCATTAAAATAAATTCTATAATCTTCAACAAAATAGTATTAAATTGAATGCATCAGTGTATATAAAAATAAGCTATGACTTGATGGGATTTATCATAGAAATGCATAGTATGACTTTTAGAAAGCAATCAATATAATTCATTATATTAACCAACAAAAAATAAAAAACAATACTATCACCTCAGTATATGCAAAAAATGCATTTGGCAAAATTTCATACCCATTCATGACATGAACTATCAACAAGTAGGAACAAAAAGAACTGCCTCAATATTGTTTAGAAAAAATCTCCAGCTAACCTCAGTCTTAATGGTAAAAGTCTGGATGCTTTCCCCCTAACATCAGAAAGCAGGCCAGAATGTCTTTGCTTAACACTTTTGTTCAACATTGTACTGGAGGTCATAGTCAGTTTATTAACAGAAGAAAATGAAATAAAAGAACAAAATGGGGAATGTAAAACTGTCTTTATTCACAGACAACCTGATTGTCTATATAGAAAATACTGACAGTGTTTCTTCGTTCATTTTGTGCTGCTATAACAGAACACCACAGACTGAGTAATTTATAAAGAACAGGAATGTTTTGACTCCTGATTCTGGAGGCTGAGAAGTCCAAGATCAAGGGGCAGGCATCTGGCAATGGCTTCCTTGCTTGTTATATCATCCCATGGCAGAAAGGTAAAGAGAGGGTGAGAGAGAGAGCAAGATGCTTAACTTTCAGCCTTAATTTTAGCCTTTTTATAAATGCATTAATCCATTCATGAGGGTGGAGACTTCATAACCTAAACACCTCCCATCACCATTGCATTGGGAATTAGGTTTCCAACACGTGGTTTTTGGGGAACACATTCAAACCACAGCAGAAATATTTTTAAATTTATTAGCAATAATAAATGAGTTTAGCAAGATCATAGGGTACAAAGTTGTTATACAAAGTCAGCAGTATTTCTCCATACTAACCACAAATAATTGGAAATTGGAGTTAAATAATATTTAATCCATTAATGAGGGTGGAGACCTTATAACCTAAACACCTCCCATCACTTTTGCATTGGGGATTAGGTTTCCAACACGTGCTTTTTAAAGGACACATTCAAACATTTAAAATAACACCCAAATTATGAATATCTAGGAATAAATTTAACAAAAGATATACAACACATGTATACTACAAAGCTGTTTTGAGAGAAATTAAAGAAGATCTAAGTAAATAGAGATATACCATGCTCATGGATAAGAATCTCATTAATTCTAAGATATAAATTTTCCTAAATTGGCCTATAGTTAAAATATTATCATAATCAAAATCTCAGCAGGGTCCTTTGTAGACATTAACAAAACAATTTAAAATTTGTATAAAAATACAAAGGATGTCGACTAGCCAAAACAATTCTGAAAATGAACAAAATTGGAGGATTTGTACTAACTGATTTCAAGGCTTACTAAAAAGCTTCAGTAGTCAAGCCAGTGTGGATTTTGGCTATATATATATGTGTGTGTATATATATGTATATATATACACATACATCTCTTTCATATATATACACATATATATGTATATACATATATATGTATATACATATATATACATATATATACATATATAAATATATGAAAGAGAATAGAGACTCCAGAAATAGACTCACACATATATAGTCAATTGATTTTTTACAAGGCTCCAAGGCAATTCAATGTGTAAATGTTAATGGAATACCTGGATATCTACACAGAAAAAAGTTCCCAAACCTTACTGTACATTGAATAAAAAATTAACTCAAATAGTGTCATAAACCTATATCCAAGAGCTAAAACTATTGTGCTTCTGGAAGAAAAAAAAGAGCAGAAAACCTTTTTTGACCTTGGATTAAGTTAATATTTTTAAATAGGACACAAAAAGCACAAATTTTAAGAAAACACACACATAAATATTGAACTTCACCAACATTATAGACTTCTGCTCTTTCAAAGATAATGTTAAAAAGATGAAAAGGTAAGCTACAGCCTGGGAGAAAATATTTGCAAAACATAGATCCAATCAAAAGTCTTGCATCCAGAAAATACAGCCCAATTTTTTTTTTTTTTTTTTTTGAGATGGAGTTTTGCTCTTGTTGCCCAGGCTGGAGTGCAATGGTGTGATCTCGGCTCACTGCAACCTCCGCCTCCTGAGTTCAAGCAATTCTCCTCTCTAAGCACCCCGAGTAGCTGGTATTACAGGCATCCACCACCACGCCCAGCTAATTTTTGTAATTTTAGTAGAGATGGGGTTTCACCATGTTGGCCAGGCTAGTCTTGAACTCCTGACCTCAGGTGATCTGCCTATCTTTTAAAAATGGTCAAAACATTCCGACAGACCCTTTACCTAAAATGTTTTTCAGATGGCAAGTAAGGAAACAAAAATATGCTCAACATTATTAGTCATTAGGGAGATGCAGATTAAAACAAAAATGAAATGCTACACACCCCCCCACACATACACACAAATGACTATAATTAAAGAGATGGACAACACCAAATATTGGTGAAGATGAGGAACAGTTGGATTTTTAATACATGGTTCATGGTACAGCCACTTTAGAAAGTATTTTGAGGCCAGGCACGGTGGCTCACGCCTGTAATCCCAGCACTTTGGGAGGCCGAGGAGGGTGGACCACAAGGTCAGGAGATTGAGACCATCCTGGCTAACACGGTGAAACCCAATCTCTACTAAAAAATATATAAAAAATTAGCCAGGTGTGGTGGCAGGCACCTGTAGTCCCAGCTACTCTGGAGGCTGAGGCAGAAGAACGGTGTGAACCCGGGAGGTGGAGCTTGCAGTGAGCCAAGATGCGCCACTGCACTCCAGCCTGGGTGACAGAGCAAAACTCCGTCTCAAAAAAAAAAAAAAAAAAAAAAAGAAAGGAAGAAAGCATTTTGACGTGTCTTAGAAAATTAAACAATCATGTAGGATATGACCCTGGCATTCCACTCTTTACCAAATGAGAACATATGTCCACACAAAGGCCCTGCCTACTAATGTTTATAACAACTTTATTCATAATATCCAAAACCTAGAAACAACCCAAAGTCCATCAACTAGTGAATAGATGAACACATTGTGGCATACCCATAGAGTGAAATATCACTTAGCTATAAAAAAGAGCAAACTGCCAATATATTCAACATGGGTGCATCTCATAAGTATTATGTCAAGTGAAGAAGCTAGACACAAAACAATGTATTATATGATTCCATTTATATGGAATACTTTAAAAGGAAATTATAGTAATGGAAATCACATCAATGGTTGCCAGTGCCTGATGAGTAGCAAGGGATTGACCACAACGGGGCATTTAGGACCTTTTCAGGGAGGTGGAATAGTCTCTATCACGATTGTAGTGGTATCCCACTAGTGGATATATTTGTCAAACTCATTGAATTGTACACTTAAAATTGGCAAATTTGATTGTATGCAAATTTTACCTCAATAGAGCTGACAAAGATTAATGATAGGCTGATAGTATCTGGTCTCCATGGTACCTACCTCCTGCACTCTCTGGGTCTCCAATCCCTGAAAAGAGAGAAGCTAGGGGAGGACCAGCATCTTTGCTCTGTGTATCTGTGGTGCTGGGAGGGACAGCATCCCTGGAAGATGTTCAATGTCTGTAGAAGTAGCATCCACTCAGGGAGAGCGCTGAAGGCACTGCTACACATTTTTATTCATATCGCCCCCTAAGGAGCGTTTTGAGACCTGTTTTCCTAATCGATCCACCCCCATGACATTTTAATACAGATGTACTGTACAGCTATTTATGTTATGTATGCATATCTGTGCTTCATACATAAAAATAGTAAGATTTTATTCTCCCCCAAAGAACCAATTTTTGCCACCTTCTGGGCAACATTGCCTATTGAGAATGGACAGGTGAGGAAGGAAGCCAAAGGTCAGACTTTACTTTCAAGATTTTACTGGGTCAGATTTTACTTGCCCAGATTTTACTGGGCAAGCTTGTCTTCTTTCTCCTTCTCTTCAGTGAAGTAACAGGCTACCAGGTAGGAGGCTGGGCATAGCTGGGTCTGATGATAGGCTCTGAGGACCAAGGTGGGAAGGTGCTGTCACTCCATGTGGTCAGTGATGGACTTTGAGCACCTGGCAGGGGCCCAGCCACACCCTGCTCAGCACACTTATCACCCCATGTGTCTCCAGAGGCCCTGGGACGTGGGCAGGCACATCAATAGTTGCTCACTGGAGTCGTTCTGCTTCCACAAGGCTTTCAATAGCAAAACAGCTCTTATCTATGAAATATGATTCCTTGGAACCCCTCTTATCTAAAGAAAGTTATGAGAGGGGCAGAATAATGCTGCTTCTTTGGAGGTAAATGCTCAGTTTGGCTTCCTCATAGGTATGTGAGGAGCAGAAGGAAAAGTTGCTTTCAAGAAAGTCACTCAAAAAAGCAGACATAAATATGAAAATATTTGTAGGCACACATGTTGAGGAAGAGGACAAAGGGTCTGGCTGCCCACCTCCCAGGCATTTTCCTCATTTAGAAGTGGCCCCCACTCACAGGGGTGGCCCCCAAGGGCTTTCTGGGCTTTGTGATCTTGTCCCCATGGCCATAACTGGTTGGTCCAAGTAGAGACATTTGATCCAAGCCAGACCAATCACATTCCCTGATCCAACTATTTGAAACCTGGTGCCAAGAGACACACAGAGATCTTTGGAATTGGGCTACTTCAATGACAAACACCTGGACAAGGCCCATGGTCCCTCGTCTGAGGGCCCCAGAACTGCTCTGATCTTACTCTAACCACAGATTGGGTGCTCAGAATCTCCTTTGTGGTCTCTGAACTTCACCAATAAGCCTTCCAATTAGCTCCATGGGTCCAGGCATGGCACATTCCAACCTGCATATTTTGGCCAGATGACACTATGGCTGCTCTGCCCTACAGGTTCACTCTTTATCCCAAAAACTCAGCTGAGGAAGAATTCCCAAAATGGCTCTCTTTCCTTCAACCCTAGCACCTCCAGATGTCAAATTGCAAAGATGGCATGTGTCTCACCCTCAGATCTCAACAAGTGGCACTGTCTCTGTGTCTGTCCTCCACCGGCTTTGTGGCCAAGGAGAGCTATGAGGAGGTGTCCCCAGACATCCTCACTCTGTGCCTAAGAATGGAGGAGGGGGAGGCAGAAAACACATGGCATCGTGCCTGTCACAGTTGAGGGTGATGGATGAGGAGGCAGGGCCCAGGGACTCACCATTGTTTCTGGGGAGGGCAGGATTCTCCACTCCTGAAACACCAGGTTTTTGTTCTCAAATCACTTGCTCCTAGGGCCCTGAGCACTCCACTTTCCTCTAGCACCAGATCAGGGAGGTCTGATTTTAACAAAAGTGTGCTTGTGTAGCTTGAGACATGTGAGTTACTAGGATTGTCACCTGGGGCAAATTCAACAGGGGTCTCCCTGGGTAACTGTGCAGCTAGGGCTTCACCGTATAGATGGGAAGTAGAGTCTTTGCATCCACATTCAGCCTCAACTATTGCCAGGACCTCTCCAGAACGCATTCTACTCTGTAAGATTTGGGATGCAAAAGTTCTAAAAAATGCCCTTTATTATCTAGAATTTTCTAATTATTATTTACATTATTTGCAGAGTAGATCTACATCTTTGGGGGGGCGGGTGGTTTATTTGTTTGCTTTTTAAAAATAAAAACCCAGTGGGGAGGAAATGAACGGTGGCTGGGTCGCCTTTGATGCACTTGCCTTTCTCTCTGGTGGGATGAAAAGGAAGTCATGGCCCTATTTCCAAGAGGGTTTGGTGCAGATTTGGAATCTGCTGGAAGCAATGTAAAGCAATCAATGAGTAAACAAGTGTCTAGGACATGCAGACTGGCATCCACCACGTGTGTGCACACACGTGTGTGTACTCAGTGCAACACAACTGGCTTGTCCACCCCAGGATTGGTTCTCCTGGCTGTTCCCTGGTATTAGATACAGCCTCAGACACCTTATCTCATGGTTAACAGGAAGGCCACAGCAGCCCCAAGTCCCCGACTCTCACCCCACATCATTGAAGGGAAGAGGGGGAACATCTCTTCCTAGGTAGGTCAACGGCCCCTCCCTGTCTCACTGCTGTGGGCATGGCCACCTTGGAGCCACTTGCATAGCCAGAGGGGTGGGACATTTCCTTCCGACCCACGTGACTCACCAAAGCAACATCTAGGCATTGTGAATGGGATGAGGGAACCTGACACTGAGGAGATACCCTTGACATCTTCTATGTTGCCTCACTTCCCAAAGCCCAGGGGCTGCCTCTTCTATTGCCCACCAAACAGCAATGGTGGTCATGTATAGGACATGCTGCCTGATGACTCATGGAATGCTCTTATGCACAGTGTCTCTGTGGATGCTCAGAAGAGCTCTAATTTTGATGACCTCTAATTCACAGAGAGAGGGATTGAGCCTTAGGCATGGAGGCTACCGGCCCAAGAGCGTGAGGGGTGAGAAGTAGGCCAGAAGGTGAGCTCACCCTCTGGCCTTCAGATCCTCACTTCCATTCCCGCTCCTCCTGGGAGCCACTCCTGCATCTGGAGCCCCAGGGGGCTGCCTGCTCACTCCTGCTGGGCATCCCTACAGTCCTAGCCGTGACTCCGTTGGTCTTGGTGGGAGTATTCATCATCTATTGCTGTGTAACAAATTACTACAAGCTTCGCAGCTTACAACAACACTGTACATGAGCTCACAGTTCTATAGGTTAGAAGTCCAGACCTGGCACAAGGTGGGGCTTCTCTGCTTAGGGTTTCACAAGCTGAAACCACGTGTGGGCCAGCTGTGTCCTTATTTGGAAGTCAGGGTCCTCCTCCAGGCCCATTTGGGGTGTTGGCAGAATTCAGTTCCTATGGAACCCCATCTCATGAGAAATAGAAATGCTATATTTATTTAAGCCACTATTTGTCAGGTCTTGTGTTGCTCATCTAAGTACAATTACTAACTGATTCACAGGCACGCTGAGCAGACACGGGAGCAGACACTGAGGCTCAGGCGGGTGCTGGTAGAACCTCCCTTCCATGCGTGGCCACAGCTCTCCAAAGCCCTATTTTATACTTTTGTTATTGTTCTTGGGTTTTTTTGAGATGGAGTTTCGCTTTTGTCACCCAGGCTGGAGTGCAGTGTCGTGATCTTGGCTCACCACAACTTCCGCCTCCCAGGTTCAAGCGATTCTCCTGCCTCAACCTCCCTAGTAGCTGGGATTACAGGCGCCCACCACCACACTCAGCTAATTTTTTGTATTTTTAGTAGAGATGGGGTTTCACCGTGTTGCCCAGGCTGGTCTCTAACTCCTGATCTCAAGTGATCTGCCCACCTCGGCCTCCCAAAGTGCTGGGATTACAGGCATAAACCACCATGGCCGGCCCCTACTTTATACTTTTATACGGTATTATTTCATTATGCCCTCTTAGCTTCTAAAAGGAGCTAAGATTAGATTTTTAAAATCTTCATTCCTTCCTCCCTCCGTCCTTCTTTTCTTTTTCTTTTCTTTTCTTCTTTCTTTCTTTCTCTTCTTTCTTTCTTTCTTTTTCTTTCTTTCTTTCTCTTTCTCTCTCCCCTTCCTTCTTTTCTTCTTTTCTTTTCATTTTTTTTTCTTTTTTTCATATGGAAAAACTAAGGCTCAAAGAGAGGAAGTAATTTTCTGGAAGACCTTCAGCCTCTTAGAGTCACAATCCAGAGCAAGCTGAGCCTCTCTAACTCATCATTCAGAGCCTCACTATCCTGCTCCACTCCCAGCCCAGCCTGGGCCCCAGCCCAGCTCAGCTGTTGTCTGCCCATGGATCAGTCTCAGCACCGGCCCTCCTACCTGGAAGAGCACTCACAAGCTGTGGGAGGAGGAGGGTGGCGTGTCCTCTGGCAGAGGCAGAGCCTAACCGTACTTGGTCAGCTTCAGCACACACTTCCCTCGCTCCGCAGGGGCAGCTGCATACCTCCCCATTGGGAGGAGGCAATGGATCCAGCCAGGGCTGAGAGAGTTGTGGGTTATTGACCCAAGCTCCCAGCTCTCCTGGCTGAGTCTCAACTGGGGACCCCCGAGGACCATTTCCGAAGCACAGGCAAAGTTCTCGTGTTCCCACCAGGACTTGCAGGAGCAGCCTGTCAAAATAAATTGTATATTATGGATTCTGGGAGGTTGGAGGACCAGCTGTTACCAAAATGCTTGGGCTAATTTTAAATCTATTCATTATTCATGATTAATTACCAAAGCCCCGAGAGATGTAAGTGAACATAGCTCTTACAGCACATGTCGAAGTCACTCTGGGAATATATTAGTGGAGTTATCCCTCTCCTTCTTTCATTGTTGCTGTTTTCATAAAAATTTAAATCTTACGATAAATGTAGATTTATACGAAAGTTACAAAGATAGTCGAGTCTTCACATACACCCCAAATGCATCTTCTGCTCTTATTAAAATCTTACATTAGCGTGGCACATTTGTCACGCTTAATGAAAAGTGTTATGGACTAAAGTCCATAATTTATTCAGATTTTCTTAGTCTTTAGCTAATATCCATTTTCTGTCTCAGGATCCCACCCAGGATCTCACATTCCATTTGTTATCATCTCGTCTTAGGCTTCTTCTGGTTCCAATAGTCTCTTAGACTTTGCTGGTTTTTGATGACCTTGACAGTTTTGAGGGGTTCTCCTCAGGTATTTTGTAGTCTGCCTCTCTAGTGGAATTTGTCTGATAGTTTTCTCATGATTCAACTGGTGATATGGGTTTTGGTGAAGAAGACCACAGGTTAAAGTGTCCTTCATCACATTATGTCAAGGGTACATACTATCAGCATGACTTATCACTGTTGATGTTAATCACCTGGCTCAGATGTGTTTATCAGATTTCTCCACTGTAAGGTTACTCTGTTTTTAAACCCCTTTCCATACTGTCCTCTTTGATATAAAGTCACAACGTGAAGCTATAGTTAAGGAGAGGGAAGTTATGCTCTATCTCCTTGAGGATGAAGTATCCACATTAATTATTTGGAATTCTTCCATGCAGGAGATTTCCCTCCTCTCCTCCATTTATTTATTCAATCATTTACTTATAGTAGTATGGACTCATGGAGATTATTTTCTACTCTAGGTTATAATCTGATACTACTATATTTACTTTATTGCTCAACTTGGGAGCTCTTTCCATTGGTTCATGTGTGCCTTTGACATGCTTCCATCACTGTGCATGTGAGTGTGTTTTAGTACTTCCTTACTTTCTGACTCTACAAGATGCCTCAAGCGTATTTTGTATATTTCCTGCCTCAGTCCTAGAATCAGTCATTTCTCCAAAGAGCACTGGTTCCTTTTATTGGAGAATGGTGATAGAAACCTAGATCAGGTGCTAGGTGTGCTCATTGTTACTGGGATGTCATTGCTTCTAGGCCCTGTCAGCTGACAGAGCAAGGAATTTATAGCCATGTGTATGTATACTAAGCCATATACATACACAAGGCTATAAATATATGCATACACATACATCCATCTGCATCTGTATTAAATTCAACATGAATTCGTACTAATGTCTCCATCTGTCCCCATGAGGGTTATTCTAGACTTCTCTCCTTGCTTATCTACAACTTTCCGTTCCAACAGAGAGAAACCTGGCTCCCACCTTCTGCCATCCATTTACTTAATTGTTCATTTCCAGGATACATGGACAGTGGCTTCATCATTGTTAAGCCATACCCCTGAGGGAAACAGTTTATCAACTAGAGCACAGTGCTTATGTGCAGTTCCTTTTGCCTTTAGTCTTACAGTCACTAGTTATTTCCAAAGTTACTTAGGTCAGAACCTTTTGCCTTATCTGTCTCAATGAGGTTGTTTCATACATCTGCAATTTAGTTAGATTCTTTTTTAGCATTCTGCATTCTATCCTGGGACCCCCTAATTTCCAAAATGATTTTTTTAAGTTTGCATGTTCAGGTTCACTCTTCCTGCTGTAAAGTTCTATGGGTTTTGAGACAGGCATAATGTAATTTGCATCTCCTATTATAGTACCCTATAGAAAAGTTCCACTGTCCTAACAAGTCCCCAGTGCTTCACTTATTCACCCTCCTCCCACTCTGAACCCCCTGTTTACCATCACCATAGTTTTTCATTTCCCAGAATGTCATATAAATGGAACAATACAGCATGTAACTTCTTCAGACCAACTACTTTTACTTAGAAATGTGCATTTAAGCTTCTTCCATGTTTTTTTGTGGCTTCATAGCTTTCTTTTTTATTGATGAATAGTATTCCATTATACAGATGTACCACTGTTTATCTGTTAATCTACTCAAAGACATCTTGGTTTCTTCCAGGTTTTGATGTTTGTAAATAAAGGTGCCATAGTATTTGGCTGGGTGCAGTGGCTCACGCCTGTAATCCCAGCACTTTGGGAGGCTGATGAGAGCAGATCACTTGAGGTCAGGAGTTCAAGACCAGCCTGGCCAACATGACAAAACCCTCTCTCTACTAAAAATACAAAAATTAGCCAGGCCTGATGGCACATGCCTGTAATCCCAGCTACAAGGGAGGCTGAGGCAGGAGGATTGCTTGAACTCAGGAGGTGGAGGTTGCAGTGAGCTGAGATTAAGCCACTGCTCTCCAGCTTGGGTGACAGAGCGAGACCCTGTCTCAAACAACAACAACAACAAAAACATTTGCTGTGCAGGTTTTTGTGTAAACATAATTTTTCAAATCAGGTAAATAGCAGCAGGATTGCTAGACTACATGATAAAATAATGTTTGTCTTTGTAAAAAATTGCCAAACTGTCTGTTATTTTGCATTGTCACCAGCAACAAGTAAAAGGTTTTGCTGTTCTGTATCCTTGCTAGCAATCGGCATTATTCAGTTTTTAAATTTAGTCATTCCAATAGGTAGGTAGTGCCTTTCTTTGTTTTGCATTTTGTTTCCTTTTGTTTTTAATCAGAAGAATCTCGAGGAATAAATAGGGTTGTATGAATGATACTTCCTCCCCCAATGACTCTGGCCATGTGCTCAGACCAGGATGCTAAGGTGGGGCAAGGTGTGGTTGGCCTGATCTGATCTCCCCTTGGGATGGCCCCACTTGGGGGTGATCCTTGACTCGATCTCCTTTTCCTTCTATTTTACCTTTGTTTATTTCCTGACTACTCTATTACTTCTTTCAGTCCAACAAAAAATTTTAGAAAACCTCCTTTGTGCCTAGCTTTATGTAGGTTGCAGGGATGCAAAGATAAACGATGTCCACATACAGCCTAACAGGGAAGCTAGAGATGCAACCATCCACCATCCTGTGTGATTGTCACTGCTGTTCTGTGATGGCATGGGTAAAGATGACAGACAGAAAAATGGTTGAATTTATCCTCTGTGCCCTAATAACCCCATAACTGCAGGCAAGTTACTTAAATCCTTGCTGCTGAAGTGTGGCCAGTGGACCTGCAGCATCAATATCACCTGAGAGCTTGTGAGAAATGCAAAATCTCAGACCCCACCCCAGACCTGTGGAATCATTTTAGCAAGATCCGCAGGTGATTCACATGCACACTAAAGGTGCAGAGAGGGGCAGCCTCTTGCTCAGAATCCCAGAATGAGTTAGGCACAAGGCCAGGCCCGCAGGAGGGCAGCCTCCTGATTTCTACAGGAGGCCATTCTCCAATCCTGGGATTCATCAATCCCCCCAGCCTCATCAGTCCATCTCTGTCACTGCTGGGAACGGGCTGATGCCATTTCCCTGGGAAGAAAGGTGCCTGGAAGTCACCAAGCTCTGCCAGCCCCAGGTTCAGACGCTGGGAGCTCCCTCTGGAGCAAAGCCTTCTGCAGCTGTTGGGGATGCCCAGAGCTCATTCTGAAAAGCTTGTTCTCAGAGAGGCTGGAAATCAA
This sequence comes from Homo sapiens, assembly GCF_000001405.40. Classification (NCBI taxonomy): domain Eukaryota; kingdom Metazoa; phylum Chordata; class Mammalia; order Primates; family Hominidae; genus Homo; species Homo sapiens. Next base: position 123,603,598 of record NC_000010.11, read on the forward strand.
TGCAATCATATTGGAAAGTCTATGCTTCCTGAAAAAGGACTACTATTGGAGAATTTCTTCTTTCTCAGCCTCTATCCCTCCCCTCAGGGGCAGAACCCACCCCCACCTTGGCTGTGTTTCTCAAAGTGGCAGAGTTCTGACATAAGGGGAAAGAGCTTAGGGAAATCGGATTTTATGGTCCTTTCCCACCCCACCCTATGCCACCCCTTTCATCTCCTCCCAGCAAGACTCAACTTAACAGTCTCCAATCAGAAGCCAACTGCCACACCCACTTAAAGCTGCCTCTACCCCTAGTCCTGACGTGTCTTCCTTAAGTGAAGTCAGCTCTATTCTGCCCACTGTCTTTAAGTGGAAATTCTTTCCCCTTCTCATCCCAACCTCCACGGCGTGTGGAATTTATTCCTGCACCTCTTCCTCTTTTTACCCGTACTACCTCCATGGTGCAGCCATGATGCGTGCAGTGGAAAGTGACCTCCTTCCTTCCCAGCTGTCCAGGGCACTTACAGGCAGAGGGGGCTTAGAACTCCAGGACTGACCTAGCTCCTTCTTTTGCAGATAACCAATGCATGGCTCAGAGAGGAAATGAGACCCACAGACCCACATCATCTCACATCACGTCAAGACCCACAGCTCTGTGGAGACAAACCTGAATGGTCTAGACTAGATGTTCTATCACCAAATTATCTATCATTTATCTGTCTTTCTGTCTATTGATCCAATCTATCAATTGACGGATCAATCATTTCTCTATTACAATCCCCTCTCCTTGCACTTTGCTGTCTTCCACAGTGGAAGCCCGTTGTGAGCAGGTGGCAATAGATCTCATGGTATTGAAAGGGCCCATGTATCCATGGGTCCTGGGGTCCCATTGGAATCTTAAGGAAGGAAAGCCTTCCTCACTGCTTGTCTGCCGCTGGCAGCCTTCAACAACTTCACTGGCTTCAGAGTCAGATGTCGAAATGTCTCTGTCCTGGAAGCCACTGGAACTGCAGGTCCCCACTCTGCATTAGGCAGCCAGAAGAAAGAGGAGCCTTGGTTTCCTTGTCTGGACAATGAGGAACTTGCAGAAAGTGACCCTGAGGAAGGCCTTTGCTATGGTTTGAATGTTTCCTCCTAAACTCATGTCGAAACTTCATTCTCAATGTGGCGATATTGAGAGGCGGGGCCTTTAAGAGGTGACTGGGTCATGAAGGTTCTGCCCTCATGAATGGATTCATCTATTGATGGATTAATGGATGAATGGGTTAATGGATGAATAGTATGAAAATGAATATATATATTTTTGAAAATGAATACAGGCCGGGTGTGGTGGTCACACCTGTAATCCCAGCACTTTGGGAGGCTGAGGTGGGCGAATCACTTGAGGTCAGGAGTTTGAGATCAGCCTGGCCAACATGGTGAAACCCTGTCTCTACTAAAAAATAAAAAAATTATCTGGGTGTGGTGTCACGTGCCTGTAATCCCAGCTACTTGGAAGGCTGAGGCAGGAGAATTGCTTGAACCCAGGAGGCAGAGGTTGCAGTGAGCTGAGATCATGCCACTGCACTCCAGCCTGGGCGACAGAGTGAGACACCGTCTCAAAAAAAAAAAAAAAAAAGGAATATAATTTAAAAGCTGTTGGAATCCCCAAACACTTTAAGCCTTGAAAGACATGTCACTGTGAATTGAATCACATATGGTTACAATTTCTGTTTCTCAGATTATAGATGAACTTGATTTGTTTCCTTGTTCTGTACAATGACTAGAGAGAATTAAATGATGTCAGGGACAAAAACCTCCTGCCTCCTGTTCATGATCCTTCTGATAGATTAACTTCCCCATTGTTATCCTGCTTTGCTTCGATCAGACGACAGAAAACCCAAGACTGTTACATCCTCTGTAAAAAATGCTAAATGTACCCTTCCCGAAAAGAAACACTGCTTATAACCAATCAAATTGCTGTAAGTATGTGTAACCTTGTATGAATATTGTTGCAATCCTGCTAAAAACTCCTCCGTCTCTGCCTACATTAATGAAGTCTTAAATGTCCTACTTCAGAACACTGGTTCCATTCCTTTGGAATTGGTGTTTCCAGGCCGCTCACCCTTGCACTTTGCCCTTGAATACATTCTCTTTAAATTGGATTCCGACCCTTTCGATGATTTTAGGTTGACAATAGGTTTTCATGGGAGGGGAACTGGTGGCTTTGTAAGAAGAGGAAGAGAGACCTGAGGGGCACATTCACATCCTCAGCCCCATCACCATGTGATACCTTGTGGCTGGACTTTGCACTGAGCTCCACCAGCAAGAAGGCTGTCACCAGATGTTGTCCCTCAACCCCTGGCTTCTCAGCCCCAGTAACTGTAAGAAATAACTTGCTTTTCTTTATAAATTACTTAGTTTCAGGTACTATGTTATAAATGACGGAAAATGGACTAACATAGCCTTTGAAGCCACTGCATGGGACCTGTGAAAAATGCAGGCATAGGACTCCCCCTCCATTCTGGTGTAGTAAGTTTGAAATGGGATCCACCCACTTTATTTCTACCGAAAGCTCCGGGGGCGGGGGGATCTAAGATCCAGTGCATTTGAAAGCCACCGTGATAGGCCATTTTTGACACCAGGAGAATCTGCAAGGGACAACTAGCCATTGGGGCTAATAGAACCACACCTTGGCGTCTGCAGCGGGCTGGGGCCTCTGGCGCTGTATGGCCCTGGCTTCTGCTTTTAATGTCCCTCCCTCACCAGAAACCAGAGCTGGTCTCTACTTCCAAGCAGCTCTCACTCCGGAGCCTCTGAAGCGAATATGCACAGTTAAGTGCTTCAGGGAATGTCCATTCCCAAATCCAATTTTAATACCGATGTACCGCTAAGAGCACTTGCTACTAAGAATTAGCTAATGCAAGACTGATGTTTAGAAAAATCTATACAGAAAAGTGCAGTGCCTGGACTTGGGAAGCTACCTAGTTTGCTTATTTCCTTCTGTCATTTTTTTGAGACAGAGTCTTGCTCTGTTGCCCAGGCTGGAGTGCAGTGGAGTGATCTCGGCTCACTGCAAGCTCTGCCTCCGGGTTCACGCCATTCTCCTGCCTCAACCTTCCAAGTAGCTGGGACTACAGGCACCCACCACCACACTCGGCTAATTTTTTTTTTGTATTTTTAGTAGAGATGGGGTTTCACTGTGTTAGCCAGGATGGTCTCGATCTCCTGACCTCGTGATTCACCCGCCTCGGCCTCCCAAAGGGCTGGGATTACAGGTGTGAGCCACTGCGCCTGGACTCCTTTCATTTTTATCCCCCTCTTCTTCTCCTCTCTCTTCCTCTTTTCTCCCCTCCCCTCTGCTTTCTTCTTCTTGCTTCCTTTTACTTGCATATCCAGGGAGCATTTTAATTTTGGAAATAAATGCTATGTAAGCCAAAGTTCTGTGGTGTGCGAGAGTATGGGGTGTGAGAAGGGAGAATTAGAGGAAGGCATTTTAACACCTGTCAAGGCATGGTATTGCCTTCCAGGCAGTTTCTAGAAAAACAAAAACACAGCTGCAGCCATCCTAGAGGCAGGGGCTCACCTCTACTCCAGGGGCTAAGCAGCCTTCACCCTGGGAAAGGTGTCAGGCGAGGGTGGTGATCCAGTTCCTTTGGTGCACCACAAACAATTCAACCCAGGGGTGCTGCTGATCACCGAGTGCCCCTGACCCTCTGTCAAGATTTTTGAAACATGTGATCAGTAAAATCTTAATCTGAACATTTCAATTACACAGGGAGAGTCAGAAATATAAAAGTAGTCATGAAACTCAATCTCTCAAAGAAGTAGAAGCAGCTTAGTTCCTGGAGCTGGGATGGTAGTTGATGGGTTCATCAACAGGCTGCACAGAGTTTAGGGTGGTATCAAGGATATATTTTAAAAAGAGAGAGAGAACTGTAGGTATACCTGGGGGATGGGGCAAGTAGGAGTCAGTTAAAAGAGCAACCATTCCATTTGAGAATTCCCAAGTAACAGCTCTCACAGCATGTGGCTGCCTTCACAGGGAAGCTCCCAGCTCCTGAATGCTGAGAGCCAGGGCTGCTGCCTAACAGACCTGGCCCCTTCTGCTCCGGCTGGAGCTGAATGCCTCCCAGGATCAGCTGTGCTTGTTATTGTAATTAAACAGTTTACAAAAACTGATGAAATAAGAGTGCCAAAAGAAAAAGGGTTGTTTTCATAAAAACTAAGTTTAGTTCTTCAGAAAGGCTCTTTCTATAAAGGGAAGTCAGTAAAAATAATTGCAATTAAATTAGGTGTGGGCGAGATAACTTTAAAAGCTTGGGGAGAATTGTACGCATCTAGAAATGCCTGCGTTTGCTTAAGTTCTCACTTATTTTAAAGAAAACAAAATTGGAAATTATAGACAATATGGTTGGGGTGGGGTTTATGTAAGAAAGAAAACTGGAAATTCCAAACAAAGGACTCATTCTCAAAGAAAAGCTCTTGGCAGTCCATGAAATTATGGGTGAATGAACGACATAGGTTTTAAGTTAAAATAAAATGTTGAATGTATAGTTATTTTATGATTAAGGGGAATCATAAACATCATGATGGGTCATAGATTTGGATGTTCCCTGCAGCAATGGGAAGCTGCTGAAGAATTCTGAATAGGCAGTGACATGCTGGGTTTGCCTTGTTGGGTGCGTCACTCCAACTGTGAGCCATTATATGGCCTGGGGTGGTGATAAGAGGAAAAGAGATCTGTAAAGAGCCTCTGTAATCTGTGAGTGGTAGGAGTCCCAAATCAAGAAAATGGAGATGGAAAGAAGAGGACAGAATAGAGAGATCTTTGGAAGCCTACGTAGAACTAATAGGCTGAGATGATTGGGTCTAGGGGTTTGTGGTCTGAGTGATGGGTGGGCTGAAAATGCCTATAATTAGTTCATGTTAGGTTCCAATGCAAATAACAAGGACCAAATATAAATAGGATCTAATCAAGATAAGAGTTGGTACATGGTATGTGCTGTGCCTCAAACAAGCATCCCCTTCTCAGGTGTCTTCCCAGGACCAAAATGTCCACATAGAAGTGTTACAAGAAAGGGGTCCCAATCCAGACCCTAAGAGAAGGATCCCAAACAGCATGACTGTGGTTTTTCTCGCCATGGGCCTTCAGGCAGATAAATTTGTGTCCAATATATAAGGGCTGGTGAAATTTCTTTTCCTTCCATTCTGTGCATTTATGTATTTTTCCACTTATTTTAAGGTAAAATCTGCATACAGCAAAATGTCTCCCTTTTAGTGTTCACGTTTTGCTATTGTAATAAATGTATCCAATTGTGTAATCAACATCACAATCAAGATATAGAACAGTTCCATCAAACCCCCCAATTCCTTTGTGTCCCTTTACAGCCAACCCTTTCCCTCACCCATTGCCCCTGGCAACTGCTGAGCTGTTTTCTGTCCACAGAGTTTTGCCTTTTCTGGAATATCACAGAGGTGGAATCATGTGATTCATCCATGTCGCTGTGGCTATCAGTGGCTCATTGTTTGCATTGCTGGGTAGATTCCTTTGCGTGGAGGGACCACATCCATTGTTTACCCACTCACTGGTTAAAGAACATGTGGATTGTTTTCACATTTGGGTGATTACTAAAAAAAAAAATAAATATTAGCGTATCGATTTTTGTGTGAACATAATTTTTCAGATCACTTGGGTAAGTACCTAGGAGTAGGAGTGCCAAGGCGTATGGTAAGTGTGTGTTTAACTCTGTAAGAAAGGGCTACACTGTTTTTCCAGGGCTTAAAGCTTTTGTTCCATAGGAAACGGGGAGAAAGTTTGGGGCAGGACTTTCTGCCCAGCCCCTAGCAGCTGCTACTGCTTCTCTTCGACTGGGCACTACTGGAGGGCTTTCGAGGGTCTCTCACTGCCCCCAGGCTTTCGTGTGAGTACCCAGCATGGCCTGTGGAGAGGACCGTGCACCCATGTGGGTGCAACTTCCCCCTTCTGTCTGTGGCCCCAGGGCCTCAATAGTCTCTCATTGGCCCACATGAAGCCCTTAGCAATTTGTTAAAATTGTAGCTGAATTCTCCTTAGTTGTGTCGACAGCATCTGCCCCAGCTACATACATGCAGGCGAATCTGTACTTGGACGTGCCAGTCTTTCCTTAGACTTCTGGTTGGTAGCCCTGTGACTTCAGCTGTGATGGGTCAGGAAAAGGTGTGAGTTTGCAGACTGCCTGCATTTGTTGTTGTTGTTGTTGTTGTTGTTTTGTTATGAGGTTAGGAACAATGGTCTTCCCAGCTCTCTGCATCCCATGTGGAAACCAGGAGTCCTGCAGGTGAAATTTTAAGTATGTGGACTTTTGAACCCTGGTTTATTATTACACAAAATTAAAGAGTATTGCCCTCTATCTCAGGGTATTCAGAAAAGAACAGGTGAGATCTGCTGGAAGATTGCTTTGTCACTTCATCATTCACTCAGTTTTTATTAAACCTCTTTGAGCCAAGGGCTGAGTGAGGTGCTGGAGTGTGAATAGTGAATTAAGGGAGGTTACTTGTTCCCAAGGAGCTTGCAATCTACCGTAGAGACAGACTCCATCATGGAGTACCTGGAATGCTAGGAGGGGAAAATTAGACACGATCAAGTGCCAAGGGTGGAAGGTATAAAATGTGGTCTGCATGGAGGAGAATGGGGGGGATGAGATAGGTGGTCAGCTGGGAAAGTCAGGAGTTGCAAAGGAAGCTCACAGCTGGGGCACCAATGACGTGCCAGAGAGTGGTAGAAGGGCTTCTTGTCCAATACTCTATCCAATCCCTGTAACATCTCTGCAAAATGGATGTCATTACCAAGGTGAGTTGGTTTAAAGAGGGTAAACGGCATGCCCAGGTCAAGAGTCAAACTCAAGTTTGTCTTTACTGAAGTTACCGTGGTGGCAGGTGGAAAAATGCCCCCCAGAGATATCCATGTCTTATTCCCTGGAATCTGTGCATATGTTAGTTTACAAGGCAAAGGAGCACCCAGGTTGTGGATGGAATTAAGGTGTTAATCGCAGACTTTGAGAGGGTAAGAATGTCCTGGATTAGCCAAGTTGGTCCAGTGTTATCACAAGGGTCCTTGTAAGTGGAAGAGGAATGCAGGAAAGAAAAACCTAGAGGGGTGGCGACTAGAGAAGAGCTTGGCTTGCCATTGCTGGCTTTGAAGATGAAGGAAGGGGCCATGAGCAAGGGATGGGTGGCCCCTGGAAGCTGGGAAAGGCCAGGGCACAGATTCTCTCCTCGAGCCTGCAGAAGGAACGCAGCCCTGTGGCACCATGATGTTAGCCCAGTGAGACTGCGTTGGGTTTCTGACCTCCAGAACTTTAAGATAATATCTGTACTCTTTGAGACCCTAAATTTGTGGTAAGTTTTAACAGCATCAGTAGAAAACTAAGCTGGAACTTAAGCTGGAATTTTAAATTCAATCGCATTTCAACAGACATTTCACACCTGGGAGCCACATATGCTAAACAAACAAACAAACAAACAAACAAAAACCCAACAGAGGTAGGTGAGTGAGACTGCCTGATTCACCCTCTGCTAGCTGTACTACCTTGGGCATGTTATTTAAAATTTTTAAGGCCTCTGTTTCCTTCTCTATAAAATAGAGATAATAAAATATCTGCCTCAGAATGGTGTGAGGATCAAATGAGATAATGCATTAAAATAGGTTAGCATGGTGCCTGCTGTAAACTAAGTGCTTAGCAAATAATTATCACCATCAACATCATCGCCATCACTACCATGATCATTATCTCCACATAATCAACTTCATCACCATGATTATTGGCATGACAATGTTTCATCACTGTCACTATCTCTATCGCCATCACTACCATCATCATCTTCACACCACCATCATCATCACCATCATTACTGGCATCATCATCACCCTCATCATCATGATTGTCATTGGAGAGTCTCAGGGTTGGGGGAAGGTAGGGGTGAGGAGGAAAGGGACCATTGAAGAACGTTACCTTACAAGCCCTTCCTCCTCCTCTTCCTCTTCCCTCCACATAAGGTGTCTCTGTATGGAGCTAAAACAGGAACCTCCCTATAGGTTAGATGTGGGGCTTTAGACCCAGGAAAGGCTCTGGCTGGGACATTCCAGGTTCTAGTACTTAAAGTCCCAAACTCCAGGAAATCCCTCAGTCTTGGGCAGCCTGGGCTGGTTGGTCACCCTTGTTGCACCTTGGGTCTGTCTTTTGTACTCCATCAAATAGAAACTTGGGCTTGCAGGGACCTTAGAGACCATCTTGTCTAAGCCTCATGCCAGGCTGAACCCTCTCCCGTTGTGGTTTTCTCATCTCTGCTTTTATATATCCAGGGATCAGAAGCTCCCAACTGTCTCAGACAGCCCCTGCTGTCTCGGCAGCTCTGACTCTGAGCAAGACAGAGAGATGAGTTGAGGAGCAAGGATCCTGTAGGGGAAGAACCTGAACTCTGATCCTGGCTTTTCAGTTCACCAGCTGGGTGGTCCTGGCTGAGTTCCCATATCCCACACAAACGGTACACAGACCTCAACCCCCTGCCACCCCTGCCTCCTGTTAGGTGTGGTGGGCCCTGGATCTGTGTGCTGAGCACCTTTGCTGGCAGCCTTGTGGAGCTCTGAGCTTGTCAAAGCCCCATTTGAAACTTCAGGTCTGCATGGCTCTCATTCTCAACGTGCCAAGCTTGATTCATACCTGAAGGACCTCCACTTCAAATTTGGATGGAAGGTCACATTGTGGGACTTCCTGAGAGCTAAATAATACTCCCCAGAAGGCAGGGGGCAAGTCTTCATTCTTAGGAAGCAGGAGCCAGACACATCAGTTCCTGCTGCTTCCCCCCTTCCATGGAGTGGGGCATGACTGGCAACAAATGGGTATATGGCATCTTTTTGGGGAGTGATGAAATATTCTTAAGTCAGATGTATTGATGGGTGCACAGCTCTGAATGTATTAAAACTACTGAACTGTACACTTTTAATGAATGAATTTTATAGTATGTGAATTACATCTTAAAGCTGTTTAAAAAACAGTGACATAAATGACTTATGTTTTAAAGTACACATATATGTATACGAATATATGGTAAAATATATGTATACTGAAAGATACACTTAATGAAAGGCATATATGTGGGGGCCAGGGAGAGAGAGAGAAAAAGGAAATGAAGAACATACTACCAATTGTAAATAGAGATGAAGAACAACGTGTATATGTGTTACAGATGTTTCTTGTACTGTTTTTGTACTATTCTCTCAACTTTTCCATACGCGTTTTAATTTTTCAAAATAAAATGTTGGAGAAAATAAGCTTGCCATCCTTGGACTCAGGAAAATATCCACCCATTTGAGAGCCTACCAATGGCCCCTGCTTATTTGGCAAAGTCATCAGCTCTGCTTCTAACTGTTCAGTCTCCCACCCTGAGCTGCCTGTCTCCAGACCTCATAGTAAGAAAACTTGGGCTTTCAAAGCTTGGTCCTGCACACCTGCTGACAGACTCCTGGGAACCCTGGTTTCACTTTACTGAGGTAAGCAGTAACTTGATTTGCAGCCCTGAAGGTCCTTTCTCAGGTGTGCTGACTTAGTGCGAAGACACCCTCCATAGGAATTACCTGGGAGCAATTTTCTTATCATGCAGAGCCCAAGACTTCAGCCTGCACCTTCTGAATTGGAACTTCAGACTGAGAAATTCTAGATGAATAGATGGGTCTCAATGTACTTTTCCATCTTCATTTCACTGTTGGTTTGGCAAATACATAGCAAAGGTTCCAGGTCAGAAAAGGCAGCAATGGGTGTGACTGACAGATGCAAAATGGAGTCAACCCAGGGAACAGACTCTGTAGATGTCCACAGCCAGTGTCACGTAGCCACCAGACATAGCAGGCCCTTGTCAGACAAGATTCCTCTCGACTACATCTCCTCCTGATAGAAGCGTCAGGAAGCCCTGGCATTGTCCCCCCAGCCTTCAAAGCACACCTGAGGAACAGTGAGAACAGCACACAGGCAACGCCTTCTGACTTTGGCCAAGAATGGTCCTGCGAGACATCATGGGTCACTGCTCGTGTTTCTTCCCACACATCCCTTGTCTGGCACCTGACATCAGGCGGATGACTCAGCTTCAGAGGCTAGAACAGGCCTCCAGCAGGAAGCAGGAAATCTGCAGAAAGGCTGCTTCACTAGCATCCTGGGGCTTGGGAAGGAGGTCAGCCCTATTTTTCACAAGCCTACCTCCAACTGTGAGTTTTATTAGTAACCCAAAATATTATATGTGATTACCTGTGGGCCTTTGACAACAAGAGAGGGAAAGGTAACCTCATTAAGTCCTCTATCTTTAAATGTTTGAAAAATGTGACCCACTCAGAGGGATCTCAAATTCTGCTTCATTGAATAAGATGAATCTTGGCACGTAAAAAACACTTAAATCGCTTGACAAAGTTTTGCTTATTTGCTGTTGAACTATATATATTTTTAACAGCCAAGTAAAACCCCAAAGTGGTAATTGCCTTAAATCACCTTCATGAAAATGGGGAAAGAATCTTTCTAGTCTGAGTGAGGCTCTGCTCCTGGGGTTGAGGAAGATTTGAGGCTTTGCTTGAATAATTTTACCAAGTCTACTTGAAGTGGAAGATTTAAAAATTTCAGCAATTGTTAGTTTATTGGCATCATTAGATGAAACCCATTCAGCTGTTTGTTAGACGTTAGCTGACTTGTTCCCTGCTCTAAAATCTGTCAGGTGAGGCAGGCAACATTCTCCACTTGGTACTTTACCAGGGTGGAGGCTTTGGTTGATGGCCCCCAGCAGGCTGGCTGTCTTGGAGGAGAGACCTCCAGAGTAGAGGCATGGGGTGCAATGCAGGCCACTGCCCCATACTGAGGATTGACCAGGTCGATGGTGGCCTGAGTCCAGATCACATCAAGTGATCCCCCTGCCCAGAATTTCAAGGCTGCAATGAGCTACAGTCATCCCACTGCACTCCAGCCTGAGCAACAAAGTGAGACCATGACTCTGAAAAAAAAAAAAAGCTTTTGATGGGGCTTTGCCTTTACTTTTTCTCTGGGAAATACTTGAACAGTGACCCAAACTAATTCTTAAGAATTTGGAAAAGATCAGGAAATAGAAAGGAAGTTCATATTGATTGGTTTTCTACTGTTTTAAGCATTATATGTGCCATGTGCCAGTTTTTTCACATTTATTATCTAATTTTACTCTTCAAAACCATGTTATTGTTACCACTTTTCAGATAAAGAAAGTACAGCTTCAAAAATCTAAGCCATTTGTCCGATGCAGAACAGCATTTGACAACTATGGAGGTGACTCTGATGACCTGGCTCTACCTCAGCATGGGGCCCTGTGTCATTGATAAGTGTGGTATTAGCCGCCTGATTCGCTAACCCACAGTTCAGAGCAGGGGTGGGCCAGGCAGATATTAGAACAGAAATGAGGACCAAGACTTGCTTAAATAAGCAGGCAGCAAGCTCGGTGAGCAGACAGGATCCAGGTGACGCGGTGCAGTAATGTGGGGTTGTGGTCAGCACCATGGACAGCTCCCCTGTTGCTTCATATTGAGGAATAGGAAAGCGCCGCTATCTCCGGATCCTGGCTAGCTCCAGCCACTGCAGGTAACTGTCTTGAATGGGCTTAGAAACATGGTGATGTCTGCAGCGAAGGGCTGGCAGTGGATGTGGGCTCTGCCTGGGCGATTCGGGTCTCTGCGGGCTGGTGATGGAGATGTTCTTTCAGGTCTCTGTGCTTTTTCTCACTAGTGTCCACTTTGTCCAGGGCCTAGATCGCCCCTGGGCTCAGGCAGAGATCCAACTGAGAGCCCCTTCGCCAAGATCTTAGCACACATAGTGTCAGGAGCTCCTGAAAAATGTTTAACATTGATAGAAAAAGTGGGATGAGTAACAAAAGAATCTTTAAATTCCCCAAATGGAAAAATGTCATCTGGCTACAGATCTTTAAACAATATTTCTAAATCTCTGCTTCAAATACTCGCAAAGCCTGGAAAAGAAACAACCCGTCACAACAATATTGAGAACTAAGATTGATGTTATGTGAGGTAAGGCCAAAATCTGCCAGTATTTGTAAGGGATATGAAGCTTAAACAGCAAAACCTAACCAGGCTTTGTCCAGCTTTGTCCAGCAGAAAAGCAAATCTCTGGCATTTCCCAGGCTCACCTGGAAAGAGGTTGGTGGCTCACTGTGCAGCCCTGGGTTGCTCATTTCCAGGAAGTTTCCCATCCTCTTCCACTTTCCTCCCAGAATACAGAACTAGGGAAGAAACCCTTACATCAAGCAGAATTGATGCACATTTATCCCTGATGATGTGTTAAAACATTTGCAGGCATCTGTGCCCCATGCATTTTTTTTTGCAGTAGCTCCATGAAGACACATTTAGAGCATATATAAGAGTTCTTCAGTTGCATAACAACATGAATGTACTTAATGCCACAGAACCTGAAAATGTACACTTAATAATAGTTAAGATTGTGCTATGGTCTGAATGATTGTGTCTCCCCCAAACTAGACTGTTGAAACCTAATGACCAACGTGATGGTATTAGGAGGTGGGGCCTCTGGGGGGTCCCTCATGAGTGGGATTAGTGCCCTTATAAAAGAGGCCCCAGAGTGCCATCCATGAACCAGGAAGAAAGACCTCCTCAGACTCCAGATTCACTGACATCTTGATTTTTGACTTCCCAGCCTCTAGAACTGTGTGAAATAATTTTTTTTTCTAGATGAAGTCTTGCTATTGTTCCCCAGACTGGGAACAATACCATTGCACAATGGTATGATCTCCACTCACTGCAACCTCTGCCTCCTGGGTTCAAGCAATTCTCCTGCCTCAGCCTCCTGAGTAGCTGGGATTACAGGGGTGCGCCACCACACCTGGCTAATTTTTGTATTTTTAATAGAGATGGGGTTTCACCATGTTGTCCAGGCTAGTCTCAAACTCCTGACCTCAGGTGATCCACCTGCCTTGGCCTCCCAAAGTGTTGGAATTACAGGTGTGAGCCACCATGCCCGGCCAACTTCTGTTGTTTTTAAGCCACCTAGTTCATGACGTCTTGTTACAGAAGGCTGAACAGACTAAGACAGTGGTAAATTTTATGTTGTGTATATTTGATCACAATTTAAAACTACAAAAATTTTAAATAAAAGCAAAAAAAAAAAGGAGTCCTTCAATTAGTTATTGCTGTGTAACAAGCCACCGCAAATTTTCGTGGCTTAAAATAGCAACCATTTTATTGTTTGTGATTCTATGTTTGTGCAAGACTTGTGGGGAAGGTTCCTCTCTCCTGCACTTGGTACCAATAGGGCAGCTCACCTGCCACCAGAGAATCCAAGGTGACCTCACTTGCATGTGTAGGGCTTGTCTGGCTCTCGGACAGAAGGCTGTGGTTCTTTTTCATGTGGTCTCTCTCTATTCATGGACTCTCATCACTCAGCAGTCTAACCTGAACTTTTTTATACAAAAATTGGCTTTAAGAGGGCAAAAGTAGAAGCTGCCAGTCCTCTTAAAGTGTAGGACCTTGACTGGCATATTGTCACTCCTTCTACATCCTTTTAGTCAAAGCAAGTTACAAGAGCTGAAACTCAAGGTGAGAAGCAGGAAAGACTACAACCTTTGCTGGGAGGAGTCGCGCACCTGGAGGGGAGGAATTGTTGGTGGCAATTTTTTTTTTTTTTTTTTTTTTGAGACGGAGTTTTACTCTTGTTTCCCAGGCCAGAGTGCAATGGTGCATCTCAGCTCACTGCAACCACCGCCTCCCAGGTTCAAGCACTTCTCCTGCCTCAGCCTCCCAAGTAGCTGGAATTACAGACACCTGCCACCACGCCCAGCTAATTTTTTTGTATTTTTAGTAGAGACGGGGTTTTACTATGTTGGCCAGGCTGGTCTTGAACTGCTGAAATCAGGTGATCTGCCTGCCTCAGCCTCCCAAAGTGCTGAGATTATAGGTGTGAACCACCATGCCTGGCCCAGTGGCAATTTTTTTTAGATGATCTCCACAATGAATCTCATCATCCTCCTTCTTAGTCCTGTGCTGAAGTGGCAGGGTGAGCAAGGACCCCAATGTCAACTTTGGAATTGCATTTAGGGTATAATTCACCCCAGAAGGAAATTTCAATATGGGATCTCAGAGATGTACACATATGTGCACATATAGATTAGGGTTTGGAAGAAGAAAGGGATCTTAAAGTTTATTTCTCCTTTTACATAAGAAGGAAAAAAGCCCACTTGTTACATGATTCACCATTATTTAGTAAGAGAATAAGAATAGATACTAGGCTGGCTATATCCCACTGCCCTCTACCAAACACACATACCACCCCCTCCCCACCGCCACACAAAGACTCACACAATGGGGAGAGGGCTTTAGAGAGGTACATTTAGGTTATGGCATCACTTACAATTATTACAGAGCAAATTCATTGAATTTAAAATCTTAATGTGGCAAGTTAATTTCCCATTCAATATTTAGCCAGAACTCCAGCTGGAAGCAAAGTCATCTTCCCCATAATTTCTCCTGTTGACTGAGCTGCGCACTGACAGGTGCTCTGAGCATGCAGATTAAAGTTAGATGAGATTGGCTTCTGAGGCCAAGCATTTTCAGACAGACCTGAATGACTGCAACTATAGGCATTTTGGATTTTTTTCACTGCCTTATCTGGCCCTGTGAGCTTCCTGAAGAAAAAGCTTGGGCAAGTCATTTCTTGTAGATATCAGCATGGAAGAGAAGCAAGATGTGTCCTTGGCAGGGTCCCCCTGGAAAGGCTAGGACACCCTGGGGCTGCCTATCTCTGGACCAAGAAGTGATGCTGGGAGAGTGACCAGGACACACACAGCTAAATAATGCACTGTGCTCCCCTGATGCTGTTTAAGGACCCAGGAGCCAGCAGGGGCCACCACAGTTTGCACCCCAAAGCAGAACATATGAAAATGGTTAGGGGTCAGCAGGTCACACTCAGCTATGCACACAAGTCATTGCCTTGCCCATCTCTTCTCCTACCACCCTATCTTCAGTAGCCCTCACTCAGAGTTTTATTGACATCACCCTGTTTATATCCCTCCTACATTGATTATATGTGATCAACTTGTTTATTTATTTGTTTCCTGTTTATAGTGAGGTTCACCCAAGGGGCTGCAGCTGACTTGTTCATGGCTGTGTCCCCAGTGCCCGGAACGTGGTGGGTATCCATTGTTTGTT
This sequence comes from Homo sapiens, assembly GCF_000001405.40. Lineage (NCBI taxonomy): Eukaryota > Metazoa > Chordata > Mammalia > Primates > Hominidae > Homo > Homo sapiens. Next base: position 123,618,770 of record NC_000010.11, read on the forward strand.
GAAAAAATGAATTGAATAAAATTAAATTCCATGAACGTGTGACCCGGGGAAGGTCTGTTACAAAGTCACTGAAGGAGGAGAGTTTATGGGTCTTGGAAAGAGGAGACATGGGGTCAATCCTAGGCCTGCCATTTTGTGTGTGGCCTGTTCATTCAGGCAGGGATTTTAGAAAAGAGAATGAAGCTGAAAGGAGTTTATTGAATGGACATTTGGAATTTCACATACTTTTTGAAGGAAGAGGAGAACTGGCTTCTAGGAGCAATGCTGAAAATGACACTGAAGAACTGGCCTGATGAGAAACCACATCTGCGCTGGCATTTTCTTGCTGTTCTAATTGCAAAGCACTGACTTGTCCACACAGTCATTCCCTTAAGCTTCTGTCACTTTCCCCATCCTCACAATGCATCTTGCAAGAAGCCACATTCCTCAGTCCAAACACATCCAATATACTCAATAGATGGAGCCCAGGTCCAAGCCTCCACCCAGCTACAGGGAGAGAGGAAACTGGAGTTGGTGGGAAGCAAGACTCAGAGGCGGAAAGTTGCCCAAACACAGGAAGACTGTTCAAAGGGTCCTGGTTGACCAGAAAACTTGACAATGGTTCATGACAGCAGCTTCTGTCTCAGTTTTTCATCTGCAACACAGGCCAGCCCTGCTACCTCCTCAGGTAGTTCTAAGAAATTGTAATGTAAATTGCTAGAGTGCTCAAATGGCTTCTGAAATGGCTCTCAGAATGCTGAGGTGGGAGCACTACTCTACTTTTTAGAAGAGAAGGAGGGAAAAGGGAGGAGGGGAGAAGGGGCTGGGGAGCCACAGCAGAAAGGCCTGAGGTCAGTGTGAGTATTGGAGCCACACTCCCTGTGCTGCTCCCGTCCTCTGACCTGTAGTCGCTATGGCCTCTCCTAACAGCAGAAGCAACACGTGCTGTTACATGGTGTTCGCACATTTCGGGGGCAGCCAGGCTTTTTGCATCCCAGCACATCCCTCATTTCAACTGATCCTAAGAAGGAGGAAATTATGTTCTTATTACACAGATGAGGGGTGCAGAGAGGCGTGAGAGCTCTCAGATATTTGGCAGTTTGGATACATTAAAACTGGCTTATCCCTTCTGGAAAAAAAAGGATGAATACAACTTTGGTGATAGTGGACCCTTGCAGAAGGCCTGCTAAGGTCAGAAAAAGAGGGATCTTTCCCTGCCTCTCTCGGAACCCATCCTGTCTCCATTCTCTATTGAGAAAGGCCAAAGCCATTGGCCAAGACAAAGAGGTCTGCCGGACCAGGGTTCTGGGGGTCAGAGGCTACAGCATGAAGACAAAGGTATTTGGACCCTCCCCGGTGTAAGCTCACCGGGAAGCATTTCATCTCTTAGAACCGTCCCCCAGTTCTAGATTGTCCTTTATCTCCAGGGCCTCCTTTGGATTAGAAGCAGAAGCCCACCCCTTCCTCAGAAAGCCAGGAAGGGACTGGCTGGTGGCCCAGAGGAAAGGAGGCGCTACTCAAGTTGCTTAGGACAAGTAGAAGGGGTCCTTGCAACTCCAGTGACCCAGCCATTTTTGCTAGAGATGGGGACCAGAGAGGGACTGAGGACTGGACCTCAGCTGCAACAGGGTGACTTCTCTGAGGGGTGCTGTGCACTCCAAGGACAACAGAGATGCCTGAGGTTTCTTACGAGGGGACTATTTGTCAGATTCAGTGCTGGGCCCTTGCTTGGGCTTTTCTCATCTTAGCTCATCATCGAAGCTTCACGACTACCTGTAGGCCAGACGATCACTTTCATTTTAAAGATCAGAATCTGACACTCAGGAGACAGGGGCCATGCATGCCAGGAGCCACCCGGGCAGTAAGTGGCTGAGCAGGAATGGATGGCAAATGTGGCTGCTCCCAAGCTCATGACTCCCAGCCGCCATCCACTTCCTCCATTGATATTTTCCTGCGTCCTCAGCTCTGCCTCCACCTGCAGCTCAGTGCTCACTGTTGCTCCACCAGCTGCAATCTTAACTGTGCCCCAGCCACCAAGGCTGTCTCTGATGCAAGAGGGCACCGGCTGTGTCCTCTGGTTAATGCACTCTTGCCCCACCTGGGCCCTGGGACTCTCCTACCCCTACACCGTACAGATCTTGACATGTTAGTTGCCTGACACCTCAGTTCTCTTATCAGAAAATACTTAACCCAAAATGAGTAAGATGACGCGTGTGAAGCCCTTCTCCACTATCAGACACGCCGTCAGTGCTCCATGCGTTCTGCTGCTGGTGTATTGTTGCTGTTTCTCTTAGCAGTTCTGTTTATCTGGCCTGTTTCAGCCTCACCAGCCAGAGGCAGATGTCAGAAAGCCCATCCCTACATCTCTAAGGCATGCGAGTGAACCGGGCAGCTGGGTGTTGTGAGGAAATCACATTTAAGCTTCTAGCTAATCTGTAAGTTATAAAGGTTAGAAAATAAAGAGAAAGAGAAAGAAAATGTATATTTTTGTACCATGAGACAGACAGCCTTAGCAAAGTAGCAGGTTCTTTTCAAAGTGCTCTTTGAAAATAAGTTTCCTATTTTTAGCTTAATGACATTCCAGACTAGCCAAATGATTAAATATTGAAATAGGACCGGCGATCTTGAGTTTCATCCGGCTGATCAATTTAAGATGAGGCAGCAGAAGAAAATGCAAATGTCAAATTACCAAATCCAAAAGAACTCCACGCTGAGCCTTGGCAAAATGTTACAGGAGGCCCACCGGGGCATTTTTATATTATTTTTGCCCTAGAGGTAACATGCAGGGGGAAAGGATCAGAATTCTCACCACCCAGTTCTTCCCTGAAGGCCAGCACTGCTGGGAAAGGTGGTTTATGTTGGCTAACAATGTACACAGTGCAAGATTCAGAGCAGTTGGGAGAAAAGCCAAGGAGCCTGAGGCATGGCTTCTGCCTGGGCTTCTTCCTATGAATCTGGAGCCAGTCCCAGCAGATTGGCTCTAGAAAACTCACCCAGCCTCCTGAGAAGGCAGTGGGTGCCCTCCCATGTCAGAGATGGTGCTGGTGGCTAGAGCACAGTTGAGGTTGCAGCTGATAGAGATGAGAATAAGCGCTGGTCTGAGGGTGGGGACAGAGTTGAGGCTGCAGGAAAACATCAAAGGAGGAAGTGGATGGTGGTTGAGGGGCATGAACTTGGAAGCAACCACACCTGCCATCCATTCTTGCTCAGCCACTTACTGCCCAGGTGGTTCTGTGTCTCTTCTGGGCTGTAAACACAATTGCTTTAGTCACTAGGATTGATAGACAGGAAAAGCTAAGAAAACACCACAACCATGTCCCACATATAAAAACATTACAGCTATGATGTACAAGAAAAACAAAACCAGAAAAACCCCAAATGCCTGTGGAATAGGGAGCATTGCACTTAAAGGCATTACGGCATGCCTTTTCAGTGGAATTTCAGTGGAATTCCTTGCAAGAGAGATGGGAGAGGGATTCTTTCCACTGAATACCTTTATATGCTGTTTGGGCTCGTTAAACATGTGTGTGTATCACCTTTTCAAAAAATAAAATATTATGAGATATTTAAAACTTTAAGATTACAAAACACAATCAAATAAGCTCAGAGACTGTTCTTTCTCAAATCTGCCTTCTGTTCATGATGCCCTTGCCCCAGCCTGCAGCTACACACTGTCAAAACCACAGATTTATTGGAGGAGCAGAATCTGCATGGTTCAAGAATCATATTACTCACATTGTGAAATTAACTTGCCAAAATAGTTACCCCAGCAGCCCCATCTGGACACAGCTCTGTGGACCCAGCTGTCATATTTTCAAAATCAAGTCACATCCTTACTTAAATTGTTTCTGCATTACTCTTCTCCCGGCACCAAATAAACATTTTCCGGCTCCCCACACATGCATCTCTATGATTTGACCCTTAACGGCCTTCCTAATCCTCTTGCCATTTTCCCCCACTGTCCAGCACTGTGCTTAGTCAACATATATTCATTGAACAAATGACTGAAATTCACTATTTAGAGACTATTTTTCTCCAGCCACTGCTCTACATCTGTTCCATGAAACACACTTTCCACACTCCCAAAACTTTGCACATGCTGATCCCTCAACTTCAGATGCCTTTCCAGGTCCTCTCTTCTCCACTCAGAAAATCCTCATTCACCTTTCAAAGCCTGGTGCCAGTGCTGCATCTCATGTGAGCCTTCCCCTTTTTCTTTCCATATAGTTGCAGCTCCATATTGAGCACAGGGCTGGGATGTGAGTGGGGGATTAGGTGGCATGTGCTGGGGTCTTAACATTAGTGTACCAGACCCCCAATTCATACGTTGGAAACTAATGCCCAGTGTCATAGTGTTAACACGTGGAGCCCTTAGGAAGTGATGCCGACCCTCATAAATGGGATTGGTGCCCTTATAAAAGATTTTGAAGGAGGCGCCCCTATGCTTCTTCCTTCTGCCATGCGAGGAAGCAGCAAGAAGGTGCTGTCTATGAAGAACAGGCCCTCACCAGACACCAAAGCCGCTGGAGGCTTGATCTTGGACGTTACAAAGATCAAAGAATGTATTGCTCCAAAACTGTAAGCAATAAATTCTATTGTTTAAAAATTGCCCAGTCTAAGGTATTTTGCTATGGCAGCCTGAATGGACTGAGGCCACATGCAGGTAGGGTCTCAGAGATCTGTGGCTCTGGATGACGAGGTCAACTTTTGCCTGCCCTCCACACCTTCAGCATTTCACCTGCTTGAACCATTGGTCATTTAACCAAAACCTCTGGAGCAAGGGGGAGTGTATTGTAAAGAAAGAGGTAAGGGGGGTGAGGAGGCCAATGATGATGATGGCAAGGATGAAGAAGGCATAGGTGATGGCGGTGAAGATGACGAAAAGGATGAAGAAGGCAATGATGATGGTGGTGACATTAAGGAACCTGCCTTGGACAATTGCTGAAAATAGAGAAGATGGCAATGTCGGCAGTGAGGAGGACCACAGGAGATAGCTATGCTATAATGAAGGTGACAGTGACCATCCATGTCCTGCCAGTGAGAGCCACAGATTACAACCAAATGCCTGTTTTTTTTTTAACGTGCCCCAGTTGTTGAATGACCAAATGCCTGGTTTGATGGTAGCTGTGACAGACCATGAGAGGGTAAGGGTGGGGGGAACATGAGTCCTTTTCTGTCCCGGAAAGAGATCACAGCTCAGCTCCACCTCTGCATAAACCTCCAAGCCCTTCTTTCTGCCATAGCCAGTTGAGTGGACACAGTGAATTGCAAGCCCACTGGGGAGCAGCAGGAAAGTAACTCTCCCCCTAGACAAGGAAGTTAACCTGAAGTCCAAAAACTTCACATTCACATACACAAACCCACTGGGCTAATAGCCTGGGCAGGCCAGAGAGAAGAAACAAACAACATGGTGGCTTCTTTCCACAGACACAGTGGCCAGATCAGTGGGGAATGAGAGGGAGGAGGAGGAGAAGCTGGCCAAGGAGCCGGCCAAGCACTCCAGCTGTTAGCATAGTTCCAGAGGGAAACACAGCATTGGGATGACTTATGAAGGCCCGGCACACCAGATTATCTCTAAAGAGGGTTCAAGGCATCTCAGTAGGGCTGGTCTCAACACTTCCACTTTCCAGTTTTAGTCATCAGTCTGGAAGCTGCCCTTCATTACTTACTAATGCAGCCAAAATAATTTGTTGTTTGAATTGTGTCTGTGTCAGAATCTAGTAGAGAAGACAGAGGTGGACAGCATTGGGAATTAAGATCTGGCCCATGGCAGATGGCAGTGGGCATGGTCTGCCTGCCCCACTGCTGGTCCTCAGGGGCTGCAGCAATGAGGAGTCAGATCAGCTGCCCTGCTCCTCCTCACATGGTGTGTGGGGCACTGCCAGCTGGCAGCCTCTTGAAATAGAAAGGAAACCCACTGGAAAAGACCCTGCAGCTTGTCTCTAGCATCTTGTCCTGGTTAGCGACAGCATATCATTCCATCCGTAAATACTTCCACATGTATCCCTAAAATCTCCCAGATAACTATCATGTCATAACTGATGCATGTGTCAGAGACCCTCACAACCTGCTCACAGTCCTGAGCCCTTCCAGAGAGGGGAGGCCTGCTGGCTAGAGCTGCACATCAGGGGTCTTCAGGGAAACTGTACATCTTGGGGCATACACAGAAACAAGAACTTACAAGAATTCCATCTAGCATCAAATGTCCAGCCAATGTTTATATTTCCTTAGTTGCCTTATAAATTTTTTTTTTTTCCACAATTTGACTTGGGATCCAAGTAATGTTTGTGTATTAGGAATGGCGGGTGGCCACTCCATCTATACTTTTCCCCACTTACAATTTTTTTGTTGAAGAACCCATCCATGTCCTTAGTCCTATAGGATTTCCTATTATCTGGATCTTGCTAATTTAATCCCAATGGATTCAATAACTTATTTTTCTGTTAAATCGATGGTTAGAGCTAGAGCCTTCATCAGGTTCAAGTTTGATTCTGTTTGGGTTTTCTTGGCAGGACCATTTTACTGCTAGCACTGTGTTCTTCCATCAGAGAGCATAAAATGTTGCTTCTCTCCCATTTTGTGATGTTAGGCATCAGTGGGAACCATTTGTGCTGGTTTTAAAGGACAAGGCTGAGTTCATTGAGGAGATGAGGAGTAGGAGGAAGGGTGTTCCAGAGAAAGCTCAGAAAGAAAAGTGAATGACCCACCAGGGAAGACAAGACGCTCTGCACAGTTGGAGCAGAAAGTGCCAGGCAACGGGCAAAAGCTCAGAGGGCCTGGCTGAAGAGACTCCAAAACTGGCGCTTTACGTGCAGGGAAAGATGGAGGAGATGAGTGGCTGTGGTTGTTACTCAGCCCCAGAAGAAGAGTGGGGAAGGCTCCTTGTTCAACCAGCTTTGCTGTTTTAGGGAGCAGTGGGCCATCCCTGCCCAGCTGCACCCAGCCAGGCCAACATCTGGACAGCTGGAGACAGGACCACCTTCTCACCAGCCCAGGGTTCTTCTTTGCCTAAGACTGCCTTGGAAAGAGGTCAGTCCTCCCTCAAAAATACCTTGAATCTCTGAGTTTATCTTAGTTGGCTAGGGCTGGCATAACTAAGTACCATAGACGTGGTGGCTGCACTGAATGTAGCTGGCGGATGGTCAGCTGGACAGCTACGGGGCGAGGTACGGGCTGGTCGGAAGAGCAGGAGAGCTGAAGCTAGAACTCTGGCTCTAAATGTCCAGCTCTACCTTAGCTCTTGGCAAGCACTGTGGCCCTTGCAGTTTTCTCACCTTCTAAATGGGTATTACAAGACATTCCGTGTAAGACCTATACATGGCAAGACCTATACCTGACTCAAAAATTGTAAGACTCCAATGAGTATTCAGCATCAAGGGAATTGAAAAAATTAAAAAGTACTCCACAGCTACAAGGGATTATTATTATTGTATTACTGCATTTATATGACCATTACATAAGCAGGCAGTAATATAATACAGATGAAAACGATAGGCTTTAGAGAGAGATAAATATCACTTTCAGTCCCAGCTTCACCACTTATTTTAGCTCTATGACCTTGTGCATTTCTGCAACTTCTGTGCCTCAGTTTCTCACTGGTAAAATTGGTCTTATACTAACATAAGATTCATATTGCATATTTTAGAACCTACTTTACTGAGGTATTATTTACATACAACAGATGCAAGCGTTTGACATGTATAGTTCAATTATTTTTGACACATGTATATTCTCGTGTATCCACAACCACGATCATTATTACACAGAACATTTTCATCCTCTCAAAAAGCTTCCTGTGACTCTTCCCAATCAATCTCATTTCAAACCCAGACCTAGCTAACCACTGATCTGGTGTGTGTCACTGTAGACAGTTTTTTTCTAGACTTTCCTATAAATGACATCATATAGTATGTACTCTTTGCCTTCTTTTATTCAGCATAATGTTTTTGAGGTTCATCTGCATTGTTGTGTATCAGAAGTTAATTCCTTTCTATTCCTTTGTAATATTCCATTGCATGACTGTATCACAATTTGCTTATCTGTTCTCCTGTTGACCGACATTTTTAATTTTCTGGTTTTGGAAATACCATGAATGAGGCTGCCAAGAATATTTTATGAAAGTCTCTTTGTGAATGTAAGCTTTAATTTTCTTTAGAAAATACCTAAGAGTGAAACAACTGGGTTCTATGACAAGAGTATTTTTAGCTTTTTTTTTTTTTTTTTAGGAAACTGTGAAATTTTATTCCAAAGTGGATATATCATTTTACACTCCCACCAGCAGTGTACGAGAGTTTCAGTTGCTCCATATCTTTGTCTGCACTTGATATTGGCAGTCTTTGAACTTTTTGCCATTCTAACAAGTATATAATAGTATTTCTGTGTGTTTTAGTTTGTTTTCATGATCACAAATGCTACTGATCATTTTTCATTGTTTATTAGCCATTCATATATCTTCTATTATGAGTTGTCTCTTCAAATCTTTTGCATGTTAAATTTGGGGTGTGTTTTATTATTATTTCGTAGGTGTCCTGGAAGCAAGAATTTTGTCAGATATATAATCATAAACATTTTCTCTCAGTCAGTGGTTGCTTTTTTATTTTCTTTTTTTGTGTTTTTTTCTTTCTTTCTTTCTTTTCTTTCTTTCCTTCTTTCTTCTTTCTTTCTTTCTTTCTTTCTTTCTTTCTTTCTTTCTTTCTTTCTTTCTTTCTTTCTTTCTTTCTTTTTCTCCCCTTCCTTCCTTCCTTCCTTCGACAGAATCTCACTCTTATTGCCGAAGCTGGAGTGCATTTGTACAATCTCGGCTCACTGCAACATCTGCCTCCCGGGTTCAAGTGATTCTCCTTCCTCAGTCTCCTGAGTAGCTGGGATTACAGGTGCCTGCCACCACACCTGGCTAATTTTTGTAGTTTTAGTAGAGACGAGGTTTCATCATGTTGGCCAGGCTGGTCTCGAACTCCTGACCTCAGGTGATCCACCTGCTTCAGCCTCCCAAAGTGCTGGGATTATGAGAATGAGCTGCCACCACACCTGGCCTGCTTTTTTTGTTTTCTTATAGATAGTTTTATAAAAAGAGTTTTTAATTTTGATGAAATCAAAATCATCTTTTTAAAAGTGGTTTGTGCTTTTTCATATATTCTAAGACTTGCCTACTCTAAGCTGGTGAATATCTTATCTGTATTTTAATCTTATGTTCTTTTGTAGCAGATTTATAGTTTTTGCTTTTACATTTAGCTCGGTGATCTATTCCAAGTTTCATCTTTGTACATGGAATGAGGTAAGAGTCAAAGTTCACTTTTCTCTGTATATATATCTAGTTTTTTCAACACAATATATTGAAAAGACTAGCCTTTCTCCATTGATTAATCTGGGAATCTTTGTCAAACTTCAATTGGTCATGTATATGTAGGTCTATTTCTAGAATCTCTGTTATATTTATCAATGTATGTATCACATCACTATCATAGTATCTTATTTGATTTTTGTAGCTTTATAATACTTGAAATCAGGTAGTGTAAGTTCCCTAACTTTGTTTTATTTTTCAGAATTGTTTTGGCTATTCTAGGTCCTTTACTTTTATAGATAAATTTAAGTTTCTGGGATGTTTTAAAACATCACAAACAAAGACATTTAGAACTGGAGTTCCTCTGGTGGAGATATTTTTAATTCTGAATTCAATTTTTTAATAGATATTGACCTATTCAGATTTTCTGCTTCCTCTTGAATATGCTTTGGCAATTTCTGTCTTTCAAAGAACGTGTCTATTTTACCTATGTCATCAATATATTGTAATAAAGTTGTTTAAACATTTCATTATTTGCTGTTTAGTGGCTGCAGCATCTGTAGCAGTAATCATTCTTTACTTTTGCTTTGGGAAATTTTGTCTTCTCTTTTTTTCTTTCTGATCAGTCTAACTAGAGGTTTATCAATCTTAATAAAAAAGACAGCCTTGCATTTTATTGACTTTTGCTATTACTAGTTTTTCTATTTTATTAATTTCTGTCTTTATTGTTCACTTCGTCCTACTTACTTCGGATTTACTTTGTTTTTTTCCTTGCTTCTTAAGGTAGAAGTTTGGATTATGGATTTGAGATCTTTCTTCTTTCCTATTACATGTATGTAATACTATAAATTGCCCTATAAATACTGTTTTAATTAAATCCCACTATTTTTGATGTTTTTAGTATTTATTATGTTCAAATTATTTTCTAAATTTTCTTGTCATTTATTCTTCAATCCACAGGTTATTTAGAAGTGTTTTCATTTCCCAATATTGGCATATTTCCAACAGGAAATAAAATAATACTAAACATAATAATATAACCATAAAAAATAAAGAGCATGAGAGACATACCAGGCACAGTCAAAAGGTCTAACATGCATGTCATTACAGTACTGGAAAGTGAAGAGGAAATGGGATACGAGCGAGATCTAAAGAGATGATGGCTGGAACTAGGCTCAAGTTGATGGAAGACATTAATCTAAAAGTCCAAGAAGCTTGACAATCCCCAAACGGAATTAAATACATTAAACACACACACACACACACACACACACACACACACACACACACCCCTAAGCACATCATGGTAAAACTACTGAAAATGAAAACAAAGAGAAAATGTTAAAAGGAACTAGGGGAAAAAACTTCCCATTACCTTCAAAGAAGGAAAAAATAACTGTGATGACTGACTCCCCAGCAGTAAACATGGAAGTCAAAGGCAATGGAATAATACCTTTAAAACATTGAAAGGTGGGGAGGGATCTAGTCATCTGGAATTTTATACCCAGTGAAAAATCCCTCAAACATAAAGGGGAAATAGAACTGTTTTCAGACAAAGCAAAAGTTTAGAGAATTCAAGAAATACTAATGGAAGTTCTTCGGGCTATAACAAAATGATCTCACATGGAGACATGGTATTGCAGGAAGAAATTAGAGGCAAAAGAAAAGGAGACCGATTGTCCATTATTTCCACATGAGCTACACCATGGCAATTCTGAATGAATTGCGCTGCTTTTTTTTTTTTTTTTTTTTCCTGACACAGAGTTTCACTCTTCTTGCCCAGGCTGGAGTGCAATGGTGCAATCTCGGCTCACTGCAACCTCCACCTCCTGGGTTCAAGTGATTCTCCTGCCTCAGCCTCCTGAGTAGCTGGGATTACAGGAGCATGCCACCATGCCCAGCTAATTTTTGTATTTTTAGTAGAGATGAGGTTTTGACATGTTGGCCAGGCTGGTCTGGAATTCCTGACCTCAGGTGATCTGCCCACCTTGGTCTCCCAAAGTGCTGGGATTACAGGCATAAGCCACCATGCCCGGCCTGCAGCTGCTTTTATTGTAGCCTAGGGCCTCATGTAATCTACACTGAAGCTGACAAAATATTTCTACAGAAAAAGTAGTCATGTTTATTTTGTAATAACAGTAAAGAATATCATTGTCATTTTCAGAGAACTGTGATGGCTGATCTGCGTTAAATGGTTCAGGTATGTTTCATTGCAGTAATTGTCATTTGTGGCGAATTCATTTAAGAATTCTCCCAGGTGTGGGGGAATAGCTAAGTAACAAGATTCAGGTGCTTCCATGTAAGTTGGTGACATTAACCTCATATTTTTTCCATCTGTATGAAGAGCTCTTGGAGTTGTATATTTTAAATTACAATATGAAAAATGTAAGTAAAAAGGGAAAATGCATGTAAAGAGTAATGCTTATCTTTCCATATATAAGCTGCAGTTTTGTTTTTGTTTTTGTATTTAAAGAGATGCTGATACTGCTGCTTTACCAATATATAGAAAAGATTTGTATTAAGAAAGCAAAAATGTCTTTTACTTTTACATTTTAAACTTTACATTTCTAGAAGTTACTTTTTAAGTTAGAATATTTAGTTTTCAATATTCATTTACTCAAAAGAAAACACATGAAGTTTTCAGTGGTGTAGTTGCATCCCCTACATGTTGCTCTTATTCTCCAGCATCTTACATTCATATATTTAAAAAAATTGTGCACACTGGCTAACTTTGAACTGCATTTCATAGTTGGTGTAACTGTAACACTTGCCCTTTTTTGAGTGTTTTGCCTTAAAAAAAAGAATCAATACACTGATCTGAATTGTAAGAGTTAAACACACATGACATTGTTCTAAAAAAATAGTTGCTATAAAGTTGAATTACTTAAATGTTGAAAATATTGAGTAATTTAAATCTGTTCTCCAATTGTTTTCATAATTCCAAATATTTATATTACAATATATAACATAAATAAAATTTATATCTTTAAATAAATATAAACATGAAATTTATATGTGTAGAAATGGTTGATTTAGTTTTTTATCTCTAAAAAAATTAGTTATCAAAATTAAAAAGACACTTAGATTATAGGCACTTATTTACAGTTTATAATTTTTCTACTTAAATGTCTATAATGGTGTGGGTTTTGTGTCCATATAATTAAGTTTTAATTTGTCCCATATCTTTCTCTATCTTTTACTGGGTGCTTTTTAAGAATGACCTCAATTTTTGAGAGATTGGCTTTTTTATAAAGCTGTTTCTTGTGGTTATTGAAAAATTACTTTAGGAAAGAATTGTGTAGCCAAGCTGCTTATATAAGGTAAATGGAAAAAGAATATATAAGATTTTTCCTCCATATCAGTTGAGTGTTGTGACTGAGTGAAATGAGATTTCTAAAAGCTTTTCTTTTTTAAAAAAAACTATTAGGAATTTTCAGTGGGAAATAAAACATAAGGTTACAAAAAAGGTGAAAGTAATAAGAAAGGGGAAAAAAGATCTATCAGGAAAATATTCATAAAAAGAGAGCTGGGTAGCTATATTAGTTTTAAACAAAATTAACTTTAAGACAAAAAAAATAGGGATAAAGAAGATCAGTGCATAATGGTAAGATAAAAACTTCCCTGAGAAGAAATAACAATTCTGAACTTATATGCACCCAGTCATAAAGCCTCAACACATATAATAAAACAAAAATGGAAAGAATAAGACAGCATCCCTCAGTTTGGCAAAAGTTTTACTTATTTTAAATATGTGGGCTTGGCTGAAGGAGGTACAAGTTGCAATAACTTTGGAAAAGAATTGGTATTATTTAATAAAGCTGATGAAAAGCAAACCCTTCACCCTTTATTCCCATGCCTGGAGTCACTGCAAAGACACTATCCACCTTTGTGCAGGGGCAAGGAAAAGGGTGCTTGATATATGGAAACATGAAAAATGCCTCAATGTCCCTTTTTAAAAAACTTTTAAGTTCAGGGGTACATGTGCAGGATATGCAGGTTTGTTACATAGGTAAGTGTGTGTCATGGAGGTTTGTTGTACAGGTTATTTCATCACCCAGGTGTTAAGCCTAGTATCCATTAGTTATTTTTCCCGATCCTCTCCCTCCTCCCACCCCCCACCCTCCAGTAGTCCCCAGTGTGTGTTGTTCCCTCTACGTGTCCATGTGTTCTCATCATTTAGTTCCCACTTCTAAGTGAGAACATATGGTATTTGGTTTTCTGTTCCTGCGTTAGTTTGCTAAGGATAATGGCCTCCAGCTGCACCCACGTCCCTGCAAAGGACATGATCTCATTCTTTTTTATGGCTACATAGTATTCCATGGTATATATGTACCACATTTTCTTTATCCAGTTTATCATTGATGGGCATCTAGGTTGATTCCATGTCTTTGCTATTGTGAATTGTGCTGCAATGAACATACCTGTGCATGTGCCTTTATAATAGAACGATTTATATTCATTTGGGTATATACCCAGTATTGTGATTGGTGGGTCAAGGAATTGCAATAAACTAGGTATTGAAGAAACATGCTTCAAAATAATAAGAGCTATATGTGACAAACCCACAGCCAATATCATACTGAATGGGCTAAAGCTGGAAGCATTCCTCTTAAAAACTGGCACAAGACAAGGATGCCCTCTCTCACCACTCCTATTCAACATAATATTGGAAGTTCTGGGCAAGGCAATCAGGCAAGAGAAAGAAATAAAGGGCATTCAAATAGGAAAAGTGGAAGTCAAATTATCCCTGTTTGCAGATGACATAATCCTATATCTAGAAAACCCCATAGACTCAACCCCAAAGCTTCTTAAGCTGATAAACAACTTCAGCAAAGTCACAGGATACAAAATCAAGGTGCAAAAATTGCTAGCATTCGTATACACCAACAGTATTCAAGCCTAGAGCTGAATCACAAACAAACTTTCATTCACAACTGCCACAAAAAGAATAAAATGCCGAGGAATACAGCTAAAAAGGGAAGTACTCTACAAGGAGAACTAAGCGTCCCTTGATGGGAGAGTGTATCAGCTATGGAATATTCATATGACTGGATCACACACAGCAGCTAAAATGAATGGAGTTGCATGTCAGGTTGTGGATGAATCTCAAAATTGTAATGTTGAACAGCAACCGAAAGCTATAATTGTTTATTATGCCACTTTAACAAATAACATTTCCGGATAATGTTTCCTTCGACTGATGGCACAAAGATGCTTGGCTTCCTAGGTGGTGTGACTCAGGGCCCTGGCATGTGGCTGCACATCCAATCTTACTACATCTTACCAGTGTGTCCCTTGGAGACAGGATGCCACCCAGCAGTGTGCCCACTCTCTTAGGAGTGAAGTGAACACAGCAGCCTGGGAAGTAGGCACTTCTAGGGGAGAAGTACATTCTTGGAGAAATTCCCCTTAGGAGACTCATAGAGAAGTCTCAGGAAGAGAGTTTTAATCACCTGGTGCTACCACCTGTGTTCTGCAGTTAGAGAAATGAAGGCTTGGGGAGGGGCAGGACCTCCCAGCATTGGAGTTTGTATGTCTTCAGGTCTGTGGGCAGCACGTGTGGATGCTCATCACCAGGCAAGGTGGTCATGTTCTGTGACGTATTCTGTGCTCTGTGAGCAGAGGAGCTCCTTACTGTAAACAAAGCAGAGTCAGCAATGTGACAGCTGTCTCTGCGGGGTAAGGAGATGGGGGTGAATTATCTCCTTACCGCGGGGCTGGGGTATTCAGGAAAGATAGAGCACCCTTGAGCTAAGGAGTTTGTCAGGAGAGGAAGGCAGAGGAGGGAGAAGAGGGAGCAGTGTGCCAGGTAGAGGGAACCAGACGAGCATGACCTGGAGGCAGGAAGCTGTCTGCACATCCATCTTGAGATGAGGAGGGCATAAGGAGCAGGGCGAGGAAGGTCAGCAGATTCAGGACCTTGGTGTCCCATCACTGTCCCCTCATGGAGTCACAGAGGGCAGAAAGGGTTCTAGGTGTGTTTCTGCCTCCCTAGAGTTTGGAAGGGGGTGGGCAGTCTCATCCCTGATTGTCAATGGGGCAGGGACATCTGTGATCCAGGCTCTCCCATAGCTCACCCTTTCTTTGACCCCACAGCTCTGGGTACGACAGCCAGGGGACCCTGCTGAAATGGTGAAGGAGTTCCACTGGGGTGGGGCTGGGGGGTCAGACAACCAAGCTGAAAACACAGCTCAGGGTGAGGAGTCTGTGTCGCCTGCCGCCCACTCAAGGAAGGTGTTTCAAACCAAGACTGATCAAGCAGCAGGAACTGCAAGGTCTCCCTGAGGGATCACAGGAAGGTGCCGGGCTGGCAAGGGGGCACCTGAAGAGATATTGTCACCTCAGATGGCAGAATCTGGAAGAACATGACAGGAAAATCTCAGAGGAAGCAAATGCTGCACTGTGCTGTCTCAGAAGGGCCCACAGTTTCTCTGGACCTTAGGAATTCCGGGGGACATTGACCAACAGGGCTTGGCTCAGTTGTCGCCGGCTCAGTCATGATGATATTTGGCTGAACCCCATCCACTAAAACCCCACTGTGTGTCAACCCTGTCAGGCCTGGGTGCATGTGTGGGCTCAGAATGGGCTCACTTTGCCCTTCTGCCAAGAAGCCCAAGAACTAAGTTGATTCCTCACCGTTGACATTTAACTGGAGTTTCAGTGAGTTGACAGTCTGATGTGCCAAAGGGACCAGAGTTTCCGAGAGTAGATATATAACTGATGGAGGCTTCTTGGTAGATTCTTCAGAGCCACAAAAAAGGTCAGCTATGACAGCTCAGCCCTGGTGTTTCCCCAAACAGGAAGGCATTCAAAAGTTTCTTCCTCGATCCGTGGGTCTCAAGCTTGCAGTCCACCACCAACCCACCAACACTCCCTCAGGCTAGGACAATAGTACCAACTGTTCATGGTGACAGTCCCCCTCAACAAGGAGGAGATGGGGATTGGAGGGGGATGGGGAGAGTGGACAGGGAGGAGAGGAACATCCTGGTGGTCATCACTGCCCTAAAGCCCCCTTTCTGCCACCTTGCTTTTGAAAGTGAAGCTACCAGGGAATGGACACTCCTTGCCCTTGAACCCTGGGCTTTCTCTGCATATCCTCTCCCCATTGAGATGAGACAATTATCTCCATTTTACAGATGAACACACTGAGGTCCAGAGAGTTTGTATGGCTTGGCCAAAGTCACATAGTAAGTGAGTAGTGGAGCTGCTTTCACAACCTCATGGATCGAAATCCAAAGCCCTTTCTACCGCTACTGGTGGCACCTACATCACATACAAAGTGGATGTTGCATCAATCTAGTGATGAGTGCAAGGAAGTGCACGTGCCAGTCGCCCTCAAAGGGGCTTACAGCACATCTTAAAAGAGAGGAGAATTAGTAGCAATTGCATGTTATGGTGCATCCGAGTCCCCACATAAAGTTGCATGGGAGAAGGGATAAGGGATAGACATGGTGCCCACATCAGTATTTAGGGAGGGGCAGATGGCAGTTAGGGAAGGCCAGTGCTACTCCTGCATCTGTCATACTTAGCTAGGTTTCCCTCTAGGATAGGGATCAGCTCCCATATGTGTCTGTGTTCCTGGCACCCATCATAGTGCCTGGCACAGAGCAGGTGTTCAGGGAGCATCAGGTGAAGTAGGGAACATACAAATGTCTTGGTGGAAGGGAAGCACTCCCATTTAATTTACTGTAATTTACTGAGAAGGCTTTTGCTATAATTATTTGTGGCTTCTTTGCAAAGTGGAAATAATAATAATACTACCACGATCTTTGTAACTCAAAGGGGACCAAAAAAAAGAAAAAAAGAAGAAGAAGAAGAAAAAGAAGAAAGTATTGTCACTGTTCAGCCTTTTCAAGATGAGTCACCCAGCAGATATGCTGACTCTAGGTGACCTCTACCGGCAGCATATCCCCCAACAGAAGGAGACTCCCAGGCTTGGCATTAATACCTGCCAGGTGAGTAAGCTGGGCTGAGTTTCATATATTTTCAGAGCACCTCTAGATTGACTTAAGTCAAAAGATGTGCAGGGCAGAGGCTAGCCTTGGTGAAGGCCATCACTCTTTAAAAGTTTATATATTGTCTGCCCAACTAGACTCCTTGAGAGGCTGTGTCTTGTTTTCTGGACAGTCTGTTGGTACCAAGCAGGACCTGCCATGGTTGTTGGTAATTGAATGGCATTCACCAACCTCTGCTTGGCAGTTCCATGTAGACACACAGGCATTGACCTCATTTATTCATTCATTTATTCATGGATTCCATTACTGTAAACTGATCATCTGCTCTGTTCCAGGCACTGAGGACATAAAAATGAACATGCCATAACTTAGTCTTCAAGGTGTGCAGCTCAGCAAAGGATGTGGAGATACAGAGAAACATCTCAGGTACAAGGGTCAGAGCTTCCAGAGTGGGATCCTCAGTGTGATGCAGCCCAGAGAAGGGGTCCTGGGAGAACAGTCCAAGTCTGAGGGGCTGAGGGAGGCTTAAAAATCAAAGTGGCATTGGAGTTGGGTCTGGAAAGATGGCCAAGGCCAGGAAGGACAAGACTTGCAGAATTATGGAGATGTAAGAATGCTAGCTAGTGATCAAATGATTTCATGGGAGCAGAACACAGGGTGCCGAGGTTGATGTTGGTGGGGCTGGATGGGGAGATGAGGCCGGGCCTTGGGCTATTGGGTGGAATTTGGAAAATGGGCAGGGGGAGGAAGAAAAGTAGTAAAGATTTAAGGCTATAGAGGAGGAGGACTCAACCCAATGGTGGAGTGGGCAGCAGCCAGGAATAGGAGGAAGCAGCACAAAGGAGGGTGATCAGGACACTGTCACACACACCCAGACTTGTGATGATGAAGTTCTGAACCAGGGCAGTGACGCTAGGCTGGCCAAAAAGTGTTCTGGTCAGCTATGGCCAAGAGGCCGCACTGAAGGGTGAGACTCAGCTCTCCGACTCCCTTGGCCTCTTCAACTACAGACTTAGGCTGGGTCAGCTTGACCTCAAACTACATTAACTTAAAGGATCAAAATTGCAACCATTTACTTAGATAGATAAGCAGCTTTGGAAGCGCAGAAGCTTGAACTGTGGGTTGACTTTGCAGCAGATTGGCCCCATAATGGGTGACTAATTGAGCAGGTTACTCATCGCTGGAAGTGTTTGAGAACAAATGACAACCAGCAATTTGATGAATACTTGAGAGTTTTCTTCACAGCGTGACACTGACTGGATGAATTCTAAAACTTCACTACTGTCCAATAGTCTATGACTCTAATGTCCAGATAGATGGTCAAAAGAAAACCCTGTCTTTAAAGGGCTCATGCTCCAAAGACTAACTTATAGCTATAAGGCAGAGTTGGGTTTCTAAATCCAGTTTGGTCTGTGTGCTATGACTGCACATGAAAAGATTCCAAGTGAAAACCAGTGCTACTGGTGACTCATCTTACTGAAGTATCTTTCTAAGCTACAGGAACTCAAGGATGTGACCCACAATGACTCCCCAGAAGGAGACGCTGGGAAGCGGGGAGAATCTGCTGAGGTCCCCGCCAGTTCTCTCTGTGTCACTTTTGACAGACTCTTGCCTCTGTTTGCATCCTCTATGTGTCATCCTTTTCTAAAATGAGGAAGGAAGTCCCAGTGGGGCCCCAGGAGTCTGGAACGTCACCAGTCCCATGTAGGTCAGGGCTGCTCTCTTGGATAAACTGGGAGATGCCTCCCTCTACACATATGGAAGAGGCTGTGCATCACTGGAGTAGAAAACCACCTAGACACGAGTAGCAAGATCTCTCCATGCTGGAGGCAAGGTTGGCTTGCCTTGGGTTCCACATTTTCTGGCCCCCGCAATATGACTAAGGATAGAGCAGAAATGTTATGATTTATTCAGGCCACCCTTCTTGTCTTTCGTTCTTTCCTTCCTGGGGCCCCTGCTCACATCAAACTGGGCCTCTTGCTGCCCTCCTACACCCCCAGCATCTCCCAGCCGTCAACACTTGACTCCCTTGGCATTGCAATTTCTCATTTACTAATTCAATAAGTTCTCCATTCAATAATCTACATACTTGGAGTGCATCCCTTTCCCCTAACACACCCAGAACTTCTTACTGTGTCCTTCCTCACACTGAGCCCTCATTCCTGTCCCCATTTCATACTGTTGAGTTCTTGCCCCTCCTTCAAGGCCTGCTGAAATGCCACCTCTTCCATAAAGTCTTTGCTTAATCCACAGTTGAAATAGAAGTTCGTTTTGGGCCCTTATAACATGTTGTAGCTATAATGATGTGATGATCCCTCTCTGCCCATATTACAGTGACTTAGGTAAATGTCCCTTATCAACACCACAAGCTCCTTAAGATCATGAACTGCACCTTATCCTAACTGGTGTCTCTAGCTCCAGACATGGTGCCAAGTATATAGAAGGTGCTCCAATAAGGATTTTGGAAATATGGATCATGATTCCTAAAATCCCCACCATGTAGTCATGCCTCAGATCCCTTAGGAGACTGGAACTTTCTATTCAGGACAAGTATTACCTGTGGACAGCTCTCTCCAAAGCTACAATGAACTTATCAATATGATCATGAACAGACTGAATTATTTATATACAAGCATGGACTTAAAAGTTTCTTTAAAAATACTATCCAAATGCATCATATCCTTTCAGTTTATGAAAAATTTATTTTTCTTTTTATGCCATGAAAAATCCATTTAAAAACAACACATATTCAAATGAAATAAATAGAGCAGAAAGGTCTCTGTGAACACCTTTGGGCTGGTACTAGCTCTGTGTAAACTTCAACCCACATGTTCTGGGCCTTATGTCTCTAAACACAAAAACAAACAGCCTAATGAAAATGGAGACCATCTGTCAATTGTCTGCATGCAGAGAATTTGCCCAAGTATTTGAAAATGTAATTGGCTAAATTTTTACAGGTCTAATTAAGTGTTTTCCATCCCAATGCAATGGCAATATCGGACACAAATCAAACATTTGAGGCAGACAAACGGTGCCCAAAGTCAGTATTTAAGTATTTTTCCCTGGCATTAAAAGTTGATAACAACTGAAAATCGGCAGTGGGGAGGGGAAGAAGCATTTGTCTATATCAGGCAAAGAATAGAATCAGGCAGTTCAGTTGGCCACAGAAAAATGGAAGAGGAAGGATGTTTGAAATAGCTTCCTTATCATCTTTGCCTACAAGTCAGAAGTCTTCTCCCCTGCTTTATTTTGCATATTCGCAGGCCCAAAGCCTGGATGCCTCCCCCAGGGTGTACAAGGAGCACCCACATGGGAACCTACCAGGGACCCAGCCTGGTGCTCTGATGCATCCTCAGCTCCCTGGCATTGCAGCCTTCGTCTTGCTGTCTAAGAAGCCTGTGTTAGGATGCTGTTACCAGCCGGGGCAGAGGCCAGTGTCCTTGCAGGAGACTTTGTCACCATGATTTGAGCCTTCTGTGGGGCTTCACATGTCAGTCAAGAGGGAGAGAGTGACATTTTTAGAATCCAAGGCAATCCCTCCCTCATTTCTCCTGACAGGTTCCTCTTAGAAGGGAATGCCAAGTTCCCATCCCTTTAGAAGAGATTGGGTCCACGCAAAACTCAGGGATCAAGTTGTTGGATTTTTTACCCCGAATGAGAGAAGTTTCAGCTGCTTTAATGGCCAGTTTCTACAAACTTACTTGGGTTCACCATCCATCCACCCTCTTCCACCTTCTGATGCCAGGGACACATGATGGGCCAGCATTGACTATGATAAGAAGGTTTTTCTCTGGATTTCCCTATCTCTAGTCTGACATCAGGCTCTGACACTGATGCTCCTGGATCAGATGCCTTCTAAAGCTGTAGAAATGGAAGGCTGTGGAAAGCTCTCTTGGGGAACGTAGAATGCAACAGCCATTGAAGAGGCTGGGTGTGGCAGACCAAAGCTTCTGAAGAAAAGGAAGAAGCGATGCCATTGGGATCCACTAGCAGGCCTTCCATCTAAAGAGAGAAACGAGAGCTGTGTGGAGACTTCTCTCAGCCTGTGTGTCTGCTGTGCTTATGCAGACTGGGACAAAGTGGACCCAAGCTATGGAATGGGTGATGCTGAAAAGACCCCCTGACCTCAGACCTTATTGGAAAATCAGCTCTTCTCTAAAAGGAGCAGGAGGCAGAGACTGCAACAAACTCTGCTCGGGGTCAGGGCTGACAGGCCTTTGTGATGGATTCCAGTCTCTGTGACTCACTCATTGTAAATTTGCAAGTAGCTTCAATGGTCAAATAGACAGCATTGCTGTTTGGGAGCAGCAGGACAAAGAGGCAAGCCTGGGCTTTTGAGTCATTTTATCGAAAAAGGAATCCCTGTTGCGACCTTCACCTGTGGAGTGACCTTGGGCAGAGATTTCCCCTCTCCCAGTCTTAGTTTCCTCATCAGCAAAATGAGATGCTAATAACCATCTTGCAGAGTTGTGAAAAGGATGAAATGCAAAGTACATGGAATCTAGGAAGAGCTTACTTAAGGTTAGATTTTATTCCTTCTTGGCAGAATCTGGGTCAGAACTGGGACCAGCTCCATGAAGGGTGCAACACTGGGTTTTTTTTCTAAAAGTGCTGTGGACATAGGGACAGCCCAAGCCAATACAATCTGGGAGTGAGGACAGCTGCCAAATGAGGGAAGAGCGGCTTCAGAGGGCTCAGGGTCATGGGCTGAAATCAGGGCACACAAATTTGTAGGCAAAGATGATAAGGAAGCTATTTCCAACATCTTCCCTATTCCATTTTTCTGTGGCCGACTGAACTGCTTGATTCTATTCTTTGCTGATGCAGACACACGCTTTCTTCCCCCCTGGTTTTCCATTCTTGTGTATTTTTAATGCCAGGGAGAAACATTGACTTTGTGCACTGTTTGGCCTCCTCAGATGTCTGACTTGTGCCCGTTATCATTGCACTTGGGCCAGAAAACCTTTGGTTAGCCCTGTTATTTCGTGAGCACTTTTTATGTGTTAGCTCAGGTAATGCAATGGCGAATAAGGCAGACGCTGTGTAGCCTCATGGAATTTACAGACTAAGGCAGTCTTTGAAAAATAAAAGGTTACCTCTTAAAGGAAAGTGTTGATTTAAGTTATTCTTATTATAATATTATTTAAATATATTCAAATCTAAAACTGTATATCAATTCCCTAATTTTGTAGGTAGCTTCTACAGAACTATAGAAGTAAAGCACATTTATAAAAAATAATTAAAACTATAAAGCAATAACGTTCAAATTATTACATTACTGGCATGACAGATGATGCAGTTTTGCTGAAACTAAATGTCAAATTTGGGATTCAAAAGTAGAAAGATATTGCCCCATGTCTAGTTCTACATTTAATCTAATTTTGACTTCAATACAACACATGCACACACAGAATGCAAGAAAATATTTGCAAATCGTATCTGATAACGGACTTGTATCTAGAATATATAATGAACTCTTACAGCTCACAAAGAAAAAGTTAAATAACACAATTTTTTAAATGGGAAAATAATTTGCATAGACATTTCTCCAAAGAAGCTATGCAAGTGGCCAAAAAGCACACAAAAAGATGTTCAACATCATTACTCATCAAACACAAATCAAAACCACAATGAGATATCATTCTGAACCCACAGAATGGATATAATCCAAAAGTCAGATAACAAGTGTTGGCAAAAAATATGGAGACTTAGAACCATTATACATTCATGGTAGGAATTTTAAATGGTGTGGTCATTTTGGAAAATAGTTTGGCAGTTTCTGAATGTGTTAAACATCGCATCACCGTATGATCCAAAAATCCTACTCCTAGATATATAACCAATATAACTGAAAGCCCACATATATTCACACAAAAACTTGTACATAAATGTCCATAGTAGCAGTAGCCATAGTAGTGAAAACATAGAAATGTCCTCAGCTGATGAACGAATAAACCAAATATAATGTATTCATACAATGGAATATTACTTGGCAATAAAAAGGAAGGAAATACTGATGCATGATCCAAGGAATCATGAATGAACCTGTGTGTGTGCATACGTGTGGTTGCCATGCACATATATGTGCACAATTGTCAGAGAGAAATCTCAGGCCTGAACTGAGAAATACAAATTGAAAGGCTACAGAACCAGGGTTTGGGCAGAAGGCAATAAAAACGAGCCACGCAGGAGCAAACGGGTGGGTGTGCTGGTGGCGAGGTGGGTAGGGGTTGGTACAGGGTCCGGGACAATAAATTAAGCATTTGGGCCACAATGGGCCAAGGTGAGGCACCACAGGTGGGAGGGGGCCAGAAACTGTATTTGAAGAGGAGAATTTGAATGATAAAATGTCACCAATCTCTTCTGCTCCTTTAATAGACCCTGGAGGCAGCTCCTGGCCTTTTTGCTATCCTGCACAAGGATTTGCAGCCATTTTCAGGTAAAAAGAAGAAACCACAGATGCAAAGAGGCTTCGGAAGCTGCCAGCAGTGAGCTGTTCCAGAGAGCAGCCAGAGGGGGCTGGCCTGCAGCCAAGGCCTGGCGCCCGCGGTGTCTCCACATCTTCTTTTGTTACTGGGGATGGAAAGGAGAGAAACTGACTCAATTAATGGAACCTAGAGCCACTAGTGAACAATG
This sequence comes from Homo sapiens, assembly GCF_000001405.40. Taxonomy (NCBI): domain Eukaryota; kingdom Metazoa; phylum Chordata; class Mammalia; order Primates; family Hominidae; genus Homo; species Homo sapiens. The sequence continues at coordinate 123,642,620 of NC_000010.11, forward strand.
TGGATAAATAAGGACTGAGATGTCAGTCCCTTTCCTAAGCAGCCTCAATGATGGGGAGGTGCTGGTGAGTTTTCCATGCTGTGTAGCCACATTAGAATCCACAGACTCCTCTTAGCCCCGTGCCTTCCAGGGTGAACACACTCTTTGCGAAGCGCAAATTCTCCTTGTACAGGGACCCAGGAAGCAAATCCTCTTTTGAATCGAGCACACATAAGGGCCTACGTTTTGCTTCCAGAAGGTGGTGCTAACTGCAGATGCTGAGCAATGGGAAGTTCAAAGGTGAGTTTTCATTAGGACTGGGCGAGTGGAGAGCAGCCGCAGTGAGGAGAGCTTCCTATCCCAGCAAATCAGTTTCCTCTGCCCCAGTACCTGGCTCAGGACCTGGCCCACAGTGGGAGGCAGCACCCATGGGCTGGCATGCCTGAGTGATGGGGAGACTTGGAGGACCCTGGCGTGGACAAGTGCCCAGAATCCTGGTGTCCAGGCACTGCCGCCCATAAACCTGAAAACAGGGGTTAGGCACTTGCCACAGACTCCTGGAAAGGAGAGGTCCTTCACTGCCACCCTGGTGTCACATTCTGCACCTTACCAACTGCATGATCTTGGGCAAGTTACGGAACCTTGTTTTTCATCCATAAAAAGGAGCTTACAATACCTAACAATGACTGTGACAATAAATAAGGAGATGCTGAGTGGCAGCAAATGGCCACTCCCTTCCCCATCCTCACCGCCCCCCCCCCGCCCCTAGTCTGTGGCTTCCTCCCTGTTCTTCCGCTCACGATGGAGTGGTGGTTCCACTCTGTAGCATGGTAGTAGGAATCCCTTACTTGAGCATCTGCATATCCAGCACCTTATCGGGTCCTCCCCCAAGGTGAGGGCATGTGGCTCATTATTTCTGTGCAGCTAATGAGCCAAAGGAGACTTGGGAACTTAGACCACCTGGCACAGGTTCACTGGCTCTAAGTCGGGTGTCTGTGTCCCCCGCTGCCCCCTGGCGAAAGCGGCTGGTGGAGCCACTGTAGCCTGGAGCTCGCACCCCTCCATCAGCCCTGCAGCCCCTGCCTCAGGGCTGACAGCCCACCACCCACCACTCACTCTCCCGCCTCCCAGCCTCAGGTATCAAGTGTCTTTCACAGAGGTGACATCAGTGTCTCTTGTAAAAGAAGTAAGGGATGTGTAAGAGCTGGACATGAAAGGTTACTCTTTGGCCCCAACCCCTTCCATGCCTCCCCGACCCAAACTCCCTCCATGAAGGTTCTGGAACATCCTTCCAGCCCTTTTCTAAGCATTTACATACATATTCATGTGAATATATTTTAAAATGAATGTTGCCATACAATATATATCGTACTGAATCTGATCTCAACAGTATGCCTGAAGGAGCCTTCTCAATCAGCTGCCTCATTTTTCAAGGATTTTCAGTGCTCTATTGTTGGCTGATCTCTTTTTGTCCAGGTCCTTAATGATGGATTTCAGGTTGCAGTAATGTCACAATGACCATCCCTAGACACGTATTTTTGTGCGCATGTGTAGAATTCTGCATTACACTCATATTACAGGTGAAGAAAGTAAGGTAAGACAAGGTGAAGGGATTTGCCAAAGGTCACCTACTACCCCATGTGGGACCACAGACTGGGTGTCCAGAATCCCCCATCCATGCTCTGTTCTCCAGAGCACAAAGAAGGGAATTCTAGGATTACCACGGAGGAGTGATTCTCATCCTCATGTGGAATTCTGCACACCCGCCCTTCCTCCCACAGTCGTCCCATACATGCAACTCTGCCTATGCCTTTCTCTGTTTAAAACGGCCTGGGGGGCCAGGGGCGGTGGCTCACGCCTGTAATCCGAGCACTTTGGGAGGCCGAGGCAGGCAGATCACGAGGTCAGGAGATCAAGACCATCCTGGCTAACACGATGAAACCCTGTCTCTACTGAAAATACAAAAAATTAGCCAGGTGTGGTGGTAGGCGCCTGTAGTCCCAGCCACTCGGGAGGCTGAGGCAGGAGAGTGGCATGAACCCGGGAGGTGGAGCTTGTGGTGAGCAGAGATCGTGCTACTGCACTCCAGCCTGGGCAACAAAGCGAGACTCTGTCTCCAAAAAAAACGGCCTGGGGTTCCCACTGTCTTCAGCGTGGAGCTGCACCTGGAAGCCTATGGGCCCCCCTGCCCCTGCCATGTGCTTCCTGAACTCCTAATCCACTGGGAAGGAGCCAGCCATGCCACATGCTTCCCCAGAGCGCTCTTCCCGTGCTCTGCACAGCATTGTTCATGAACATCCTTTTCTGTGCCACTGCCCCCTGGGCCAACTCCCACTCAGCTCTCAGGTCCCCACTGACCCATCACTCTACCTAGGAAACCCTCCTTAGGCCCTCTTCTCAGACCTTCCATCCTAGACTGTGATTCCCTGCTTACCTGCTCTCCTCAAGCCAGGTTGTGAGCTCTGTGGGAGTAAGGAGCCTTCTCTGTGTAGAAGGGAGTAGTAAGCCTTCTCCGTGTAGAAGGCTGTGTCGGCCATCTACCAGCACATCCCCAGTGCTATCAGCCTGATAATGAGTGTGGATGTGGGGAATGAATGAACACATGCATGCACACCAGAGACACACTCTGCTCCACGTTTGGTGCCCCTGGGACGCTGGAGATATGCCAGTAACTCGAGAACACTGACACTTAAATGCAAGACCACCCCCTGTATCCCAGGACAGTCCTGGATGCCCAGAATTAGGCCACTTCGGTTGATTTTATTTCTACTGTTGATGTAGCCATGTCTGAGTTTCCCTCAATGGAGGGGGAAGAGAGAAAAGAAGGAGGCCAAGGAGGAGGATCAGAGATGCCCTGAGGGGTCACAGGTGAGGATGTCTTCAGACACTGGCATCTCAGTGGCTGTGAATGTCACATTTTTTGTGAACAGCTTGTGTTTGGGGACCATGAAGTATGAAATACTCATGATGGGCAGGGTGGTGGTGGTGATGATGGCACCTGGGACTCAGCAGGGTGGGGAAGGGACAGGGCAAGGAAATGAGACGACACTGTGGTTACACGGTGAGCATCTCCCTTTAGCCTCCATTCCAAAAGGACCAGCTCCCAGGAGCATATCCACCCAACACGACCTGGGAGAGCTCACCTTCCGGCTCATCTACCTGGTGCTGGCTGCTCTGATGAACGTGAGCACAGACAGAACCATTCCGGGGCCTCCTGCTCAGGTGTGTGATGTCTCAGCACCCCCCACACATATGTTTCTCTGTTATTCCTGTAGTCACGCCTTCCTGCGATGTAGTTATTATTATTCCCATGGTACAACTGAACAACGAAAACTGGAATCTGGAGAGATGGGCAGTGCACCTACAGGTTCAGGAGCCCCAGCATGGCTGCTCTGACTCCAGGGTTCGGACCCTGCTTGCAAGGCATTGCTGCTGGCTCTTTGGGGTACACAGACTGTGTAGTCAGAGCCACAAATGAGACCTGTGTTTCTCTCTCCCTCTCTTCCTATCCAGCCTTCTCGCTTCTTTTCTGCTGCATTCTATGCCAAGCCTCTCCTTCAGAACAGACCCCATGAGTAATTGTTCCTAGGAACACACAGTCCCCCGGGAAGAGACCCCTGCTGCCTTGTGGATGGGTCTGTGCAGCTAAAGCAGATTGAACACTTGGGGACTGGAATAGTTTTTATTTTGAGGCAGGTGGCTGAGGCAGAGTAATCCCTAAAATTAGAGAAATGTGTAAAATATATGCTTCAGATTTTCTTTGAAGGAAGATTATTTGCCAGAGACTGGTATACCTCTCAGGCCCTAGTTTTCAGCCTAGCTCAGCATCTTCCCAGGGAATTTGCAATGAGTTTCAGGGTGGCAAGTGCCTTGTCCTTCACAGGTGGCTCTGATGTTAGAGTAATTCAAAGATTCCTCCAAATTCCAGAAAGGGCCAGGTGGGAATATCCAACCCATAGGGGAAGGAATCACAGAAGACACAGAGACAGGCTTTCCACTGCTCACAGCGCGAGGCCCCCAAGTCCAAAGTGAGAGACAAAATTAAAGGAGAAATCAGTGAACTCATGCATGTTGGTTACAGGAGAAAAAAAAATGGTTACAGAAAATTCAGGGGAGAGGGGAATAAGTTAACGACATCATGAGAAAGCAGCTGGACAAAGGCCAGGTGTGGTGGCTCACACCTGTAATCCCAGCACTTTGAGAGGCTGAGGCAAGTGGATCACTTAAGGTCACGAGTTTGAGATCAGCCTCACCAACATGGTGAAACCCCATCTCTACTAAACTTAGCCGGGCGTGATGGCACACACCTGTGATCCCAGCTACTTGGGGGACTGAGGCGGGAGAATTGCTTGCACCTGGGAACCAGAGGCTGTAGTGAGCGGAGATCATGCCATTACACTCCAGCCTGGGCAATAAGAGTGAAACTCTGTCTCAAAGAAAAGAAAAAAGAGAGAGAGAGGGAGAGAGAGAGAGAAGAAAGAGAGAAAGAGAAAGAGAGAGAGAAAGAAAGAGAAAAGAAAAGAGAGAGAAGGAAAGAAACAAAGGAAGGAAGGAAGGAAGGAAGGAAGGAAGGAAGGAAGGAAGGAAGGAAGAGAAAGCAGCTGGACAAATCCCGCCAGTGGGTTTGTCTGTAGACACTGGCCTGGTCTCTTCATCAAGTTTGTATCACTTAATTGGGACATTGCTGAGCTCAAAGGGACCTAAGGACATAAACACATGGTCTGAGGGGTCCTGCATCAAATGCTGCTTTGGGAAAGTCAGCTCTAGAAGACATTGTTGGGTCAATCAGGAAAATCAGAATATAGTCTGGGTATTAGATAGCATTAAAATGTTCCAAACAGACAGCATAGTGGAGATCATTTACTGAAAAAATCAGATTATAAAACATTATGTGCAGAATGATCTCATTTGGTGAAGTAAAAAGGGAACGATATGTGTACTGAGGTGTTAAAAGTGGAAATTTCTGGGTGGTAGGAATGTGATAATTTTCCTTTTTATTTTTGTTTGACTGTATTTTCCATTTTTTACAATGCACACGTGGAGCTTCTGGAACAATGAAAGATTATTTAAAATTTATAAGCCAAACAATTTGGGCAATATTAGTAAGTGAGCATGGCAGAAAAGGGCTCATAAGCCAAGGCAACTGTTCCCGGAAACTAATAAGAAAGCCAAGGCAGGAATGGAACCGCGGGCGTGGGAGGCAACTAGAAAATCCACCAACGAGGAAATGTGAAGGACGCATCTACTTAAAATGCTCAGCCTCATCAGTAATCAAGGAAATGCAAACTAGAAAGAAGAACCAAATTTCTACCCAACAAATGAACAAGCATTGAGAAGAAAAGGAAGATCCTGCCCTGAGGATGGTGAGAGGGGGCGCCGGTGGGCATACTCACTGGCACTGCCACCATGGAAGTTCAATTGGCAATGAACACCAAGACCCTTCAAGCTGTCTGTGCTCAGCAATTCCATCTCTGGGATTCTTTCTTCTAAAAAAAAGAAACCATAATATGAAAAATGTGATGCTCATTACATTATTTATAATTCTAAAAAATTACAACTCCTCCCACCATCCGGCATTTGGAGGATGGTCAAGTAGACTGTTCTAAATCCATTGAATACAGCACCAGGCAGTGGTGACAGTGTGTCCTGAGAAAGTTGAGATGCATGTGGTCTAGTTTTGTGATAACGTAAGTAAGTAAAAGAACAATTAACAGTACAGTCCCAACTGAGAAAAACAAATAGTTAAAAAGAAGGATTTAAAAATACAATAAAGAAACACACAGAAACGTTCACACCATTGGGTTGTGGAGGTGGAATGACATTTCTCTATATCCAGATGTTGACAAATGCCTATTACTTTTATAATGAGGAGCTAGAAAAGAATAGAAGGCTGACCATGAAGTCTTTTGGGGTTTGAGAAAGTTGTGAAAGTTTTGGACATGCAGAAAGATCAACTTAGCCAGGGCCATAAATGGCAGCTGCCAATAGGCTAAGCAATTCTTATGGATGCTTGGGAGCCAGCAGGAGCCCCCACCTCCCAGGAAGGGCATATGAGTGACAAAGGGGAAGGAGGCCTGGCCAAAGGCAAGACCCAGGCTGGAAAGTGGGACTTTGGCAGAGGCTGGGGAGCAGCCTCAGGGAGGTGAAGGTAACAGCCAGACCATAGTCAGCTCCATCCCAGAAGCAAAGCCACACAGCCACGGAGTGGGACCAAGGACAGTGTACCACGTGCTCAGCAGGTTGCCTGGGATTGCAGAGGCTGCTCAGTATGCAGGACTGAATGGCAAGGCTGTGCCTGCTGGCCTGCTTCAGACCCTGGGCCCCTGTTCCTGCCCCCTGACATATTCTACTTCTGTCACTTCCTGGTCCTGTGGCTTTGGGCAAGGTGTTTGTACCTGTCTGAGCCAGTTGCTCCTCTGTAAGGTGGTGCATTCGTTTCCTAGGGCTGCCATAACAAATCGGCACCTAACTAGGGAGCTTGAAACATCAGACACTGATTCTCTAACAAAGGAGGTTTGGGCTCCCTTTGAAGGTAAACTAATAGGACTTGGGATTCACAAGTCTCTGGCTATCAGACCAATGAAAACAGCATGGAGAAGAAAGCTGACATGGAATAAGAGGAAGAAGTGAGTGTTGGGGAAAGAAGGTGTCAGAGAGGGTGCGTTCCAGCACCTGCTTCCAGACATCTGCAGCTCCAGATGCTCCCGGCTCAAGGGTACATGAAGCCCAAGAACTCTCTTCTGCCTGAACTAGTTAAAATTGGGTTTCTGTCCATTGCAAACACAAATACCCTTACTAAAATAACTGGCTATGTACTTGGGACTTGGATGTAGTCCCTGTCCTCTTGGGACAGTTTTTCTGGGGAAAGGAGAAAATTGAACAAATAATTCTAACTGTAGAGAGAGTTATAAACAAGAAAGACATCAGGGACAGTGTGGTCTGATGCTACCGCTGTGGGTTTTAGTTTGCTCCCTTGTTCCTAGAGGGAAGAAAACAAAGGTGTGTGTGTGTGTGTGTGTGTGTGTGTGTGTGTGTGTGTGATTAAACACAAAAACAGCATCCTGTCTGCCCTGGCTGAATATTCAGAAATAGTCAATCTTCAAAAACAACAGCGTGCTAAGATGCCCAGGGTTTTATTTCTCAGGTGTTGGTGAGTGACAGGTGTTTTCTACATCCAGCTTGCTTGTCAACTCCTCGGGATGTTTCTAACCATATTTCACAGGGGAAAAGACTGGCTGGGGGAGATGTGGGAGCCCCCTTCTGATTGGAGAGGAGCTCCTGTTGTCTGCAGGGCACCACCATGTGACAGGTTGCCCACGCGGCTGAACATGGTCCTGACAGATGGTCTCCCTTCCAACAGGGGCAGAGAGTGGCTGTTGGCACCATTTGTTTGCAGTTAGTGGTGTCTATCACCTTGCTGGGGCCTTTCAAAACCTTTTTTTTTTTTTTGTGGCTGGTTTTTGCTCACTCCCAAGTATGAAGCAAGACTGAGGAATAAGAAGTCTGGCCCCTTCACCTGAAGCACTAGAGATTCTCCCAGTGTTTCACTCTGCATTTGCACACACCCTGCCTTCTTCGGAAGATGCCCTCCTCATGGTATAATTTCAAAGCATAGCTCAGACATTCGTCTTTCCTCGGTCAGCCAACACATCTTTAGCAAGCAGGTACCTGCGATTTGCCAGGTACCAGCCTTGGGGGCAAGGCCTGGAGCTTCTTGGTTCTCGCACTTTCTGCAATACCCAGAGACCTTCCATAGCCTGTTGAGTGAAGGAATGGGCAGCACATGGGATGCTGAACAAATAGCACAGAGCTTTATGATGACTTGGAATTATTAAAAGCTTCTGGATGCAGAGCTGATGTCCCAAAAATTTGATGAGACACTAACTGAGAGAGCTTGGATAACAACCAACACTCTGATGGGGCAAGTTTTTCCCAGGTTTCCCTCTCTTCTCCTGGATGGGTCCCAAAAACTTCACACCCTGAGAAGCCCCACCCCAGCCGGCACGGGCTTCCTGTCGAAGCTCCATTCCTTCCACTGGAGAAAGCACCAGATAGCCTCGTGGATTCACACAGCGAGCCGTACCCAGCCCAGGGGAGCCAGGGCCCTGGGTCTTGGCTGAAGCACAGTTGTGACCTACCATTAGGGTTTTGAGCCCTTTGGGATTCCCATAGCTGAAGCTTCAGTGACAGCGTAGGGCCAGCCTAGAGGGTTCTGCAGGATTTCAGGGCCCTGGTGTTGAAGTCTCTTGGCCCTTTCCTTGCCTTCCTGCTATAGGACTGTGCCCCCAGTGTTGAGGATTCGAGGTCTGCGCATTGTCAGGAAGTTCTGGAAGCTGCCTTCAAGTCCCCCTGGACATGACTGGACAGAACCTGGATGGAGTGAGTGGAACCTTCCAGGAGCTGCTTGAAGAAGCAGCCAGTAGCAGTGAACCCACATGCTGGCCAATCTGATTCCCTCTTAGAATTGACAAAAGAGGTGGCCCAGCCCAGAGGTTGCTTGGCGTGGCCAAGGACATGGGCTTTAGAACTAACAGGCCTGGCCGGGCATGGTGGCTCACGCCTGTAATCCCAGCACTTTGGGAGGCCATGGTGGGCGGATCCCCTGAGGTCAGGAGTTCAAGACCAGCCTGGCCAACATGGTGAGACCCCCCGTCTCTACTAAAAATACAAAAAGTAGACAGGCGTGGTGGCAGGCACCTGTAATCCCAACTACTTGGGAGGCTGAGGAAGGAGAATTGCTTGAACCCGGGAGGCGGAGGTTTCAGTGAGCCAAGATTGCACCATTGCACTCCAGCCTGGGTGACAACAGCGAGACTCCATCTCAAAAAAAAAAGAAGAAGAAGAAGAAGAAAAGAAGAAAAAGAAAAAGAACTAGCAGGCTCTGGTTCTAACAGTCCTGCCCTCTCTTGTTGTAACTCAGGCTGGTTGCTTGACTTTTCGGAAACTCCGGCTGTAAAATTGGCTCATGATGGGCCCCTCATGGGGCTGCGTGACAAGGACAATGACATTGCAGGAGAAGCCGAGTACACTGGCTGGCACACAGCAGGCTCAGTAGCTGGGAGCCACCCCTCCCTTTCCTCTCTTCTGATGCTGTGTTGACATGGAGGAGAGGGGAGCTGCCTGTGCTCTCCTGAGAGGACCCAGCTTCCTGAAAAAAGCTGGAAGCTGGGGGCTGACTGCTGGGTATTTAGGAAGAAGGGGTCTTGCAAGAAGCAGGAGATAAGGAGCCCGCAGGAAGCCAGAAATTAGTCTCAGGGTGAATCTGCCTGGGCTGCAGCTGGGGCAGCTCCTCCCAGGGTCCCATCATGGGGACCGCCCCTCTGGCTTGCCCTGCAGGCATGTGGGCATCCTGGAATGAGTCCCTCACTGCAGCCAAAAAACCTTGAGGCTGACCTGCCCAGGAAGACAGGGGCTCAAAAGGAAGAGAGGCATTACCTCAGCCTGGCATGGCCTGGCTCACTCCCCTTCCCTCAATAATCACAGTGTCAGCCCTCAAATGTACCACCTGTGGGACTTCTGATTGACCTTCTCTTTGAAGGCAGGGAAGTTATATTCTCTAAGTGCAAAATAGAGCTCCTGTTTTTATTTTTATACTTTTTAAAAATAGCAATGGGATTTCACTATGTTGCCTAGGCTGGTCTTGAACTCCTGGGCTCAAGGGATCTTCCTGCCTGGGCCTCCCAAAGTGCTAGGATTACAGGTGTGAGAGAGCATGCCCAGCCGAAATACAGCTTTTATCACAGATTTCTCAGGTCACATGGAGTTGGGGAGAAGATGGATTACCTTCCTGTGCTGTCTCTCTATTATATCAAGTGGAAATAAGGAAGGATAGAACACAGGCTGGGGAACTGGAGCTGGGGCTCTGGGTTCTAGGTCCCAGTGCTGTGTGACCTTCACCAGCACCCTCACCCCCACCCAGGGTTTTTGATTTCCAACGGGTAAAATTCGGGGGCTGCAGTAGATTATCCTCAGGGTCCTAGTAGCATTCCATGGATGTGACGCTGATGATATGGGCTTACTTTATTGGGGACTTACTGAAAGCTGATCAAGAGGGGAGAAGGCTGGGGGAGCCTGGAAGACATGGTTGAAATCCAGACTCGTGCCTCCTCAGCAAGTTGGGCATGAAATTAAAGAGCCCATGCATGCGAGGAAAGACAAAGAGTTACCAACAACAACCAGAAGGATCTTGCTACATAAAGCTACAACAAAAGGGTTCTGCTACAAAACAAAGAAAAGGTTTTATTGACAAACCAGAAATCTTCTTTTGAGGTTTTGTGCTGTTGTGGCCGCAAGATTTAGTGCTGGCAAAGATGTTGCAAAGATAAGTCTGATCTCAGGTACAGAAGGGCTTTGGCAAGAACCCTACTCTCTCGAGCCCACAGACCCCATCTCCCTCCCCAAACCTGGCTGGTAAACCTACATTTTCTTATATGTTGCTGGTGCTTTAGATCAAATTTTCTCAGAAGGTAACGATGGTGGAGTGGGAAGAGTAGACAGAGCATTAAACCCCATCTCTGCCACTTGCTACCTGTGTCACTTAAACTCTATTAGGTTTCTCATCTGTGAAATTGATATAATAACACCAAACTGTCTTCTTTTGCTATACAGTTGGGGTGAAAAAATACTTGCAGTGGTCTTACTAATACTTACAAATGTTTTATATTATTAAGGGATGCAATACTAGAAGGCCAGTATTTGGAAAATCCTGAGTACAATGCAGGAGTCCCTGGAAGGTGTGGGCCACCTGCCTCTTCATTCAATAGGAAGCCTCAGTCCTGACCCATTCATTTGGGTTCTGGATGCTGCTTGGCAATAAGAAGCCCAAGGGGCAGGGCACAGTGGCTCATGCCTGTAATCCCAGCACTTTGGGAGGCCAAGGTGGGAGGACCACTTGAGTTCAAGAGTTTGAGACCAGTCTGGGCAACATGGTGAAAACTTGCCCCTAAAAAAAAAAAAATTAGCCAGGTGGCCACCTGTATTTCCAGCTATTCAGGAGGCTGAGGTGAGAGAATCACTTGAGCCTGGGAGGCGGAGGTGGCAGTGAGCCAAGATTACGTCAGTTCACCATAACCTGGGCAACAGAGCCAAACCCTGTTGGAAGGAAAGGAAAGGAAAGGAAAGGAAAGGAAAGGAAAGGAAAGGAAAGGAAAGGAAAGGAAAGGAAAGGAAAGGAGGAAGGGGGAATGGGGAAGGGGAAGGGAGAAGGGGGAAGGGGGGAGGGGAGGGGGAAGAGGAGGAAGGGAAGGGAAGGGAGTGAACAAATAAATAGAGAATAAAATTTACAAAACAATGGTGCATAGAATAACATAAAAACATAACATACCTAGAGATAAAAAAGAGAAATGTAAGGCTGAAAATGACAAATATTGCTGAGAAGAATTAAAGGAGCTCTAAAGAAATGAAAAGATGTACCATGTTCATGGACTGAAAAACTCAATATTGTTATAATGGCACATTTTCCCAAATGTATCTATGAATTCAGTGCCATCCAGTCAAAATTTCAGCATGTTTTTAAAACTTGTAAGCCAATTATAAAAATTATATGGAAAGTTAGAGAACCTAGAATGATGAAAACTATTTTGAAAAAGAAGAATAAAATTGAAGAACTCCTGTACCCTTAGTTTGGCACTTGGAGATCCCACTAAGGGGTCTGAAGCTGATATTTATTTTAAGGTGATTATTTTAAGACTTACTACAAAGAAAATGTAATCAAAACAGGATAGATTGATGTCAAGATATAAAAAGAGATAGAACACAGTAAAGAGTGCAAAAATAGAATCTCTCTTATACAGTCAGCGATTTTTACAAAGCCCCCAAAGTTATTTAATGTAGGAAAAAAATCTGTTCAACAAAACTAGATATCAAATGGAAAAAAATGAACCTTAACCTTACCTCACCATCATATACAAAAATTAATTTGAATGAATCCTTTGCCTAAATATGAAAGTTAAAACTATAAAACTTCTAGTAGAAAACATATCTTTGCCAATTTGGGATAAGAAAATTTTTCTTAGCAGAACAAAGAATCATAAAGATATAGATTGGACTTCACAAATATTAAAAAGTTATGCTCATCAAAAGACACCATTAAGAAAAGAAATATGTAAGCCACAGATTAGGAGAGTATTTAGAACACATATATCTAATAAATTACTTATATCCAAAATATATTTTAAAACTCAATAAGTGAAAGATAACCTATTTTAATGCTGGTTGCATTGTAAAATTGTACAGACATTTTGGAAAACTGGCACTTTCTTAAAGTTAAATATATATGTAGGTATTTACTAAAAAAAAAAAAACTAAAACATATGTATATTTAAAAAGTAGTGGAAGAGGGCCAGGTGCAGTGGCTCATTCCTGTAATCCTAGCACTTTGGGAGGCCGAAGCAGGCAGATCATGAGGTCAGAAGTTCAAGACCAGCCTGGCCAACATAGTGAAACCCCATCTCTACTAAAAATACAAAAATTAGCCAGGTGTGGTGGTGGGTGTCTGTAGTCCCAGCTACTTGGGAGGCTGAGGCAGGAGAATTGCTTGAATCCAGGAGGCGGAGTTTGCAGTGAGCTAAGATAGCGCCACTGCACTCCAACCTGGGTGATACAGCCAGATTCTGTCTCGAAAAAAAAAAAAAAAAGCAGTGGAAGAATGTCCAAAAAAAGCTTTATTCAGAATGTCCCCAAATTGGATATAACACAGATGTTCATCAACAGGAAAATAGCTAAAAACAAACAAAAAAACAAACAAAACAACCCTGTGGTATATTTATACAATAGAGTTCTGCTTAACAAGAGAAAGGAATGAACTGCTAAAATACACAACAGCATGGACAAACAAAAGACATTATGCTGAGTTAAAGAAGTTTGATGTAAAAGAGCACACACTGTATGGTTCCATTCAAATGAAGTTCTAGAACTTGCAAAATTAATCTACAATGATAGAAAGCAGAACTCTATAGTTAGCTGGGGAAGATGAGACGTGGACTGCCTGGAAAGGGGCATGAGGGGGTTTTCTGGGGTGATAGAAATATTCTGTATCTTAATAGGTATGTGAGTTACTTGGAAGATGTGTTTATCAAAACTCATCAAATAGTATACTTAGGATTTTTACTTTTCACTATGTAAATCATACCTTGCTAAGAAACAATTTCTTACAATAAAGAAAAAATTTGAATCTGCACAGAGGGAAAATATGCCTCTACTCTCAGAGCCATGAGGAGCCAGAACAGAATGACTCAGGTGGTCTGACTACTGGACTGCATCACCAACAGGGGAGGAGGGGCTGCCAAGAGAGGAAAGGAAGGGGAGGTGGGGTGGGCAGGATCAAGGCTTCCGTTCCCATCCGGCTAGGCCAGGCCCTGCATCACCTCCTGGTGGAATCTCCAAGTGTCAACACCACAACTGATTGGAATGGTGAGCTTCTGAGGCTGACAAGTGATATTTGAGAATGCATAGTCAGGCTACAGTTAGACAGAGGCACCAGATGAGCTTGGCAATCCCCTTTCTGTAACAGGCTCCCTCTAACCTCTCTGCCATGAGTGAATAGTTTGGTTTTCCATAAAGTGCCCTGAATAGTCATGCAAAATAAAGAAATGACCTTTTTTGCTTTCCAAATCTTGCTAAGCCCCGAGGAGTTGAGTCACTTAGTGAAAGAGACATATGTCTGCCTTGGTTTCCCTGCGTACCTACACCAATTTGCATAAGAAAACATCACTTTGAGGCTACAAACCAGACTTGAGCTTTTTTCTCTTTCTTGCACACACTCAGACACATCCACACATATGCACTGCCCCATCCCCAGCAGACTTACAAGTAGGCTCTCTCCCTGAATGCATGTACAGAGTGGGGCCTGAAATGCATAGGCCCTTTATGCATGATGAGGGCCAAAAGCTGAGCCCAGTGACTGTTCCCAGCAGTGCGGCCAGAGAAGAGTGAATCCTCCTCCACATGTCTACCCACACAGACCTCCGAAGCAAAAGTGGTGCATGGGCTTCATCTGCCACTGCAGTGGAAGGGATTTAATTTCAGCTATATGGGGGAAGGAAGGCCCTAAGATGCCTGTCTCTGTTTCCTTTTACTGGCCCATTTCCCCTCATCCAAGTTCCTTGTGTGGCATCTTCAAGGGGCCTAAATTGACCAGTGAAATCACCTCATCCACCCACCTCATTTCGCAGGTGGAGAATCTGAGTTACAAAAGCAGAAGGAATTGCCCAAAGGCATGTGATCAGCTAGGGTCACTGACTAGACCAGCATCCCGAACTCCTGGTTTGCAGTCCAGGGTGATGTCTGCTACACGATGCTGCCAGCCGACAGTCTCTTTTCCAACAGAGAAGGTGGCTTATTCCCATTGGAAAGTACTGGAAGGTGGCACCTAGGCTATGGGCTTCCCCAGTAGTCTGCTGGGGGCTCCCCACCAGGACTGTTTTCCCAGTCCTGGCTTGAGGGCACAATTAGAGCAGCTTCAGAATCACCAGTAAAGGGAGGTTCTCCCCTTTAGTTGTTCACTGAGAACATAGCCACAGAGGGACAGATTACGGTTCCCAGGAAGCCCAGTGGAGTCAGATTAAGTCAGGCCACACATACCACTGAGAGCAGCCTTGTATGTGCTCCATGTCGTGTAGGTTACAGGAGGATGGACAGAGGAAGTGGAAGGCATAGTTTTGAAATATTCTGGCTGGGCACCATGGCTCATGCCTGTAAACTCAGCACTTTGGGAGGCTGAGGTAGGCGGATCATCTGAGGTTGGGAGTTTGAGACCAGCCTGACCAACATGGAGAAACCCCATCTCTACTAAAAACACAAAATTAGCTGGGTGTGATGGTGCATGCCTGTAATCCCAGCTACTCGGGAGGCTGAGGCAGGAGAATTGCTTGAACCCGGGAGGCGGAGATTGTGGTGAGCCAATCGTGCCATTACACTCCAGCCTGGGCAACAAGAGAGAAACTCTGTCTCAAAAAAAATTCTTTATTTCAAAATGATGAGACAGTATAGTTCAGCGATTAAAAGCATGGCCTTTGGAATTCAACAGACCTGGATGTTGCCTCTCACTGTATGTGTAGCCATGAACCCCACTTTCTGAGCCTGTAAATGGAAAGGAACAGTTATCCCAGCATCTACTCAGTGAACAGTACCTGAGGATGGCTTGCTTTGAAGATCTAGTTTCAGAACTCAGGAGACACAGTGCCCAGAGGCCAGCTCTGGGCCTTCATAGCCAGTGAATATAATTTTTTTATTTCTTTTCTCTTTTGTAGAGTCAGAGTCTCACTCTGTTGCCCAGGCAGGAGTGCAGTGGTAATCACAGCTCACTGCAGCCTCTAACTTCTGTGCTCAAGAGATCCTCCTGCTTCAGCCTCTCCAGTAGCTGGGGCTACAGGCATGCACCACCACACCTGGCTGTGTTAGTCAGGGTTCTCTAAAGGGACAGGACTAATAGGATAGATGTATATATGAAAGAGGGTTTATTAAGGAGTATGGACGAACACGATCACAAGGTGAAGTCTCACAATAGGCCATCTGCAATCTGAGAAGCAAGGAAGCCAGTCCAAGTCCCAAAACCTCAAAAGTAGGGAAGCCAATAATACATCCTTCAGTCTGTGTCCAAAGGTCTGAGAGCCCCTGGCAAACCACTGGTGTAAGTCTAAGAATCCAAAAGCTGAAGAACTTGGAGTCTGATATTCAAGGGCAGGAAGCATCCAGCGCAGGAGAAAGATGAAGGCCGAAGACTCAGCCAGTCTAGTCCTTCCATGTTCCTCTGCCTGCTTTTATCCTAGCCACGCTAGCAGTTGATTAGATGGTGCCCACCCAGATTGAGGGTGGGTCTGCCTCTCCCAGTCCTGAGTCAAATGTTAATCTCCTTTGTCCGCACCCTCACAGACATGCCCAGGAACAATACTTTGCAGCCTTCAATCCAATGAAGTTAACACTCAATATTAACCATCACATTGGTTAATTAAAAAAAATTTTTTTTTTTGTAAAGACAGGGTCTTGCAGTGTTACCCAGGCTTGTCTTGAACTTCTGGTCCCAAGCAATCCTCCCACCTCGGCTTCCCAAACTGGAATTACAGGTGTGAGCCTATACGCCTGGCCCCAGTGTTGCTTTTTAATTTCTTTTTGTGGAGACTGGGTCTTGCTCGGCCGGGCGCGGTGGCTCACGCCTGTAATCCCAGCACTTTGGGAGCTGAGGCGGGGGGATCACGAGGTCAGGAGATCGAGACCAACCTGGCTAACACACGGTGAAACCCCGTCTCTACTAAAAATAAAAAATGAAAAATAAATAGCCAGGAGTGGTGGCGGGCGCATGTAGTACCAGCGACTCCAGAGGCTGAGGTGGGAGAATGGTGTGAACCCCGGAGGCGGAGCTTCCAACGAACTTAAATTTCCCCCCTTCCCTCCAGCCTGGGCGACAGGAGCAAGACTCTGTCTCAAAAAAAAAAAAAAAAAAAAAGAGAGAGAGAGAGAGAGAGATTGAGACTGGGTCTGGGTCTTGCTATATTGCCCAAGCTCTTCCTGGGCTTAAGCAATCCTCCTGCCTCAGCCTCCAAAAGTGCTGGGATTGTTACAGGCATGAGCCACCTCTCAGGGCCCAGTGTTTTTTTTTTTGTTTTTTGTTTTTTGTTTTTTAGACAAAGTCTCGCTCTTGTTGCCCAGGCTGGAGTGCAATGGCACAATCTCAGCTCACTGCAACCTCCGCCTCCCGGGTTCAAGCGATTCTCCTGCCTCAGCCTCCCAAGTAGCTGGGATTACAGGCACCTGCCACCACGCCTGGCACTTTTTGGATTTTTAGTAGAGACGGGGTTTCGCCATGTTGGCCAGGCTGGTCTCAAACTCCTGACCTCAGGCGATCCGCCCGCCTCGGCCTCCCAAAGTGCTGGGATTACAGGCGTGAGCCACCGCGCCCGCCCCTCAGTGTTCTTGAAAGTGATCAGAGGGCGGGAGGATGAGTGGGAGGAGAGGAGCTGTCCACAGTCCCAGTGCTGACCTGCTGAGAACTTCATCCTGAGCAGGACCCTGCAGGCTTGCAACCACTCAGGCCCCCTGGTAAATTTCTAGGCTGTGGTTGTGGGTGAGTGGGGGCTGGAGTGGGACAAAGAACTAGGAGAAATAGCTTTTCCTGAAGGCTCCAGTCCTGGGAATACAAGACAAGCTCCACTGCCTCACTCCAGCTCAGAGGCAGGAAATGAACAGGGCCAGACATCTTTAGAAGTCAGTTTAAACCCAGAGAAGCTGTTGTTCATGAACCAGTTCAATGCCTCGCAGTCTAACACTAAGGAAGATCAATCACACGCTTCTCTGCTCCTGGAGTCAGCCTGCATTGCAAATAAAGAAGCTGCTGCCACCACAGACACATTTAATGGATTTTCAAAGCAAGGTGCAAACTCACTGGCTGGCTGTGTGCCTGTGAGTTCAGTGGAGAGGAATGGCTTTGAGTCAGGTAGACTCTAGCTGAACTGCAACTCTTTCTATTTCTCCAACTGTGGGGCAACTGTGGTGTAGGCGATGAAGTCCTGGGCTGAGGGAGGACCTGCGTTCTCATTTCAGATCTGCCACGGGGCATCTGTGAGACCTTAAGCAAGCTGCTTGGCTGCAAGTTTCTGACACCCAGTCCATAATCAGGGTAATTATCCCTATCCTATGAATGATAAGAGGAGAAATGAATTTAATGTTCTTAGCAGAAGGTCTAGTCCACAGCGAGCCCTCAGATAGACACTGACTTTATATACTACTCAGCTGGCATTCAGTCCAAGCACTCGGTTTGGGGAGAGAGTTAGAGGAGAGAAGAATGGGAGTGATGGGCATTTGGGCATCATCTGGAAAGACTGGGAGAATCAAACCTGGGCATTAGAACAGAGTCAGCATGTTTATGAACATAGGCCTGGGTCCACATCACCTCCCTCATCAGCTCTGGCCCCCTGGGAATGCTGCTTAATCTCTTTGAATCTCAGTTTCCTCATCTGTATGATGGGGTAACTAAAGTATCTCTAGTAAAGGGCTGCCATGAAACTTACATGAGGTAAAGCAAGGGATCCTAGCAAACCTTCAATAGATGTTGCTCAGCTTTCTGAGTCCCTTCAGACAGTGGGGCCTCAGCTTCTTCCAAAAGTTCATCAGCTGACACTTCCAGGCAGTAGGCTTCCTCTTCTCTCTGGCTGGGCCTTCTGCCTGGCCTATGGGGCCTGGGCCAGCCAGAGACTCAGGAGTGGCAAAGGCCCTGTCTAGCAGGCCAATTCTTGTCCTATCTGATAATGAGCAAGTGAGCTGGAGGCTCAATGGTGCTGTTGGACTTTGCTTTCATGATTCGGCTTACCCCACTTGAGGACTGGGCCAGGGGTGTGCATAAACAGCTTTCCTGGGGGCAGGGACCACCTGTCTGATAGTAGTAGCAGAGAGACCATTAGACAGCAGTCAGGATCCTGAGTTCCAGGCCCTGGTTTGCCACATGTTCTTATGCAATGAACATCTCCTGTAGGGTTTCAGAATTCTTATCTCTGTGTCATTCCTACAACTCCCAGGGTTCTACAAGAATCCCATGAAGAATCAGATTTGTAAAAGCTTTAAAAATAGAGAACTGCTGGTGGGCCAAGGTGGAGAGACTAGAAGGGACCTATCCCCAGAATGACTGGATGCTGCAGGTCCTGAAGTTAACATCTGAATGGGACTGACCTTCCTGTCCAGCCTGACATTGGGCTGGCATCCACAGTTTGCATCCAGAGTTTGCCAATGCTCTTTCTTCCTGCTTTTCTACAGACCTATGTTATGCTCAAGAGCCACAACCACATGCCAGGCTTCAGGTTCCAGGCATTTGCTCAGGCACTTCTTTTCCCATGGAATGCCAGGCCCTGGTCCCACTCCACTTGCAGAGCTCCAGATTTCCCCAAGGGTTGTGCTCTCTGTGTCCATGGCACTTTTACAAAACTTCCCTTGGGGCATTGGTGACATTCTGGTTTGTGTTCATTTTATATCAATATTTCATCTCTTTCTAAAGATAGTGGTGGAAAGGACCACTGCAGTCTGCAACCTCTCATTGGAGTGTGTACTCAGGCATATTCATGGATTAAAGACAGTAGCACAGTGGAAATAACAATGGATTTGAATCCTGACTTTTCATCAATTCATTTTATTCTATCTATTGGTGCTTACTTGGAGTGACCTTAAACAAATATGGACCTCTTTGAGTCTCAGCTCCTTCACTTGTCAAGATGGAATCATGATATTTATGCCGCAGGGTTGCTGCAGGATAGGCGATGACGTGCACTTCCATCTGCCTTTACCATAGTTCTGTTTTGAGCTCTCCCTTGGGTACCAGTTACAGCATTTAGTGATTCACGTTGACTCTGTCACGAACATTCCATTGCTGCTGACTTCCCTCCAGCTTGAAGGAGCAAGCCATGCAGATCCAGCCACAATGTGTTCTCCTGGTGGGCACACTCCAGGCCTTGTTGCCCCTGGTCAGGTGGGATCAATCATGTGGCTTTTCATGGAGGTGCAGTGAGGACTTGTATCAAGGCCTGGATAGGGACATGCATCTCCCCTCCTTGCTGAGTGTGATCTCACTGCCAACTGGTGTCTGGGGCCATGTTGGAATCCATGTTTGGGGAGGCTCAGCCTGGCTGAAGCTAACAGGATTGGGGCCCTGGTTACTATGGGATATCAGCGCCCCCTCAAACCATGGTCCAACTGAAGGCAGGAAATTTTGCTTAAAACTAGAGGAAAATGAGCTCAGTCTCTTTAGGAAACTGAGTTAATATATTCTGAGTGTCTTTCTGGCATTTTAACCTTTCAATGTTGCCTTTAGGAATTCAGAAAGCAAATGATCTTTAAAATATGTGAGAGGGTATATAAATGTGTGTGTGTGTGTGTGTGTGTGTGTGTTCATTTGTTTATTGATGTTGGACCTAGTTACCAAGTCACCAACATCAGTTTGGTGTTGCAAAATTGAGACACTTTTAAGTTACAGCCCAAGGACACCTTCCTGAGAAGGTGGCTGAGGACCTCTGGAGTGTGCAGAAAGAGCCAAGCCATGGAGCTAGAGGTACTGGCTTCATCCCTCACCAACTCTGTCACTTAACTTCTTTGAGTCTTTGGGTTCTCATCTGGAAAACGTGGGGCAGCAATAGAAGCTTTTCTTCCTGTCTTTGTTGCAAGAACTAAATAAAGTATGGTAATGTTTGGACATGTTTTATAAACTCCAATGTGCTAGGAGAATATTAATTGACATGTTATATTGTCAATATAAATATAAATAAATATTTATATAAAGATATAAAAATATAAATGGGATCCCGCATGTCTAGAGTCTCTGGTGAGGCTTCAGTGAGTGCCTCCAGGCCAGAACATCAGGTCATGGTTGGAGGATGTGCCCAGGTGATTGTTTGGCATCCAGTGGCTTACCCTGACCATTTCTCATAGAGCACACTCCTGAGAGCATGACCACAGACCACCCTCACCAGAACTATCTAAGGAGCTCATGAAAATGCAGACTTCCAGACCTTCTGATTTGGAAACCCCAGGGGGTGTGGCCCAGGAATCAAACTCTTTAACCAGCACCCCAGGCTTACCAGGTGACTCTGATACACACAAAAGTGTGAGAATCACAGATCCAATAGTGACCCCAAAACATTGGCTGATTTACTCCACAGACAGTACTTGGGCACTATCTTAGTCTATTTTGTGCTGATATAACAGAATACCTGAGACTTGGTAATTTGTAATGAATAGAAATTTATTGTTCATGGTTCTGGAGGCTGGGAAGTCCAAAATTCAGGGGCTGGCATATGGTGAGGGACTTTTTGCTACATCATCCCCTGGCAGAAAGTGGAAGAGCAGAGGGAGGGAGACACACAGGGAGAGAGAGAGAGAGAGAAGGAGGGGGTGGTGGCAAACTCATCCTTTAATAAGGAACCCATTCCCATGATAATGGCACTAATCCACTTATGAAGGCAGTGCCTCCATGAGTCAAACACCTCCCATTGGGACCCACCTCCCAATACTGTTGCATTGGGGGTCAGGTTTCCAACACATGAACTTTGGGGGACACATTCAAACTATAGCACAAATAGCTCCTATCTCCTGCCAGGAGCTATTTGTAGGGGACACTTCCTTGGCAGCAGGAGAGACACACAGATGAACAGCGTCCTCTGCTGTCATATAACAGGTATTTAATGAGACATGTAGCCAACACTAAAATCTGTAGGCTACATGAGGGGGCCAAGGGTTGATGATATTGCTAGCATTCTGCCCTGTTTCCTTCTCTGGGAAGCAAAGCTAAACGTACACATTACCTTATGTAGTCATCACCACGGCTCTGAAAGGTAAATAAGAAAACCTAGCCTCAGGGATGTTGAGTAAGTTGCCCAGGGTCCTATGAAATCAGTGAGTGGTGTGTCGTTAAATGTTTAACCACAGGCTGGGGTGGGAGAAGCCCTGATCTATGGAGTTTGCTGATTTCTATAATGCAAAAACTCATTGTGGTGGATTTTAAGCAACCAACATGCTGTCACTGAAGCAGAGATGGAGAGAGATGCCCATAATGGGCCCTTTTGAGCTGGTGTGAGCTGGCTTCAGAACTCCACTGTCTGCAGCTGTCAGTCACTCAGATAACTGTCAATGAGTGTCATCTGTGGACACACAGAGAAGAGAGGGAATCTTGTTTCTGCCCTCCTGACACCTCATTTCATGAGCATTTAATAAAGTTTGGATGTTTGTCCCCTCCAAATCTCATGTTGAAACATAATCCCCAATGTTGGAGGTGGGCCCTGGTGGGAGGCGAAGGCGATTGGATAATGGGGGCAGAGCCCTCATGAATGGGTTGGCACCATCCTGAATGACTTCTCAGTCCATGAGAGATATGGTGTTTAAAAGCCTGGGACCTCCCCCTTCTCTTTCTGGCTTTCACTCTTGCCATGTGACATGCCTGCTCCCACTTTGCCTTTTGCCATGATTAGAAGCTTCCTGAGGCCCTCATCAGAAGCTGAGCAGATGTTGGAGCCATGATTGCATACCTTGCAGAATCATGAGCCAATTCAACCTCTTTTCTTCATCAATTACCCAATCTCAGGTATTCCTTTACAGCAAAGAAAAATGGCACAATACAGCATCTACAATGTGCTTGGTACTATGTGAAGGAGATAATTAAGTATAATGAGGTCTCTACCTTCAGGGCGTAGAGTCCACCACGTCCTTGCTTGGCTTACTTTATCTAGTGGCTTGAGGCCCAGGAATGTCCAGTCACCACTGGCCACACCAGGAGGCTCCAGAACAGGGCTTTCTATGTCCAGGACAGGGATCTGAGGTTGCTGACATGGTGCAGGGGGTCACTGCAGGGCAGCATCTCACAGAGTTGAAGGGGGCTGCAGGGGTTCTGAGAGCTGCCCCTGCCTGTCCATCCCCACCCCTTCCCCACAGAGTCTTGGTTGAGAACCGAAGGGCCACAGTCCCTGCACACTTTGCTGAGGGGAGGCAGGGGTCCCCTGTGTCCAGGGTCTCTGTTGCTTGGACCATGCCTGCCAGCTGACACCCTCCCCATTTTCTGAAGAGTTCTGGCACCTTATATCAGGCAGGTCCCTCATAAACTAGAATGTGCTGCCTCACCAGTCTCAGGGCAGAGGGGTGTGTGGCTTCAGGGCTACAGGAGGCAGCTGCTGGAACTTGGAGCAGGACAACAGAGTATCCACCATACTAGGGTTAGCTGTCTAGGCTGGTTGTGGACAGCCTGGCTTGCCCAGGTGGGAGCAGTCAGGGTCAGCAAAGGCATCTCCCAGCTGGAGAGATGCCCAGGGGATGTTACAGAGAGCCTCGGGGTCCCTGCAGCAGGCTTAGGATTCAGCCGAAGCTCTGGCTGTAGGGCGAGGGAAAGAAGGCACTGAGAATCGAGTAACCTCAGTCATGCAGCAGCTGTTCTTGGGACAGACAGGCTGGGACACTCACGTCAAGGTCTGCCAGGATAGCATGCAGGCGGGGACAGGTGGCACTGGGGCGTGAAGGTGTCCAGGCATCCCTTCCTTTTCTCAGAGAGATTTCCTTGACTCAGCCTGTCTTTGACACACACGGGGGGATGGAGGATGTTGGGGGAAGGGAGCCACAGTGAGCCAATCACCCTGCACCGGAGCCTTCGGGGCTGGTTCCCTCCGAGCCTGTAAGTGTGAGTGTGTGTGCGCGAGTGTGTCTGTGTGTGCACCAGTGGGGATTTCTGTGATAGAAGCAGCCAGATTCCAGAGACAGAGAGAAGAGGAGGGGGAAGAACAAGAGAGGGGAGAAAATTGGGGGTGGGAGAGACAGACGGAGAGAACAGCGCGGGGGGCGGGGAGAGGGAGAGAGGTGGAGGGGAGAGCAGAGAGAGAGAGAGCGAGCCAGAGAGCAGAGAGGGAGGAAGAGAGAAAGCAAGAGAGCGGGAGGGTGCGCGGAGCGGAGCGGAGACAGAGCTCGCGGGCATGGGGTGAGAGCGGGAGGAAGCAGAGGCAGAGGCGGAGCAGGGGCGCAGGTGCCTGCAACCCAGGATCCCGGGGCGCTAAAGGCTTCGG
Source organism: Homo sapiens (assembly GCF_000001405.40). Taxonomy (NCBI): domain Eukaryota; kingdom Metazoa; phylum Chordata; class Mammalia; order Primates; family Hominidae; genus Homo; species Homo sapiens. The sequence continues at coordinate 123,666,112 of NC_000010.11, forward strand.
GTTCTACCGCACGCTCAGTCGCTGGCTCCAGAGGTGCTGCTGGGGGCCAGGGTTCACTGCCGCGCGCCAGGTGCCTGCCCGTGAGGCGGCGCGGGGCTCCCGGGTGGCTGCGCGCCCAGACGCCTGCCCGGGAGGCCGCCTGAGGCTCCGGGGTGGCCGCGCGCCCTCCTGGGAGCCATGGCGGCTGGGGCCGGTGGTCGCCGGGCGGCGGCGGCGCCGAGGGGCTGAGCCGGCCGCGGGCAGCGCCATGGCGGCGCCGGGTTGCGGACCCTGAGCGCCGGCGCGGGGCGCGCACCATGAACTCGTGGGACGCGGGCCTGGCGGGGCTACTGGTGGGCACGATGGGCGTCTCGCTGCTGTCCAACGCGCTGGTGCTGCTCTGCCTGCTGCACAGCGCGGACATCCGCCGCCAGGCGCCGGCGCTCTTCACCCTGAACCTCACGTGCGGGAACCTGCTGTGCACCGTGGTCAACATGCCGCTCACGCTGGCCGGCGTCGTGGCGCAGCGGCAGCCGGCGGGCGACCGCCTGTGCCGCCTGGCTGCCTTCCTCGACACCTTCCTGGCTGCCAACTCCATGCTCAGCATGGCCGCGCTCAGCATCGACCGCTGGGTGGCCGTGGTCTTCCCGCTGAGCTACCGGGCCAAGATGCGCCTCCGCGACGCGGCGCTCATGGTGGCCTACACGTGGCTGCACGCGCTCACCTTCCCAGCCGCCGCGCTCGCCCTGTCCTGGCTCGGCTTCCACCAGCTGTACGCCTCGTGCACGCTGTGCAGCCGGCGGCCAGACGAGCGCCTGCGCTTCGCCGTCTTCACTGGCGCCTTCCACGCTCTCAGCTTCCTGCTCTCCTTCGTCGTGCTCTGCTGCACGTACCTCAAGGTGCTCAAGGTGGCCCGCTTCCATTGCAAGCGCATCGACGTGATCACCATGCAGACGCTGGTGCTGCTGGTGGACCTGCACCCCAGGTGAGCCGAGCGCAGCTAAGGCTCTGGGAACAGCCGCGCGGGATCTCGGCGGGAGTGGGAGGTCCCTAGCCCCAGGGGCTCTTTTCCACCGAGCCTCTGTTTCTTCTGAGAACTCGAGGGTGGGGAAAGCGGCCCAGCTGTGGGGCTTAAGGAGGTGCTTAGGGTATCAGCAAACCAGGGCCACAAAAAATGCGGGTGAGCCCATCTATACATCGGTTTTTGAAGCATCAGGGTAGAAATCACAGACAGTCAGAACTCTGTTGGGCTTCTTCATGCACATTTTCTGTGTTTGTAGCTTTCACTTTAAATGGCACATGGGAAGTCCGTGGTCTTTGTTCCCTATTAAAGACCTTCAAAGTGTTTGATTCTGGCCGAGAGGGCGGCCTCGATGCTTAGGGAGCTCCTTAAGAGCTTTTCAGACCCAAGTGTGTCGCTTCTCTGAGTCTTTCCCTTCTCGGGTGTGTGGCGCTGCCTCTGTCTCACGACTGTGTGTGTGTGTGTGTGTGTGTGTGTGTGTGTGTGTGTGAATTCTGATGGACTCGGGCTGCGTCCTTCTCTGTGGTGGGCCCTGAGGGGTGGGGTGGGGGGCTCTTCCTGCCCTCCCCAGAGAGCACTGTCCAATGTCTGCCTGACTTGGTGCCTAGAGGCTCCTGCAGAAGGAGTGTGCCCCAAGGCTCCTGGGGCTGAATCTGCCCCCACCTCCGTCGTCACGCTGGCTGCTGTTCTCAGGAGGGCAGATGGAGCTGGGCAAGCATGGGTACCCTCTGGGAACCCCTGCCATCGCAGGAGCCTGTCAGGGAGAGAAGGAGGGAACTCTTAGCTGCGCTGTCCTGAGCTCACCTCAGCTTTCCCCAGGAGAATAGGAAATCGAGGAGGGAAACAGCTGGCAGCGTCTGGACTCTGCTATTTTACATCCTGTTGTCCCAGGGGAAGGCAGGCTCCCTGCTCTGTGTCCTGGGACCCTAGATAAGGGGGTGCTGGGGTCCAGATGGTGTCGCAGGTGAGGCAGGCAGAGAGCTCTGACAGGGCCAGCGAGGGCCTTCCGTGTGGGAGAACCCTGGGAACCCAGGGGAGCCTCGGGGCAGAGGAAGCTCTATCCTCTGGTGGATATGTTCCACACCAGGGTTGAAGGGGACAGGCTGGAGGTGTCAGGCTGAGCATTCTGAGTATTTCCTGCACGAGAGCAGTAACAAGCAGTCCTTGACCTTCACAATGCCGACACATTGAAGGGCAAGTGTGCACGTGTTCATTGTCCCCCTGAGCACAGCCATTCCTGATTACACACTGGACCAATCTTCCAGCCACAGAATCCCCACAGATTCAGGAACAGAATGTACATGTGAGTGACTGAGAGCACATAGATACCAGGCCATGTAAACGTGGGAGCTCCACACACAATCTCATGTGTTCACACATAAACTGTATATGTACCAGACAGCTGGCCATGTGTACACAGGTTTACAGGAGTGACACGAGTGCATTCTGCCACAAAGACATACATTGGCTGTCACAGCACATGTCTCTGCATGGTTCAGTGTCCTTCAAGGAAATATTTGCAGCCACAGTTGCAGAGCTATTGCCCTTTCCATGACTCAGAGCTGAGAGGCTCTTCCTTAGAGGGTGCATCCTTAGCGCTTGGGCTGGGACTGCTCTTAGAAGATGTAGGGCAATGTTGTTTAACTCCCGGGACTAAAGACTCCTAGAGGGGGCCCTCTCACCATGAGTCTAACAGCGGAGGAGGGTTGAGCTGGGAGTGGAACCAGTTCTTATTTAGAGCAGTACAAACTGCATTCCCACTCTTCCTCCAACTTCCAGAAGAGGAGGGGCCGTGGTTCCTGTTCAGCCTATTTGGGATGTAGGGCCAGCTCCACTCCTGCAAATCCCTCTGGCCGATGTCAGGCCAGACACTGCAGAGAGAGTCCTGGGGTCTCAGGAGTGGAGGCAGCTACTCTGCTTGCCTTCGATTTCCCCTCCATTCCTCTGGGAGGACCTTGATCTCTTCCTAGCCCCGGGCTGCTTTGAAGAGCCCCTGCTCCCAGTGCCCTGGGACCCTCCAGGCCCAGTCTCATTGGAGAGAGAAAAGACTTCTGGGGCCGGGGTTGCCATCGGCCAGTGCCAACAGGCTCCCTGGACTAATGCTCCCTGAGGTCATGGAATAGTGGCAGACCTGATAGCACTGCCCCTTTAGTGAATACAAACTTGTCCTTCTCTGAGGGGTTGATCCCCGCCAAGCATGTGGGAGGGACAACACAGGAGGGGATGACCAGTCCTCAAGAGACCCTGACAGCCAGTCCACCAGCTTCTATCTTGACAGCACTAAACTCTTCCTCCCTACAAATGAGCAAGTACAGAGCTAGCTCAGGGGCTGCCCCAGGCACCACCAGTCTCAGGCAGTGAGCCTCTCAGGGCCATTCGGTGCTGAGAGCCTGTAGGACCCAGGAGTGCTGGTCTTGGGCAGCAGGAGCTGGCTTCTCCCTCTGGACAGCCAGGACAGCAGCCGGAGTCTTTGCTCACTGGAAGTTTTGTCAGCCTCCACACTGATGGCCTGCTAGGACTTAATTACAAAGGACCTGTTTTGAGGACCCAGGGTGGCATTTGTCTTTGTCAGGAAGCTCCTGGTGGTGTCTGCTCTACCTGCAGGATGTTTGGCACCATAAGTAGCAGTCCTCACCACTTTGCTTCAGCCACCTCCAAAATACCCGGGACCCTCTCTTCTTAATTCAATCTGGGACCCTGGCCCTGGGAAGCATTCCGCACTCCTGCCTTTCTGTGGTGATTTCTTGAGTTACGTTTCTGAAGCAGTTTGGAGTTTCTAATATTTGTTAAACACCTGGTGCTCCATCTGAATGAGCAGCATTCACTTCTCCCAAACCATAGCTGGGGACTAGTTATAGGCAGCCCCTCTCCCTGGTGCTCCCAGGCATGGCAGAGCAGGTGGGCCCCAGGGTATGGTTGCAGGGACCTTGCTCTTCCCTGACTCACTGGCTTGGCTTAGTGATTCAACAGAAACAGAATGTTGATGATGAGGTCTCAAAGGGAAGCAGTGCCAAACCTAACTGGAGCTTCCTCTGAGGCTGCCCCAGGCTCTGCTGGTTCCCCCAGTGTGTCCTCTGTGTCCTGTGAGCAATGTCTGCAGATGTTGCCTGAGTGGCTGACTCTGGAGGGTGTCAGAATTGTGGCTCAGTAGACAGGAACTACACTGTGCCCTTGACTTTACAGATGAGAAAATGAGAGACCCAATTTTCTAAGAGAAGAGAAGCACTCACCTAATTCAACAGATCTAGAAAGTGTCTCAAGCTAAGACTCACACTCAGGTCTGCCCCTAAGATTTATGGATGGAGCAAATAGTGCAAATGGAGGCTCACCAACTGTGTCTATAGAGACTTAGATGTTCTATATTCAGCTTACAAACTGTTAAATGTGTTCTGCCCTCCTGCCTTGGTGAATATACCTTTATAATGACCGGCAAGGCTGGGTTCGCATTTAGAATTCTCAGGCTCCTTGGGGATCAACCTCATATGTGCTGGGAGAGCCGAGCTGGCCCACCTGCCTTGCCTCCCACCCCAGCTCTAACCAGCACCACGAGGGGCCTCCCTTGCACACTGCACGTTGCACACCCATATTCCATGCACGTGTGTTGCTCACAAACACCACCCCTCAGGCGTCTAGCTGGGCACACAGATGGCACAGTCTATCCTCAGGAGGGTGGGACCAGGGGAGATGCCCACACATGTCTTGCAGGCAGGATGAGGGCGTTTGGGCAAAGAATTCCATGTTTTAGGCATTTAGAGCTTGGTTTGGAATGGAAAGTCGGGGCTGTAGGTAGGCACATCCCCTTAGCCCTATGAACTCTTTGTTGTGTGGGGAGGGATGAGGGACTCTTAATGTGCAGGGCCCAGGGCAGGGGTCCCTCTTGCTGGATTTGAGGGCCAGACTGCTTATGCCAGTGTCCTGACCCCAAACTCAGGGCTGTTGCCCTCCATCAGTCGGCTTGTTCCCTTGCCTTAAAAGCCAGAAAAACCAATCTGAGTCACTCCTTAAATACTCAGAGCGTGGGCTCTGGCTGGACTTTAGTTGTCTAGGGATCCTTCAGGACCCTGGCCCCTTGTGGAGAGAAGGGAGGTGTCTGTGGATGGAAGGTTTTAGCTGAGATCACCTCGTTGATTGACTTTTCAGATATTCCCAGAATGTGCCATCCCCTCTGCCCTATGACTGGAGCCGCTGGGGAACATCTCTTCCACCCCACATGTCATAATGCTGGAGGGCCTGTCTCCTTTTGTCTCAAGGAAACTGTTGTGTCACAGCCTCGGGACCTCTCCCCTCCCCCGCTCAGCCACACCAACACACATGCTCGCACTCTGGCTGAACAGTACCTGTCACAATGCTGGAGGGCCTGTCTCCTTTTGTCTCAAGGAAACTGTCATGTCACAGCCTTGGGACCTCCTCCCTCCCCCACTCAGCCACACCTGCACACATGCTCGCACTCTGACTGAACGTACCTGACCGGGTTGCCTCGGGAGAGCTTTGAACCTCACACGCTCTGCACCATAGATTCTGCCTGCAGGTCTGAGGACTCTGGGTACCACCACCAGGCCCAGGGATGTTTGAGAATGCCCGCCACTCAGTGATTCTATGGCAGGCAGTGGGGTCTCAGGGAGCCACCCCAGAACTCACTCAGGAGACCTGGGAAGAGCCCTGACTCTGTCCTGAATTCTCTGTGTAACCTTGGGCATGTTGTAAACTTCCCAGTCCTCAGTGTTCTCATCTGAATATAAGTAAAATAACAGCTCATAGGGCTGCAAGATTTCAAGGAGCTCAGTTTTGCAAAGCTATGGAGGGGGACAAAATGACAGCAAGTGCAAAGTGATGTTGTTCTGGGAGCGGGTGAGCTGTTCTCATACTGTGCTTAAATAATAATCATAATAATAAGCAAGAGGGCCGTGATGTTTCCCTCGGAGCCTGGGGATGGCTCTGCCTTGCTCACCTCTTGCCACCTCCCTGTTCTCACCTGGAAAGCAGGAGAGCCCCAGGCAGAGGAGATGGATTCATCCTTTTCTTTTGGAAGATTTCAGGAAATGAGTGATGTGGCTCCTGACTAGGAGCACCAGACTAGAAGCCAGTGACTGGATGCTAGCCCCACCTGCACTGTACTCCCTGAGTGGAAAAATCACTCTCTCTTTTGAGCCTCAGTTTCCCCCATCTGTGATCTGGGGTGCGTGGATGAGCCGACCTTTCATACTATACATGGCTGTGGAGTCTTTTAGCTGGTCTGTCCCAAAGCAGAGGCATGACCGGGCCCATGTGGATGTGAACCCCAGGCACAGCACCCACTGTGTAGACACCCTTTGGGCTCCATGGCAGGCCCGGTGCCATTAAGGTTAGGAAATCATGTCCACCAGGTCCCTGGAGGCCCAGGGAGGGTCACAGAGCCAGCACAAGCATCAGATCTCCACCTCAGGCCTCCTGACTCTTGGTTCACTCTTGTTGCACCTTTGGCACAGTCTCTGGTTACAGCTGTCTCTGTCAAATGCATAGGGCAGGAAGAGAACTTCTGCAGTGGGGGGAGCTCTGTGGCTTTGGAGGTGGTGCACATGGCCCCAGAGTCAGAAGGTCTGGGTTCAGGTCCTGCCATCACCTAGAGTGACGAACCGTCCTGGTTTGCCCGAGGTAGAGGAGGGATTCTCAGATCTGAGCCTTTTCCTTTTAAAACTTGGATAGTCTCCTGCAAACTGTTCAGGAACAGTCCCAGATAAACTGGAACAATTGGTCACCCTATCACCACCATTTTCCCACTGTGTGATCTTGGGCCAGTTTCTTAACACTTCTGTAATTTATATCTTCTCATCTGAAAAATGGGGACCATGATGATATCAGTCCCTCACTCACATAAATGTTGTGAGTTTTAAATAAATGAATAATTCCCCATCACGATATCTAGCATGGCACACATATTATAGACTCAAGAAATGTGAGTTGCTAATTAATATTAATTTCTAGAAATTAATTAGTAATATTAGTCATGAGTAATACATTTTCAGCCAGGACGAAATCTGTTTGTACCAAGCCCAACTCCAGTTCTCAACTCTTTAAATTCCTGGAAATGCAAAAGTCAGGGGGAAAAATCTTGGAAGAATTTTAGGAGGCTTCAGTCTAAACTAATGTGAAATTGTCCATCTGTGATAGGAAATCTAGTTAAAAGGAGTTTTGATTAAGTATCAAAATCATGAGTCTCCTGGCAGGCAGGGAAGGCTGCCCTGGCATTAGCGATGTACATGAACCTGGCTCATGAATATTCTCTCCACTGCTTGCATTTTTTTAACAGACTGCCTATTTTTGGAGCCAGGCCACTGCAGCTCAGGCTTGGCACTGCCAAGTTATCTTCACTTCCTGGGCAACTGTGTCCACAGTCTTCTTTCCTGTTCATTTTTGATCCTCTGGAAAGGTCCCACAGCAGAGTGGAGCAGAAACAGGGTTACAGTTGGAGGCACAGGTGGCTCTTGATTCCATCCTCAAAGCTATGTCATTGATTCCATGGGGATTTGGGAGTCTCTTAGCTTCTTCAAGCTTGGTCCCTGGAGGAACCAAGTGACTCCTTCAATGACCCCATCATGTGGTGTCCATAGCTCCAGGCAGGGATGAGGCTGTGGATGGAAGAAGCATGAAGAAGTGGAGGAAAGGAAGCCTCATGCCACATACTGTGTGCATGGAGTCCAGGCTGCCTCAGATGTAAAAGACCAGCTTTGAGTCATGCACGAGGGTTCAAATCCTGCCTCCACTTAAGCAAATCACTTGGCCTCACAGAGCTTATGCTTTTCATTTCTTCTTTTTTCTTCTTCTTCCTCTTCCTCTTCTTCTTCTTCTTCTTCTTCCTTTTCTTCTTTTTTGTTGTTGTCGTTGTTGAGACAAAGTTTCGCTTTTCTTGCCCAGGCTGAAGGGCAATGACACGGTCTCAGCTCACTGCAACCTCTGCCTCCTGGGTTCAAGTGATTCTCCTGTCTCAGCCTCCCAAGTAGCTGGGATTACAGGAGCCCACCACCACGCATGGCTAATTTTTGTATTTTTGGTACAGGCGAGGTTTCACCACGTTGGCCAGGCTGGTCTCAAACTCCCGACCTCAGGTGATCCACCCACTTCGGCCTCCCAAAGTGCTGGGATTACAGGTGTGAGCCACTGTGCCAGGCCGAGCTCATGGTTTTTCATTGTAAACCAGGGCAGGTAAAAACTTTCCTTGCAGGTAAAACACACCTGCCAGGATTAACTGTGGTAAAGAGAAGAATCTGAGATACTACTTAGAGAGTGGGGCACTCTGGAGCCAGCCCATAGCAGATGATCAGTGAATGATATGAGCAATAATAAGAGGTAATGTTTAATGTTTCTTTGTACTGACTTGGGCACTGTGCCGGTGGCTTTGTGTGCTTCACACATGGAATGCATTCCATGCATCTCTGTGCTTTATGCATTTAATTCTCAAAACAGCCTCTTGTAGCATTTTATTACATTATGTGTAATACACTAAAATATATGATGCATATTATTATTTTACACAGGAGGACCTTGAGGCTTAGTAATGTCACACTGCTTGCCCAAGGTCAATAGCTACAGCCAAGAGTTGACGCTGGGTCTTTCCGACTCCATAGTCAAGTTCTCACACTAGAGACTGCTGCCTGTGTTAGTAAATAGTGCCTCATCCTGACCTAGCAAGGGTGCCTCGTAGTTCACCTTCTCTCCTCTCTCACATGCAGTGTGCGGGAACGCTGTCTGGAGGAGCAGAAGCGGAGGCGACAGCGAGCCACCAAGAAGATCAGCACCTTCATAGGGACCTTCCTTGTGTGCTTCGCGCCCTATGTGATCACCAGGTGAGCCTGATTGGCAGGTGTGTCTTGGGACTTTGAAGAGTAAGGCAGGGCCCAGTGACCTTTAGCAGTGGCAGCCTCTCTTGGCCACACGTTCTTCTGCACGGTGTGTTGTGGGGGGCAAGAGTGAACTTGCCAGATTTAGTGAACAGGAGGCTGCTTGCTTTTCCTCTCCACCCTCGAATTCTTTTGGATTCAACTCAGAACCCAAAGGGTGTGAAAGACTCTCTCCCACTCGATTTCTAAATCACATAATTACACCCTTTATCCCAGGCTCCCAACCCCCAGGAGGCCCTAAAGAGAAGGAGAGGGTGAGAGAAGACAGAGGGAAACATCATCTTCCCCAAAACCCAGCTCCCCACATCCTGCTTTACTGCCCACTGAATGCAAGATGGCCCAACCCCCAGGTGTCCCCAACCTGAACACCCAGGTCAACAGCAAAGTCACCTGCCACCTGCACAGGGAGCAGGTAGCATGCTCTGTGTCCAGCCAGGTGGGCATACTTGTCCTGTGGCTCAGGGGCTCTTCCACTGTTAGGCCAGGTGCTGTGAGGCTTGTTGTGTTCTCTACCAGATCTCCAGATCCTCGAGCCAGCCAAGATTGCAATACACTAGCCTTGGGTTGTGTATCTCTCAAGCCAGCTTGCTCTAACTGGAGCACTCCCCACATGTGTTAGCCAGAAAGAAGGAAAATATATATTACTCAATCAGTTTTGTGCACTGGAGGGAAAATAAAAACTCCAGAACTTTGCATCTAAAGGGGCTTAACTAGTTGAGAAGTTGACAATAAAAAAGGAACTTTGATGGTTATTAGAAGGTGGATATGGAAGCTTTCATTGAATCTGGGAAGCAGCATCTGTGCAGGGTTTTCTGTGTGTGTGTGTGTGTGTACGTGTGTGTGTGTACGTGTGTGTGTGTGTGTGTGTGTAAGAGAGAGAGAGAGACCCAGAAAAAGAACAGATCCCAGCTGCCAGCAGCCCCCAGCATCCTCAGCTGCAGGAACCAGGAGGGGCACCCCTGCCTCACCATCACTCAGCATCTTGCACACCCCAGTGAGGAGGGGGCCCTGTGGACAGTTCGCCCTGTTTCCTCCCATTTGTCCTTACACTCAGCTGAAGCATGATTTGCTCTGGCCTCTGCCGCTGCTCCCAGTTCTTCTTTCTGCCATCCAGGAGGCTGTCCTCTACTCACAGGAGCCCCCTGTGGATTGCAGACACTGGGTCTGACTTCCTGGAGTCCAGCTCTCTTCTTCTTTTCCCCAGATAGACAACTCTGGGGTGCCTTCCCCTGTCTTCTGTGGCATGCTGCTTTCTCTAGGGGAGATCTAGTTAGCGTGTGTCTCATTTTGAACGTGGAACCAAGGCCTGTCTGCAGGTCTCTGGATGGGTCTGACTGGAGCAGAACTATTGGTTCTTCTTTCTAAAACTGTCCGCTAGACCTCAGCACCACCGACATTCTATGCCAGATACTTATTTGGTGCCAGGAGCTGTCCTGGGCATCATGGGGTGTTCAGCAGCATCCCTGGCCTCTACCCAGGGGATGCCAGTAGCACCTCCTAGTGAGGCAGGGGTACCTTTCCAGTCCTTCTAAATTTTGATAACTAAAAATGTCTTCAGACATCACCAAATGCTCCCTGGAGACCAGAATCACCCCTGGTTGAGAACCAGTAGTCTAGACCCACCACATCTAGCCAGGAAGCCACAGCTTACATCATTCAGGGTTTTCCACAAGACACAAAGCCCAGGCAACAGAGGAGAAAGGATTTCTGTTGCTCCCTAAGTGAGGCGTGGCAGAGGACTTAGCAGCATGACTCTGGAGTGTGCCTCTCCAGAGCCCAAACCTCAGCTCCCCCACATCCTGCTGTGTGACTTTGGGTCAGTGATGTGGCCTCTCTGGGCCTCCAGAAAGGAGTGCAGTGTTGTGAGGATCTAAGGACAGGGAACATGGAGACAGGCAGCACAGGCCTGCAGAGGACATCTGTGGTCTTCACTCTCCTTCCCTCTGGCACTTACAGCACCATCCACAGTGCCCCTGCCCCGGACTGGCTGCTGCACCAAGAGGGGATTTGATCCAGTGTGGGAAGGTGCATCAGACAGGGAGGGCACACAGAGTGCCTCCTCTTAGGTCCCAGAAGCCGGACAGCCGTGGGCTAATGAGGTGAATGGGCACCCTCAGAGGATAGGTGACACGGCTCCAACTTCAAACTATTGGACTTTTCTCTGGCTTAATTTCATTTCCCAACAACATTTTCCTTTTAAAAAAAAAATTACAGCTAGGTTCTCTCTAATAGTGCCCAGGAAGTAACGTTTCAGTAAAATGGATGATGATGGATTACAACTCAATATGCTCCCTCCAAATGGATTTGATGCATCTTGGGTTTTAAAAACATTCACAGAACAGTTCATCCTCCATGGGGATGAGCAGCACCTTACCCGGGAGAGAAGCAATGCCCAGGAAACCTCATGAGTACAAAATATGTCTGGCAGAACCCCGCCGGGCCCCACTGCCACCACCCCGGCTGCTCCTGCCTTGGCTTTCTCATGTGTGTGGAGGTGCCATCCTAAGAACACCTCCTAAAATGAGCACACACCCACATTCCAGGCCAGCACATCTCTAGAGCACCTTTTCTGTGGAGCATAAAAGAATCCCTCCAGCGGAGGCATGGGTTGGTGCGACCCCGGGAGTTCCCCTCTGCTGGGGACATTGATCTTGTAGTCCTCTAACCCAGATGGAGCACTGTGTCATGGGAAAGGCCCAGGCTCCACAGGTTCTGGGGCAGGAATGAGCTCTCACAGCTGGGGCTTCACGGACAAGCCTTGTGAAGTGGGCCTGGCTGTTCAGGGCAACTGTCCAGGGAGAAGGGACAGCATGAGCCAGGTCTAGAGCTGTGCTGTCCAGCACGGGGGCCACCAGCAACAGGTGGCTACAGGGCACTTGAAACATGGCCTGTCCAGATAGATATGCTATAGGTTTAAAAACACACGAGCTCTGAGACTTAGCATGACACACTCTATATATGAAATTAATACATTTTTGGCCAGGGTCAGCAGCTGACACCTGTCATCCCAGGGCTTTGGGAGGCCAAGGTGGGAGGATTACTTGAGGCCAGGGGTTTGAGACCAGTCAGGGCAACATAGTGAGACCTCTTTCTCTGAAAAAACATTTAAAATAATAACTAGTAATTTTATATAGAATTCATAGTGAAATGATAAAGTTAAATAAAATATGTAATTAAAATTAATTGCACCTGTTTCTATTCACTAGCGGAACATTTCAGGTGACACCCGTGCCTGCCTTCTCTCTCTGTCAGCCCTCACTGGCCTGTGGTCAGGGAAGTCAGGGGTGTGAGGTGTGCCAGTGCCCTTCTCCCCACCCCTCCTCCTAGACCTTGAGCTGCTCATATCATTCTTCAGTGGCCAGGACCTCCATGTCAGCCACTCTAAGAGGATGCTCAGAACTTCCTCCTCCACCTTTCTCTCCCGTCAGGGCCCTGCTCGATGTCAGGGTTTATCTGGGAATGTTTCCTGAGCAGTCAAATCAGTGTCTTCCTCCTTGGGGTCAGGAGGCCTGAAGGGAGGAGACATCAGACCCTGAAACAAGGCAGCAGGGAGAGGAGTGCAAGGCAAATAGAGCCTCCTGGTGGGTCCTCCTGCAATCACACCCCTCTTGGAGCCACCTGACCTTGCCAATCCCTCTACCCCCACATGGCTTCCACAATGTCCAACCAGATGCTTAGTCTTTAGGGTGGCTGGGCGCCCCCCTCCAGGCACACCCTGATGGGCTTCTGTGAATTTATATTTACTGCACCAGGGGCCGTCTGAGCCCCAGCTGTGCATGGGTGCGGCCAGGACCCCATCAGAGTTCTGCTTCCCCTGCCAGGACATGGACTGCCAGGCTGGGCAGGGTGTGGAGGGGACAGGATTAATCTCACAGTCACCTCCAGGGAGCCTGATGCAAACACTTCCATATTCCTTTGAGTCAGGGTTGAGAAACACACATTGCTTGTGAGGAGAAGCCAATTAATGGTAAGGAATAAATAAGATCGCCCTGCAAAGCATTCAGCACAGTGTGGACTTATCATCCACTCTGGAATCCGGATCACTGACATTTCCAGTAGCAATTTTTTATTTTTCTGCTGTTCTTTTCAAGATGATTTCCAAGTGTAGACATCACCAGTCTCAGAAGAAGCTGAAGGCAGACCTCTGAAATGTAGTTGAAGATTTAACTTCTTACAGAAAATGAGCCCTTGTGGAGAATCAAAAGCCATGGGTTTTGGAGGCAAAGGACCCTCTAAGCTATCATGTCATGCAGGGAGGGTGAGCTGGTTGCACCATGCAGACCAACTTTAACCCACTGCTGGTGATTAGCAGAGCACTGTGTTGAAAGCAATGCTGAAGCCAGGCTGGGATTAGCGGGAAAGTGGTAGGAATGGCTGGGAGAGGCACGCAAGCTTGAATTTTTTCTTCGGTTTACCAACTTGGCTTTACGTTAGAATCGCCTGGAGAGCTTTACATCCAAATCCATATCTGGACCTCACACTGAACCAGTTCAGTTAGACTCCCTTGGTGTGGGGCTGGGCATGGATGGCTTTAAGGCGCCTCAGATGATTCTAATTGCCAGTGTGCTGATAGCCATGTCTCTATTGCATCCCAACCCATTTTACTGCTGGAGGAACTGAGGACTGGGGTCAGGGAGTGTTTGAATAATTGCCCAGAGCTATGCATCTAGTCAGCAGTGGAACTGGACTTCCAACCTCATTGGGCTCTCCACCTGCCCCTCAGGCTCTCAGAGGCCTCTGGGGAGTCTTTGCAGACCCAGGTCTCCCCTTCTCTCTTGTGTAGATCTGTGGCTGTGGCATTAAAGCCCATGGCATGCAGAGAGTGCTCCCAAACCCCTTCCCCAGGATCCTCTACCCACTCCCAAGGCAGATCTCCCGAGGCTTGCTGAGCGAGTCATACTCCTGGACTCCCATCAGCCCACTGCACTGCAGCTGCAATCGTGGACTGCAGCCCTGGGGCAGGCAGAAGCCTGGGGGAACATCCAGGGGTAGGTCCTGGAAAGTTCTGGAGCTCCATATGGAGGAAGTCACTTCCTTGGCTGCACATACAGGCTCTCTTGAGAACAGCAGCCCGAGCTGCATCCCTCCAACCTGCCAGGTGCTCAGTGGTGGTGGCCCAGGGGCATTGAGCTCAGCTGCAGCCCCAGCACTAAAGAGGCAACACAGAAGATGTGGCAGGTGTGAACCCTGTTCCGAGTCAGATCCCTGAGATGGGAGACTCCTGGCCTAGATGGGATTAATGGGGACCAGGAGGCAGCCCTTGGGTGGAGCTTGTTTGAGCTAAGAAATGTATTACCGCAACAGGTTCAGCTGGATCTGACATTGCTGTGCCTTCCACAGCACTCCACAGTTTGCTCAGGTGTTTTTCTCCTGGGCCCTACAGCACCCCCAAGAGATGGACTGGGTGAGCTATGTGAGCTCCACTCTGCAAATGGGGGCACCAAGGCTCAGAGAGGAAAGAGACTGCACAGGTCATTTAGCTAGGAAGACTCAGGGAACCAGGCAGCCTGAGCCCATCTGCAGATGCCACTGGGCAGCTCCAGGGCCCCCTGGGCAGAAGGATGTCTCCCTTGCATGCAGCACCTCCTCATTGTTCTCAGCCTCCTCACTGTCCATAGAAATAAAAATCAAAACCCACCAAGGCAGTGACAGGCTGATCCCGGGGAATTCAGAAAGGAAAAGTAAGGACAAGCTCTATCTCCTTAATTAATTCAGGAATGTCCCTTCATTTTTAATCCTGTAAGTCCTCACTCTGTACCTGAAGCTGTACCAAAGCTGTCCAGACACCCTCTGCACCTAGTTAACATTCTCTTGGGTTTTTTTTGTTTTGTTTTGTTTTTTTGGGGGGGGGGGTTGTTTTTTTGTTTTTTTTGAGACAGAGTCTCACTTTGTTGCCCAGGCTGGAGTGCAATAGTGCGATCTCAGCTCACTGCAACGTCCATTTCCCTGGTTCAAGTGATTCTCCTGCCTCAGCCACCCGAGTAGCTGGGACTGCAGGTGCGCACCATCAGGCTGGGTGATTCTGATATTTTTAGTAGAGATGGGGTTTCACCATGTTGGCCAGGCTGGTCTTGAATTCCTGACCTCAGCTAATCCACCTGCATCGGCCTCCCAAAGTACTGGGATGACAGGCATGAGCCACCATGCCTGGCGCTAACATTCCCATTTTAAAGATGAGGAAACTGAGGCTCAGTCAGGTTCCAGCCTTCCCCAATTCCATCAAGTGACTCAGCCTCAGTTCTAGTGTTCTGCCTGAAACCGGCGGCCGTGCCCAGCCCCTCACAATGACCGCTCTGCTTCTTCTCTCAGCAGAAGCAAAGGTTCCTACTTTCCTCCCAGAGGGATGTGGGGAGACACGTTGAGGCACAACCCACTCAGAAACGGAATGCTGCAGTTTCCGAGATGACTGAAACCAAGTTGTTCATGTGTCACTTACACCCTTCATTGAGCTGTCAGCGCAGAAACTAATATTCCCCACAACTCCCCAGTGACTATCTAGGCAGCCAGCCTTGCCGCTTCCACCCGCCTTGTACCTTATAAATGGAGACGTGTCAAGAGTGTAGGTTGACGTCAGATGGCAGCTGGGAATGCTGGGAGCTGGGAGGCCAGGATATTGAGGAAGAGAGGAGGATTCTGCTGTAATATCTGCCACCCCTTTGAGTTGATGGAGAAGATCCCACTGGCTGGGCGGGGGATTCCCTTCTCTTCACATTTGCCTGTTAACTTTCTCAGATAGGAAAGCATAATTCTTGGGTCAAGTGTTTAAAAGAAACATTCCAGTGTTCCTGTAGGTTCTCAAGCTTTCTATTGGAGAGCATGAAGTCTTTATAACCATACCTGTCACTTAGTGAACACCTGCCAAGCACCTGGGGCTATCAGTGCATACCTTATTGCATCTGGGATAGCTTTAACAAGGTAAGTGCTAGAATCCTGGTCTCACAGAAGTTCAGAGAGGTGAGATGAGTTGCTCAAAGACATATGGGTAGGGAGTGACTGAGCCAAGAGTTAAAGGTCAGCGTCAGGCCAGTTGGCTATAACTCAGCCTTTAGGCCATGCCACAACACCAAAGACTGGGGCAGGCGCTGGAAACACAGAGAAGCCACATGTGTATGTTTTCGGCCTGATTTCCAGTAGGGCCACGCATAAGTACCATGACATGAACTCAGATGGCCTCCAAGCTCCTGTGAGTGAAGCAGGCATTTGAGTTTCTCTAGCAAAATTGGTGGGTTCCCCTGCAGTCATCCCCAGTCTCCCATGTCACTGACAGTAGTTTATGTAGCTGGAGTTCCCAAGAGACCATCAGCACTGGTAGCCAGAGCCACTGGCAGATGCAGTTGGCATCTCAGAAAGACAGGACATCCAACTCTACCAGCCAAAGAGCCGCCTGCACTTGTGTACTGGGGCACACGAGGCCACAGTGGGAAACATATTTGCAAAGCTGCACCTTCACTCTTAATAGAAGTCTGACACCTCCAAGTCACAGTCACACAGGCTCTGTGTCCTCAAAGCCCTAGGTCACAGAGGACTCTTCCCAGAGTCTTTGAGCAGCAGGGCCTGCACATCCACAACAGGTTCTCATCCAAAAGCTCAAATGACATATTTTCTGAATTAAAATCCACATGTCTGGAAGCATTTGTAAGGCTATGCTCTCCACAGCGATCTACGCTTACAAATAATTGTGGTTGTCATAAATCATTGGAATCAGCCTTTGAGGCACTTGAAAATCTGACAGCACCATTATTGTGGCTTTTCAAAGTCAGGAAAATGTGTAGATGGGAGAGGGGTCTCATATGCAGGGGATTCCCAAAGATTGATATTCTATTAATAAAATGACTTCTCCATTCTGTCTCATAAAAATTTAAAGCATCAGCTCATTACTTCAAATATGCAGGTCTTCAAATACACAAGCTGAGTTCTCCAGAAGTCTTGGGAAGACCCTGGGCTGGCTGTCCAAGGAATGTTCTGTGGCCCAAGTTGCATTTAGTACACAACGTATGTGTGTGTGTATGTATACATGTGTATGTATGTATGTGTGTGCATGTGTTTACGTGTGTGTGTGTGTGTGAGTGAGAGAGGGAAAGAGGAAGAGAGAAGAGAGGAGAGATGATGGTGGTATAGAAGGTGTAAATAAAGGGTGCTAATTTGTCACTTTAAACTCAGGATTTGAAAGTACAGGTGCTTGATCACACTGAGGAATGGGAACCTGAGTCAAGGAGGCCAGTGGGGCAGCCTGGCACCAGGAAGGCACATGGTCACCGGCACCCACCTTCCAGTTTCAAATCCTGGTTCCTGAATGTTCCGGCTGTGTAGCTTTGACACTTCTCTGCCTTGGTTCCATCTTCTGTACCATAGGGAGAGTGATACTGGGGTCCTGAGATGGTCTCTGTGAAGCAGTTAAGGAGACACAGAGCCCCTGGGGGCCCACAGGAGGTGCTGGGTCAGGGGCTGCAGGGGTTATGGTCCTGTTCTCACTTTGGAACTTGCTTCCCTTGGGGATTCCCATTGTGGAGCAAGATCAGGACACTGGTCTCTCCAGAGGCTCAGAGAAGGCCTTGGAGTTCTGGCAGACATGCCTCCCTCCTGCCTCCCGGGACCAGGACTGCCTAGGCTGCTGGGTGGGAATGTGAGGTCCCCATGGGTGAGGAGCAAGGGTGGGCAGCTTCCTATCTCCATCAGCCCTGGACTGCGGCAGCCAGCTCAGATGCGCCAGTCCCCCACATCAGAGGGGCTTGTCACTGAGAGAGGAGGCATGGCTCCATGGAATAGTTCCCTGGACAGCTGTCAGAACATAGGAGTACAAGCACACAGGGTTTGGGGGTCTGGCAAGATCTGTGGGTATCTGCTCTGTGTCTCACCCTAAGTCAGAAAAATACACATCTCTGTGCTCTGCTTCCTTTTCATCCACAAGCTCTGCGCCCTGCAGCACTTTGTATCCTCTCCAAACCCACACACCCCAGGCTTCCATAGGGGCTGGGCTCTTGTGTCAGAATCCCCTGACATGCTTGGAAGAGGGGATCCCGGCCTCTCCCCAGCTCCATCCCCTCCCCCAACCTGATCTGCTGACCGAGGGTGTGGACCTAACCCCAGGGGATTTTCCGGGGGGAGCTGTGTCAGGGCAGGCATGTGAGCCTTTTGAGCACATAAGCATGAACGTTTCCCCCGAATGGAGCCTCATGTCCCAGAGAGCACACGGAAAGTCATCTTGTGCTCAGTGGAAGGTCTGGGCAGGTGGCAGGCAGCGATGTTTGTGGGGACAGGCCCTAATTTCTAGAGGGTGGCAAGGGGCGGCACCCTGTTCCTGGGGCTGCTAATCTTTGTCAGATCTCCAGGGTTGACCTTGGCATACACGTGCTCTAGGAGTGGGGTGGGGCTGGTTGATGCTGTTATGGCCAGGGGTCCCCAGAACAACCACACAACCACACAGCCTCCCCTGCTCCCCATGGGGTTCTTCAGGTGGCATCTTGGTTTGCTAGGGCTGCCGTAACAGAGTACCGCAAACCGAGCGGCTCTAACACAGAAAGACCTCTCACAGTTCCCAAGGCCAGAAGTCCAAGATCAAGGTGTTGGTTCCTTCTGAGGGTTGTGAAGAAGAGCTCACTCCACCCATTCCCCGAGCTCCTGGTGGTTTGCTGGCCATTTTTGGATTCCTTGGCTTGCAGATGTCTCACTCTGATCTCTGCCTTCGTGTTCACACGGCACTCACCCTGTGTGTGTGTCTCTGTCCAAGTTTCTGCCTTTATGAGAACACCAATAGTACGGAATTAGGGGACCGCCTTACTCCATTATGACCTGATTTGTATCTGAAACAATCGTATTTCTAAGTAGGATCACATTCCGACACTAGGGGTTAGGACTTCAACATGTGAATTTTTGGGGGAGATGCAATTCAACCCTCAATGGGGGCCATGACAAAAGGAAGCCAAGTCGTGCTCTGTCAACACCTGAGCCCAATAACCCCTCACTGTAGGGCTTTCTGCCAGAACTGAGCAGGAGATAGGGCCTTACACTGGAGACTTCTGCTCTGCGAGCTGCCTGCCTCCCACGTCCCGTCCTGAGACCATCCACTAACTTTGACTGTGGAGGGGGAAAGGCATTAAATAAACTGACAACACGGAGGAGGAGAGGCTCCCTTTAGCACACTGTGACCCTGCCCACTACTGACATGTGACTGGGCAGAATTGTAATGCCCCTTTCCTGGAGGGAAGGGCACAAGGAAGGGGTGAGCAGAGCTAGATCTGGCAGGAAAACATGGACTGAATTGTCCCTCTCTAAAAGGTCATCTGGAAGGGATCTGGTGCTCATCCAGATGCCTGCCCGGATCTGGAATTAGAAAGAAGTCGTTGTGGCAATATCGAAACCCTTGCCTCTTCTCATCAACGAAAGGAGCTGGGGGCTGTCAGAGCTAGTGTGGAGCATAGCCAGCAGCCAGCCACGGCAGGCGCAGGGAACCACCTGCATGGGGCCGCGAGAAAGCAGCTCAGCCAGCCACAGCCGGGCCTGGAGGGGGCATCCCAGCTACCCCCCGCCAGTGGCCACGTGGCAGCAGTGTCCAGGCCTGTATTCAGCCAAAGCATCTCTTTGCTTGGAGGCCCTGATAAAGGCCAGACATTGGCTTTTCAAAGCAGAAATTGTCATTGTGCACAGTGTGGACGGGCAAGTGACAAAAGTTCCAGACAGCATATAGTGACCTCATGGGAAAGGGGTTCTTGGAGCCGGAAGGGACCCCAGAGCTTCCTTTGTCATGTCTGCAATGCTGAGATTCACATCTTGGCGTGGCCACTAGCCAGGACTTGGACTGCAGTTAGATGGAGCTGGGCTTCCCATGCAGGAGACCCTGACTTGCTGCTCATCTCTCTGAGCCTCAATTTCCTCACCTGTAAAGTGGGAATAATGATTCTCATTCTGCTGGATAATTGTACGGTTAGAGATTGTACACATAAGTGCTCGGCCCAAAGGAGACACTCAACTGGGAATTACGATGTCTGAGCCAGGTGGAGAGCTGAGACTTGCCATGAAATCTCTGAGAAGGAAATGCAATAGATTTTACCTCTTAATTATCTAAATGGTGAAATTTTAGATTGTCTTGAATAATTTTATTCTGTGAAATCTACAGAGCCTGCAAATAACAATTTTGATCTTGCTGGATGGTTTGATGATATCTGGTTCTTTCAATAAATCCTTT
Source organism: Homo sapiens (assembly GCF_000001405.40). Lineage (NCBI taxonomy): Eukaryota > Metazoa > Chordata > Mammalia > Primates > Hominidae > Homo > Homo sapiens. The sequence continues at coordinate 123,686,168 of NC_000010.11, forward strand.
TGGGAGAGCCAAAATGCTAAGCCTGAATTTAGCAAGGTATAAAAAACTATAGACATTTTGAAAAAGCAATTTGGCATCGCATAGCAACAATGTGTTGGCATTCAGCTAATTCATTGTTATTATTAGGTGTGAATTCTAAATTCAGGTTTTTTTGTCCCTTTGAATTCATCACTTCTCAAAATAGATTTCTTTAAAGTATAGATTTCCTAAGTGTTCACAGCTCCATTTCCCCATTCAGGCTCCCAAGCATATGAGAGGAGACATAGCCACAGTCCCCCACAGGGTCAGAGGGCAAAGGTAGACAGTGGTGCTGAAAATGGGATGCTAACTAGAGGGTCCTCAGAGTGGACTCCTTGAGAGCCTGTTCCAGAAAGGGGCATTTCTGTGGAGAATCACACTCCACCAGCTTCCTCCTCCTCCTCTTCGCCAGCTCTACAGCCCAAAGAAGGCTTAAGTATAACCAATTAAAGATAGAAGCACTGAGTTCCAGCTCAAGCTCAGTTCTTTCTGTACCTGGGTCCTCACCTGGCCAGATCCCCAAGCTGAGAGCCACCACCGCCTTCTATCTGCAGGTACTCCAGGTAGAATACAGGTACTAGACCCCCAGTCAGAGGGGAGTACAGGTGCTGCACCTTCCATGGCCACTGACTTGCTGTGTGATATCTGGCAACCCCTTTCCCTCTCTGGGCCTCAATTTTTTCATATGACAGTGGGTGGAGGAGACAGTGTTATATGATCTCCAGACTCTCTCCCAGCTCTGTGGGTCTTTTCTATTTCATGTTAATGCTGGATAATGTCCAAATATGGCCAAGGGTGCTGGACACACTTGAGAGAGTAAATGGCCTGATTTGGGTGGAGGGTAGAATTCTGTTGAAGGCTTTCCCTGACCTCATAACATGGTATTAGCACCCTTGCCTGGAGCTGTCTGGTGGCACCGAGAGGACTCTAAGATACATGGGCTGTGTCTTTCCTTGCCCTCCCCCAAAGAATGAAGGTCCCTTTAGGATCACCTGACCGCGGCTATTGTCAAAGACCACCAGGATCCGAACCCAGGGAAGAGGCCTTCCTTGCCAGCATTCTTTCCTGTGCATGACATACTTTGAGCTTTGCAAAATGTTTTCAAAATTGTTCTGAGCCCTTCCTTCCATGCAACTTCCTTAGGAACACAGAGCCAGGATCGGAAGCAAACAATGGGACCAGACTCTTCTAGTTAAAAGATCATTGAGACGATATTGTCCCACCTTTTTGTTTTTCACATGAGACATGCAGGTCCAAGGAGTGAACAGAGATGCCCAGGACCATATGACAAGTCAGCAGCAGAGTTGGCGCCAAAGCCAAGACAGCCAGCTATTAGCTAATAGCTGGGTTCTCAGTGCAGCTTGGATTTCAGAGTCAGACGGACCTAGGTTCAAATTCTGCCTTTACAATTACTGGCCATGTGACCTTGGGCAAAGTATCTAACCTCCTGGGACATCTGTTTCCTTGCATGTAAAACAGAGATGGTCATATCTCCCAGGGCTCAGCAAAACCACATATGGAAAGTGCTTAACACAGTGTGTAGAATAAAATACAGCCTGATGAATGTTCACCATCATCATCATTGGTGTAAACTGTTATTGTTATTTGAGGAGGCAGTCTCAGATAAATTGAGGGTTGGGCTGCGAAACCGTGGTCTGCAGGGCACAGACAGGCCCTGGCCCATGGCCACTCCCAGCGGTGCTTAGCTATGTCCTCATTAACAGCTTCCCTGTCTCTCCACAGGCTAGTGGAGCTCTTCTCCACGGTGCCCATCGGCTCCCACTGGGGGGTGCTGTCCAAGTGCTTGGCGTACAGCAAGGCCGCATCCGACCCCTTTGTGTACTCCTTACTGCGACACCAGTACCGCAAAAGCTGCAAGGAGATTCTGAACAGGCTCCTGCACAGACGCTCCATCCACTCCTCTGGCCTCACAGGCGACTCTCACAGCCAGAACATTCTGCCGGTGTCTGAGTGAAGGACCGCGCTCCTGCTGAAGAGTTTAGAATGAGGCAGCGGTGAGAAGAAGGGTGGGAGGGCGTGGGGGCCCCTGGGTGGACACCACCAGCCACCAGTCCCTGGCATGCCCAGTGATCCTGGTTCCCTGGCTTGTAGGGGCTCCAGAGCCTGCTTCCTGGTTCCTCAAGGGCAGATATTGGACACTCCTTATTTGTCACCAAAGGATGACTGTAGGCCGTGTGCTGGCCTTTCTTTCTAAGAAGCTGCTTTGAGCTCCTGGACTCACCTGAGGCTCCCTGGGGGATGACACTCAGTTCTGTCACTGTCAAGGATGCAGAGAGCTGGTGGTAGGTGGGAAGCATGGTGTCCACCTGCCTGCTGACCACTGGACGCTGCTCCATGCTGAAGAAAAGTGACAGTCTCCAGGGGACATTTCAGCCATGCTGAAAGGGAGGCTGGCAGTGGTCATTTGGCCCGGATCTAACATGGCACCTCGTCTCCACAGGGTAGTGGTGGCTGCTTCAACCCAAATATTATTCAGCTGGTACTAACGACATTGTGCCCAGCTGGGACTCTTGGGCTCTGTGCCTGAGGGAAAATGTTTCACAACTAGTGGCTGCCCAATTGCTGCTGACCAGTTGTCTTAGAAATGGTCAATTGGATTCAACTTTAGTCCTCTCCTTCCCCCTAAAAGCGAATGTTTGTGTGTGCAGACAATCTTAGCATGAAAATGGTTTAAATAGGCTGGTCCTACATGTATTAGGTTCTTTCAAGTTTGACTGGGAGGTCACCTTTTTCTGATTTACAAGTCCTAATTGTTGGAGCTCAGTAAAGGTAGGAGGAAGGTGGCTGGTTGGTCCTCCCTTCCCCCTGTTTGTGACCTGAATTTACAGGAAGTGTTTCAACTTGTCTTATGCATCTTATCTGGCATGTCCTGGGAGATGGATGGGCAAGAACTGGCCTGAGCAGGGATTTTTGCCTTGATTTTAAGTCACTGGGTTCCATTGTCCTGGCACCTCCATTTCCTTAGTTTCTGTAAGCCTGTTAACAGAAAGTAGAGGCTATTCAAGGTTATCAAGAAAGTGCCCTGTGCTAATGATGAGACAGTGAATTTTTTTTTTTTTTCGAGATGGGAGTTTCACTCTTATTGCCCAGGCTAGAGTGCAATGGTGCGATCTAGGCTCACCACAACCTCTGCCTTCCAGGTTCAAGTGATTAGAGACAGTGAAATTTTTATGGAATACTGCACCTATAAAACACATGCCAATCTGTTAGCAGTCCTGACTTGATTTAATAAAAACCAAGGAGAGCCACCCCTGCTTTCTGGCCATCTCTTCTTTGTCTACCATTTCAAATTGACTTGTGAATACTCAGAGCAGTTATTTTTCAATCCTCCACTCTAAGTGATTCCTCCAGGGTGGGAAGCACGGGGAGCAATGGAATCAGATGGCTCATTCTCTCCTTCCAGCTCTTTACATCCTAACTTTGGAGGTATAGAAGGAAGGATGTGGTCCAACGGGAAGGAAGTGAAGAGTCTATTGGTTTTTACTTCTAGGCAGTCCCAATTTTTAAAGGCAGAGAAGTATCTGCATCTTTATTTGAAAAGACGTCTTATTAACTCTTAGCTCCTCAGTTAGAAAACAATTCACCTGGCTTAGTCTTGTCTAGTTTCAAAGTTACCATGGAGACTAGAATGGAGACAGGTGTAGCTTCCAAGGAGGCCTTGGCATCTTGCAGTTGCTGTCAGAGATGGGCTCATATCTGCTTGGGGAAGCCAATGGGGCACAATCCTTCCCAATTTCATGATCTGGGGCATCATGTCGGTAGCTGAAGTCAGCCACGGTGGGAGTGTTTATACCATGAAAATCAGCAAGTGCTGTAAATCAGGCCTTTTGCCCCACAGAGAGCTGATTGTGAAACATCTACTAGCACACCACTGCCAGACATGACTGTGTGTGTCCCTGAAACAAAATTGCTCTGGCTCAGAGCTCCTTTGGCCACTCATATTACAATAGCAACAGACATTTGCTTCCTGGTGGCAAGTAACTGTGCACCCTCCAACATCCCAACCCCAGAGGAACCAGTGGGATTGAAAACCAGCAGAAGCCAAGACAGGATGCACAGCTGAATTGGAGGAGAGTAGCTCCCTTCTCACACAAACGCTTTCAAAGTTGGGCAAAAGTGGCCCAGTGCGTGAGGTCAGTCAACAGCCAAATTCCAGCAGCAAAATACATTTTCATCAATATCACTTTGGGAGAATAACTGTGGCACATGCTCTTTCTGCTTTCTCTGTACTGTATAGGCAACATGTTGTACTCCCAGTAGCAACTAGATCTCTTTTACCTCTTCTTTAGCCAAGAAGCAAGATCTGTCACCCACAACACCACATATCTTGAAAAGATGCTTTTCATAATTTTCACTATACCTCTAAAACCAATTGTACCGACATCACGTAGACAAAAACTCCAGATAAATCCATTGATTGGGTATTTTCATTATTATTTGGACACATGAATTAAATCCCAAGGGAAAGTGAGAAGAAAATTAATGTATTAGCAACCAGTGTTAGCCAACTCTGCTGTAATTACCTTTAGATAAATGTTTATTTTCATCTCTATACAGTCTATCAAATTTGCCCCCTGGCTTTATTACTCCCAATTGAATTATCTACCTCATTTTGTTAATTTAATTTATCAAAGGTAACATTGTTTTCTCAGGTATAACACATAGAAACACCAAGATTTTCAGCATCTGAATCAAACTAAAATTACTTGCTTGACTTCACTCCAGGGTGAGACTTGACCTTTAAGGCCCAAACTCTGGTGAACTGTTGGACTGGGTAGAAATCTTTCAAGAAGCTTGAAAATAAGGCCATAAAGGAGGGGCTTTCAAATTCCTAAATCCACATATAGGGCTGAGTTCCTAGTCCTACACAATCAGAATTTGCCTTTTTAAGTCACGCTGCAACTATTCCGGCTTTTTATATGGCACCTTTCTGAGGGAGGGGATTTTACAGCCGAGGGACCTCCAAAGGGAACGTCCATTTGCATGTGTGCCCTGGTATTTAGGGTTTGTCTCATGGTCAGCTCGCCTCTCAAAGATGGCTCACCAATCACCTGCCTGTTTTTACTTAGAAAGCAGGCTTGGGCAGGAGGGGAAATGGATTTGAACCATCTCAGACCAACTCTATCTCTTCTAGCACTCAGCTCAGCCTCCTGTCCCCATGAGCAATAAAACTCTCTCCTTATGTCTGTGAAATTCGTTTTCTTTTTCATGGTGCCTTTCTTTCTAAGAAAAGATAGAAAGAATGGGGCCAGGTTCATGTCCCAGTTGTCACCCTTTTACATGCTTGGGTGCAGGTAGATGAGGCCTTCCCATGGCTACAGTGTGACCCTTGGAGGAACCAAAGGCTGTGCATTGTTAGAATTTAGCCCAGATGCAGGATAAACTAGCTTGCCTGAGTTTAATGAGGATATTATATCAGGTGCCAGGAATCCCTTGGGTCAGCTCCTATCCTCTGGACGGGGAGCATCATGGGAAAAAGAGGTCCGAGTCATATTTAGGGCTTCATGTGTCTGGAAGGGAGCCATTAGCTCTTAAATTATTCACAGAAGTCACCACGGAAGGTTGTTTAAGATGCAGATTCCAGCATCCCCTCCTCAGAGATCAATTTCAGCAGGGCCAGGCAGGACCTGGGTTTCCGCACTTTTAATCATCGATGCCCAGGTAACTGATAGGAGTTTTCTTCAAACCATCCCCTAAGGAGAAATGATCTTAGACACTTGGATAAACTCTATAGAAAATTGAGTGTTTCTATTAATAACTATCTAGGTTTCAATTGTCTTGTATCTTTCCCTAATTCTCCAAACAGTTCAATCTCCAGCTTTATTCAATGGCTGGGCCATTTTGTTCTTGGAGGGACAAAATTGACCTCTCCATGAAATTGCAAAAACCCATCTTCATTCCTTTTTATGGGGCTCCAGGTCATAAGGATGAGATATATTTGGGGTACTGGCAGAGGATGGCAGAGCTGGCTGGCTCTGAGCCAGGAAGCCTTGTTAGAGGAAGGAACTCTGGCATTCAGAGGTGTCCCCTTGGGGGCACTTGCTTGGGTCTTGGATCAAACTCTACTGGGGCAGCCTGGCTGTGGGAGGTGATGACATCTGCCACCTCTGCCACTACCCAGAGCTTGTCCTGCCCTCTTCCCAGCCAGCCTCACACACAGGAGCTGAGCCAGGCTGAGGCAAGGTCAGCGAGAGACAGTTCTCCATGCCAGTATCTGGGTGTGGGTCTCTTGTTGGCTCCCAGCTCATCCCGTGTGGCTGACCCTTCCAGGTCACTTGGAGCAGCCAGTAATGACAGTGTCCTAACAGCTGGTGGGTATGGAGGAAAGACTAGACATCAGGCTATGGACTCACATGGAGGGCCCTGGTGTTGGCTCTGGGACCTGGGCTGGGCCGGACCTGGGGAGAGGGTGGGTGGAGCTTGGCCTCTGCAGTTTGCGCTTGCAGGTTCAGGGGAGAAAGTTGTTTGAGATCAGGGTTTAGGGGTAGTGTTTCCCATTAATCTTCATCATAATCTTTTGATGTAGGTGCTGTTATTATCTCTACGTTACACATCTGGGAGGATTTGAAAGTCCTGGAGACAGGGAGGTTTTGGGGAGAATGCAAAACAGGGCAGGGCTCTCAAGGAGGGTGGACCAGTGACCATGGGGAAACTGAGTGTTTCTATTAATAAGTATCTAAGTTTCAATTGTCTTGTATCTTTCCCTAATTCTCCAAACGGTTCAATCTCCAGTTTTATTCAGGGACTGGGCCATTTTGTTCTCAGAGGGACAAAACTGATCTCTCCATGAAATCCCCTGCACCTCACTCTGGGCAGCTCTAGGCTCAGCAGATGTTTTTCTGCCATTAGGAAACAGCCCCTTACTCTCAGCTCCTGTGCTAACACCCATACCCACCAGCTGGGCGTTGGGACCTCTCCCGTCATATGGCTGCCACTTGCTTGGGAAGGAATTCTCCAGACTCCTTTTACTTTGTATGTGTTTCTAGGGGAATTCTGAGGGAAGAAGCTTTGCAGCAACCTCTGTGCCCAGAACATACGGCTCACAAGTCCTTTGTGCCGACAGGGAATCTATCTAATTGTTTTAGTGTGTGAGGCTCATTGTCAGCCTAGATTTCCCTGAAACTCTGGGCCAGCAGCCCCCAGGAGCATCAGTAGGACCCAGCATTTCCCCTGGCACCAAAGTGGACCTCTTTGCACCTTGCAGCCGGGAGAACTGACTTAGAGGGCCCTGGTGTTGGCTCTGGAACCTGGGCTGAGATGGATTCGGGGAGAGGCTGGGTGGAGCTTGGCCTCTACGGTCTGTTCTTGCAGATTCAGGAGAGAAAGTGGTATGAGAGCAGTGTGGTTTGTAAGTTCCCCAACTTCCCCGCTGGCTCACACTGTCTCCCCAGACCAATGGCCTATTAGCCCCCAAAAAGTTAGTCCAACCCCAGGCCAGCTGCCTTTGCTCTGCTGTGGCCTAAGTTCTGGCCTGGTCAAAGGAAGGTGGCAGGAACTCCAGGCTTGCTCCTGCCTCCTCACACCTCATTCCACAAATGCGGAGTGAAAGAGCAGGAGCCAGACACATTTGGGGGTTGACTGTCTAGAAAGGAGGAATCAGAGGTCCCAAGGAACACAATCGTGCAACTTCCTAGGGAATCTGCATCAGGAGAAAGAAGCGGCTAGGACACACAGTGGCTTCGCTCAGCCTGGCCACGACATCACTGTGCAGAAGAAGAGATCTGTCAGGGGTCCAGAGGAGCGGAGTCCTGGAGCCTCTGGGAGGGTGGCATGTGGCAGCTGCAGGCTGTGGTCCAGAACTATGAGCAGACTTGCCTGTCACTCTCCAAACATTTACTGAACACCTACTGTGTGCCAGGCCCTGTGCTTTGTCAGGCTCTGGGGGAGACAGGTCATTACTCTGCAGTGTGGGAAGCGGGGCTGCCCTGGAAGTGTGTACTCAGTGCTGTGGGGGTACAGAGGGAGGGCTGGAGAACTTAGCTGGTGGGAAAGGAGGGTTCTGGAAGGCTTCTCAGAGGTAGTGGCATTGGGCCAGAACTTACAGTAGGGAAGAGCATGTGGCAAGGCACAGAGGAGATGGGAGCCTGCCTGGTGAGGGGTCCAGTGGTGACAGAGCTCAGTGTGGGTCCAGAGATGGTGTCAGGTGAGGGCTGAGAGGGGAGGGCAAGTGCCCCTTGAGATGGGCTGAACGTGATGATGATCTGTGGCCAGTGGGAGATGATAGAAGTCTTGAGGTTGGGAATATAAGAATTAGGTCTCTTTTAGAAAGAGAGGACATGGAGAAAATCCATATATTTTTAGCTACCAAAAAAGAGAAGGAAGAAAGAAAAGAAATAAGAAGAGAAGCAAGACAGAAAAGAAGGAAGAGAGAAGGAAGAATGGCAAAGGAAGGAAGAAGGAGAGAAGGAAGGAAAAACAAAGGAAGGAGAAAAAGGGAAGGAAAGAAGAAAGGAAGGAAAAAAGGAAGGAGGGAGGGGAGGAAGGAAAAGAAAAAGAAGGAAGGAAGGAGTCCTAGCCACTTCTTTCTCCTGATGCAGATTCCCTAGGAAGTTGAACGAAGAAGGAAGGAAGGAAGAAAGGAGAGAAAGGAGGAAGGAAAATGAATCTCATTCATTTTGAGGGGCATCTTCATTACACAGCGTGGGGAGGGAAGCATAATTCACTCTTAAGAAACCAACCACACCAGCCAGGGCCCATCTTCTGACAATATCCTGAAGGGTTCGAATGTTTGTCTTCGGTAGGGAGTGCCACACATTTAATATCAATGCAGGGTCCTGATGGGCACTGCCACATACCCCCAGGACAAACGGAAAAATCCACACAGCAGAAACAAGCAGTTGGCAAAAGCTGTCCTCATGCTACTTGGCAATTCAATCACCCTCCCTTCACTCCCACACCTATCTCCGGGTGTTGCCCGTACAGTGTGTCATGTAAATAGCATCTAGCATTTAAAGGTCAAATTTGATGAGTCTAATCAATCTTAGCAGTGTTCCAGTTCATCACGTATACCCATATTTAAGGACTTTTAAAGTAATTTGGATTTTTAACTCAAAAGACGATGTGTACCCCTTGGGGCATGCGTGTGTTCTTAGGAACACCAGCGTGTGGTATTTCCTGTGTCCTCTCATGCATGCTCAGCATGTCACTGTTGTACTCATTCCCTGGCACGGAAGAATTGTTGCACATCTTTAATAGAAGCCAAAGCCCATGATTTGATGGTTTCAAGAGCCTAAAATCTGTATTTGGAGAGAGGAAGTCTACTCTTAACTGTGAGAGTTAAGAGTATCACCATCAAGGCGCAAGGCTTCAGTCTTATCCCGGACAATCCTCAGGGATTGGGTTTGATGTCGGGGGAGCATTGGATGCCATCACGTTGACACTCAATTGATTGGGTGACCCAAGATGGTCAGTTTCCTAAGGACCAGACCATAGTGACTGCTCATGCATCGGCTGAAATACCAAACACCCTGCACCAAAAGACTCAGCTTGACATTGCTTTGCACTCAACTCATGTATTACCAAATCTTTGCTTGAATTATTAATAGTAACCAAACTCTCTGCTCTAACAACCTTCGAATGTCAAGTTCCCTTGCAAGCTGAAATTGTTCCAAACCTCAACACTCCTGTTTTACAACAAACATGTAAATACAACCTCTTTTGGAGTGCAGAAACATTTGCGGAGTCTGGTGTGCCACCAACCCCATCAGGATTTCCCCAGGGGAAAATGGCTAACTCTGGATCACAAACAGCACAAATTAAAAAGGTGCCTTGCCTGATGCCCATTACCACCTGGGGTGGTTTTTCTAGACACCAGAATAGGCCAGATTTAATTTTCACAGGCTCATCTGGGAGAAGGATCAAATCCTGCCATCTGGATGTGCATTATTAATGCTGGTGTTTGGTGAGGAAGCTCCTAGGAATGCATAGATCTCTCCTTCTGCCATAGTATGTCGTGTGTAGTGGATGCCAGTAGACAACTTTAGCCACTCCTGTCCGTCCTTCTTCATGGAACACACTCATTTCGCCACACGGAGGCTTTACTCTGCCCAGTGTCCAATGGGAGAACCATCCCTTCCCTTTAGTGAGAGGACAGCTGGCTAAATGCTATCCTCAGTCCTCCTGGAGGCTCCTAGTAATGAGGGCACTGAACACCAATTCTTTACATTCCTTGAATTTTCATAGATTCTATTTTTTTCATGTCTGTGAAAAGTGGGGTGGGGAACTCACACCAACCATAGCTTGGGGCATCCAGAGAGTGGCTAGTAGATGATAGAAGGGAGTCCAGTTAAGGAAACCTAAGGTATGTGCCAGCTGGTTTAGCATTCAATATGGAAATGCACTTTATATTTATTTGCACACATCAAGAATACTTTTGGAAACCAGGATTTAGAAAAATAAAAGATATTTCTTTCCTGGGGACAAAGTGACCTGCAAATGATTGGCTTCTGTACAATGTTGCAATCCCTTAATGTCAGACTCTTAGGAAAATGGGTGGGACATCTGTGTGTTTGTGTTGGAGTGAATGTGCCCATAACCCTGTGCTCCCATAAGTCTGTGTGCCCGTGATCATATGCATATGGGTGAATGTTTGTGTGCCCATGATTTTATGCATATAGGTGAATATTTGTGTGCCCATGAGCATATGCATATGGGTGAATGTTTGTGTGCCCATGAGTATATGCATACGGGTGAATGTTTGTGTGCCCATGAGTATATGCATATGGGTATATGTTTGTGTGCCCGTGATTATATGCATATGGGTGAATGTTTGTGTGCCCGTGATTATATGCATGTGGGTGAATGTTCATGAACACAAACAGCTACACTCGGAGTAGAAAACAAATGAAGCAAAAGTTTAGCATCCTCTCATGTGTGTCAACATTGTAGTTTTACATTTACTTTCTTCTAATCTATTAAACATAAGTATGGCTCCATTTTTTTAGTATTACCAGAAGCCCTCCCAATACGGCAATATTACCTTCTGTGTAATCCACTTGCCAACAGCTGTTTTCTGTTGAAATGGGACTCAAGAATTTTGAATCCAAGGCCAATGCTGCCTGCTCTGTTTACAATGGTTTGTGTTTTGTGGATACATATCAAATGCTGTAATATATTTTTATGATAGAATTGATGGTTAATACAGGGAAAAAGTATATATTGTGATTCTGTCCAATAAAGCCTCCTGTTATAAAATCTCTTGCACACTTTTGATGACCTGATGTAAACACATTTTAAGGTACAGGTTAATTGCCAGAAATGTTAGTTCCACGTAATTTCATGGTGACACCAAAGTTTCTATTTCTTCTCTTTCCTGTCTTCCAATATTGTACCCCTTTTCTCTCCCATTTCCAATGCCCCAGGTGCTCCTGCCCACCCCCGCAGCCTTCTGAGTAGTAGGTATTCATCCTTTGGGGGTCCATCTCTTAACTTGCCCAAAACCACAGCAGCCCTCCCCTTCCCAAACACCCCTGACCAGGGGGATGCGTATTCCCCACCCTTTCAAATACCTTGCAATTTTTGCCACTTTGGCCCAGTTCCTCAGGCTTTGCTAGATGACTAATTAACTTCTTGGATCTCAGAAACAGAGTAGGAGGGGCCTGGGAGAAGGAGGACCAGACTTCTTGGTTGCCTGCTGTGTGCTTGGCACTTTGCTAGGGGTCTTGGCTATAGTTTCTCATAGAGCTCCAGAGGTGGGGCTTCTCAATTAGTAGATGCAGGGACTGAGTTCAGAGAGGTTAAATGACTTGCCCAGGATCACACAGTAAGGGGGCATAGAGATTTGAACCCAGGTGTGACTGATACTAAACTCCTATTTTTACCAAATCCATGAAGACGCTTCCTGAACTTAGAGATGATTCAGCAAAGGCCTCTCTTTTACAGCTGGGGAGACTGACGCCTAAAGAAGGAACTGACTTCCTGATATCAGATACTAGAACTTATAAGTCCTAGGATCTTAGGCAAGTTACTCCATTCTTTCAAAACTCTCTACTATTTTCTGGTTCAAATATCAGATTTGCCTCTTTCTATCCTAGCACATTCCCCTTTCTGTGGCACCATTTCCTCCCCTCCAAATGGGGAGAAGGACCCTCTATTCCTCAAGGTCTTGTGAGGATTAAATCAGCATGGCACATAAAGCACATAGCAGGTGCCTCACATCTGCAGACACCAGAGGCCCAATCCACATCACAGTGGCTCTCACGGGACTGGGGTCCCCCAGGCCTCAGCTACTGCTTCCTTAGGACAGTACTTCCTTCTCAGCCAAAGAATTAACATAAAATTAATATCCTAACATGAACAGCGACTAAGAACCAGAGCACACATGATCAAATTACCAGCATTGCCACTAACTGGCTGTACCACCTAGAATTAGTGACTTATCCTCTCTATGCCTCAGTTTCCTTGTGGATAACACCGGCTAGCATCACTACTGAGTCATCATGCTTCAGGCACTCAGAACAGCACTTGACACAGGGTTAGCCGCACAGTCAACATTGCCAGTCAGCCTCAGTGCTGTCTTTTTAGATAGCACTCTGTCTCCATAGAGGGGGTGTAAAGGCAGGCATGGGAGAGATTGTGGATGAGGGGACTGGGCTGGGGATCCCTAACCTTGTTCACACCCATAGTGCTTACAACATTACAGCTTGATCCATTTCTGAGTGAATTTGCACAGCAGTTTCAAGCCTGACCCTGGGGCCAGGTATTTGAGCAAGAAGATCCAGACGTGATGCAGCCGGGTATCCCGTGGTGCTCGATGGCCCAGCACCCACCTGGGACTAATGCAGCTGACTCTAACTTCACTAAGCCCGTAGAGAATGGACATTGTGTATGGGGCTTCACTCCTGGGAAGTGAAGGAGTGGCAGGGGCCCCACAAACATTCTCTTAAGGTGGGCTCCAGGCCACTGTTCTAAGCAGACGGACCTCTTCTTGCCCTCCAATGCTGAATTTGGCTGTCTTCAGGGGAGTTGTGAGTTTCCTTGTAGGTCAGCCCAGCCCCAGAAGAAAAAGGAATCAGGAAAGCTGCTGTAACTGGGAATGGGAATGGGATGCTTCAGTCTGTGGGGGCCACTCTCCCCAGCATGGGAGCATCTCTAATATCAGCTCCAGGGGAAGACCCTTATGCTGCCTAACGCTGTGAGTAGCTACCTACCCTGAACACCTATCCAGTCCCAGATGCTGCACTAAATACTCCAAAAACACCATCTCATTTAATACCTCAATATTCCTAGGAGGTGAGTGTCTTTCTTATCCCATTTTACCATTGAGGAGCCTCCAGGGATGGAGCAACTTGTGCAAGGTCACACAACTGCTCCCAGAAAGGCCAGCTCCATCTCTCTAGCTCCTAATGCCTCTCCCTTCTGCAGGGGCCCCGCAGGCAAGCTCGGGAGCACCCAGGGAACCACTGTCCCAGCGTCAATATCCACACTGCAACTTACACTCCCTCTTTGGTGACTTTCAACAAGAGTTTAAGATGGATATTTACAGAATCACATTCCATCTTGGCTTCTAACTTATGTCATTTGGCCTGATACAAGGCTCTTCACTCTCTTAGCTGTAATTTTCTCAACTTTAAAAATAAAGCTGGATGTAAGATTAGACATAGAAACCAATAGAATAGAGTCCAGAAATAGACTGACCCATAGATGATCAATTGACTCCAACAAAGATGCTAGGATAAGTCGGTGGGGGAAAGGATAATTTTTCATCCTATGGTGTTGGAATAGCCACATACAAAAATAAATAAATAGACAGACCTCCACCCATCCCTCACCCTATGTGCTGAGCTTAACTTGAAGTGTCTCAAGACCCAAATGTAAAGATGGAAAATATAAAACTTCCAGAAGAAAAGATGGGAGAAAATCTTTGCAACTTTGAGGCATGCAAAGGTGTCTTTGATAGAATGCAAAAAGCATTAATTGTAAAATTAAAAATTGATGAATTGGAAATTCATCAAAATAAAAAACTTCTGCTCTTGAAATACCATTTAAGAAATGAAAAGACAAGCTACAGAATGGAGAAAATATTTGCAATACATAGTCTGGCAAAAGAATGGTATCCAGAATACATAAGACAAATAACCTGTTAAAAATGAGCAAAAGATTAAGGCCTTGCTTCCAAAAAAAGATATGCCAGTGGCCAAACAAGCATATGAAAAGGTCTCAACATGATTAGCCATCAGCAAAGTGCAAATTCAAACCACAATGAGATACCACTACATACCCATTCAAATGGCTAAAATTAAAGATCAACAATACTAAGTGTTGAAGAGAATGTGAAACAACTGAAACTCCCACACATTGTTCTTGGGAATACAAAATGATTGTATCATTTTGTATCTTGTGAAAGAATGTTCACAGTAGCTTTATTTGTAATAAACAAGTGTGTCCTTTAATTGTACTGGTGGTTATGCAAGTATATACATTTATTAGAGCTCATAGGGTTGTAACACTTTAAATGGGTGCATTTTATTGTATTTAAATTATGGCAGAATAGAGTTGATTTAACAACAAGGAAAGCTGTTTCTCTTAAAGGTAAACATTAACTTACTATATGACTCAATAACTCTACTCCTAGGTTTTGTTGCAGGAGAAATGAAAATGTGTCTGCAGAAAGAATGTTCACAGTAGCTTTATTTGTGATAAACAAAAACTGAAAACAACCCAAATGTCCATCAAACAATTGTGGTATATTCTGTTTTATTCCATTTATATAAAATGTTAAAAAAAAAGACTAAACTAATGTACAGTAATAAAAAATAGATCAATGGTTATTTATGTTTGGGATGGTAGAGATTATAAAGATGCATAAAACCGATATTTTGGGGGTGACGGAAATATCGTGTACTTTTTTTTTCTTTTTTTTTTTTAAGACGGATTTTTGCTCTTGTTGCCCAGACTGGAGCGCAATGGCGCAATCTCGGCTCACCGCAACCTCTGCCTCCCAGGTTCAAGCGATTCTCCTGTCTCAGCCTCCCGAGTAGCTGGGATTACAGGCATGCACCACCAC
This sequence comes from Homo sapiens, assembly GCF_000001405.40. Taxonomy (NCBI): domain Eukaryota; kingdom Metazoa; phylum Chordata; class Mammalia; order Primates; family Hominidae; genus Homo; species Homo sapiens. Next base: position 123,701,211 of record NC_000010.11, read on the forward strand.
GCTCAGATAATTTTTGTATTTTTAGTAGAGACAGGGTTTCTCCATGTTGGTCAGGCTGCTCTCGAACTCCTGACCTCAAGTGATCCGCCTGCCTTGGCCTCCCAAAGTGCTGGGATTACAGGCATGAGCCACCGTGCCCAGCCAAGGGAATATTGTGTAATTTAACTGTACTGGTGATTATGCAAGTATTTTGTTAGAGCTCATAGGGTTGCAACACTTTAAATTGGTGCATTTTACTGTATATAAATTATGGCAAAAGAAGTTGATTTAATAACAAGGAAAGCTGTTTCTCTCTAAGATCTCTTCTAGCTCCTGGAAACCTTGACAAATATGCAGAATTACCTTCTCCTCATTATGAAAATTCTTCGCTTTTTCACACTGCCTTAAATTCTCCCAATAAAATGAAATTCATCTATGCTAACTCATCTTCTTTTAGAGCAGGGGTCTTTAACCTTTTGTGTGGGCCTGTTGCCAGCCTGGGAAACCTATGGACTCCTCCAAATAGCACATTTCAAAGAAGGAGGTAAAATAGATAAGATTTCTAAGGAAGCCAGTAATATTAAAATATAGTTACCAAAATATTTTTAAATACTTGCATTTGCAATATAGTAATATATGTACTTTGTTAGCACATTAAATGACAAGATCTAGTGGCAGCCTAAACATTACCATCATTCCAAAATATGAGCTGAAACAATATTTCAAATGCCTGCAACAATTGTAAAGTGATATCAAGATGCATGTGCTTTCTGTTGGTGACAAAGTCACAAGCCACCTGACATCCCTATAATCTATTCCTCACTTGCAATTGAAAGTAATACTTATTTATTTATTTATTTATTTATTTATTGAGACAGAGTTTTGTTCTTGTTGCCAAGGCTGGAGCAATGGCGTGATCTTGGCTCACTGCAACCTCTGCCTCCTGGGTTCAAGCGATTCTCCTACCTCAGCCCCCCAGGTAACTGGGATTACAGACACCCACCACCACACTCGGTTAATTTTGTATTTTTAGTAGAGACAGGGTTTCTCCATGTTGGTCAGGCTGGTCTCAAACTCCTGACCTCAGGTCATCTACCTGCCTAGGCCTCCCAAAGCACTGGGATTACAGGCATGAGCCACCGCGCCTGGCCAATACTAAATTTTAATTAGAAGTTAGTGAGAATGAAGACCTAATTTTCCATCCGACTTCATAGATTGAATTCTGTCTATGGAACCCAGTTTGAGAACCCCTAGTTTAACAAGTGATTTACACCTAGTGTGAAATTTTTAATCAGATTTATTTCAGTTAACTCTGAGACTACCCCCTCACACACAGGAAGGTGAAAAGAAGGCTTGGAGCACCAGCTAGGGAGGACAGGGAGGACAGGAAGGCCTCTGAGGGTGGGCAGAGCTGGAGAATGGACGCAAAATCAAGATGGGAAGGAGCCGCCTCAAGATTTCATGGGTGTGGTGGTGGGGGACCTGGTTTAGCTTCTCTCCTGTTCTAGACAGCTCTACAGAGACAGAGCTCAAGGGAGCGTTTTCTACAGGTTCCCCGTCCGGAATGCCCAGCTCCTATGGGCCCTAACTGAGGCACTAGAGGAAGGATGGACGAGCAGAGCCAGGAGTGGGCACGCCTTTGTGCCCAGCCTTCTAGGTCTCCTGGGTTGGGCAGGACACAGAGCAAAACCCCTTCCCCAACTCACACAGCTCCAGTCAGCTGCTGGCTGTTGGCAGGGCAAGGCCCACCCCCCAGAGCCCACCCCCCACAAGCTGTCCTCTGAGACCTCACTGCCACAAGGGTGAACTCCCACCCAGGGTTCTGGGCTTTGCTTCAGGGTGCTTTGCTCTCTGCCCAGAAAAACATCCCCCAGAAAAGGAAAGACAAAGGGGTGGTTACCTGCTGACCTCCCCACAGGTTTACCCTGAACCGAGGCCCAGAGAGGGGAAGGGACCTGGCCGAGGTCTCCAGGAGGTCGGGGATGTGCTGGTGCCCTGCCAGCCCTGGGCTTCTGCCCTCTCCTCCCCTCAGACCAGCTCCCAGGGGAATGTGAAGAAAGGAGGGCCACAGGCACCAGTGAGGCCACCCTGGGGACAAACAGGTGGTTAGAGGCAGCTCAGACCTCAGACATTATCCAGGGCACTTTTATAAACAGGAAAAATGTGGCCGGGCAAAGAGTAGAGGCTCCTGCTAACACCACCAGCTGGTAGGTGGTGAAACCGCACATTAGCCCTTGGATACGTGATTCCCCAGCCTGACCATGTATTAGAATCACCTGGATTGCTCACTCAAAACATGTCTGCTGGCATCAGGCCTGACGCTACAGAATCAGCAGCTCTGTAGAGGGGCCTAGCATCTGCACCATCAATGAGCAGCCCAGATAGCTCCAGTGTGCAGCCAGGTTTGGGGCCCATGGCACTGAGCCATTCCCAAGTATAGCCTAGGAAGAGATCCTGAGCTGTGGGCAGAGGGAGGGAAGAGCTCGGGGAGAGCATCTGGTTCAAGACACTTGATTCACTTCTTTTTGTTGGTTACATCTAAAACTAAGGATGGGTGGCTGGGGCGGGAGCCAGAATTTAGTCTTAGCTGAGCTGGGGGCCAAGTGGAGTGTGCCCTGAGGCTTGGGACAGGAGCATGTGGGTGGGACTTCCCATCCCTGACCCCCACCCTTATCCTGCCCTTCAGTGGCTATGAGAGATGGCAACCAGGTCACAGGGCTGGACTTTGTCGTCTCAAGCCCCAAGGAGTAAAGCTGGGCAGGGCTTTGGCCTGGATCAATGGCCTTAGGACTCAGCCCACACGTAAGTGGGGTGAGTGCAGCGCAGGACAGCGTCTGTGTTCTCCAGAATCTGTCTTCACTCTGACTCAATCACCAGGGGATTCTGCACCCCGGTCTTAGTAGAAATGCACCTCTGAGTTTCAGTTTAGCTCCCTGCCCATCACGTCACCACAGTGGTCCATGGAATCTGATGCGTCCCGCAGCTCAGCCCTTCCACCTTGCCCAGTGTGCCCTCCTCACCGACAGCTCCCGCTCCCAGCCCCCTGCCTCTCCACTTCTAGGGCTGCAATCTGCTTCTGTCTCCTCCTTGGATCACACACTTGGACCCAGCTCCCTGTTTTGCTCTGGGCTCTGCTTTCTCTTGTGGAGTTGGTGTCACCAAGGTCTCAGGTGAGAAACTCCTTCCTGCCGTGTGACTGTCTGCGGAGAAGTGGGGCACCCTGTGGGGGATGGGATAAAAGGGGTGTCCATGCACTCCAAGCTGTGGCCCCTTGGGTTATAGATCAGTTTTTATCCAAAGACCCTTGTGATGAGTCCAGGCTTGAGTTTAGTCCCTATTCCAAGACATGAGTTTGCATTTCTTCTTTCATTGGAAGATGACATTTCAAAAACTTTCCTTGGCTTTCAAAAAGCTTAGCATTAGATGATAGAAATCAGCTCATGGGCCCCTTGCTTTTAGGTGATGTTTATTCTGTTTCATCCTTGAATATCAATTTGTCGTGCATCCAAACTCGCTATGTCAAACCTTTTGAATGAATGCAGGGTATACGTCTTAAATTAACTCCATAAAACTTGAGTAGCTAGCATAGAAATTTAAGGAGTATGTGAGCAGGACGTTATTTCCCCCAGTTCACCTGGCCTTCTTGCACTCAGTGCTTTCAGCAGCTGTAGGGCGTTTTGTGTGAAGTTATTGACATGAAGGGATGGGAGTGAAATCAGTTATCAGATAACAAACAAGTGCTCTCATGTCTGATGGGTAGAAGAGGGGGCAGTCACTTCCTCAACACGTGAGATGACACTGACTTTGCAGTGAGCTCTCCCCAGGAAAGAGGAGGAGCCCTGGGCAGGCGGGATGGGGAAGGACCCTGCGGGAACCATGGAGGAAGTTTGGAGCTCCCTGCTGGAGCATGCAGCCTGCAGGGCTGCAGACAGAAAACCTCGTTCCGCCCTGGTTTGGAGGTTTGCTGGCTGTGTGAACCTTGACAATGTACCTCTCCTCTCTGAATGTCAGTTTTCTCAACTGTATAAAGGAAACAGTAATAGCTACTTTGGTTGTTTGTGAGGGTCAAACGCAACACACATACAGAAGCCCTATAAAATGCAAATACTTTTATCCTCAGTTCTGTGCAGAGGCCACTGGGTTTACTTATGTATTGATTCTCTCTGTCCTCTCTCCCACCCCTATCCTCCTCCCCACATGCCCTCACCTTCTTGGTTTTGCCCTCCCAGAAGTAGGGGAGTACAGTTATTCGGTTAGAGCAGTTACACTCTTGGGGGTTTGCTTCAGCCAAGAAGACAGTGAGCCGTGGGGATCGTAATTAATGGAGGCAGACTGATTAGAAATGAGCCACTGGATCGGGGTGTTTGCTGATTCATCTTGGAAACACTAGGTCCTGAGTCCCAATCGGCTTCTACCACATTGGTCATTGTTCTACTTCTGCACTGTTCTGTGCAGAAGCACCTGTGTTTACTCATAAACTTACATATTGATTCTGTCTCTTCTCCTACCCCCATCCTCCTCCTCATATCCTAAGTGCTCAGCATGGTGCTAGGTACACAGCAGGCACTAAATAAATGTTTCTTTAATTAAATTCCCATTGATAGCTACACTGTGTGAATGGTACTTTCATGATAGATTTTTCTGTCACCCCTTGAGTTTCTGCAGACATTAGGATTCACAGAGAATGCTGTGTTCCAAGTCAAAATATTCATTATGACACATGCTGTTTGCAATTTCCACAATCCAAGTCATTACCCATAATGTGCTTGGGGAGGAAAACAAACCTCTCTTGGAAATGCTGCCGTGTAGGGGTTGGGGTCAGAGCTCTGCCTCCAAACTCCGTGACCTTTCCTGGAGCACTTCTCTGTTGACCGTGACCAGGAGGCATTCCAGGCTTGGGAGCACCAGCCAGAGGACCCCCAGCCAGATGAGATCCAGTCACACATCTCAGGCAAGGTCAGACAGCCCAGGGACCCCAGGAATGCAGCCCACCAGATGTGTGCTAAGGACAGCATGCTTATTTGGAACGCTGGGTAACCTGTCATGCATTGCAGAAACATGGAGATCCCCCTGTTTGACATTTTCTCCTGTTAATCCCATTTTTTAAAAATAGCTGTGCGGTGTAGAAGTTTCCTCCTGGTCTCATTAGGTGTCTCCTTATAATTGCAGGTTTTAAAGCAAGCTCAAGGCAGAGCCTTTCAGAGAAATTAAACCTAAAGAGAAAGAGAAGAGAAAAAGAAAATGCGTAGGAGCTGGAAAATTGCATGCCTGTGTCTCTAGGGGTGGGCTCAGGCACACAGAGCAGCAGATGGGATCTAAATTGAAGGAAAAATCGAAATGAAACGCAACTCAGACAAATGATCATCAAAGCAAGCCATGAGAATTTCTGGACAAGCCTCTAGCTAGTTATTGCTTGGTGACTTTACCTAGGTAATTGGCTCCATTGTCTCTCCCCAACCCTAGATGTCACTCAGCTGCACCTCCTCTCTTTCCTCTTGGTGGGGGAAGATTTCTAAAAACTGCTTCTTGGGCTGCAGGTCAACGGACATCAGCCAAGAGACAGTTTTCCTCCGCTTTGCCTCCCTGCATCTCCCACCAGCTGCTGCACTTTGATCCAACCATCTGCAAACCTACCCAGGACACATGGGGCTCCTAACCCTGTACTGTCACATAGCAGGTGCTAGTTTTGTTCTGTTTTTAACATGGGCTCATGCTTAGAAGCAACTTCAGCATGGGTGAGTAGAAAGCCATGGGCTTTGGAAGCAGAATGACCTAGAATGGAGTCCATTGCTTGCCATCTTTTTCACCTTAACCTCCATTAGCAAACTGTTGACAACAGTAGCTGAACCCTTAGATTAAGTGAGCTATTCTGGAAGGTTCTGGCACACAACAGGCAGCATTCATGCTAGTTCACCACTTAGCCTCTAGTTTCTCTGGGGTAGGGGCCATATTCAGAGTTTTCAGAACTTCTAGCCCTTCCAGGGCAGCATGAGGCGGTGTGGTCAGTGAGAGGAACCCCATGGGTTTGAGACTCTGCTTGCCAATTCTGTGATCTTGGTCATGGCCCCAATGTCTCTGGACCTATGTCTTCCAGGGGCCATCAGGGACATAGAGACGTCATCCCAGGCCTGCCTGCCCAGCTTAGCTGATCAGGCTGCCATGAATTCTGGGTAGTTACGCATGAAAACAGGTTCTATCAACGTTAAAGGCGAGTCCTAACTCCAACCCAAATTAGTGCCTCAGGACAGCTAAGGAAGGAAGGAAATGAAGGTCCCTGAATCCAGCTTATGTGTGGGCTGTTAAAGGAACCGGAATGCTTACCCAAGGCAGAGGACAGAACCAATGAGATTTGTACTTGAAATAGACAAGACTTTTCTGACCATTAGAGCTGCCTAAAGAAGAGCCAGGCTGTCCCAGTGAGGAATGCATGTTCCATGGCTGCTGGGGCTATTGAGGTAGACACCAGATGAACCTTTCTCATGGGGTCACAGCAGAGTCTCAGGTTCTGGAGGATTTTGTACAGTGCAGAAAGTCCTCCCCGGGCAGCAGCTGGAATCATGTGGGGAACTTGTCAATCCCACTGACGCCAGGGCCACCCCAGACCAACTGAACCAGAATAAGAAGTATGAGCTCTACTCTGGCCCCATCTAATCTTGCTCCAAATGGAGCTCAGAACCTTCCAATGGTTTCCCATTGTACTTAGGACAAAGATTATATCCTTACCAAGGTCTCAAGTCCTCTTGTGGTTCGCTCTCTGCCAGCCTCTTTAACCGCATCTTGTCCCTCTCACTCACTCACAAGTAAGTGTTCTGCTACAGCCTGAATGTTCATGTCACCCCAAAATTCCCAAGTTGAAATCCTCACCTCCAAGGGGATGCTATTAGGAGGCAGGGCCTTCGGGAGATGCTTAGATCCTGAGGGTGGAATCTTCATGAATGGGATTAGTGCCCTGAAAAAGGAGACACCAGAGAGCTCCCTTGTCCCCTTCTGCCATGTGAAGACACACTAAAATGGTCATTTATATACTGGGCATTAGGACCTCACCAGACACCAAGTCTGCCAGTTCCTTGATCTTGGACTTCCTTTGATCTTAGACTCCAGGACTGTGAGAAATACATTTCTGTTGTTTTTAAGCCATCCAGTTTTAGATATTTCATTATAGCAATGCAAATAGATTAAGTCACAGTCCAACTGCTTAGTGCCATGGACTTATCAGAAGTACCCCTAACACATTCACTGTGCCTTTTGACTATTCTTGGTTATTATTTTTTTACTTTGATTAAAAACATAGGTGCACTTGTTACTTACTTCAGGTGTTGTCTAGGACCAGGGGCAGCCAATTATCCCATTACAGAAACCATGTACTTGGAATACTGATTGTGCTTCAGAATAATCCAATTCCATTCACCTGAGTAAAGTAAAAGACTTTATATTCCTGTTAAGATCAGGCATACGAAATGACTGAGTTCTTATTCCGGGAGAGGCTAGCTTGGGTGGCTAGTGGATGGAAATTCTACCCACTGAGATCAAGAACTGGGGGGTGGGAATGATGGGTCCATTTGGAGATACGTTGAGTCTGAGGTGGGTGAGTCCAGGGGATAGTTGGTTGATGGCTTTAAAGGAGGGACAGTTGTAGGATGGGGAGGAAGATTTGGGAATCATCTAGATTTAGGAGGTGGTTGAAGCCATCCAAGTGAAGAAATTACCCAGGAACTGTGTGTTGATTGAGAGAGACTCAGAGAACCTCTGATGGGGCAGGTGGAGAGAGAACAGGGAGACTGAGAAGATGCAGAGAGATGAGCAGTGAGAACTAGAAGGAGCAGGGCCACAGGAACCCAGGTTGGAAAAGCTTCAAGACTGAAAATGGGGCAGAAAGCATCAGTAAGGTGAGGCCACCTCCATGATGTTGGACAGCGGAGTGAAGACAGTGGGGACTATGGGACTGTGTCAGGTGTGGTTTGGGCAGCAGCGTGGTGGTGAAAGTCAGCACAGAAGACAGGAACATGAGTGAGAGATGAGGAAGGACCTCATCTCCCATTGGATGGATAAAAACTGGCTGCTCCTCTCTGCACACTAAACGAAGTGAAAAAGAAAAAGAAAGACAAATGTTTCTATTTTTCCAGCCCCTCACTGGCCCGGAGGCCTCTTCTTCCAGCCTCATAGATTGTATGTGTGTGTCTGTGTGCCTGTGTGTGTGTTGTGTTTAAGTCACTTTGCTTTCAGATTCTTGCCTTAAAACTATTTAAAACAGGGGGAAAAAGTAATGCATCCTGTATCAGTCAGGGTTTTCCAGAGAAATAGAACCAATATATATTAAGAAATGTATTTTAAGGAATTGGCTCATGTGATTCTGGGGGCGGCAAGTGTGAAACTTAGGCTGGAAACCCAGGCAGGAGTTAATGCAGTTGTCTTGAAATAGAATTTCTTCTTCTCTGGGAAACCTCAGTTTCAACGGATTGGAGGAGACTTTGCCCCATTATTGAGGATAACAGTCTTTCTGATTTAAAGTCAACTGAGAGTATATGCTAACCGCATCTACAAAACACCTTCACAGTGACACCTAGATTCTTGTTTGATTAAACAACTGGCTACTATCGCCTAGCCAAGTTAATGCATAAAACTAAACATCATACATTCCAAATCATGCAAACTGCTAATTTCCTGCCTAAGCTTTATCACTGACGGTCTCATTTCTGTTTAACAAGATGAGAACAAGAAGATGGAAAATGGAACAAGAAGAACCTGGGGTGGGGTTCCTCCTCTGGCCCCTCAATAAGTCATGGGATAGCAGCGGTGGCTGCAATAACCGTCCTTTCTAAGTCAATGTTCAGCTCTTTCAAAGAATTCACCTCCCATGGCCTATAAGGCACAAGGAAACCTCTTATTTACCCAACAGTTACAGTCTCGAAGTGACTTTCTCCACGACGTGTTAGCAAGCAGGCACCTTCTCAGTGACAAACATCGGGGAGCTGATAAAACGCTCCCTCCCACGCTCGGCTCTCGTGGTGGATTGAACAACGCTAAATTGGTTCAGAGTACTTGTTGGTATTTCCCCATCTTTTTTTAATGTCAACCTATTAGCAGCTCGAAGGGATGTCCCTTGAGGGCCACACATGTATTATCACAATGGAAGTGAGACGCCACTGAGACGCCCACACAGCTGCCTCTAGAAGATGTTCTTCCTTCCAACTGAACCTGGCCACTCGGGAGTGAACCAGACAGCAGGACCGGCTCCCCCTTGTGTGGGTTACTGGCTTCAGATCAGGTGGAGCAGGTGGAGGGGCTGCAGGGGGTTCCTTGGGATTCCTGTTTGCCCACACCTCACCAGTGGGCTTGCTGCCTTTACCTCTATGCAGCCGTTCTTCTTTTCCTGGCTTTTAAAATCAGTAGGTCCCCAGTGAGCAGCCCCCACAAGAGGTGTGGTTGCAAGTCTACCTGGGACGTGGATCTGAATTTCTTGATCTGACCTACTGGAAAGACCCAGTGGCTTATGGGAAAATGATCAGCCTTGGGCAGTTAAGGGCCCCCCTGGCTGATTCCCACAGTTGTTAAGCAAACATAATTTACCTACTTTTTCCTCTTTGGTACTCTCATTTCAGTGTTACAAGAAAAGAGTAGCACCTCTGATCCTGTTGCAATAAAAAGTTTGAGATTAGGGCTGGACACAGTGGCTCAGGTCTATAATCCCAACACTTTGGGAGGCTGAGGCAGGCAGATTGCTTGAGCCCAGGAGATCGAGACCAGCCTGGGCAACATGGTGATACCCCGTCTCTACAAAAAAATACAAAAATTAGCTAGGCGTGGTGGCATGCACCTATAGTCTCTGCTACTCAAGAGGCTGAGGCAGGAGGATACCTTGAGCCTGGGAGGTAGAGGTTGCAAAGAGCCATGTTTGCACCACTGCACTCTGACTTAGGTGACAAATTGAGACCCTGTCTTAGAAAAAAAATTTTTTTTTGGTATTACTGAGATAAAATGTGGATCCATTAGACCAGGGATTCCTATCTGGGGATCCACAGACATTTTGGGATTTATTAATTTGGATGGTGAAAAAACATTTCTTTGTTTTCACTAACCTGAAATGTAGCATTCCTTCAATCATGAATGTGACACTCAAAAGTAGTATTAGCAGTGCCTATGACTTTGTCACTAATAATAATCATAGATATTTTAATATCACATTACAGTTGCAGAATTCTAAAAATAGCATTTCTGCTCATCACTTCAAAATTACAGCAATATGAGTTGGTTGTCAGATCTTGTGTTGAATGCATTAATAATGAAGCACACATATTAATATATGACACATTCGTTTACTAAAATATTCTTGTAATTGCACTTTAAGGTAGTGGGTTTCCTTTCTAATCCTATATACATTGTTTTGTGCATTGTAAAATATGTTTTTGAGGAATCCATGACAGAGAAGAGATTCCGAACCTCTGCACTGGGTCAATGGTTTTCAAACTGCAAGAATAATCTGAGCAGTCATGGGTCATAAAATCAACTAGCAGGTTGTGACAGCCCTTTTAATTTAGGAAAAAACATGAATAAAATAGAAAACATCAGAGTACGTCATGTACTAAAGATACATCAAATCTTTATCATTGTGTGGTAAGTGTGTACCAGTTGAAATGTTTAAAAATCATGAGCCTAGACAGCAAGGGTTGTAAAGACAGGAATCATGTCTATATTTTGCTCATCATTGCCTATCTCTGTAGTACTTAGAACAGTGCTTGAAGGTAGTATGTGTATTTGACTTCTCCAGAAAGATAGAATCAATAGAAAATATAGACATATGAGAGGAGATTTATCAGGAGAATTGGCTCAGGCGATTATGGAGAGGTCCCACAATAGACCATCTGCAAGCTGGAGACCCATGGATGCCACTAGTGTGGCTCAGTCCAAGTTCGAAGGCCTCAGAACCAGGAAAGCTGATGGTGTCACTCTCAGTTCATGGACAAAAGCCTGAGAACCCAGGGAGGGCTGGTGTAAGTCCTGGAGCCCAAAGGCCGAGGAGCCCAGAGTTCTGATGTCCAACGGCAGGAGAAGAAGGGTTTCCCAGCCCCAGGAGAGAGAGAGAGAGAAAGAATCCACCATTCCTCTGCCTTTTTTTCTTTCCGGGCCTCCAGATGACTGGATGGTGCCTACCCACATTGACGGTTGATCTTCCCCACTCAATCCACTGACTCACACACCAATCTCCTCTGGAAACACTCTCACAGATCCACCTAAAATTAATGCTTTACCAGTTCTCTAGGTATGCCTTAATCCAAACAAGTTGACACCTAAAATTAACCATCGTGATCGGTGCTCAAATATCTGTAGACTAGAGAAATGAAAAACCAAAGGGTAATACCCATATGTTACATTTCTCCATCAAAAATGGTTATAAAGCCATTCAAGAAAGATTCTTTGAGTACTTACTGTGGGCTGGGGGATGCGCCTGGCAATAGAATTTCAATAGCGAAGAGTCTCAGTTTATCCTCATGAAGCTTTCAGTCTAGCAGAATAAACAACTTCATTCAGTTTGGGCCAAAAAACAACAACAACTACAACAACAACAACAGAAACCACCAAAACTGTGAGTCTAAGGTGTTAAACACATATTTTCTGGGTACATTCTGTTTACAAAGACACTGAGGGGGGCTTGAAGATGCAGGTCATGTGGCCTTTTATGTGGAGGAGCCCATGGACCCTGATGAGAGAGCAACCAGGTTCCCATGCGGCCAAAATGCAAGGCAGAGAAAGCCAAGGGTCACAGAGGAAGTCCAGCAAGAAGCAGCACTCAGCAGCTACCAGAGAAATTCCAACAAGCACATATCTTAGGACAATCATCACCCTCTTGTACAATATGAGAATTGCTGACTGTTTTAACAGCAGTCATCCCCTCCTGGCTCAGATGCTACTGTCATCTGGCTGTCCAGCTCCATCTTTCCCTTTTTAGTCCAAATATTAAACATTTCTTACTTTTTGTACATTCAAAATATCTACACTTGTCTAGACATTTTGTATTTCATTAACTCATTTCTTTTTATACCTCATACCTTCTTCCTGGGGTTAGTTCCCTTCTTCTTGAAATATATTCACTAGAAGTTCCTCAGTGGGGATATTTTGGTGGTAACAGGGTCAGGACTAGAGTGAGGCACCTGGGAGGTAAAATTAAAGTAAATGTGTCTGTATTAGTCTGTTCTCATGCTGCTGATAAAGACATACCCAAGACTGGGTAATTTATAAAGGAAAGAGGTTTAATTGACTCACAGTTCCATATGGCTGGGGAGGCCTCACAATCATGGTGGAAGATGAAGAAAGAGCAAAAGCACATCTCACACGGCGGCAGGCAAGAGAAAGCTTCTGCAGGGAAACTCTGCCTGATAAAACCATCAGATCATGAGACTTATTCACTAACACAAGAGCAGCATGGGAAAGATCTGTCCCCATGATTCAAACACCTCCCACTGGGTCCCTCCCATGACACATGGGAATTGTGGGAGCTACAATTCAAGATGGGATTTGGGTGGGGACACAGTCAAACCATATCAGTGTTAACCCTCACTCTCAGGCACTAACCCTGAACTTCACATCACTGAGAATGAGTCCTTCTCAAATTTTATGTTCCTGGCACCTCACTTGCCTCACCTAGTTCCAGCCCTGGGTGGTAAATGTTCTGTTTTTATCTAAATGTAGGTAATTCACTCTTATTCTTGAAAGCCAGTTTCACTGGCTGTACAAGGTTAACGTTCTTTTATTTATCCAAAGATGTTTTTCCACCATCTTCTGGTTTCCAAAGATGATGGAATAATATTTTTGCTGCTATTGAGAAATCTGCTCCCAGTATAACCATTTTTTTCTTTTGTTAGTAATTTGTCTCTTCTTTCAGGCTGCTTTAAGCCATTCTATTTGTCTTTGGTGTTGAGGTTTAACTGTCACACATCTAGAAGTGGATTCTTTTTAGCAGACCAGCTTAAAGGATTTAGGAAGTCAGATTTTTTTCCTCCCATTATTTGCAGAAAATGTTCAGCAGTAATCTCACTGAGTATCATTTTTTCCCCACTCTTGCCACGATCTCCTTTGAACTTCAAAACCTATCTATTGACTAGCCTTACTTTACCTTCTACACATCTTAATTTCTCCTTTATATATTTTTTTATCTCTTTTTGTCCCTCTGATGGTTTCTGGGTAAATCCTTCAGATCTATCCTCCATTTCACAGTGATCTCTTCTGCTATGTCAATTCTGATCTTAAACTTCTCCATTACGATCTTAATTCCTATAATTATATTTTCAATTTTCAAAACTTACTCTTGCTTCTGGTCATTTTTTATAGTCTCTTGTACCTTACTTATGTTAACAGTGCCTTCTGTATATACTTACTGTATATTTGGAATTCATACTTTCATTATTAAGTGTCATCGTAGCTCTGTTCTGTTATATGTTGTTTGGTCTGACTCTGGCTCAAAGGGCTTGTCGTCTTGCTATTTTGTAATTATTGTAAACAGGGGACTCAAACTTACTGGCAGTCTTTTTCTGGGAGTTCTGAGTAACCGCATAGTGTGTCCTTCCTGGGAGGACTTGTGTTTGTTCCTGCCAAGCTCTTAGGGGGCACTGAGGACCTGGGTGCACTGTAAATGAAATGTTCTCCCTTAGGTCTCTTGAATTACACCAATGATGTAACTTCTCCAAGGGTCAACTTCTGGTAACAATATTTTAGGGGAGGCTTTAAAAAAGATAGTCCCTCTTGGAGCCAAGTATGAAGTAGATGGGTTTCCATGGCGTTCAATGCTATTGGGCAGGTTTTCTCCTAGTTCATACATGATCTCATAGCATGACTTTACTGAGTCCAGTCTTTAAGCAGGAACATCCCAGTCTGGGCCCCTGCCCTGCACAGAGCACAGAAGCTCTGGGCCACGTGGAGCAGCAGGTGACCCGAGTGAGTGGCAGCAGTGATGCTGTGCTCTGTTATCTGCCTGGTCTCCAGCTCCCACCCTATCCCTAGCCTCAGGAACTGTCTGCTACTACAAAAGGTTCAAGAGCTTTGAAACTGAGTTGGGGACATAACTAAGAGCTAATCTGTCACCTGTGCCTATATTTCTGGGCACAATTCATTTAGTCCATAAAAATTTATCAAGCACTTGTGATGCACAGTTACATGTTCTAGACACAAATGAATCTATCAGTGAACAAACCTGAGAAAAATCCCTGTGATTATAGAGCTTACTTTCTAAAAGGAGGAGAAAGACAAAATGAATGGAGAAATTACATAGGAAGTTATAAAGCAAGAAATATGTTAGAAAAAAACTCAACCAAAGAAGGGATTTGAGACTGCTGAGGGCACATATTTCAAAAGGTGCTTAAGAAAGACCTCTTTGAAAAGATATCATTTAAGCAAAAACCTGTGAGGCAATGAGCCATGCTAATGTCTGGGAAGAGAAAACAGCACTTGCAAAGGCCCTGAGGTTGGAGTGGGTTTGGCATCCTTGAGGCTGGAGTGGAGAAGCGAGGGAGTGTGGAATGAGGGCAGGAAGCTGGGGAGGTCAGAGGATGCCAGACCATGAAGCCCCTGTGGACCATGGCAAGAACTCACGTTTTCCTCTGCATGAGATGAGAACCCCTGGAGAGATTGGGGCATAAGAGTGACATGGTATGACTTAGATTTAATGGGATTCCTCTGGCTGTTGGGTTGGGAATAGATGAAGGTAGAGTGGAAACAGGGGGAGAGGTCAGGGGAAGCCAAGGTCTTGACTAAAGTTGATGGAAGCTCAAAGCAAGGTGGTATTTCTCAATGGGACTCTGGGTCTATTTGGGAAGAAGTACCAAGGGAAGGAGCTAAGGAATTGGCTTGGGGTATGAGAGAAAGAGCCAAGTCAAGTAGAACAGCTCTAGGGTTTTTGCCGAAACAGAGGAAGGATGGAATTGCCACCCACATAATGCGGGGAAAACTGCGGGAGGAACAGACTGGGTGAGGAGAAGTCTGGGCTCAGCTTGTTGAGTTTCAGATACACAAAGGACAGTTAAGTGGGCCTGTCCAGGAAGCAGATGGATGGGCAGGTCTGAGGTCAGAAGAGTGGCCTGGGCACAGGACAAATTTTGAAGTTATCAATGTTGTGAGATCAAGTAGAGTTAGAGAGAAAAGGTCTAAGGTCTGAGTCCTGACCTCCCGACTCCACACCCACTTGCAACAAGAGCTTTGAGTGCCTAATGCAATAATAGTACCTGGACATGGGTATAGTCTTTTAAAATAATGCAAAGTTCTTTTGCAACTACTATTTTGGCAGACACCACGCGAATACTTTTTGTGTGGCCGATTATAAAAAGCTTCACAATCCAGTCCTAACCCATCTTCCCAGCCTTGCTGAGTCCCCCTAGCCAGCCCGATTTCTGTCTAGTTCTGATCAGGCCATTTCCACGTGCTCCTCCTTCTCTTGGCAAACTCTCTTTCCTCTCCTGAAAGAGCTCTTCCCATTTCACCGATTGGCAAGTGATGTTTTGTTGAGAAGTAGATCACCAGGCACCTCCTGGATGAGCTGAACTGCAGGGGCTGAGGGTATCAGGAGACAAATTCAACCTAGGCTAGGACAAGAGTGGCAGGGAGGCATTACTGGCTTAAGTAACCAAACCACAGATAGAAAGGAGAGGTACCTGGCCAGGTGACAGATCATATGGCTATCAACACTGACCAGGGGGTGGGCACTATGGGAAGACAGATGTCCCATTCTCTTTGTGGCTAGAAGGAGCCAGCCTTGGCAGAAAGGAAGCTAAGCAGGTCTCTCCAAAAAGCCCAAGACTTTCCTGAGATCTGGGCATGGAGGTGGCTCTGTTCGTGGCTCTATAGCACTTTGCAGCATTAGGCACCACGTGCTCCAATTCCTGGTTTACTTATCTGCTTCCCCACTTAGACTGTAAGCTTCTTGCAGAAAAGGACCGCATTTTGTTCAGCAGCATGTGGACTAGTGCCTAGCAAGGAACAGGTGCTCAGTATAAAGGTTTACAGAGAAACAACAGAAATAGATTCCTAGATAGAGAATGTATGCTGGAGACATTCATACTACAGACACACAGATATTGCCTCAATTTAACTTCCTCTCCCAAACAAGTCAGAGGGATTCCAACATCAAGAGGAATGCCTTGCACCTGACAGCACTAAGACCAAGCTCCATGAGACCCAGGTCATATCTCCTACTTTGCTTTTGCTACAGCCCAAGCATTTGCACCCAAGCCATTTGCATTCACATAACTGAAGTTGTGATGCAGTCTAGCCTCTGAGCTTAAAAGTTAGCAGATGCCAGCCACCAAGTGGCCCCAGCCAGCCTTCAACAGTGAGGTCCCATTCACAGGAGGATTTGTGGTCAGCCAGCCTGGTTCAGGCTGTTCTGGAGATTTGTCCTGCGTTAACCCCAGGGACATGTGGTGGCGTTTCACTGTGATTCCCAGGGGTACACCGTTTCTCATAAGACAGGACCGACTATGCACATGTCTGGATACACACCTGCACACACACACCACACACACCACACACCACACACCACCTATCTGTGATCTCACAGAAGAGCCCCTGACTGTCCCTTGACTGCAAAGGAAAGGTGCCGAGACTTCAGAAGCTCAGTCTGTCTCCATCCTAGGCTCTATGGAAACCTTGAAACCAGACATGACTAGGCCAAGCTGAGTTATTTGTCTCCTAAATAAGGAGCTACATCAGAGATCAGCCCCTGGGGCTATGAGTTAATAAGAGAAGAACTTTTCAAATAGACATGCACAACACTTCTCTGCCTTTAAATACTGGGGCCGTGTAGACTAGGGACAGTTCCTTCACGGAGAACCAAATGTACTTCTATGTCACTATTGCCAGTGTTGGGCTGATGCCTGCAGAGGTAGGAATATCTATTAATATTATAGGGCCACTCTTTGGTAATGATAATAAAAATAAAATAATTATAGCTACGACTAGTTGAGCACTTCCTATGTGCCAGGCAGTGGGTGAAAGGCTCTACCTAAAATTATCCTCTGTAATCTACATAAAGCATTAATCTTTCTTTCTGTAAATATCCTCAGATTCCCAGATCCACTCATTTCTTCCCTCTGCTGAGAGTTCCCTGTGGTCTAGATGTTCTGGGGCTGCTGCTTTGGGCTTCTCTGCCCTATGCCTATTTGCCATTCTTCTGGTAACTGCACTTTGACTTTCTTCTGGGAAAGCTCTTCCCTACTCACTGGGTGGTATTGTTTAAGAGCTGACTCCATCCCAGCTCCATGGCTGGACATATGGCCAAGGTCTGGCTGACTGGCATCTTCCTTGGTCACGGTCATACTATTTCACAGCTGGACACTTGGCCCAACTCAATCCTGTGAAGAGCAACACCAGGATATTTGTAGAAGACATTTATAAACAGGCCTTGTGTTATACCAGAGTCAGTAAGCTAGCAAGATGTAAGTTTGGAATCGTAGGAACTTATTTAACTGTTGCTCTATAACAAGCTACCCCAAAACTCAGTGGCTTAAAGCAACAACTACATTATTAATTTCCATGATTTTGTGGCTTGGCTGGGATCAGCTGGGAGGTTCATCTGCTGTATGTGATGAGGGTTGGGCTGCAGCCATGCAGGGGCTCTCCTGGGTTGGAGTATCCAGACGACAGGTGAAGCAGGCTGTTGGCTGGGAGCTCAGGTGTGACTGCTGACAGGAGGTTCTCTGTTCTCTATGCAGCCTCCCCATGTGGCTTGGACTCCACAGTTTGGCCAATGAGCTCCAAGATCAAGCGTTCCAAAAGGTCAAGTCCCAGTATGCAAGCACTTACCAAGCTCTGCTTGTCAGTTCAATAATGGTATGTAAATGAAATCATACAGTACGTAGCTTTGAGCTTGTCCTTTTCACTCACATAATGACCTTAAGGTCCACCCAGGTTGCTGTGTGTACCAAGAGTTCATTCCTTCTTATTACTGAGTAGTATTCTATGGTTTGGATGGATCACAATTTTGCTATCCATTCACTTCTTAATGAACATATTAGTTCTTTCCAGTTTGGGGCTATTATAAACAAAGCTTTTCTGAATATTCGTTCCTATACACCTCTTTGTTATCAACATACATTTTCATTTCTCCTGGATAAACACCTATAAGTAGAATTGCTGGATTATTTAGTAGGTTTATGTTTAACTTTTTAAAAAATGACCAAACTGTTTCACAGTGTTAGGCCATTTTACATTCCCATCCGCAGTGTAGGAAAATTCTAGCTCCTCTACAACCTCACTAACACTTGGTATGGTAAAGTTTTAAAAAATTGAAGTCATTCTCATAGTTGTTTTGCAGCATCTCAGTTGGTTTTAATTTGCATTTTCCTAATGACTAATGATGTTGACTATATTTTCATAGGCTTATTTACCTTCCATATATGTTCTGTGGTACAGCTTGCTCAAATTTTTTCCCCATTCTTTAATTGGGCTCTTTGTTTTCTTATTAATGAGTTTTGAGAGTTCTATAAGTTTTTTTTTATAAGATATATCCTATGCAAAGATTCTCTCCCAGGAATAGATTATAGACCTAAATGTAAAATCTAAAGCCATAACACTTCTACAAGAAAACAGAGTTGAAAATGTTTGGGACTTCAGGTTAGGCAAATATTACTTAGCCGCAAAACCAAAGGCAGGTTTCACTAAGCAACAAATTGATAAACTGGACTTCATTAAAATTAAAAACTGTTCTTCAGAGGACAATTTTAAGGTAATAAAAAAAGTTGACACTATTTTAATTTTATTTTATAAGTGAGTATGTTGAGCTGTATAAAGATTGACCGATTTGCTTAACTTAGCTAGGAAATGAGCCTCCAGGCCTTGGGCCTGGGTCTGAGTCATTCCAAATCACATGCTTTTAGTTATTTTCTAGTGTTTCCTGAAAATGTACAAAGGCTTCCATTTCTTCTTTAGAAAATGATAGCAGCTCTGTAAAGCACTTCCCAGTAACTCAGAGGGGGCAAAACACTCAGAAATATTTCCAAAATCCAAAAAGAGAAGAAAAAAGAAAAGACACATTTTTGACGGGGGGAAAAAACACCACCCACACGTACAACTTAAATACTCAGAAAAATTTCATCAATATACTCAAAATTGTATCATCAGGGTGCCAGCTGTTGACTCTGCTACTTGGGAAGCTGAGGCAAGGGGACTCCTTGAGGCCAGGAGTTTGAGTCCAGCCTGGGCAGCACAGCAAGACCCCATCTCTATTTATTTTAAAAGCCTTAAAAATAATAACCCCTTCAGGCCCTTAGGAGGAAATGGTGAGGTCTACTTTAGAGAAATGGTTTCCAGCTAAGCCTTCCAGAGGGGGGTCTTCTTTCACCGTCACCCAGGCCCCCACTCTGTTGGTGAAGATGACCAAAGCTCTAAGCCTGGCCCGTGAATAACTGCCAGAAAAGACTTAATAGGATAAAGTTGGCTGACTCATTCTGATACCAACAGCAAGGACCCTGGAGGAGGAATCCACCTCTCTTACCTTCCCTGACTTTACTTCTAACTCCTCAGAACAAAGTTGGGTCTCACTGTGGGTGCAGAGTCCACTCTGAAGCTCCAGGGTCACCTTCTAAGTCTGCCAGGGTTGGCCCCTGGGGATGCAGGCCAGGATTAAGAAATAAACCTGAGTGCTCCCCACACAGTCCTCTCCACTGAGTTCCTGTACAGAAGAACAAGGTTGAGATAAGAGCCAAAGGCGATTCTGAAACGGACAGGAGGGCACAGATGGGGAGTTGGTGGAAGAAGATGGTGGAAGGGAAGAAAAGTATCAAGAGTTCCCTTAACTGGGAAACCTTAAGAGAGGTGAGTGGACAAACACAAGTGCAATAGGGGGTGAAGTGTGTGAAGGAGCCACTGTTCATAAGCACCTGCCTTTATGGACGCGGCACTTTCATCAGCATTACACCAATCCCGAAGAACTTTCTGCAGATATACTGTTCTCAGAGAAGAATTCACAGCAGTTAAGAAGTGTTTTGTACATCAGGCATTTTATAAACATTATTATATTTAATCTTTTAACAGCCCTGAAGTGTTGGTGTTATTATTCCCATTTAAAAGATGAAAACATTTAAGCTCATAGAGGTTAGGATCTCAGGCTTAGCAAAGTGTCAAATCCAGACTCAAATTCAACCATTCCTCTGTACCAAAGGGATGTTTCTGCCCTAAAGTGGGATGAAAGTCACTGGGAAGGCTCCCAGGGCCATGCAGAATCAGCCCTAATTAACACGGAAAGAAGACAGAGCTGACTTGTGGGAGCCCATAGAAGACAGGCGGGCAGGGCAGAGGATGCAATGGGGTGGCTGAGAGTGGGTGAGGGGCTTCCACAGGAAAAGAGAAGCAGGAATTTGGGAGTGCATCATAGGGTGCCTAGGTCTCTGGTCATGCTGCCTGACATTAAGGGCTGGTGACACAGCGCTTTCGCTCTGGGACTCTCTGCTGCAGGCACTGTAAGCCAGCCTCAGGCATGAAGCGTCCTCTGGGGGCTCAGGAAGAGTCAGGCTCTCCTGCTTGGGGGAGTTAGGTCCATTTGCTCCTGGGAAGTCCTCTCCAGCATGCTGACACCTCGGGCGTCTTCTCCCCAGCCTCCCTGGACTTGGCTCTTTGTTGAAAACAAACAAGTACCCAAACTACCTTCTGTCACCAAAGACTGCCAGAATCCCAGGCTCCTGTGGGGACCAGCTGGCTCCAAATCAGAGGTAACACAAGACCTCCCTGTCCAAGAATATCTGACTCCCGCATGCCTGAGCATGGCCAAGACATTTCCACAGCGATCATGAAAAGTTGTGTTTCTAGTGACTAAACCTGAATCTTTTATCACGTTCAGTGTCAGGCAATAAGATGAGAAATCAGCATGTGACCAGAGGAGGTCAGAATGACCTACCTTGTCATTCATGCCTGTGCTTTTATCCTTCACTAGATCCTCAAGAAAAGTCTTCAGTCAGATGCTCCTGTGCCCCAACCCAGACCAAGAGTCATCTTGACATTGCAAAGTACAGTTTTACACAAACATTCTGAATTTAAAAAGAAACCCCACAGCCTGAGTTTTGGTGGTAGAAGCGTACTATTACATGTTCAAGGGCTTCTTCTCCTTCTCATTTTCTCAGACACAGACTCAGGAAGGACACTCAACCAGCAATGCAAAGACTTACGAAGAGATTGATGAGATCTGGAAAATACAAGCAAATAAGGTGCATCTGTGAGCTGAAGCCATAAGGTGGAACATGGGTGGAGGAGAATGGGAAAGTGGGTGCTTCTACAATGGAATATTGGGGGGTTGCTCCCAGAAAAAGGTGATTGCTGGGCTGCAAAAGCAGCACACAGCTCTGTGGAGACAGGGATTCTTGCTGTCTTCTTGACCACTGCGTCACTGGCACCATGTGGTCAAATGAGTGTGTGTTCCATTGACAGTGCACTTGACCAGCAGCATGATCGAAATCAAAGAAATGTGTCAGCTGAGCTTGATCCCTCACATCCAGCAGTCCCCAAGTCCCTGCTGCCTATTACCTTCAACATAGCATTTCCTTTAAGGCCATAAAATGTCAAAGGGGGAAATGATTTTCCCCAGGTTGTAAGGGGCCCAGCAGAGTTAAAAGTAAGGAGGACTGTCTGCTGACAGGCGCCGCTCCTGTATACCCAATATGAGGCCATTAAATTTTGGAAAGTGTAGTTAACTTGGGGGATCAGTACAGAGACCCCCCATATACACAGGGTACAGCATGGAGTATATCCATCACGGCAGGAGACAAATTTCCCTGCAGCACTTGTTAAATTTTATTAATCAGACTCAACACGTAGTGCTTAAAGGGAACACAGAAGCCCAGTTATGTAAGGTAGTTTTATCTAGATCACTTATAAGAACTTGAGGCAGCAATGACCAGATCATGTTGTCCCTGCTTCCGGTCAAGGGCGCTGTTAATGGAACACACACTCATTTGACTACACAGTGCCAGCGACGCAGTGGTCAAGAAGACAGCAAGAATCCCTGTCTCCACAGAGCTGTGTGCTGCTTCTGCAGCTCAGCAAACACCTTCTTCTGGGAGCAACCCTCCAATATTCCTCTGTAGAAGCACCCTCTTTCCCATTCTCCTCCACCTGAGTTCTTAGGAAAGGTAACCTCCTTTTCCTAGCCCCAAGGGAAAGGGAGGACACATGACCCAGGCCTGGCCACTTGGAAAATTGCAATCTCTGTGCCAAAGAAACTGGGACAGAGATGGGCATGCTATCCACATTTGGAGTATCCCTGGTCAACCCAAAGTCTTTCTTTGAATTATTGAAATGAAGTGCTTTCCTCTGCAGGTCTTTTAAGATGGTAGGATGAAAGTGTGATGCTGCTAAGACTTATCTCTAATGCTGTTTTGAGAATTTGTTCAAAGCAACTTCAGAGGAAACCAGAGACAAGATGTAAAGAGAGGTTCCCAATGACATCATCTATGCCCAGATTCAGCCATGCATGATGTCCGCATACCCCTTGAAGTTTCTGTCTCCTTAGCCAATGAATTCTCTTGTATCTTAAGCCTGCTTCAGTTGCTTTTCTGTAGCTTCCAATGGAAAGAGCCCTAACCTCTATAATGAGGATGCCTCTGGACTTGCAAATGGAGCTCCATTGGCAAGCAAAGTCAAGGAACAAGTCAAACCCCTCCCACCCATGGTACCCCAGTTTTCCACTTATACTTAGACCACCCCCAGCTTTAGTTCCCACCTCTCCATCCCCCCATAACCAGCGCTACTTCCCCTCCCACAATGGCCCTCACTGGACTCCTAACAGCTCAGGTCCCTCTGCTTTGCCAGATGTCCCTGCCTCTGTCCCTTTCCCTTAGAATGATTTTTGGTGCCAGATACCACATCTCTGGGAAAGGCCTCCCTCATGCTCCCTTCCCAGACCTCAGGGGATACGCTTCCCACCCAGCCTCCCTGCCAGGAGAGGAGAGCCAGGCAGAAGCAACACAGTCTCTTGTGGAACTTTTCTAGGACAGAAAGGCAAAAAAAAAAAAAAAAATCCTACATGCAGAAAACAGAATACAGCTTTTCCTATTGAGCATCAGTAAAGAGTAGGGGGTTACAAAAACAGTTTAACACACACACACAAAATCCTTTATTTGAATTGCTTTGAGACAAATGTGACTTGTTCCCCCAAAAGTTAATTTTAAAAAAAGTGATCCTTGTAATGTAATCTCTTAGAGCTCATATTTCCCCGGGACAGTATTTTAGGGACTGACTTCAGCTGTGACCGAGTTAAAATGCTTTAAAAACATTGCATCAAACAACAAAAGTTCAAATAAAGATGGCCTCCTTTTTTTCAGACTCATTGATATGATTTTAGAGGCCTAGGTTATACGCATTAGTTCTTCTGGCGGTAAGGAGAAAAGAAAAAAATTAACGGAGTTGCTTCTAATCAGAGGTCACAAACCCATGTCCGCAAACTGAATCTGACATTATTTTTATTTAAATTAGTGGCCAAGAATGACATCCCTGCAAAATCCTGATTTCTGGCTTTACTGGAGGAGTCAGCAGAACTGGAAACCCCAGGATACCTTTTGTGCTGTGCTGTTGTGCTCGGTATTTCTAGCATTTCCGGTAATTTTCTCCCGTTCCCACCAGGTACACTGGTTTGCTGCCCCTATCCGTAGTCTCGTCCGGATCGACAGTAGTGGCACCTCCCCTGGCAACCAGGCAATCAGGTGGCACATACAGGTTCTATGAGGGGTGACCACAGCCTGGGTGCTGGGAGAGAAGGTGGCAGAGTGGAAAAGAGCTATTCCAGCCAGGCCCTCCCGCACCCCCACTTGGATCTTCTCTCTTGAGGGACTCCCAGCCTCCCTATGGAAGAGCAGCCAACCTAGAATCTGCCCCTAGACTCTGGGCCGTCTGTTTTCTCCTCTTCCACCCCTCCCCGCATGGGGCTGGTGCAGCCGCATACTCAGGCTTGAGAGGTCAGCCTGCGCGGGCTCCCTCTTCCCAAGGAAGAGGATCTTGGGCTGGCCCAGATACCGCTTCTCCTGAAGAAGGATTTCAGTCAGACTACGAGGACTGGGAAATCCTAATTCAAATCATTCTAAACAATCTTAAGAAAAGGAAGTTCCATGATCCTTTGAAACAGCCCACAGCTGAAGATCTGATGGCTGCTGTTCTTCACCTTGCTAAGTAGTTCACTGGCTCCTGGCTGGCGCCCCCATCTGCTGCCCCAGCTTGAAGAAAAGCAAGATGGCGCCTCCCCTCATCAAAAACTACTGTCTGGCCCAGGAAACCAGGAGGGCAGGCGGGTGACTTACCTTCCAGGCAGTGCATGGGGAATTGCAGAAAGGGCTCTCCCTGACCTGGCCTCCCACTAAGGTCTAGTCCTCCAGGGGCTTTGGGCTTCGAGGGGGCAACTCCTCCTGGTGTGGAGGCTGGGAACAGGCAAGTGATGCTGACGGAAGGATGTCCCGAGGAAGAGCCTCACGCTGCTCTCGCCTACAATTATTTTTCTATTGGCTGATACATGTTAAATACAAAACTCACATCAGGAACGAGAATATAAGTCAGCCTCTGGCATTTATGCTGAGTGGGATGATTGATAGTCACTTAAATGTGTAATCCAATCCTGCTAATTTTTCAGTAGCTCGATGCATCCCCAGGAGAACGCAGAATTTCTTTGCAGGGCACAGCCACCACCACCAACTGTTTTCTTTCCCATAGAAGGTACATTTCTGTTCCAGAAACATACTCGTTCCTTTGTGTAGAAAACTTTGCATGAGGCCCGGCGCAGTGGCTCGCGCCTGTAATCCCAGCATTTTGGGGGGCCGAGGGGGGGCAGATCACTTGAGGTCAGGAGTTCGAGACCAGCCTGGGCAACGTGGTGAAACCCCATCTCTACTAAAAATACAAAAATTAGCCGGGCATGATGGTACACGCCTGTAATCCCAGCTACTCAGGAGGCTGAGGCACGAGAATCACTTGAACCCAGGAGGCAGAGGTTGCAGTGAGCCGAAATCATGCCACTGCACTCCAGCCTGGGTGACAGAGTGAGACTCGGTTTCAAAAAAAAAAAAATTGCATGACATATGACATACAAGACATAGGCCAGGACTACAGAGGTTAACTAACTATATTATCTGGTTGGTCAGCCCACACAGGGCAAACCCACTGTACTGACAGACATCATTTAGAAAACTTGGTACACCTTCGAATCCATTTTTAATTTACAGAAAAATACTGTGCTTATCTCCAAGGATTATAACCAACTGATAATATGGAAGCATATGCTCCCCTTCTGAGCAAATGATGACTTATGTTCCTTTCCCATCAGTACAAAGAAGAGGTAGAGTGTTTGATTGCTAAGACTCTAAGAGTGGAAGAGAATCCTACCTAAAAATGAGCTTTTAGAATGCAGAAATAGTGCCCTGGTTTTGTTTGGCTAAAAGCCAATGGGCTTCATCAGCTCAGCGCAAAGAAATGTCCCAAATATGGGAGAGATGGACAGGGAAGATGGATGGCAGCCTGGCTGATTTCAAGGCCAGGAGTCATGGCCTGGGCCACCATCCTGTCTGGTGAGGGGGGAAAGGACCATGTTGGAAGCACTGGTGGCCACGTCTAGGATTAACGTTTTATCAGCAGTAACTGGGAGAGTTGGAAACGTTGGACTTCAGACTCGACATTGCCACTAGAACCTGTAGCGTGGAATCCCTTCGAGCAAGCCCTAGAGTGCCTGAAATGGTCTATCACTATCCCCTACAGCTGCTGCTGTGTTCCAGACCCTTCCTTTCTCTCCCGTGGACTGATGCAGGAGCTTCCAGCCAAATGGCTGCTCCTCTCCCCAGTCTTCCCCCCTGCTAACTCCATCCTTCCTGCTGCTGCCAAAGCTTCCTCACTAAAACATAGAACAGATGAATTGGAGAAAGGCCAGTCATCCTTGGCTCTATAGCATCTCTCAGGATTGCTGAACCACATATGTGTGCATGTAGATGTGAATTTAGGTGTTATGCATGAACACATGAACCATGGATCCCCACCCAGGCAGACCTTATAGAGATAAGGTATATTTTCTCCCCCAGGACATTTCATTCTTCTGCAGTGACAGGTCCTCTGTCTCCTAATCCCACCATCCTCTGGCCCATCAGGAAGGCTCGAGGTTTACCCCAGCCTCATCTCTCCCTCCAGAAAGCCACTTTCTTGGACAAAGATGCTTACATCCTGCAGCTCTTTCTCCACGCCCTTCTTGAATGACTTCTACTTGCAAGGTGGCTGAGTACATCACACATTGGACAAGGGATTACCTCACCTGACTCCCTCCACCTGTGACCCCATGGTATCATCTTCTGTACATCCACAGCAAACCCACTGGGACCGAAACAACTAGAGAAACCCGAAGACCTAGCAAATGCCATTTTGGTGAGGACAGAGACATTTCCTGTTTCCATCTCTGCTTTATCCCCTGAGCCTTGCACAGTGCCTGGTAAACAGTGGGTGTTTGTAAATACTTGATAAATAAGTAAATCAATGAATCGGTGTTCACCCCAGCCTTTAGTCCTTTTCCTGCCCTCCTGTTACCAGTGGCTTAGGATTCCTTATAACCAACAGTGCATCAGAGAGATGCAGGCAGAGAGATTCCTGGGCCTTCACTGGTCCAGGTCTTGAAATGGTGAATTCAGAACATCTTTCTACTCAGTTGTCCCATGCATGGGTCATTTGCCCCGGCTCACCTTGCAAAGATACCTCACTTGGTGTTACAGATGCCAATGGTGACCAGCGCCAGTCTCCTCAGTTCTGTCCAAGGGCTCTGCATTGCTGGCTTTTCTCACTGGGCCCTCTGTGGGCACCCAGGAGCCCACCAGCCTTCACACAAGTGTAGCTTGAAAGTGCAGGGAGTGAGCACCCTGGGGATAAGCCTTGGCCAATGGGAGGGGAGCAGGGGACAAAACCTCCCATCCTGCACATGGCCATAGCAAGACCATAGCAAGAGGCATTCCATAGGCTCCCGCTGCCATTCACAGTGAACTTCATCCTAGCTTCTCCCCTACCATGTCCCTTTCTCTGTTCCCTCCCTCCTGCTTCCTGGAACCACCCCCCAAATGACTCCCTGCACTCAAGTTCTCATCTCAGACTTGACTGTTGGGAACCCCCAAACCAAGGCACACAGTTAGACAAAATATCCCATTGTGGATATTGTTGCTCCAAACTCCCATCTTGCAATCTTTTCAATCGTCTGTCCTTTACTAAATGCCAGTCTCTCAAAATTTCTGCTGCTTGATAATTGGAAAAAACCTCAGGCAAGTTCCTGGCCATCCCCAGGCCTCATTTTCCCATCAGGAAGAAGGAAACAAGCACACCTGTCTCCCCAGTCTCCCTGCCTGGCTCACTGGGCAGGCAAATGTGTGGGAGGTGATTGCAAAGGTACCAGATTTGCCAAATATACGCTTGCAATTAAATCCAAAGGCCTGTCCCACAGTTGCTTGACTTTTTTTAAAGGCCAATTTATCCTCCTTTCTTAAAGACTAAACAATTTTTCCACTTCATTTATTAAAATAAAGCTCTTTAACTTGCACGCTTTTAGACAAAAGCAACAGTACTCTGAAATGACCCCATCACTTCTCAGTGAGAAGCTGTGCTCCCTGTTCTTTGTGCTTCTTGGGATTGCAAGTGCGGCCTTTGTGAGTGCTCTGTGGGCCTGGAGCAGCCACACGGAAAGGCTCACAGCTGAACCCAGCAGTAGCATCACCTGCCTTTCCCCACCCTGGTTTTTTTTCCCTTTCTAATTTGGGGTCCTCTTATAGCTCCTCAAATACAATGTACTCGTGTCCCTCAGAGCCACTGCACAGACTGTCCCCTCTCCCTAAAGAGACCCCGCTCTTATCCTCCCCCTCCCCTACCCCACCCAGTCAGCCAGCTGAACTCTGGTTCATCTTCTGCATCCGGGTGAAAGGTCACCTTCCTTGCCAGTCAACCCCCACCCTCCCACTGCAGTCATCAGAGATGAGCAGCCTCTAAAACCTGCCCTCGAGGTGCACATACATGCCTTTGCTGTCACCTATGTTAGAACCACAAGGCTGGAGTCTTTCCACCTTAAGAGTTCCCAATGCCTATTCGATGGGACCACAGCAGACACTCAAGAAAGGCTTTTCACAAAGCTCATCTTAGAACAAACCTGCATTTTTAGGGATTCTGTGCCTCTTTGAGCCTCTAGGGAGCAAGTAGAGGTGATTTGCAGGGAGAACTTGGGCATTTCCACACCTCTGACCTTACAACCCTCAAGAGCACCAACATCCCGTCCTGATGCTGTGTGATCCCCGCTGCTCCAATAGTACTGTGGGTGTTGGCACAACAGACAGAGCCTGAGCTGGAAAGAGATTCTCACAACCAAAGCTAGGGCTGCAGGCGAAGGACATCGCCAGTTAGCAGCACTATGGAGAGAAACTCTGCTCTGAAGAAAAGTCCGTATATCACTATCCAGAGGCAGTGGATCATGAACAAATACTCCTGTGAGCCAAGTGCACGGGTTTGGTTTGCCTCCTCTGTACTAAAAGGGGTCAGGGTAGGGTAAGCGCTTAGTATGGCTCCACCTGTGGAGCCCTCTGTGAGGCAGCCTCACCTCCTCATTTGCATAATGGAGCTGAGGGGAATTTCCTGCCTCCCCTAGGGGTTGCTGAGAAGAACAAATAAAACGATGGATGTGCAAATCCTCTATAAATTGCAAAGTGCCATGTAAATGAAAAAAATATTTACCCTATATTCCTAAAAAAAGAAAAAAAATGAGGGCAATAGAGTTGACTCCAAAACATGAATTTTTAAAAGCAGCACAGGATCCTTCTCGGCTGTCTGCTGTTCTCTGTGGGCACCTTGCAGGTGCTTAGTTCCACCACCTTTCCTCTGCAGATGAGGACCCTAAGCCAGAGCAGAATGAAGTCACTTGCTTGGAATCACACAGGCAGTGAGTGACAGAGTCTGAACTCAAATCACTTCCTCTTT
Organism: Homo sapiens; assembly: GCF_000001405.40. Classification (NCBI taxonomy): domain Eukaryota; kingdom Metazoa; phylum Chordata; class Mammalia; order Primates; family Hominidae; genus Homo; species Homo sapiens. The sequence continues at coordinate 123,730,122 of NC_000010.11, forward strand.
CTTGTGGAAATAAAGACCAACCAAATGGGAATGAGCTGTTTATTCCGAGCTTGCTTCAGCAAGGGAGGCAGCCATCATCACTTGTGTTTTCATAGAAACTCACAAGAGGAAAGGCAGGGAGAGGCCAGCCACAGTGGCTCACACCTGTAATCCCAACACTTTGGGAGGCCAAGGCAGAAGGATCACTTGAGACCAGGAGTTTGAGACCAGCCTGGGCAGCATAGTGAGATGCCCATCTCTACAAAAAATTTAAAAAATAATTCACTGTGTACGGTGGTATATCCCTGTAGTCCCAGCTACTCAGGAGGCTAAGATGGGAGGATCACTTGAGCCCAGGAGATCAAAGCTGCAGTAAGCCATGTTTTTGCCATTGCATTCCAGCCTGGGAGACAGAGTAAGAGACCCTCTCTAAAAAAAAAAAAAAAAGCAGGCAGAGGAGTGGGAGAGCTTCATAGCAGAAGAAAAGGAAGCTTCCGGTGGTCCCTGACTGGAGGCTGCGGGCACAGGAAGCTGTAGATGGACTAAGTAGAAGCAGAACATTCTATGTCATTGGTTAGGGGAAAAATAAAAATCTAACCTTCTCTGGTTGGTCCTAAGTTGGAAGCAGGGACAAAAACTAGGGAAGCGGTTCTTTATTATTGGAGCCTTGGTCATTTTGGACAGACTGTTACAGAGGTTACTGTGTGGCTTCCTGAATTGCGCTAGATATAGTGGCCTGGCTTCCTGCAAGTCTGACTTATAAATAGTAGGCTGGTTTCCCAGGCTAGTTTTCTGGACTGGTTGCTGCAGGTTGTGGGTCAGAATTCAATTGCTATAGATGGTCAAGCCTTCCTTGCACTATATAGTCAGTCTCTCACTTTCCTGTATCACCTGACTCAAAACCCACTGCTTTCACAAACAGGATGTCTTTCTTTATCAGGGTTTTAGGAACATAGATAATTTTATCCTTAATGAAATAACTAAGCAAGCAAGCACCCTAGGAAGCTCATGACCTTTTCCGTTATCCAGAAGAAGGATCTCATAAAGTTCTTTATTGATCAACTAGAAGAGAGGAAGCAATGTTTGGAAATAGCATGTTTTCATACTCTGTAAATTCAGAATTGTCCAGGATCACTGATAGGTGTTTACCAGGCTGAAAGTTTCCACCCAAATGTGTGAACACAGCAGCATTCACAGCTCCAACAAGGTTAGTGTACACAAACATTTTTATTCTCATCCTCTAATTCCTTTTTGTTGTTGTTGTTGTTGTTGGTTTGTTTGTTTTTGTTTGTTTGTTTGTTTGAGATGGAGTCTCCCTCTGGTCACCGAGGCTGGAGTGCAGTGGTGCAATCTCGACTCACTGCAACCTCCACCTTCTGGGTTCAAGCAAGGCACGTGCCACCATGCCCGGCTAATTTTTTGTATTTTTTAGTAGAGACGGGATTTCACCATATTGGCCAGGATGGTCTGAATTTCCTGACCTTGTGATCCGCCTGCCTCGGCCTCCCAAAGTGTTGGGATTACAGGCGTGAGCCATCACGCCCGACCCTCGTCTTCTAATTCTTAACAATGGCTGCCAAGTTATGAGGTGAGGCCCAATGACAGCTCGGGCAATGTTAGAAATTGTAGGCGATTTGGGGAGGATGCTGGGAAAGGGCCTCAGTGCATAAAGGAACATCTGAAAACAGCTGAAAACAGCCCAGTAACAGTGTTATTCATTTTAGTCACTGTGTAGTGTTTTGGCTTCTGGTATCTAAAGTTCTCAGGCAGATTAAATTATGAAAATGTAAGCAAAATTGTTCCTGAGTTCTGTGTTGCTTATGAGTTGGAGATGTTGACTTTTGCACCATCAGAGAGACCTGAATTGGAGTCAACCCAGAAGCTCTTTGAACCTCATCTTTTAGGAATTTTCATGGAGGCTTCATCATATAGACATGGTAAATTATTAGCCCAGTCTCTATCCCCTGTCCCTCTCCTGGAGGATGGGATGTGGGGCTGGAAGTTCCAAGCTTTTAATCATGGCTTGGTATTTCTGGTGATTAGCTCCATCCAGGAGCCCACTAAGAGTAGCCTCATTGGAACAAAAGGTGCTCCTATCACCCAGAAAATTTCAAGGGATTAGGTGCTCTGTATCAGGAACTGAGGTCAAAGACCAAACATTCAAACAAAAGATACACCTAGCACCTCTATGGCTCAGGAATTACAAGAACCCGGGGACAGAGACTAAATATATATTTCTGATTGTAAATCACACTATCACAATATTGCTCCCCCAAAAATACTCAGGGTCCTGTTCTGACAGATGCAGGGGATATTTAGAACCTCAGGCTGAGTTCCCCGGAAACAGCTTCTGGGATAAGGATGTGTGTGAAAGAAATTTATTGGAAAGTGAGTCCAAGAAAACCTGATAGGGGCGTGGAGACCTTCGATCAGGAAAGGAAGGCACCAAGCAAAGATGTGATGTCAAGGAAAACCTTGGCTCAGTCCCATGGGAAGTTCTGGGGACCGTGTAGAATCCAACTCAGAAATATCCTGATCTAGGAGCGAGAGAGCTGGGGTATTTATAGACTCACACCCATCACTCATTGGTGGGGGAGTGCTCCAGAGAACAGCGTTCCCAGGCACTATGGCTCTCCAAGCACAGGCAAGTGAGCTCTGAAGGCTGAGGGCAGCCCTATGCCTGGAGGGGCCAGTGCCCTCTCTTCGGAGTAAGAGCTCACCTCTCAGCAGTCTTTTGTTTGTCCATTTGTCTATGTAAATGAGATAATAATTTTGTGCCTACTAGGAAAGACAAGAGCTCTTTGATACTTGGAACTGTGAGTTTTTATGAGTAGCAGCTAAAATGGTAGAATTGAAGCTATAAACTATCTACGGGATCATAAGTCTAGGTGTCTATAATTCAGAAAACTACCTTTCATTGTGTATTTGATGTTTTTGTATATCCAGAGCGTATTAATAAATTGAATTTTAAAAGTCTCTTAAATTAAAGGAGCTAGGTTGGGCGCAGTGGCTCACCCTTGCAATTCTAGCACTTAGGGAGGCCGAGGCTGGTGGAATCTTCAGAGGTCAGGAGTTCAAGACCAGCCAGGCCAACATGGTGAAACCCTGTCTCTACTCAAAATACAAAAATTAGCCGGATGTGGTGGTGCATGCCTGTAATCCCAGCTACTCAGGAGGCTGAGGCAGGCGAATTGCTTGAACCCAGGAGGCGGAGGTTGCAGTGAGCCAAGATCACGCCACTGCACTCCAGACTGGGAAACACAGCAAGATTCTGTCTCAAAAAATAAAAAAATAAAAGAGCTATATTTTGGTTGGATACAAACACTTCTAGAAATGAAATTTTCCCAAATTACGAGAAAATAAGGACATTAAACTTTTAATACTTGAAGTGTGTCAGCCAAAGCTAACTTAAAAGCATTTTAGGAATCCATATAATTAAGGTAAATCTTTGGCAAATGAGACTAGTTTAATAATTTTGATTAATAACAAGGCAGCTATGTCTTTCTAATTAATGCTATGTATAACACGAGGTAGATTTTATTCTACTATACACACTGTTTCCTAACCTTATTCAGGTTTACTGCTCAAATAAGCTAGCATTATTCCTAGTTAATGTTTAACACTACAAAAAATGTAAATTTGTGTTCAACTAAATGGTATCATTATTCTGACAGACTGTATACAGACATGCCTCATTTTATTGTGCTTTGCCTTATTGTGCTTTACACATACCTCATTTTTTTTATAAATTGAAGGCTTGTAGCAACCCTACAATGATCCGTTGGTGCCATGTTTCCAACAGCATATGTTCACTTTGTGTCTCTGCATCACATTTTGGTAATTCTCACAATATTTCAAGCTTTTTCATTTTGATTTTATCTGTTATGGTGATCTGTGACTAGTGAGTTTTGATGTTATTATTGTAATTGTTTTGAGGCACTATGAACTGCACCCATGTAATATGGCAAACTTAATCAATGAATGTTGTGTGTGTTCCGACTGCTCCCCTAACCAGCCCTTCCTCCATCTCTTTCCCTTTTCTCAGGCCTTCCTGTTCCCTGTGATAAAACGATATTGAAATTAGTCCAGTTAATAATCCTACAGTGGCCTCTAAGTGTTCAAGTGAAAGGAAAAGTCACACATCTCTCACTTTAAACCAAAAGCTAGAAATGATTAAGCTTAGTGAGGAAGGCATGTTGAAAGTTAAGGTAGACCAAAAGCCAGGTAACTTGTGGCAAACAGCCAAGCTGTGAATTTAAAGGGAAAGTTCTTGAAGGAAATTAAAAGTGCTACTCTAGTGAACACACAAGTGATAACAAAGCAAAACAGCCTTATTGCCAATATGGAGAAAGTTTGAGTGGTCTGGATAGAAGATCAAACCAGCCAAAACCTTCCATTAAGCCAAAGTCTAATCCAGAGCAAGGCCCCAACTCTCTTCAAGTCTATGAAGTCTGAGGGAGTTGAGGACGATGTAGAAGAAAAGCATGAAACTAGCAGAGGTTGCTGCATGAGGCTTAAGGAAAGAAGCCGTCTCCATAACATAAAAGTAGAGGGTGAAGCAGCAAGTGCTAATGGAGAAGCTGCAGCAAATTATCCAGAAGATCTAGCTAAGACCACTGATGAAGGTGGCCACACTAATCAATGTATTTTCAATGTAGACAAAACAGCCTTACATGAGAAGTAGATGTCATCTAGGACTTTCATAGCTAGAGAGAAGTCAACGCCTGACCTCAAAGCTTCAAAGAACAGGCTGACTCTCTTGTTAGGGGCTAATGGTGACTTTAAGTTGAAGCCAATGTACATTTGCCATTCTGAAAATCTTAGGGCCCTTAAGAATTATGCTACATCTACTCTTCCTGTGCTCTATAAATGGAATAACAAAGCCTGGATCACAGTACATCTGTTTATAGCACGGTTTATTGAATATTTTAAGCACACTGTTGAGACCTACTGCTCAGAAAAAAAGATTATTTATAATACTACTGTTATTGACAATGTACCTGGTCACCTACAAGCTCTAGCAGAGAAGTACAAGGAAATGAATGTTGTTTTCATGCCTACTAACACCACATCCATTCTGCAGCCCATGGATCAAGAAGTAATTTTGTTGTACAAGTCTTCTTATTTCAAAAATACATTTATTAAGGCTATAGCTGCCATAGATAGTGACTCCTCTGATGAATCTGGGCAAAGTAAATTGAAAACTTTCTGGGAATAATTCACCATTATAGATGCCATTACGAACATTTGTGACTTATGTGAGGAGGTAAAAATATTAACATTAACAGCAGTTTGAAAGATGTTGTTTCCAGTTCTCATGGATGACTTAGGGCCCAAGACTTCAGTGGAGGAAGTAACTGTAGCAGATATGGTAGAAACAGCAAAAGAACTAGAATTAGAAGTGGAGCCTGAAAATGTGACTGAATTGCTGCCATCTCATGATACAACTTTAACTGATGAAGAGCTGCTTTTTAAGGATAAGCAAAAAAAAATTTTCTTAAGATGGAATCTATTTGTGGATATGCTGTGAACATATTGCCACAGCAACCCCAACCTTCAGCAACCACCACCCTGATCAGTTAGCAGCCATCAACATTGAGGTAAGACCTTCCACTAGCAAAAAAATCAGGACTCCTTGAAGATTCAGACGATCATTAGTCCTTTTAAAAATAAGGATTTTTTTTTTTTTTTGAGATGGAGTCTTGCTCTGTCACCCAGGCTGGAGTGTAGTGGCGTGATCTCGACTCACTGCAACCTCCGCCTCCTGGGTTCAAGCTATTCTCCTGCCTCAGCCTCCCAAATAGCTCAGACTACAGGTACATGCCACTAAGCCTGGCTAATTTTTGTATTTTTAGTAAAGACAGGGTTTCACCTTGTTGGCCAGGCTGGGCTTGGACTCCTGACCTCTAGTGAGCCACTGCCTCGGCCTCCCAAAGTGCTGGGATTACAGACGTGGGCCACCATGCCCGGCCAACAATAAAGTATTTTTAATGAAGGTATTTACATCATTTTCTTAGGCATAATGCTATTGTATACTTAATAAGTCAGTATGGTGTAAACATAACTTGTTTACACCATAAATGCACTGGGAAAACCAAAAGTTTGTTTCACTTGCTTTGTAGTGTGTCAGCCTGAAGATACTTTCCAAGATCTTTAAGTAATTCAAACATTTGGATGATATTAAATTGCATTAAGTAATGGATAATCATGGGATGCCTAGATCATTCCTAAGATGAATACTGAAACACTGATTATTCAGCATAATTTTGAATTTATAGGTGTTTGCTGCTTAATTTTTAAATGCTTTGGGCCATATTAGTGAACATGTACATTTTTGCTGTTTGTAGAGGTTCTTTAGGAGAGGTAGGTATATGGCTATAGAAATTGTTGCATTAAGGAGCTGTTAATTTGCTAAAATGCTGGTACGTGATAGCAGTTCTCAACTAATGTTTCACAGTTTGCTCTATGAAAGAGACATTATTTACTTTACTTAAAATTGTAGTTGATATAAGTTGTTGAGACTATGCTAAAAACAACACTAATAGAGAAATACAACAGTGTGTGCTTGTCTTTCAAGGAAAACAGTAGTTTGGTCTTAAAGCAACATTTCTCAGATGTTTTTGGTCTCTAGATAACTTACACTCATAAAACTTATGGAAGACCTTATAAAAATTTTGATTTTTAGGGTTATAACTATCACTGTTTTCTGTGTTGGCAATTGAAACAGAGAATTTTATTTTTTTTAACTTTTATTTCAAGTTCAGGGGTACATGTGTAGGTTTGTTTCAAAGGTAAACTCGTGTCATGGGGGTTTGTTGTACAGATTACTTCATCACCCAAGTATTAGCTATTTTTCCTGATCCTCTCACTCCTCCCACCTTCCGCAGTGGGCATTGTTCCCCTCCATGTGTCTATGTGTTCTCACCATTTAGCTCCCACTTCTAAGTGAGAGCGTGCAGGATTTGGTTTTCTGTTCCTGCATTAGTTTTCTAAGGATAATGGCCTGCAGCCTCATCCATGTCCCTGCAAAGGACATGATCTCATTCTTTTTCATGGCTGCATAGTATTCCACGGTGTATATATACCACATTTTCTTTATCCAGTCTACCATTGATGGGCATTTAGGTTGATTCCATGTCTTTGCTATTGCGAATAGTGCTGTAATGAACATTTGTGTGAATGTGTCTTTATAATATAATTATTTCTATTCCTTTGGCTATGTTCCCTAATGGGATTGCTGGGTCGAATGGTATTTCTTGTCTTTAGGTCTTTGAGGAATTGCCACACTATCTTCCACAATGGCTGAACTAATTCACACTCCCACCAACAGTGTATAAGTGTTCCTTTTTCTCCACAACCTCACCAGCATCTGTTATTTTTTGACTTTTTATTAATAGCCACTCTGACTGGTGTGAGGTGGTATCTCATTGTGGTTTTGATTTGCATTTCGAAACAGAGAATTTTTTAAACGCTTGTTTAGAGATAATTTGAAGAGAACAGCAGTGAATGTACTGCATGTTAATAACATCTTAGTATTATTATTCAATTAGTCCTGACCTCACAGACTCCTGATACCTATCTTCAGGTAAAGTGTCAATTTATTCCAGAATATGAATGAGCTTACAGAGAACCAACTTGGAAAGTGAATTTTATTTGCCTTGGTTTTTAATTCCTGAACTGAGAAACTCTCCCTGAGGCTCCCTACTTTGTATGGCTTGATATGGTTATTTGCATAGTAGGAATCTGTCCTCCTTTTTCACTAGGATATAACCCAAAAAGTTGGTTATGCAACTGATATGGTTTGAATCTGTGTCCCCACTCAAATCTCATGTTGAAATGTAATTCCCAATGCTGGAGGTGGGGTCGGATGGGAGGTGATTGAACCATAGGGGTGGTTTCTAATGGTGTAGCACCATCCTCTTAGTGCTGTTTTCATGGTAGAGTTCTCATGAGATCTGGTCATTTAAAAGTGTGGTACCTCCCCCTGCCCTCTCTTTCTCCTGCTCCAGCCATGTGAAGTGCTGGCACCTCCTTCACCTTCTGCAATGATTGTAAGTTTCCTGAGGCCTCCCCAGAAGCTGAGCAGATGTCACCATGCTCCTGCATAGCCTGTAGAACTGTGAGCCAATTAAACCTCTTTTCTTTATAAATTACCCAGTCTCAGGGGTTTTTTTTGTTTTGTTTTGTTTTGTTTTGATTTTTTGAGACAGGGTCTCACTCTGTTGCTCAGGCTGGAGTACAGTGGCATGATCATAGCTCACTGAAGCCTTGACCTCTTGGGCTCAGGTGATCCTCTCACCTCAGCCTCCTGAGTACCTTGTACTGGAAGCACACGCCCCCATGCCCAGCTAATTTTTTTGTATTTTTAGTAGAGATGGGATATTGCCATATTGCCCGGACTGGTCTTGAACTCCTGGCCTCAAGGGATCCTCCTGCCTCAGCCTCCCAAAGTGTTGGGATTACCAACATGAGCCCCCTCACAGGCCAGGCATTTCTTTATAGCAATGGGAGAATGGACTATTACAGCTACCAAAGTCTTGCCTGGAATGTCATATTTGAAAATGATGCCTATTTAATGAGGTATGGTTATGTTTTTTTAAAAAACAGCCTTGAAGTGAAATAATCTATACCACACAGTTCACCTGTCTAAAATATACAATGGCTTTTCAGAGTTATGCAGCCATCACCACAATCAGTTTTGAAACACTTAACCACAAAAGGAAGCCTGCACCCCTTAGCCTTCACCCACCCCAACACCTCCTGAATCTCCTATCACCCCAGCCCCAGGCAATCACTAATCTGCTTTCTGTCTCTACGGATTTGCCTGTTCCGGACAGTTCATATAAATGGAACCACACAATATGTGGCCATTTGTGACTAACTTCTTTCACTTAGCATAATGTGTTCAAGGTTCATCCATGTTGTAGCATGTATCAGTATTTCATTCCTTTTCATTACCAGATAATATGCCACAGTCTGAATATGCACTTTTTGTTTATCTGTTCACCCCTTGGCATTTGGGTTGTTTCTACATGTTGGCTGTCATAAATAACGCTGCTGTAAACATTTGTGCACACATTTTGTGTTGACATATGTTTTCATGTCTGTTGGGTATATACCTAGGACTAGGATCGCTGGATCATATGGGAACTCCATAGTTAACATTTTTAGAAACTGTTGGTCTGTTCTGTAAAGTAGGCTGCACTCTGCTCTAACAATAGCCCACTTTTGTTTCAGATCATTTCCATGCTAAACGTCTAAGCATTTCAAATATATTACATCAAATTGAATCCCCGTGACAATTCTAAGAGGCAGAGCCTCTTAAGATGTTTCTACATCTTAGAGATGTAGAAACAAGTCCCAGGGAGATGAGGTGACTTGCTCAATGTCACCCAGATGGTAAGAGGTGGCACTGGGACCAAACCAAAGCTCATCCACCCCAAAGCTCCATCTTTTCCTTCTTGATCCCATCCCCAGGTAAGTGCAGTGAGGAGGGCTTTTTTCTTTCTCCAGTGGCCTGGGGCTGCCTTTCTCCACGGACCTCAAGGCCCCCTCTCTTGCTCTTGCCCCAGCCCTGGTGCCGTTTGTTCCCTGCAGGTTGGCAGAAGGCCCAGAGATGGAACCTGATGCTGTGGAGTCACTGGGCTTCCGGGAGCTGGAAAAGAGCGGTGCCCAAAGGATGGGATCATGGCCTTTGCCATCTCCCCCTAGTCCCGACAGGGAGCCTGACAGCTGTGCTCATGCTTAGGGAGGATGAAGAGCATGGCAGAGTCAGACAGGAGGCCATTATTTTCAATGAAAATGCACTGAACACCGACCCCATGCAGTAAGGGTTTCCATGGCCAGGAAACCTGCTTCTGTAACCGATTGCTTCCCTCCTGGGCTCAGCTCCCACTTCCCTCACCGCTCAGCTAATGCAGCTTTCAAGAGCAAAGTAAGGAGTGCATCAAAACAGCTGCTTCCATCCTGGTGATGAACTTGGAAAAACTATACTAGAACATCTGACTACATACATCTATGCACACCCTCAGCCTCAGCTTCCTCATTTGAAAAATGGGAATAATAATATTTACCCCTAAATGTAGTTGTGAAGATGACAAGGGATATTGAATAGCACACTGCTGGGAACATAGTACCTGAAAACAATAATCAGCAGCTGCTCTGCCTCTCAGTGCTTGCCATGTGCCGGGTGCCTGTCTAAATGCTTTTCACTGGAACCCCATGACATGCAAGGTAGGCCCTATTTACTATGCCCATTTTTTTTTCTTTTGAGACAGAATCTCGCTCTGCTACCCAGGCTGGAGTGCAGTGGTGTGATCTCGGTTCACTGCAACCTCCGCCTCCCAGGTTCAAGCGATTCTCCTGCCTCAGCCTCCTGAGTAGCTGGAATTACAGGCGCGTGCCACCACGCCCAGCTGATTTTTTGTATTTTTAGTAGAGACAGGGTTTCACTGTGTTAGCCAGGATGGTCTTGATCTCCTGGACCTCATGATCCCCCCACCTCGGCCTCCCAAAGTGCTGGGATTACAGGCATGAGCCACCGTGCCTGGCCTACTATGCCCATTTTATAGATGAGTAAACTGAGATTCATAAGGTACATAATTTACCCTAGGTTGTGCAGGGACCTAACCCGTGTCACTATACTTCCCTGGGGATGGGATACAGAAGGAAAAGATGGAGCTTTGGGGTGGATGTGCTTTAGTGTGGTCCCAGTGCCACCTCTTGCCAAATGAGCGACTTTAAGCAAGTCACCTCATCTCCCCGGGACTTGTTTCCACATCTCTAAAACGCGTATAGGAATCTCTGCCTCTTAAGATTGTCACGGGGATTCAATGCAATGTAATATATTTGAAATGCTTAGACCTTCAGCATCAAAATGATCTGAAACAAAAGTGGGCTATGGTGAGAGTGGCACATCTCCTAGTTATTTTTTGTTATTTTTGTTATTTTTTGACTTTTGAACAACAGGCATTCTGACTGGTGTAGGGTGGTATCTCATTGTGGTTTTGATTTGCATTTCAAAACAGAGAATTTTTTAAATGCTTGTTTAGAGATAATTTGAAGAGAACAGCAATGAACGTATTGCTGTCCGACACTTTGCTTTACTGACCGCTATCCTGAAGGCCTTGGAGGTAAGAGAGGCCAGTGGGTGCTGACTCACAATGACGGACTGACATTTCAGTGGATACTCACCACTCAGCCTTGCTCAGAGAGGCTGGGAGAGGGCTCCAGAAAGTGGCCTTCCCTGCAGATGTTGACACATGTGTGAGGCAGGGACAGAGTCCACTACCCGCAGCACCTGTGAGCACCGGGTAGAGCCACTGTCCCCTTCCTCTGTCAGGCTGGCTCTCGAGACAGATCAGATAACAAGAAATGCCAGGGTGGTGCTGATCCCCCCAGTGCCCAGCACACCAACCAGGCTACAAAGGATGTGGAGGCTGCATATAGGATGGGCCTTAACAACCGCAAATCAAATTGGGCGTTACCAACCGTAAATCAAATTGGGCATTACCAACTGCAAATCAAAACCGTCAGCTTTTGGGAAGTCAGGACATCATTGGCTCTTAGGTCATCTCAAGCTGACAGGGAGCTATAATGGCAAAAGACATCCAGAATCAGGCCCAGTGAGCTTCCCCCGGCTCTGCTACATATTCAATCAGCTCCCTCTTAGCAGATTCCCCAGCCATGTTCATCACACAAGGGCTCCATCCTTTATCCTCTGGTTGCTAAAATGCACCCATAGTTCCCAATGTTCTGTCACTGCCCAGGGCGTGAGCTGCTCCTGGGAAAGCTGGCCCTGCAGTTCAAGAGGCTCAGCCCCCAGGCCTGCGCCGAGACCTAATTACAGGTTCCCAGTCAAGCAGTGGAAAGAGCACTGTCCTGAGAGTTCAGCCTCTGCCATGAACTGAAATGGGACTTTGGACACTTCATGCCCCTCCCTGTGCCTCATTTTTCCTGTCTCTACCCCCAGGCGGACTAGACTAGCTCAGGGATGGAAACAGCAGGCATCCTTGCCCTCACCTTTGCCATAACCAGAGCAGACATAGGTAATCAGCTGGAGCATCTCTTCATTAAGCCAGCTCTCTGCCTCAGAATTCTTCTTAACACAGAGCTCCAAGCAAGGACTACCAATAAACCAGAGTGGGCCTATAAGAGGAAGCCTAGGTGCCATCCCAGGCTCCTTGACCTCATGGCTGCCCCTCAGCTCTAAAGACCTGCCATTGTCCTCTGTATACACCAGAAGGTACTGGAAGGCTCTGCCCCATGTGTTTCAGCTCTCTGAACTTTTTTTTTTTTTTTTTGAGATGGAGTCTCACTCTGTTGCCCAGGCTGGAGTGCAATGGCGTGATCTCGGCTCACTGCATACTCTGCCTCCCGGGTTCAAATGATTGTCCTGCCTCAGCCTCCTGAGTAGCTGGGATTATAGGCATGTACCACAACACCCAGCTAATTTTTGTATTTTTAGTACAGATGGGGTTTCACCATGTTGGCCAGGCTGGTCTCGATCTCCTGACCTCGTGATCAACCTGCTTCAGCCTCCCAAAGTGCTGGGATTACAGGTGTGAGCCACCACGGCAGGCCATGAACTTTTTTTTTCTGATTTTCCCTTGATTTCCTGTGAATTGGCTGGCAAGTTGGGGATGTCTATGTGTCAGGGGGATCGACAGACAGGAGGAAGAGCACCCATGGTCTCAGGAGAGGTCGCCCTAGTACACAGAGCTCAGTAGTAGAGGCAGACTTGGGCTGCTGTGAGCCAGGCTCTGCCTCCTTCTGGCCAGTCCTGCTGGGCTGTGGCTCCGTAAGCAGCAGCTCCCTCCACACTGTGACCACCCACTGGGATCGGGGACACAGCACAAAGTGGTATGGACATGTGGGCTTCTTCAGGCAGGGTGGCAGCCTCCAGAGCTGATTCTGAACCTGCAAACCTGGGACTCTTCCCTGGCATGATTGTGTGCTAACATCACATGACAGTTTCAAGGTGTTGTAATGCCCTTGTGTACACTGAATAATGCCTAGGGGTTCCTGGTAAAGACTGGGCTCCAAAACTCATAGAAAGTGGGCTGTGATTGCTGACAAATGCTGATTTGAGCTTCTTCTCTGCACAGCTCCTTAAATGCCCCTCAACATAAAACAGACATGAAAGAGGGTGAAGCCGCTGCGGCCCTCCTGGGACCCACGTGGGAGGATGAAGACAGTAAACAGGCACTAGACTCCGCCAGAAGCAGACGCACCACGTTGGTTGATTTTATCCTGCAGAAAAACATCTCAAACAGCCTGTCAATCTCTGGACATGTTTCTAACTCAGTCAAGTACCAGGTTTCACTTATAAAAATGAAGACTCTTCAAGAGGTAAAAAGACACCAAATACATTCAAAGTATAGATTTTCAATTTCTCAAGTCACATTTTCTGAACGTGTTAAGGGAATCCTACAAACAGGGCAGCACATGGCAGAGGCTGGCTCGGCTTCACACGTGTTCATGGTGCAACTGCTGCAGTGGGGAGCAGCCCCGCAGGAGGAGTGGGAACCGAGGAGGATGCAGGTCCTGCCCTTGGGAGCTTCCAGACCAACAGCAGAGAGAACCTGAAGTAACACAACTCCTCTGAGAGGCCCTGAGGGCTCTGCAGATTTGTTCAAAGGAGTGAGAAATCACCATGGTCCTGAGAGGGGGAAGGCTTCCTGGAGGAGGTGGCATTTGAGACAGGACTGGAGAGAAGCAGGAGGGTTTTCAGCTGTGAGGAGAGATAATATATGCAGAGGCCCAAGCTGAACCTAGGGAAAGATCTAGGAGGGTAATTCCGGCTGAAAAGCAGGAGAGAAGGCAAGTAGGAGGGAGGTTCCGGGCTCCGGGTTAAGGAAGGTTATGTGGGCTTGAAGGTCCAGTGAGGAGTCGCTGTGTCACGGAAGGGCTGAGGAGAGAAGTGACTCCAACAGAACAGAGCTTTAGGAATCCAGGATGTCGGCTCTCTGCCAGAAATCTTCGGACGCCACAGCCAGCCTGACCTTTACAGTCTATGAAGCCTGAGGGCTTTACTTTGCAGGAGTAGATGAGAGATTAGAGAGGATGCCTGACCTGAGATCACACACCAAACAGCCCTGGCCAGTCCTGAATGCAGAGCCCCTGCCTGCGAGCCCAAGGTGCCTGCAAACGGGCTCAGTTTGGTGACAAGGCTGCAGGGAGGGTTGAGAATGGCATGGATGCAGTAGGCTGTGTGCAGTAGCCCTGCAAGTTCCAGAGCTGACTACTGGAAATAAGACCGGGCCATCTCGGCACCAAGGGCCAGGACCTGGCTTCTGGGTCAGCATGGCAGGGACTGGACAAATCCACAATCTTCCAAGCAAATGTGGGATTGCTCGGGTTTAAATTGTGGGTCCAGGACATGTCTCAAGGGCCCAGAAGGGTCACTTGCACCATCGTCTCTTTCACCCCTGCAACTCCCCCTTCTGAACTGCAAAGGTGGTTTATAGTTTTAAATGCTTTATAGCACTGCCTCCATATCTACTGCTGTGAGGCTCAGATTTTCCTACCATGGGCTTAGTTGAGAGCTGTGTGGTCCAATATGTAGCCTTTAGCCACAAGTGTCTATTAAAAGTTTAATTAAAATGAACATTCTATAATAGAAGAAACCCAGTTTTTAAGTTTCACTGACCACCTTTAAAGTACTCAATAGCCACACGTGGCCAGCACTGTGGCATTCGATAGCACACAATAGGACATTTCCATCATCACGGAAAGTTCTATTGGCCAACACTGGCTTATAGCAGGAGCTGACTATGTCTTAGCTTGCAGGCCAAATCCAGCTGCCACCTGTTTTTGTAAATAAAGATGTACTGGAATGCAGCCATGGCCATTCATTTCTTTTCTTTTCTTTTTTTTTTTTTTTTTTTTTTTTGACAGAGTCTTGCTCTGTCATCCAGGCTGGGGTGCAATGGTGCAATCTTGGCTCACTGCAACCTATGCCTCCCGGGTTGAAACGATTCTCCTGCCTCAGCCACCTGAGTAGCTGGGACTACAGGCATGTACCACCATGCCCAACTAATTTTTGTATATTTAGTAGAGACAGGGTTTCATCATGTTATCCAGGCTGGTCTCAAACTCCTGACCTCAGGCAATCTGCCTACCTCGGCCTCCCAAAGTGCTGGCCCATTCATTTCTGTACTGTGTATGTCTGCTTTTGTGCTACAATAGCAGAGCTGAGTGGTTATGACAGAGACTGTATGGCTTGCAAAGCCTAAGCTATTTACTGACCCTTTTAAAGAAAAGTTAGCTGACCCTGAGTATAGATTGTGCAAAAGCTGTATGAGAATCTTTTCTCTAAAGATGCTTACTGGCATCTCCAAGAGCCAATAGTGGGTCCCAAACAAGTGTCTCTCCTGGGAAAGAGGCAGAGAACATAGTGCTGTCAGCATCAGTGCTGAGCTTAGTGGGGGTGCAGGATGGCCACCCCTAAGCAGGCACCTTGTCTAGGCTGACCAACCTCAGAAAGAGGTAGTGGGGTGGCTGCAAGCCTACCCAGAAAAGTCACACACACCAGAAGGGTCTTACCATTTGCTTTATTTTTTTTTTTCATTTTTCCCAGGTCAATGAGGCAGCAACATTAACAAAAAGTGAGACATACTTTTTTCTTGCAAGATAATTCAATAATTCTTCCCAAACTGATGCTCCACAGATAATCCTAAGAGGTTTTCATTACATTTAGCCTAATCTGGAAGATCTGGCATTCTACATATCAAAAATAACTCCCAGGCTGATATGAGGCCAACCCATGAGCACTCAATTCCACACAGGGGCAATACCTCAAGCAGAGAGAGGGCTTCAGGCCACCCCACTTCTGGCTCTTTCCAGTCCTAGCAGGTAAAAGAGGAGATCCAGGCTAAATTTTCTGGCCCTTCAGGAAGGCTGGCACCTCTGGCTCTCCCTACCTGGGGAACCTCCAGGGCTACTGGATCAGCAGGGACTTTGGGGGTTGTTTATGGACCCAGAATTTGTGCAAGAAGCTCCATGCTTGCTGCCCAACAAACTCCTGAATGATCTCAGCCTCTCTCTCCTTTTCTGAACACACTCCTTTGTTGAAAAAGGAGACTAAACAGATTCAAGAGGCTCACTGATGTGCACTTGGCAATGACGCTATTGTCAAAAGAACACAGAATTTATTTGTAGCAGCTTGCAATGTCCCAGGGCCAGAGAGGGTGGATTCTCTTAGGACGCCTGGGAGCATCTCAAATGGTAACATTTGGGACAGCCCAGCTGGGGAAATGCTGCAATTTTAGCTGTGCAAATTGCAAATGCACGTGGAACCCTTGCTGCCACGCAAACAGGGGAAGCACCAGAATCCTTTTCTATGCAGCCAGAGGCTCTGAACGGACAGGCTCCCCTCCTTCTCCTTCTCTCTCTGATTCCCAGGTTGGCTTGCTGAGTTCTCTCACTCCCATCAGCTTTTCTCTGCTGCTCTGTCCAAGTTATTTGGATAAATGGGAACAAAGAAAAGAAAACAGCCTCAGCCTCCAGCCTTCCCTTTTGGGACCTGCCTCACAATGCACCCTCTCTTCCAGGCACTTCTTGAATTACAGAGGAAACAACAGTGAGTGAGTCCACTATGGAGCTACTACCAGGTTGGTTTAATTTGCATGGGTCCCAGACGAGTCTCAAGGGCCCAGGAGGGTCACCCACGCTGTCGTCTCTTCTGCCCCCGCAGCTTCAGCCGCCTGGCTGGCAGGCTGACGGGCTGCTTCCCAAACTTCTCCATGATCTCTCGGATCCTGGCCATGTTGGTTTTGCTAAGTGTGAAGTCACACCTTGTGGCCCCCATGTCATAGCCAACCATACAGTTCTTGGTGGATGCAGTGAAACCTTCGGCCTTTGCTGTGACCACATACTCTCCAGGGTTCAGGAGGCGCCAGTAATCCCCATCGTTGGCTGTGAAAAAGAAAACCAGGGGAGACTCAGAGCAGCTCTTGCTAATGCAGATCCCGCCAGCCCTCCTCCAAGACCAGCTCCCTGGGCCAGAGAGAGACTCTCAGGCTGGCAACGTGGAATCCGAGCTCCTGCAGATGCAAATTCTTAATGCATTTTGGAAGCCCAGATGTTTTCCTCTCTGAAAGCTGCCTTAATGGTTTTAACAGGGAGGGGAGGTATAGGCTCCCCGCAGTGTCAATACACAGGAGCAAAGCTGGAGAGCCGATCACTAATGCTCTGTGACAATATGAGCCATTCATGATGAACTTGAACTTCCAAACAGTATGCCCTCGCCACAAAATGCCATCTTGAAAAGCCATCAGTGCAGGGCCTCCTGGCTTCCTTAGCATGGCTGCAAGTACACAACAACCATTTTTCAAAGGTGTGGGCTTTTCACTTCTGGAAAGAGAAGGAAAGGACTACATGGACTGAGGTCAGATGGCCCCAGAGAGGCCCTGGCACCTGTACCCCATTCCCTGGCTGGGGCCTGGAGAGACTTGGGAGTTGCAGGGCCATCTATACATGGACGCTGTGGGGCAGAGGAGCCTTGAGACCACATGAGACCCATGCTGGAGCTGAGGTGGTGCCCATGCCTCCCAGGTAACTACCAGCCGATTACCTCCCAGGCACCTAATGTGACCTGGGTCCATCCTCAGCTCTAGGCTAGATCCCTGTGGTGGGCACGGTGGTTCATGCCTGTAATCTCAGCACTTTGGGAGGCTGGGTGTGGTGGTGGGTGCCTGTAATCCCAGCTACTCTGGAGGATGAGACAGGAGAATCACTTGAACCCAGGAGGCGGAGGTTGCAGTGAGCTGGGATCACGCCACTGCACTCCAGCCTGGGCGACAGAGTGAGACTCTGTCTCAAAAAAAAAAAAAAAAAAAAGACAGGTTCTAGGCTGAGGTCTCTCCTCCCAGAGAGCCTACAACCTGGTGAGAACATTTAGATCCACAGCATATCAGAGACCATGAAACAGAAAAGGAGACACCAGAGGCCATCTTGGGGAACACCACCCACACGCAAAAAGACGAGGCTGGCACTGGCTCACTGAACACTCCAAGTGACTCTGTGATGCAGGCTGCATGCTTATTCCCTTTTCTACGTGAGTAATTTGATGCCCAGAGAGGTGTAGTATCCTGCACCAGGTCACACGGCTAGTAATCAGCAGTCTTTCGCTTGTGACAATCTGAATGTCCTGCCCAGTCTAAAGTTTTGGAGCCAGGTAGAGAAAAGGTTGGGTTTGATCAAGTACTAAGTAGGCCCTGGTCAAGGTTTGCTTATCTTAGCAAGTCCTGAAGTCTTCTAACGGATGGAAGAAAACTATGTGTGTGTTTGTAAATATACGTCTCCCACATACACAGATCTATAACACTTCGAAGCATCATGTTGAAATCATGCACATTCTAATCTCAATTCATCCAAGACACCCCGTGCAATACACTGAGCTCACAGGAGCACAGGACATGATGGGAAATGAAATGTGGAGGCAGTCGTTTGCCACATGTACATCACTAAGGAGCTGAATGGAAAACAGGACTCCATCTGAGAGGCCCAGGTACACGCTCAGGTGGGCGGCTCCCTGGCACTTCTTGGCGCTGTGTGCTGGGTCTTTTTTTAATGAAATGGCAAGTTCTTCAACTAAATAAAATGCCACATTAGACCTTTTCAGGAGCACGTCGACAGGCTGAATTATGCCATCAGGTGACTCGAGCCTCGCAGCAAAGTTTGTCTTTGGAGATCTCCCTCAGGGTCCCCACAGTCCCTGACAAGCCCGAGCGAGCCACCTCCTCCACGTGCCCTCCCTGTCCTCTCCCCTCTCCATGCTACCAGGCAGTATGTCCTTGAGAGTGGAAATGGCCTCCGCTTCCTGCCTCGGCCCGGTGTTAAAGCTGTAGGCGCCTGAAGAGCCCGTGTTTTCCTCTTCTGTGCTCAACATGCGTGCCATTTATCCTCCTGGACTGAACGCCGAACAGGTCTGAACATTGGTTTATCTGAATGGGCTGGAGAGAAGTGAGCAACCAGGACAGCATGTGGCTTACTGGCCTGAGAAGCAGAGCATATTAGGTCTCAGCTACCAAGGGTGCTCAGAGGGGATTAGTTAAGGCCGAGAGCCTGCCCCCACCAACAGCTATTGTGGGGCGCTGGACGTTGGAGGCCCCTGGAAGCAAACCTCTCAGTGGGAGCACCTGACTCAATGGCACTTGGAAGTTGGTTTAAATACCTCAGGGAGGGGGCAGCCCAGGTTCTCACCAAGGGAGGTGTTCAGTAAGCTGAGCAGTGAAAGAAACCCACAATTAATGGTTATCAGCATAACTGGCTCAAGTTCATATTTCTAATAAGAAGCCTTTGTGATTCCCCTTATCCCTGCAAAAGCCAGAAGAAGCCCTCCCTGCCCCCTCCCTAGTCCACCCTCTGTGCTGTCGCTGGCCTTCTCATACACATCATGGTGCTTACTCCCTAAACCTGCTGTTATCGCAGGGCCACATGGCGATGAAATCCAAAGTCCTTGGGTGGCCCGAGCCTCTGGGGTCCCAGTTCCTGCCCTCCCCTATTGTATCTCACACCCCTTTGTTCCAGCCATTCTGAGTGCCTTGCAGTGGTGTCTCAGGACACACACATCTCACATCTCTGGGCTTTGCATATACTGTTCCCACTGCTGTTCCCAACTCCTGTGCCAGGTCCACTTCCTTTCACCCTTTGTAAAGTCAGGCCTTGCAAGATTCCATTTAAATGCCTAGAGTTCGTTTCTTGTTTTGTTTTGTTTTTTGAGACGGAGTCTCACTCTATCGCCCAGGCTGGAGTACAGTGGCTTGATCTCAGCTCACTGCAATCTCTGCTTCCCAGGTTCAAGCAATTCTCCTGCCTTAGCCTCCCAAGTAGCTGGGATTACAGGTGTGCACCATCATGCTCGGCTAATTTTTGTTTTTTTTTTTTTTTTTTTTTAGTAGAGATGGGGTTTCACCATATTGGCCAGGCTGGTCTTGAACTCCTGACCTCATGATCTGCCTGCCTTGGCCTCCCAAAGTGCCGAGGATTACAGGCATGAGCCACCATGCCAGTTCTAGAGTTTATTTTTAATAATGAAAGCTATTCTTACTAATTTTCAAGAAATTTGTTCTGTCCTTGTGGCCCTGTCAGATAAGCCCTCTAATTTTTGAGGAGAAATAGACAAGCAGGTGGAGACAGTGTTCCTGAGAGCCTGAGGGTTCACCCCATTCAGATAAGGGCTCAGTGCTTAGAGCAAAACCCAACGCAGGTCCTGGGGGCCCCTTCCACATCATTGCACTCCACTGCTCCCAGCCGGCCTCTCTCCAGCCACACAAGTCTTCCTTTTGTTCCTTGATTCTTGACTCTGAGCCTTTGCAATTACTGTTCCCTCCAACTGGAATGCTATTCTTTGCTCTTCTAAAGGCCAGCCTGTGTATGTCCCCTTAGGGAGGGACCCTTCCTTGGCTTTCCCACCTATTTGTAAATATCACTTAATTTATTTTTTTCATGGCACTGATCATAGTGTGTAGTAAACTTTTAAATCTTCCTTTGGAATTATCTCTAGGTCTCCTTCACTAGAATGTGTACTTTTAGAGGTCATATTTGTTTTGCTCACCGCAGTATTTCTAGTCTGGTACACAGTAGGAGCTCAATAAGAAAGGTCAAAAGAATGAATACAACGATCAGGACTGTGTGTGGGTTCACACAGTCAGAATGAGGGGTGTTGGCCATGTCATCTCAAAGCTTCTACTGCAGAGACATGGATCTGCCTGATGCCCTCATTGGCCTGGCAGGGCACGCTGTCCTCAGTTCTTGGCTGTTTTCCCCATGTCTTCCTTGAGGCTCTCACTTTCTCTGCTTCTGTCTCTAACCACTGGAAAAGTCTGGAATCACTCACATTATGAAAAGCAGGAGATGCAGTGTTGGGCTGTTGTCCCCATGAGTGCTCAGGTCTGTGTTCAGGGTGAACCTTCTAGGGAGCTGCAGTGGAAGTCAACACATAATGGGCATCCCGGGCATTCATGCGTGCCAAGCCTGTCCCGCAGACTCTGGCCAAGAGATGGATGAAAGAAGTATGCAGACACAGGTATTTTGCCTGAGCGTGTGGCTAGGGAACTGCACGGCTTAGCGCCACTGACGAGAGTGCAGCACCCATAAGCCAGAGATGTTTGTATTTATTTAGTACAGATTTAATGACAAAGGCTTGGAGCAAACACAATTTGTGGGTAATTAACATTGTCGACCCCCCGAGTAGAGAGCAGTCCTGTGTGCAAATGATCAAAGGTTGATATCTGGAGACATAAGTAAACAAATTCATCCAAATAAATTCCTTTACATTCCCTTGTTATCTACCCTTTGCCCTTCCGAAGTTTTGCAAAACGTCCTGACCTTCTAAGAAGGTTTGCGTCTTTCCTTATAATTTCTCCCGCCACCCTGACACATCTCCTATACGTGGGCAGAAGGGGCAACTCAGGCCCAAAGAATGTCCACACAGGAGCAGGTCAGTTCAGTACCCACCAAGCAAAGGACAGGCATGTGGAACGGTGAGCCGGGTGTCTGTCCAACATACTGATATGCATCTAACTCAAAGCATTCCTACCAGCTTCCCTCCCTGTGGAATTCCATTTAATACCCCTGTTTATTTTATGCAAAATCCATCCCGAAATAAAACTTGTCAGATCACATAAACCTCAGATAGAAATCAAGGCAAATTCAGAGCTTTTCTTGAGAACCGAAAGATTCTGAAACAGAACAAAGAGCCGTGTGTAAAGTATGGAGTTTATCTGTCATGAGAATACACTGGGAAATTATTTATAGAGGGGAAAATCAAGGGAGGGAGATGCATTTCCCATTAGCTCATCAAAACTGTCTCATTGATTGCAGGGGCTTGAAACTCAGCACCCATTAGGCAAAGTATTCTATCTTGGCTTATGAGGCCCCAGGGTCTTTTTATCTCCCACTCAGTTCAAAACTCCCACATTTTCTCACATTGCATACAAAGCACTAAATAGTCAAGGAATGTTCTAGGCTCTTTTAGAATTGTCATTTCAAAGGAGCTTCATTTGTAATGTTTAAAATACAAATCCTATGCAGAACCACATCACACAGCCTTTCATGCATAATGATCGCCAACACTCTGCGTGGTCTCTGGCACATTCCAGCTATGCAATCTACATTTGCTGAATTAATTAAGGAATAGTGAATAAATATATGAAAAAAATGAACACCTATGAGGGGCTACTACGTACAAAATTCCATGGTATTCAGTGTGAAGCCTCATGGTTCATGGCTATAAGATCAGTGACAAATGGTAGGAATGTTCAGAAAATATTATTGAGCAAAGAAATCAGTAACTAGATGGGAAAAATGCAATTTATGGCATTACACAGCAATCTACTATTTTGTGGCATTTTAGACACATTTCCCCCATTTACATATTTGGTCTTTTATGCCAGGCCCACTGCTAGGGAGCCTGGCAATGAAGGATACATGGGCCAGGTCTGAACCCCAGCCTCGCCTCATCCTAATGTCCCAAAGTCTGCTTCCTGGCAGGTGGAATGGGATCTTTTGTTGGCACGACAGGATCATGGGAACAGTTTGCAGAGAAGGAGCCTCTCCTCCCTGTTCAAGAAAAATGGCATGGAAATAAAGGAAGGAGCACCAGATTTGAAGTCTCCAGTGCTTGGCTCAAATCATAGCTCTGCCACTCACTGGGTAATCCTGGAACATCACGGACTGTTCATCCGCCCATTCACCAACAAGTATTTATCGAGCATCCACTGCTCAGAAGTGGCCAGGCAGGGTGCTCGTAATACATTGAGGAACAAACCAACAAAACAGTCAAGGGCTCCTGACCTCATGGGGGCGAAGAGACAGAAACAAATCATGAGCAGAGTACACATGAGCCTCTTACGTGGTGTGTTAGAAGGGAGACATGCCACGGGGAAGGGACAAAGTTGGGGCAGGTAAGAGGGACCAACAGTGCAGCGGGGAGGTGTGCCATGCTCATAGGGGTCAGGGTTGGTTGCACTGAGAGGGTGACGTCTGAGCAAAGACCTGAAAGGGAGGAGGCAGGAACCCAGAGACCCCCCGGGGAAGAAGGTTCAGGTGGACAGAGGCGCCGCAGTGATGACCCCCGTGTAGTGTCAGTCCACGGGGATCAGTGGGAAGTCAGATCATGGGACAGTCAGCCCTGTTTGCCTAGGACAGAGGTGGGGAGTGGGACACAGCATTTTCAGTTTTAAGTGGGGAATCCCAGGTCATGACAGCCCTGTGGCACAAAAGAAAAACCTGGACTTGTCAAGCACCTTTATTTTCATATCACTTTCTAACCAGCAAAGAACAGGGCAGAGTCCTCTGGGACCCTGAGGGGCACCTGCAGGGCATCTTCCAGCCCACCTGGGGGTCAGAAACCTGAAGCCAAACCCCACTAACCCCTTAACCATCAGTGGGTCACTGCCCTCCTTGAGCTTCTGTTTTTCACCTGAATAAGTGGGAAAGAATGGCCTGTCTCCCTCAAAGGGATAAAGTGAAAACAACTGAGAGAAAGCATGTATGAGCGTTCTTTGAGAACAGATCGTGTGGGGAACAGCTCCTTGTTCCTGCTGTTGCTGAGTGATCCAGGGGCAGCCTTCTGCTGTCCTGACGTGGTACGGCCACTTCATATTTGGTTTATAAAACCCTGGGTCTTACAATTTCTTTTCTTCCACAGCAAAGAGAGTTGGAATAAGATGTCAGCACTGCCTTTTAGAGATCATCCTCTGACCCTCAGATTATCCAAGTTCCTAGAATTTTGTACCCTCCATTCAAAAGGGAATCACGCGTACTAACCCTGACTAGTTAACACCATGAGACACTCATCCCTTCCAGTGAGTGGGAGCTGAGTCTCCCTGAAGCATTTCATCTAATGACAGCATCAAGAAAATACAATTTATGTGAGGAATGATGGAGTTAAATGACAGAGCTAATACAAGAAAGCTATTAAGAGAGTGGCATATAGGAGATGCCCACGTTTATTGTTACTGTTATTCTTATCCTACCCTTCACATTACAGACACCTGAGTCTTCCTAAGACATCACGCTCAGTGATTTCCTGTGCTTTAATGGAAAAAGTGCATCCTCTCTGGCCAGTCCCAACCCACCCCTCCAGCTGTCCTCTTGCTGCTGGTCCCTTCAAACTCTCCACTCCTCCACAAGTCACCCAGTCTACAGCTTCTCCCTCTCCGGAGCAGCCTGGCTCCCTCGCTCCCTGGCCCCTCTGCACTCATGGACACAGGCCACATTCCACCTGGTCTGAGAGCTAAGCTGCCTGCAGATGCAACAACTCCATGGAGACAGAGCTGCTTCCTCAACTCCTTAGAAACTTCCACTGTGCCTGGAGGCCAGCTGGTGGCTGCACAGCCATCCTGTGAAAGGGACAGCGAGCAACCAGCAAGCACAGGCTGAAAACCTCCCTTCCAAGGGTCTCTTGAAAAGTGGGAAATTTAGAGGAAGGAGACTGTAATTTGGCTCTGAGTAAGACATTTCTGGCAGTCATTTCATGATTGTAACCCAAGTAAAATGCCTAAAAAAATGGGTATTTCTTACCAAGAGACAGTCTGCACACATTTGCAGTTACCTGTTCGGATGTCATGGTTAATGCCTTCTACGGAGATAATGGCGTTTGGGATTCCTTTTCCATGTGAATCTCTCACCAAGCCTTTAATGCCACGATGAACCTGCTCAGCAAACATGAGACACAGGGTGAGGTCACCGACCAGCTCTGGACACAACCGGCACAACAGAGTGGGCTGTCAACCCACCATTGGCCGGTTCCCACCAAGAACTCACACAGCACCACGTCTTGCTCAGAAGGCTTGGAACCGAAAAGCAGTTCATTGCTCACTGCATTGTTGGGTTCAATTAACAAGGGCGAGGTCTTAATGTAAGAAAAGTGAACTTATTTCTGAAGCTAGCATTAGGGAAGCATCCTGCTTTAAAATGTGCCACTTATCCTTTGGAGCAAAAAGCTGATACTTTTATAAGGGGAGGGGGCTAGTGAGCAAGGGCAGCGGTCCCCCTGCTAGCCTGGTGTCTTATCTACCAGATAGTTGAGCTGGCACCTTCCTGGGCAGAAATAAGTTGTAGAAGTAGCCAATGGGCATGCTTTCGGCATGCCCTCTGAGGCCAGCCCCTGGAGGTGGGTGGTCTGCCTTGGAGCACAGATGAGCTTGTCCTGCAGGGAATGTCTGCTGAGGGGGAAGTGACAGGTTATTTTGCATTTCAAAAAGGGCTAAGTGGGAAGCAGGGGAAAGGAGAAAGGAGGAAAGAAGAGAAAAAAGCCAGTTAAATTATCTCTTAGAAAAATAGGAGTCCTCCAGTTATAGGATTGCCTGGCTCTGTGTGGATTTGGAATGTAAACTTCTGCATTTCTTTTGGGTTCTTGCACCAGAAAGTCTTCCATTAGAATGTCCAGAGGCTTAAAAAATATTAGGATCTGAGACGGTTCACAGAAACACATTTACTAAAAACTGAAATTTAATTTTTATAGGCACATTTATTTTGACTTTGTGGGACTTGCTGACTTAAAAGTCAGAGGGAAAAGAAACAATTCAAAGAAACCTTCCTATAGATGACAACTCCATGCATAGACCCTTCCAATGACTTGTGTCATGCGATGCACTCAAACCTTATGCCTCAGTTTCCCCACCTGTAGAATGATGTGCCAATCCAAGGTGACATTCCATCATTACCAATGACTTTACGCATATTTCGAGGACTGGGCATTTTATCCATAGGAGGCCCTTTGGCTATGGCATCATTACTTAAGACTGATCAGGTTGTTACAGTCAAGTCTTTCTCTTTACAGGGATGCAAAAGAAAAAGGGCCTTCTCTTACAAAATTCCAGGGTGGGAACAGGAATTCCTTGAGTGAGAGGTTCCCCAAAGAAGGAAAAACAGACTCACACCCTTCTGTGCCAGAGCAGCTCACCGGGGGCTGGGTATCCCAAGACCATCATGGGACAGAGTCAGATGCTAAATCCTGGTGCCAACCTCTGCCCCCTGTGCAGAAGTGCAGCCAAAAGTGCCAGCCAAAGCCATGGGCTGAATGTGCCTTCTGACTCCTGAGCACAACCCATGGAAGGGGAACCTTGTGTCCAGCCTCAGAGTCTTACTTCCTAATGGATGGAGGTTAAGGTGGAGTCAGAATTAACACTTAGAAAAAAACAGGAGCCCTGAGGCTTGACACTTGTTTCTGTTTAATCCATTACTTTCCAGGTAGTCTGTTCCTTAGTGGGGCCCGGATACTGTTTGGTTAGTTGCAGAACTAGAACTGGTGAATTCACTAATGCTGCAAGATGGATGTGTCCTTGACAGCCTACGGCAGGGAGGTGTCCAAGGTTCTCAGCGGAGGCAGCAGCAGCCCCTCCCCAGCTGGGCAGCAGAGCCCAGCGGTACTTGTTAAAGCTGCTCCCAGGTCATTCACCTCTGCCACCTGCAACAGTGACTCTGAAGGCCTGGGAGGGTGTTAGGGACTCAGTTGTGTCCCCACCCCACCCCGACCCCCATATTCATATGTTGAAGCCCTAACCCCAGTATCTCAGAATGTGACTATGTACAGACGGAGCCTTCGAAGAGGTAATTAAGGGAAAAGGAGGCTGTTAAGGTGGCATCCTCCTAAGAAGAGGAAATTTGGACTCATACACAGAGGTGCATGCACAGAGGGATAACCACCACATGAAGAGGTGGCAAGATGGCAGCCGAGGAGACAAGCCTCCGAGGACACCGACCCTGTGGATGGCTTGGTTTCGGACTTCCGGCCTCCAGAGCTGCAAGTCTGCCTTGTAAGCCACCTGGTGTTTTGTGATGGCAGCCAGCGTAGACTGAGACGAGGGGCCTGGGCACATTGGCTCAAACACATAGCACCTGTTCCCTGCGGAGCAGCATCAGAGAGCTCAGGAACCAGTCCCAATTGCTCCAGGCCAGTGGGGACAATGACCATTGGTTTAGAGCTCTCTTCCCTGAGGCCTGCTCAAGTGTCAACACACAGTGGCTCCTCGCAGCACTGTGCTGGCCCAGGATGACGGCCAAGGTCTGAAGCTCTAATTCCATCCCATACTTTCAGCCACCTCGGCAGCCTCATCCCCCAGCTAGTCCCCCTCATCCCAGCCACACACCCGCAATATACCTGCTCCATGAACACGATCAGAGATTCCCGGTTATTCTCCCACTCCTCGGGCAGCTGGCTCTCATGTGGGTATTTATCACAGCCCACGTAGATGGACAGTTCGAAGCAGTTTGTATGAAGGTAGCTGAAATCGTTCAGACCTGCCAAGCCAACCGGACAACACTTTAACTGAACAATACTCAAAATGGCACTGGGGAATGCGGCACAGCGGGCAGCAAGGATGTTTAAGAACATTCGGAAGGCCTTGTTTAAACAGGGAGATATGAAGTATCTACTATAGACAAAAATTTGCATTAGAGCAAATGTGTGTGAGTTAGAAAGAGTTTGGAGAGAAGATGCAGCCGGAATGGTTTGTGGTGAGGACAGACACATGGAAGTGTGTCTTTGACAAAAGAAGAATTGAAATAAGTGCTATTTAGATAAAATACTTTATTAAAGTAAAAAAGTTTAATGCTCCTTTTTGGAGTAAAGCTATCATTCATGAACACTATAGGTTTTAAGTGTTTGATTAAGTTTATCTCTACAGTTGTGCTGTCTCAGCTATAGCTCTATGACAGTCTTCTATTTTGATTCCAAAAACTGCGATCCTTAACCACTGTTTGCCAAGTGCCTCCTATAAGCCAGGATCTGTCCTAAGCACTCTGCAGCCATTAGGTTACTTAATTTTCACCCCAAACCCAGCAGAGGTAGGCAACACAGCACAATTTTACAAATAGGAAAATTGAGGTTGAGAAGGGGAAGAATAGTACCCAGGACCTTGTATGTGTCTGGAAAGGGCCAGAGTCAGGGTTTGGGCCCAGGTCTGCATGCCCTTGCCCACAGCTCCGAATAGACCATCGCTGCTTGGGGACTCGTAGGCAAACCCACTCTCCCAGTATGCCTGAAAGCAGACAAGCCTTCTGCCTCCTGGCATGACGACAGCAGGACAGGAAGCCCCAGCCTAATGTGTAGTCGGTGTCTGGACTCATTTCCTAGGGCCGCTGTTATAATACAAATTACCACCAAATGGTTGACTTAAAGCAACAGAAATTTATTCTCTCAAAGTCTCAGAGGCCAGAAGTCTGAAATCAAGGTGTCTGTGGTCCCTCCAAAACCTCTAGAAGTGGGGGCCTCCTCTAGGGGAGGAGCCTTCCTTGACTCTTGCAGCTTCTGGGGGCCCCCTGGCATTCTTTGTCTTGAGGCCACATCACTCAGCTCTCTGCCTCTGTCTTCATACGGGCTTCTCTTCTTCTGTCTTGCTTCTGTCCCTTACAAGGACACTTCCCACTGATCTTAAGGCCCATCCAGGTAACACAGGGTGACCCCATCTGGAGACCTTGAATATAATGATACCTGCCAAAACTCATTTTCCAAATAAGCTAACATTCCCAGGTGTGGGGTTCTAGAAAGCAGACATTATCTTCTGGGGAGGCCACCAACCCGCCCACTATACTATTCAACATTTGTGAAATAAATAAATGAGTGTTTGATGGCATGAAGTACCAGTGGCTTCCTTCCCAGCATTTCTGTTTTTGAACAGGATGATGATTAGCAAGCTGCACTCTGCGCGACTCACCCAGTAGAAGGCCCCTCTGACCACCCTCCCTGGGCTCTAGGGTCAGGGTCACAGAAAGCAGGAGTGTTCTGTGCCTTGGACAACTTTCCTTCATTCTCACTTAGTGCACCAGAAGGAACCCTCTCCTGCGATGCTCAGTATCAAAACCATGGCTTTGGGGTGTCAAGAGCAACTCTATCAATCTGCTGCCTGGTCACTGAAGGCAGAGGCAAAATGGCATTAAGTATACAGCCACTCTCTACCCAATTCCAGATTCGAACCTTTCACACGTCATCAGCAACGGGCCTCTGATCAAGCCTGTGATGAAACACAGTGAGCGTGTTTGCAGTGAGAGCAGTGGAATAAAAAGGGTGGGACAGAGCCAAGTCAATGGAAAATCCCTCACATGGGCCCCGGTCTCATTGAAGGAGATTGGTCAAAATTCCTTCGGTCAAACCTGCAGTATGGAATTACAGACAGTGCAAGAAGGCCAGGGGGCAACAAACCACCAGGGAGCACAGGTTTCAGCTTTCCGGGAGAGCTGAACACCTGTCTACAGAGAAAATGATTGTCACTTCCACCCTTTTCGTCCTCATTAGCACTGAAATAAATGCGATATTTAAACATTCTGGAGTGAGCCTGCCATTTTGCAATATGTGTCTTCAGAGCATAGGAAGCTTTAGAAGAACTGGCAAAATGAGAAACCAGAGGGAGGTGGAGAAGCTTGGGCCATGCTGTCTTGCTGCTGCCTGCCAGCCTTCCAGAGTGTATCGCCTTGCTGAGAATACGTGGCCAGAGAAGGGCTTCAAAAGCAAAATGCGACTTCCTGTCTGAAGTGTGTGAACAAGGGGCCATGACGTGCCCCAGACAGTTCTTCACAAGCCTTCGGCCCTAGCTGGGGTGGTGAGACATTCCTTTGTGTTCTCTCCCTGACTGGCATCTTTCTCTTGTCACCAGCTTCAGCAGGGAAGGCACAGCCGCATTCCTTACAGCTCTGTGCATCTGATGCTACCACGACACCTGCCTTCACCGTGGAGGAGAAGGTGCAGGGTTGCAGGAACAGAGAGGGTCACAGGAGTCTGGAGTGAAAGCACACACACTCCAAACAATGTGCATTTCAAAATGCATTGACCCTTGCTCTCAACTGGGCCACTCCCCATTAACTAGTGCCTGGCAGGGCACAGCTAATGAGTGAGAAAAAAAATGGAACAAAAAGGTGGAGAGGAGAGGGAGGGGGAGGAAAGGAAATTACAAGTCACATTTCATTAATCTACAATGCAATGAATCTGCAGACTTCATCACACTGTCAGGAAGATGAATGATTAAAAAGGCTCAAGCTACCGCATGGCTCTGCCGTGAAGTCCCAGAAATAATGGCAAATATAATGGATAGAAAAAAAATCAAACGCTACCTATGTGCTTGTGCGGCAGCCAACTTCGCAAAATGTTATGAGTGACCAACACTGCGGAATCCAGGTGTGCCCGTGCCCAATTTAGTCACAGCAGCCATAAAAAATAAACAGGTATTTTACTTAAAGCTTTTGGTAGGTGGGTTTTTAGGGCTAAAAACTTGAAAAGCAAGAATGTTTTTTGCCATTAGGAATTCTTCTTGATAGATAGAGATTTGCATTTTTTTTTATTTCATACAAGATAAAACCATGATGGATTTAGATAAAATGCCTCCGCTTGGTCTGTAAAAGGGAAAAACTTCAAGCTTTCTGTACATGTTTTAAAATGGCCAGGGAAACAAGTATTTCTACTTTGTTTTTCTTTTCCCAAGGGTGGGAACATACTTCAAAAGTATGTGAAGGCTGAGTTTCTAACAAAGTCAAATAATATTGATGCTTATCAGTACAGTGAAACCGACAATAAGGATGTGCTCATTTGAGGTTTCACAGCAGCCGTGTTACTGCAGAGGGGAGTCCGCAGGGGATGGGAACTTATCACGACTGTTTCTGTGAGCCACACGTCAAGCACATCCACATCTTCCACCTGCGTAATCCTCACAGCTTCCTAGAGGGAGCTGGTACTACCACCACCATCCTCCTCCTCCTCTTCATCATCATGCCCGTTTTTACAAATGAAAAAGTGCAAGGGTTCAGAGAGGTTAAGTAACTGGCCCTGGATCACACAGCAGGGCCAGTGATAGAGTGGGATTTGAACCCCCAGTCTGACATGAAAATATTTTGCAAATTCATCGTCTTGACCAACCCTCACAAAAGGAAGGAAACAAGCAAGAAGCATTATGCCTGGGGTCCTGCAGTCAATGCAGAGGGACTTCGGAAATGGGACGTCCTCATCCCTCCTGGCTTAGGGAACAGCCCTGAGACAGGAAACAAAGTGCTTGTCCTGACATGTGGACCGCGGGGCCCTCTGGCTGCTGTAAGGGAATTTCTGAAGTCTCTCCTGGGAGCCTCTACAGTCCTGAGTGGATGCCAGGAGCAAAACTTTGAATTCCCCATGCAGCACACAGTCGGCGTTGACCGCAGGCTGTGGGTATGAGTGTGACGGGCCGTCCCGCTGGCCGCTGGAGGACAGCAGGTATGAATGGAACCGTCCTCACCACAGGTTCAGTCTGCAGCTCAGAGTCCCTTCACAGCTGAGCTTGGGATGGATGCCTGGCCCCCTCTGTGGGTTTACACACAGGACATCACCCAAGAACAGAATAGCTCTTACAGCTAAGATAAGAAAAACCTGGGCTCCAGCGCCAGCACCAGCATGCTCTCCACCCCTTCACTGGGTTGGGGTTTCTTTTTGTTGTTGTCCAATATCGCCATTAACTCCAATTTTACCCATCTCTAACCCTATCAAATCTGAATAGCTTGGAGGCTAAGCACAGGCCACGGAGTCAGAGACCCCAGCCCTGTGCCTTTCTTGCTGGAGCAGATCCCTTTGGGTCTCCAGCCCCAGTTACCTCCTTTGAGCACTGGAAAGTGAGACTGGGGCAAGGATGGAAGGAGAGCCTGAGTGTTGTGCTTAGGAAAGTGCTGGCAGGTCCTAAGTGCTCCACCGTGGCAGCCACCACTTAGTGACAACAGGACAGTAGTGACACCAGGAGGGCCAGGAGGAGACCCCTGCAGCGTCCTCCTGCGCCCGCAGCCCACTCTCCCCCAGAGGGAGGCTTACTTCCAGCGACGGTGTGCCAGGAGGCCCCATTGACAGTGCCCTCCTCCTTCTGGAAGTCCTCCGTGTGGCACACCCTCCTCCGGGCGTCTGTCATGAGGCGGTGTGTGGAGGCATAGGAGTAGGCCAGCCAGCGGAACACGTGGTCGTCGGGGGTGGGGGTGTGTTCCTGCGTCTTCCAGGGGGACCGCACCAGGTCGTAGGGGTACGCCACCACCAGCTCGCCGCCCTGCAGGTTGCCGCCCAGCACAAAAGGGATTTTTTCCATCCAGGCTATGACTGCTCTGGTCTCGGCAGCCACCTGTGAACATCCCAAATGGACGAGTAAAATAAGCAGGAAGTCATTTTATCTCCCCAGCTGTCAAACAGGGACATAGTCGAAAAAGCAGTGCTTTTGTGGAATAATCTTAGTAAAGTTCAGAATTTCAAAACCAATTCTGGGAAAATGTGAAGGAGACTTAGAAAGACTCATAAACCAATCAAAACGAACAGGCTTTGTTTGGATCTTGATTTAAACAACCTTGGGGAGGGGGGAATAACAGGGGAAATGTGAGCACTGACCAGATACTTGACAATATTAAGGAATATTTTATTTTGATATAATAATGGTAATGCCTTATGTTTGTAAAAGAGTGCCTTTATTTTTTAGAGATACCTACTGAAATCTTTACAAAGGAAATGCTATGATGCCTGGGTTTAGCTTCAGTAATCTGGGGGAGGAGGAGAAAGAGAGGAAAGATGTGGATGAAACAGGAACTGGTTAAGTGTCAGAGCTGAGATGGGTCCATGGCGATCCTGGGCAGCTTCCTCCCTAATTCTGTATGTTTGACATCGTTTAAGAATGAAATTCAAGAAAAAAAGAAAACGATGTTAAAAGCTAAAATTTGAAAGTTTGATATGGTCAAACATTGATCAGTGAAGCAAGTATTTATCATAAATTGCTAATCCCTGTGAAGATAATCTCAGTAAGATCAAATCGACAATGACAAAGAACAGATATTGGAAATCATTTCACCATGCAGTACAGAAAACTGAGTAAGGGATGAAATGGACTTGGGATTCATTAAGTGTTGCTGTTTCTGTTTAAACACATCAGGGGCCCTGGATTGGACCAATGAGAGAGCTTAATTCATTGCACAGCATCACTGTTGGTCTGTGCTTGGTCCCCCTCTGGTTTTATTTATTTATTTCACACGGAGTCTTGCTCTGTGGCCAGGCTGGAGTGCAGTGGCGCGATCTTGGCTCACTGCAACCTCCGCCTCCCGGGTTCAGGCGATTCCCCTACCTCAGCCTCCTGACTAGCTGGGACTCCAGGTGCACACCACCACGCCTGGCTAATATTTCGTGTTGCAGTAGAGATGGGTTTTCACCATGTTGGCCAGGATGGTCTCGATCTCCTGACCTCGTGATCTGCCCGCCTCAGCCTCCCAAAGTGCTGGGATTCCCTTCTGTTATTTATTTCAATATGGAAAACACCTGTGAACCCACCATCCAACCACAGACCTCACTAACAATTTCTGTTGTGTGTGCCTACACCATCCTACCTATCCACCCTCCTGCCTCCCACTCGGAGGCACCCACTGTATCCTAAGTGATGTGATTCTCATTCTGTCTCTTTTGTTTTATCCCATATGTGTATACCTCAAAATATATCGTTTGGGTTTACTTGCTTTTGATCTAAAAAAAAAAAGGCGGGGGCAGAGGGGCGCAACTATACTGCTGGTTGCCTTCTGCAATTTCTTTTTTCCTCCCACTTAGTTTTGTGGTTCCCAGATTCATCCTATTGTTGAATAAAGCTATTTCCAGGCTTTTTTCACTTCAATATGGCGATCTCATTTAATGTGTTAATACCTATTCTTAGATGACGGGCATTGGTAATTTTCAATCTTTTGCTATAACGAACAGTGTTGCTTTGAACTTTCTTTTACTGTCTTCTGGTACATATGTGTTGGAATTTATCTTGCACATATCACCAGAAGTGAAATTGCAGAGGCATACGATATAGAAATATTCTACTTTACAAGATAATCAAGTTACTTTCCAAAATCATTATGCCAGTGTATACTCACCCGCAATGTATAAGAAATCTACTGTCCCATATTCCCTCCCACACTGGGGGCTTTTTACTTTTGCCAAACAATGGACATATAATGTTCTCTCATCTGCGTTTCCTTAGTACTAGTGAGGTAGAACATCTTGTCATGTTTATTAACTCTGTTTCCTCCTCTCTTACCTTTTGTCCATTTTTCTACTGAATTGTTCATATTTTTATTATTTGTTATTCTTCAGCTTTTAAATTTTCAACTTTCTCAGTTATATAATTTATAAATAACTCCTCCCAATTTGTAGCTTGTCACAGTTTTTCAAATCTTTTGATGAACAGGCTTTCTTATCTCCATGTAGTCGAATTTACTAATCTTTTATGATTAATGCCATTTGTATCTTACCTAAAATAGCCTCCCTTACACTAAAAGCTATATTCAAAATTTGGCGAGATAGTATTGTGAATAATTGTTAAATTTTGTCAAACACACCTTTCTATAGACAAATCACTTCATATTATTTCTTTGTTTCCTATCATTTCATTGATTTTTGCCCTTGCTTTTTATTTATTTTATGTATTATAATTTTTTTTTGAGACAGGGTCTCACTCTGTTGCCCAGGGTGGAGTGCAGTGGCAAAATCTCAGCTCACTGCAACCTCCACCTCCCAGGTTAAAGCGATCCTCCTACCTCAGCCTCCCAAGTAGTTGGGACCACAGTTGTGCACCACCATGCCTGGCTAATTTTTGTATTTTTAGTAGAGACAGGGTTTCACCATGTTGGCCATGCTAGTCTTGAACTCCTGACCTCAAGTGATCTGCCTGTCTAAGCCTCCCAATACCCTTGTTTTTAAATTAATCTCCCTTTCTTTGGGTTTCTTCTGTTATTAATTAATTAATTTATTTATTTATTTGCTAACTTCTTAAGTTAGTTAACTCTCAGCCTTCTTTTGCAATGTAAGAACTTAAAGTTATAAATTTCCCTAAAGCACTATTCTTTGCTGTAATCCACAAATTTTCATATGCAATATTTTCATTATTATTCAGTTCTAATTATTTTTTAGTTGCCAGTATTTTTTTCTTTGACTTATTCTTTAGAAGTTTTTTATTTTCTAAATACATGATGAGGTTTTCATTAATCTTATTACAACCTTCCAGTTTAATTGTATGGTGGTGAGACAAGGTCTGTCTGACACCTATTCTCTGAAATTTGTTGAGATTTCCCTTATAAGCCCAGTTTATCATCAATTTTTTAAAATGTTACAGGATTATTGAGAAGAATATTCTCTAATCATTGGTTATAGAATTCTTATACGTCCCTTATGTCAAACCTGTTAGCCTTGTTATTCAAATCTTTATCTTTGCTGATTTCTTATCTATCTAATCTATCCACAATTGAGAAAAGTTTTGGTGATGATAGAATTGTGTAATTCTCCTTGTAGTTCTAGACAACAAGCTCAAATAACTAAATTCTAGTCTAAAAGCAAAGACTGAACATCCAGAGACTCTGTACAGTTGTGCTAAAAGGATTACTTAGATCTTATAGCCTAGTGGCTAAGAAAGCTGGCAACCAAATTCCAATTTTGGTCTAAGTGTTCCCAAAGTATAACATAGCTCGAATTCTCAACTTTGCCAGGTGTCATTAGGATGTTAGGTGGAAAAACAAACAAATGAACAAAAAACAACTAAAACAGGTTCTGTGGGAAACATGAGAGCAGATTTAGAAGATGGAAGACTCAGGGGCCTCCCTAGTCTACTGCCCACATCAGCACCCTTGGGCATCCTAACTGAACCAAGTGGCATTGCCGCCGTCTGTCTTCATCACCCTACTGCTCACTTCTGGAGGGCCTGGATGACCCCGTACTGTGAGTTACTAAAGGAGCCCACCCTGCTGCTCCTCCTCCAGTACGTGGCACCCACATGTGCTGTGCTGGGGGCTGGAACGCCAAGGGAGAGCAGCTGTCCTGTCTCCAGCTCCCTTGAATCCCCAGTAGAAGTCCGATCTTTTGTTGTTGTTGTTTGTTTGTTTTGAGCTTGCAATATGCTTGTCTAAAATATAGCATTTCCCAGCCTTCCTTGCAGTGGTTGATACCACATGCAACTGAATTCTGGCAGGTGAGAGTTAAGCAGAAGTAGTATGTAGAACCGCTTATAGGAAATTGAATTACCTGAGAGAAAACTTTTTCTTTTCCCCAAGCCCTTTCTCTCCTGTTCCTTCAGAGACGTGACAGCTGGAGCACCAGCTGCCACCCTGGATTATGACCTTGAAGATGAGTGTCACATGCTGACATGGCAGAGACAGAGAGAGAGAGATGAATCCTGGGTTCCTGATGATTACCAGGTTTCTACTTGGCACGCCCTTGGCTGGCTTCCAGGGTACTTTTATGTGAAGAAAGAAAGAAACTTTTACCTTGTTAAGGCACTATTTTGATTTTTCTGTTGCTGCAGCTGAACCTAACACTAACTTATATATCAACAAAGGTAGAACTCTTGAAGGGTGTTTAAGATCAAAGAATCAGAGTAAGGAGCTCAACTATGATGACCAGGAAAGATAATAAGAGGTATGGGAGAATTATTTCTTCTACAACATACTCTTTGTAAAACAAGACCTAAGAAATCTGGGGAAATATTTCTCATCTAATTTCATTTTTCTTTCCAAAGAAACACCACATGTAGTAAACCCAAGGGGATGTACTAAAATAAAAAATAAGATACATTAAGCAATCAGTGAGGGCTAAGGATAACTTCTTAGTAATATAACCGACAGTGAGAAAGATAATAAAGGTAGTAACAAACATGTGCAATTCAGGGGAGATTGTTTGGGTTTTGAAGCTCCATGTGCTTGTTAAGAAATACAATTAGATGATTTCTCCTCTATGAAGAATCTCCCCAAATATCCACCTAAAAGGTAGTTATTATCTAGCATACTTCTCTGCTTTTGGAGAAAACATGAAAGAAAAAAACAGTTTTGTCTCTTTCTTAAATGTGCTATCCTCTGCAAATACCAATGGAGGTTAAGCCTTGCCTTTGGCTGCTTTACAGATGACGGGTATTTTGACTCACCGTGGCATTTTCCGACAGAAACCACTCAGGGATTGCAATATAGTGATTGGGAACTTTCCTGGGGACATTCTGTCGATCCTCTGCCTCCCAGAGCAGCGTGTTTAAATCAGGAAAGTTGTTGTTGATGTCAATTCCATCGTGGGTCCAGCGTCCCAGGGACCAGCCTCCCAGCTCCGAGCCCTGGAGACAAGTGAGAGTGTGAAGAATGCACAGGCTGCAGGACAACGCGGACCCTCTACCATACAAGATGCATCTGTCTCCACTTCCCCTTGGGGAATGTCTCTAAGCCTCTAGATGCCCTTTGACCCAAAGATGGCATCTAAAGGAGAATATTGAAAAACTTCCTATTAATATTTGGTGGGTGATAGATAGTTCAGCCAAATTACTCCAAAGAGGGAATGCAGAGAACCACCCCTGCCACATGGAAGTGCTTAAAAAGCATTAGGTTCCTTCTTCCACCCCTACCTTCCTCTCTTCTATACTGGCCAGGTGAACCTCTGAGTAGCAATGAACTCATCAATGGCCACCACAGTAATGCATTCTCCCTGCCTGCCCATGATTCTGGCTCACTATTTAGCAATGCAAATTCCTAACTGACTATATCTGCACCAATAAATGTGACCACATTTCTATACTGTAAAGCTTGCATTTGATAGGTACCCTTGTTTTAATATAATTTTCCATTTTATTCCCAGGTATTGAGATATATCACTGTCAATACACAACACAACATAATACTAACTATATGTTCTATTTATACATAATTCTGTACATATGCATATTCTATGCACACCTATAACCTATATACATTCTATATCATAACTGGAACACAAAATGTAAAGAACGTATCAGAATAATAAAACAACTATCCTCAGAAGACTGATGAGAAGATTAAAGGTAATAATCAAGGCTAACACATGCCATGATTAAGTCCTCAGCCAACATAAAGTGTTACTATTGGATTCCATTATCATTGTGTATATAGCAATATTGATGTTCATCTTCACGTCCTCCAGTTGGTCGGCATGTCCACCTCTCAAGGCCACCATCATTCTCAATGCCTGCTTTGCACTTTTCATAAACCTTGTAGGCTTCCCTGCCTCAGCAGAGACACTCAAAAATAAAACTCGTGTGGCCAGGCACGGTGGCTTACACCTGTAATCCCAGCACTTTGGGAGGCCAAGGCTGGCGGATTACCTTAGGTCACGAGTTTGAGACCAGCCTGGCCAACCTCCTCTCTACTAAAAATACAAAAATTAGCTGGGCATGGTGGCTGGCGGCCGTAATCCCAGCTACTTAGGAGGCTGAGGCAAATCGCTTGAATCCAGGAGGCAGAGGTTGCAGTGAGCGGAGATCACGCCACTGTACTCCAGCCTGGGCAACAGAGGGAGACTCCGACTCAAAAAATAAATAAATAAATAAATAAATAAATAAATAAATAAATAAATAAAGCTCGGAAGGTGGAATTTTGCATAGCCCTAGGGCCAGACATACTCTGGAGCTGGGGCCTCGCTGCCCATGTCCTATTGGGTGAGATGGGCCAGGGCCATTACCCCTTCGTAGGCCTTCTCGTAGCCATCGGGGTTGAGGGAGGGGAGGACGTGAATCCGCGTCTCCTCCACCAGGTGGACGATGCGCGCATTCCGGGCCAAGTACTCCTGACACACGAACTGCACCAGCAGCAGCAGCAGCTCCCGGCCCAGCACCTCATTGCCGTGGGCCCCCGCGATGTAGTGGAACTCGGGCTCACCTTTACTCAAAGACAGAGAGAAGCACAGGTTCACGTTGAAACACTTAGGGCCAAACGGTGCTTGTCACATTGTGTTGGGGGGAAAGTCTTGAATAATATAAGCTTACCGTTTTAGACCTATTTGTTCTTTCAAACAAACCTCTAAAATGACATCAGGACAACTGTCTTATTCCCAGACAGTCAGGTATGTAAGAAAATGTGTAGAAAAATCTGACATGACACCTGTCACAGGGGAATAATGTCCATTTTTACGTACCAAGAACAGATCAAATAACATAGTGCTGAGGGCTTAACATTCACAAGTTGAGCACAAGCCGTAGCAATCAGTGCCTCTCTTTTGGGAGGCAATTATTTTTCTTAAAATAACTTCCTATTAAGTTTAACAAAGACAAATGAATATAAGCAGAGAATAGTCCATCAGGGCAAATCAGCAGTGACACAGTGTAAAGTGGGCTTTCTTTAGGTATTTTCTCTTTCAAAGCTCAGCTTTTAAAATCTCAGGGTGCTATGGTTTAATGTATGTGTCCCCCCAAAATTCATATCCTGGAACTTAAGATCAAATGTGAGTATTAAGAGGAGGGGCCGGCCGGGCGCAGCGGTTCACACCTATAATGCCAGCACTTTGGGAGATGGCACCAGTGCAGGAGTTCAAGACCAGCCTGGGCAACATGGCAAAACCCTAACTCTACAAAAATCAAAAATAAAAAAAATTAGCTGGGCATGGTGATGCACACCTGTAATCCCAGCTTCTCAGGAGGCTGAGGTGGGAGGATTGCTTGAGCCCAAAAGGTGGAGGTTGTAATGAGCCAAGACTGTGCCACTGTACTCCAGCCTGGGAGACGGAATGAGACCCTGTCTCAAAAAGAGAAAAAAAATAAAAGAGGTGGTGCCTTCAAGAGGTGATGAAAAGATAACTCCTCTTATAAAAGGGCTCCAGAGAACTAGCCAGGCACTTTTGACCTTCTGCTCCTGCCATGTAAGACAAGAAGGGGTCTTAAGAGGAACAGCCCTCACCAGGCACTGAATCTGCCCGTGCCTTAACCTTGGACTTCCCAGCTTCCCGAACTGTGAGCAATAAAGTTCTGTTGTTTAGAAATTTCCCAACCTCTGATATTTTGTTACAGCAGTCAGAAAGGACAAGGGCCTGGCATTTATCAGTGCTGGGCTCGAGCTGACAACACATCTCCTTCCCTCATTGGCAAAGCTGCTGCTTTTGAGGAAATGTGATTTTACCAGCAGATAAAGTTTTTACCATTTAAAATAAACTCCTGCTGGGCGTGGTGCCTCACTCCTGTAATCCCAGCACTTTGGGAGGCCAAGGCAGGTGGATCACCTGAGGTCGGGAGTTCGAGACCAGCCTGACCAACATGGAGAAACCATGTCTCTACTAAAAATACAAAAATTAGCTGGGTATGGTGGCACATGCCTGTAATCCCAGCTACTCAGGAGGCTGAGGCAGGAGAATTGCTTGAACCCAGAAGGCAGAGGTTTCCATGAGCCGAGATTGTGCCATTGCACTCCAGCCTGGGCAACAAGAGCAAAACTCCATCTCAAAAAACAAACAAACAAACAAACAAAACAAAACAAACAAAAAAAACCACTTCCGGAGAGGAACTCCTGAGACCCTGATGAATGTTAAAGTAAATCAGCCAAATCTTTGCACCTAAATATCAGCAGATTTCTAAACAGCTCCCAGATTTACCAAAAAGAAAAACAGAGAAGCCCATCTGACCTATACAGGTGCAGGCTGGGGAGTGACTGAATGGGAAATGTCTGAAAACAGGAAATATCTAAAAATATAATTGAATTTTTTTAAGAATGGGGAGAAGCTCCTCTAATATGAGCCATTAATGATCAGGGAATCCTGAAGGAGGAGGAAATTCTGTCCTGCCCACCTCAGCCACTTTCTTCTTTGGCTATTGTGATTGGTCTCAGAGGTGGACGACAGAGAATGAAATATGCTCCATTTGGAGAAAAGATGGGTATTTCCAGTGTAAATAATTCTATAGTCCATATCATAAGATGAGTGGTTCACAGAGCCAACATGGGCAAAATCTGTCTACGTGAGACAGCAGTGGTGTGGACAGCTGATGCCCTGTGGCATGAATCTTCTCATAGGGTGAACAGTCTCCTAACTGTTTACATGAGTACCAAAGATGAAGGGGCCAAGCATCCCAGAGGGGCCCTTCTCACCGACTTCATGCTCCCCAGGGTGATCTGAGATCTCCACAGCATACAGCTTCAGGCCCTGGTGGCTTTTTCCAATGTTGTAAATTCTGGTGATATTGGGACACATTTCATTCACAACTTTCATCAACTGAAAAACAAGGTGAATCAAAAACTCTAAGCATTGATGACGATGCACTAAAAGGACAGAGCTCCCAAGAAAACGGACACCTCTTGCTTTCCTCCACAGCCTCCCAAGCGCCCCCACATTCTGCACACCCCAGCTGCTATCGCCTCTGCCCAGAACACTCTCCTTACATCCCTCTGCCCTGGATAATGCCCACTTTCCTTCCAGCACCCGCTCTATCATCGTCCCCCTAGGAGGAAACTCCTGGCCATTGCCCCCACCCGGTCCTGTACTTTCCACACCCCTTGGTTGTGGCTATCACTTCCTGTTATCCTCCAAATGTTATGTCTCTCAAAATCCATAGGCTGAAACCTAATGCCCAATGCATGAATTGCTAGGCCCTCTAGGAGGTGATTAGTGTCCTTACGAAAGAGGCCCAAAGGAGCCTGTTTGCCCATCTGCCATGGGAGGATGCAGCACGATGACGGCCCTGTGAACCAGAGAGTGAGCCCTCACCAGACCCTAGATCTGCCAGTAACTTGATCTTGGACATTCCCACCTCTAGAACTCTGAATAGATTTCTGTTATTTATAAGCTACTCAGGTTACAATATTTTAGCATGAATGGACTGAGATACTTGCTGATAGGGTTTGGCTGTGTTCCCACCCAAAACTCATCTTGAATTATAGTTCCCATAATCCCCACATGTCATGAAAGGGACCGGGTGGGAGGTAATTGAATCATGGGGGTGGTTTCCCTCATGCTGTTCTTCTGATAGTGAGTTCTCACAACATCTGATGGTTTTATTAAGGGGCTTCCCCCTTCACTCAGCACTCATTCTGTCTCCTGATGCCCTGTGAAGAGGTGCCTTCCGCCATTATTATAAGTTTCCTGAGGCCTTATCAGCCATGCAGAATTCTGAGTCAATTAAAACTCTTTTCTTTATAAATTACCCAGTCTCATGTATTTCTTCATAGCAGCATGAGAATGAAGGAATACACCTTCCTTAGTTGTGACTATCACCTCTCTGGTTGTGGCTATCACATACTTGGTTGTGATTATCAACTCCCTGGTTATGGTGACATCTTCCCTGACTGTGGCTATCACCTCCCTGGTTGTGGTTATTACCTCTTTGGTTGTGATCATCACCTCCTTCGTTGTGGTTACCACCTCCCTGGTTGTGGTTATCACCTCCCTGGTTGTGGTTATCACCTCCATTGCTATAGCTATCGCTACCCTGGTTGTGGTTCTCACCTTCACTGTTGTGGTTCTCACCTCCCTGGTTGTAGTCACCACCTCCCTGGTCATGGTTATCACTCCCCCGTTTGCAGTTATCACCTCCCTGGGTGTGGTTATCACCTCCCTGGTTGTGATCATCACCTGCCTTGTTCTGGTTATCACTGCCCTGGGTGTAGTTATCACCTCCCTGGGTGTAGTTGTCACCTCCCTGGTCATGGTTATCACTCCCCTGGTTGCAGTTATCACTCCCCTGGGTGTAGTTATCACCTCCCTGGTTGTGGTCATCACCTCCCTGGTCATGGTTATCACTTCCCTTACTGTGGTCATTACCTCCTCCATTGTGGTCATCACTCCCCTGGTCATGGTTATCACTTCCCTTACTGTGATCATCACCTCCCTCTTTGTGGTCATCACTCCCCTGGTCATGGTTATCACTTTCCTGATTGTGGTTAACACCTCTCTGGTTGTGGTTCTTATCACTCTTATTGTGTCACCACCTCCCTCATTGTGGTTATCAGCTCCCTGGTTGTGGTTATCACCTTCCTGGTTGTGGCTATCACTTCCCTGGTTGTGGTTATCACCTCCCTGGTTGTGGTTATCACCTCTCTGGTTGTGGT
Source organism: Homo sapiens (assembly GCF_000001405.40). NCBI lineage: Eukaryota > Metazoa > Chordata > Mammalia > Primates > Hominidae > Homo > Homo sapiens. The sequence continues at coordinate 123,772,872 of NC_000010.11, forward strand.
CATCCCTCCTTCATTGTGGTTATCACTCCCCTGGGTGTGGTCCTCATTCCCCTGGTTGTGGTTCTCACCTCCCTGGTTGTGGTTCTTACCTCTCTTGTTTGTGGTCACCACCTCCCTTGTTGTGGTTCTCACCTCTCTGATTGTGAGCATCACCTCCCTCTTTGTGGTCATCATTCCCCTGGTTGTGGTTATCACTTCCCTGATTGTGGTTATCACCTCTCTGGTTGTGGTTCTTATCGCTGTTATTGTGGTCACCCCCTCCCTCATTGTGGTTATCAGCTCCCTGGTTGTGGTTATTGCCTCCCTGGTTGTGGTTTTTATCTCTCTCATTGTGGTCATCAGCTCCCTCATTGTGGTTATCACTTCCCTGGTTGTGGTTATCACCTCCCTGGTTGTGGTCATCACCTCCCTCATTGTGGTTATCACTTCCCTGGTCGTGGTTATCACCTCCCTGGTTGTGGTCATCACCTCCCTCATTGTGGTCATCATTCCCCTGGTTGTGGTTATCACTTCCTTTGTTGTGGATCTCACTTCCCTCGTTGTGGTTCTCACCTCCCTCTGTGGTGGTGATTACTTTTCTCACTGTGATTTCCTGCTTCTTTATTGCCCACTCACTACACTGCAGATCATTGAGGAGACAGACTCAGCCTTTTATCTTTTATGCCTGACCAAATACATGTATCTTAATATCAACTTTTTCTCATAATTTAATGAGCATCTACATTGTTGGGTTGAGCAAATACACACCGCTCCTTCCCTCCTGGAGCTTGCAGCACACAGCCAATAAGAGGCATGCAATGACCCAGTTCATTGCCACTAAGTCAGCAGAGCATTGGGTCACCATGACAACAGGAATCATGGGGTTAAATGGTAGGAAAAGCAGGCTTCAGCAAGGAAGTGAAATAAATGCATGCTGTTTTCTGAATTTTGCCTTTTTAGTCAGCTCATCACACTGATAGCTGAGGTCTGGGAAAATGAGACCAGGGGCCAAAGGAGGTACCAAGGGCTCTGCAAGTCACAGGAGAAAAGGCTACCCTAAAGGTCAAAGGCCAGAGACACCCTCTCCCTAGAGGCTGCCTTGCCTCGCGTCACTGAATGAGTATCTGTGAGTTCACTGCAAATCTGTGATTTGCTAGGCTAAATTTGTTTATCAATACCCAAGTGAAAGAAGATCTGATTCAAAGGGCATCTCTTTTTTGAGCCAGGCACCTGACCATGCAGTAAGGGCCAGAGGGTTCCAGGGACAATTTCATGACAGTGTGTTAAAGACCAGGAAGGACGCCCAGGTGCTGCAGAAACACACAGGAAGGCCATCCTGGTCAGGGTGGCCGGTGGGCAGGTGCCCGTTAGGGAGGCCCGTGGCCTTCTGAAAGCTGAGCTGGAACTGAATTGATGCAGAACAGAGGAAGGGCATGGCCCACAGCGGGGTGGCGTGGAACTGAGTGCGTTCTAGCAAGCTGCCAAAAAATCGGATCAACCGAATTATCCATAAAATGTCCTTGTAAAGTGTAGATAAACAAATCTGTTGCAAATTTTATGGTGGGTTGAAATCTATTAGAACTGGAAAATTGGTATTATGTAAAATTTATGATACGTTGGAGTTATATGGCTGTGTGCTTCATATGCCTTTCATAACACAACATTCTGTAATGACTGGGAAGAGTGGTTTAATGAGCATCAAGGAGCGTTTCTAAAGGAGTGGGAAGATTTACTATAGCCTGGCTTTTATGACATGCCTATGAGAGGTGACAGGTGCAGCCTTGACTGGGAATTCAGGGCCTAACTCTCTTACTGCTCCAGGGGTTAAAACAGGCTTCCCCTTATGATAACTCACTTTGTGTCACAATATTTAGGTGAGAGAAAGCTGGCTACAAGGACTCTTATTCCCAAGAATGCTACAACAGAAACCCATCATAAACGGAGAAGCAACATGCAAAGGACATGTAGCTTCTACAGCCATCACCATGAAGACAGACACTGCCAGGACAGCAGGGGGCCACATATGAATAGCACCATGTTTTAATAAAAGACACAGTAATAACGTCACCAATTGTGTTAACAAGAACAGGAACAATACGTTCCATTTCTCTACTAAGTCTCATCATCATGACTGGCAGGTAAAGTAGAGAAGGCAGAGGAGATTTTTCCCATTCTACAGACTTGGAGACTAAGGCCCAGAAAGCCATCGAATAATTTACCCTGCGTCACCCAGCTGGGAGCAGGAGAAGCCAGGACTTTGGCCTTTCAGGGCTCTTCCCTTACCCCTATCTGTCCATGAAGGTGTAGTAGAGAAATGAGAACCAGTGCATCTCTGCTGCTTGTTTTATTTGCTGCACACTGTGACCATTCTGATGGCCACAGCATACTTGCCATCTCCTTTGAGACCCCATATACTCGTCCCTGCTGATGCAGTCATTCTCAGCCAACAGCATCGACCTTAGCAAATCCTAACTGGCAGGCAATTCACTGTCTTACATTGGGATCAGTAACTATCTCTACGGACATAAAGCCTGGTGGCTCATCACGAACTAGGCAATGAATGCAAGCATTCAGCCCAGGCTGGCTTCCTTCACTGTTACCCTAACCCCTTCCAATTAGCTGTGGGAGAAATGTGCTGTCAGTACTAGAGATCACGGCCTTGACACTGGAAGAAGAAAAACATCACCTTCCCTTGAGATGCACACTTAGCCATGGCATGGGAAGATGGCTGGGCCACGAGCCATCAGAATGACCTCCTGATGTTCTACCCACTGTCACTGTACTTTCATATCAGCCACACTTTCCCACCGATGGCAAAGTATTGGTTAACAAAGTGCATGCCACTGTGCCATGGTGTCATAAGCATCTTTCCCACATGAGACCATGGGCCTTTGAAGAATCTTCTTCTCAGTGAAGTTTCTTTACAATTCCCTCTGCACGGTGGCCCTCTGCAATGCCAGGAAGCATCTCTCCAGTGGCTACCAGCACCATCAAAGACACGGGTGGTGGCCACTCTGCTCTTCTGAGCAAGGCAACCATGAACATCCCCAGGAATGAAGTTTCCCATTTAAACGCAATTAATTCTTGTAAAGGAATACATTTCTTCTTGAAAGGGGTCAAAGATTTTTTTTTGGAGTTTGCGTCTTTGTGGTAAATGTTTGGGTCTTGATGACTTCAGTCAGAGTAAGGAATAGAATTTTCACCATGGCCTTAGAACATGCATTCAAAAGGGATGACATCACCCCAAGGGACTGAAAACTGTGGCTAAAAAAGTCTTAGGTATTACAATGCTTTGTGGTCCCCCAAAGCTCAACCCTATCTGGCAAAATCCTATTTCTTAATATTTAATATAATGGAGGAGGATGAGTAAGAAAAGAAAAGAAGTCTGAAAAGTCTCCCTAGGTGGGTAGTAATGAAAAAGAATGTTGAGAAATACCATCTTAGAAAGCACCAGGGTTTGCAAGACTCTTGGTCTCTTCAAGACTCTGTTTTCCCAACTCTGAGATGGAAATAAACTTTGCATCCTAGTGTCTACTGAATCCCAGGCTCTGCTGCTTCACTCTCTACTGAAGGATATAGAATCTAGAGCCTCAATTTCTGGCAAAATATCAGAAGGAAATTTTTCATAAAGATGGTAAAATGTTATGCGCAGTGACACTTGTTGTGGCATGTTTCATACTTTGTCAGTATTCATTAAAAGTTATGAATTGGGAGATAATCCAAATGCTCCAGAGCAGGAAAGAAGCTGAGAAAAGTATGATGCATCCACTCACCAGAACATTCTGCAACCTCACAATCACAATTATGAAGACAGCATGGAAAATGGCTAATGATCCAATATTCGCTGAGAAACACAGGGCCAAGATGTAACTATCCTCTCATCAAAACCGTAGGAATTCTGTGAATACAGAAGTTCAAACACCGGATGGAAATGGGGAGAAAATGAAAACTGCCTTTTTTTTAGAGTAGTGGGTTCGTGGAGGATTTGTCTTTAGGCTTTTGGTTTGCATTTGATGCTGACACAATATTGTTTATCCAGTGAATGCAAGTTTTTGTTTTGTTTTGTTTGTTTGTCTTTTAAAGAGGAGAGTGGAGAAGAGGAAAGTTCTCTTCTGCCATCGTTCCTCATTTGTCTGAGAAACAGGCACCGCACCTGGCCCAATGGAAAAGAAATTCCAGAAGAAGGGAAGAGGGAAGGAATGGAGTTGAGTGTGTCTGGATCTAAAGGCTTGCTGCTCCGCCCTGGCTTCCTGTCCCCACAGGGTCAGGCTGAGTGTGGTGCAAGTGGGTGGGTCAGCCATGGTCCCCACAGCCTGATGTCCCCGGCCATCCTTAGTTGCCCTGGAAATCAATGTCATTAGATGGCTGCCTTCCAGCCTGTGTCTGCCTATGTTACTTTTTTCCACCCATATCACACTGTCTACATATGGGCCATCAGCCAGTACTTCCTGGGCATTTGGGACCTGACAACACTGTGCCCAAACCAAAGTAGGTCATTAACCTTGTCCTCAAAATCACTTCTTCCTTTTCTCCACAGAAGCACACCAGGCCTCTCTCTCTCCCCAACTCACTCCAACGGGTGACCTCCACTGGGCAGCCTGCCTCAGGAATGCCTCTCCTCTCATCCTTCTTCAGGCACAGAGGCCCGCCCTCCATACAACTTCCAGAAAGACAGCTCTGCACACCTAAAGAACCTCCCAGACCCCTGCATCAGGACAACAGCCTCTCCTGGCACTCAGGACCAGCCTCCTCCTAGCTGCCTGCAAATTGTCACAGAACACACCTGTCGGCTCTGACCCCATGCCTTCACTCTTGCTGTCCTCTCTGCTCAGAGCACCCTCCCACCACCCCTGCCTGCCAGTGCCAGCCACGCACGTTGGATGACAGCTGACCCCCTCTGCAACCAAAACCTTCCAAACCATGGCCAAGCAGATGGCTCCCTTCTCTCTCCCATCCCCCATGACTGTAAGGACCTCAAATACACAGATTGATCAAGTGTACACTTATGGATGATAAAATGACAGGGTCTCTTCCCTCATTGTCCCAAGTGAGGGAGACAGGCAATGTACATATAAACCAGCAATTAAGCAAGTATAAATTGCAACACACGCTATGAAGGTCCTCAGTATTTTCTTGGAATAATTCCCTTTCTCCGCCTTATAGTGTCAATGTCAGGACTTTCTCCTTCCTCTCCTCCTCCCTTCTCCACCCCAACCACCTGCAGCTTCCCACTGCCTGGAACTGTGCCTTGCAAGTCAGTGCTCTCTGCAAAAAAAGTCCCCTCATTATCTTCCTCGTACAAGGCAATAAGGTTTTCTATTTTCACTTCTTGCTTCCTGCTTCTGTTTCTCATTTGTTTTTTGTTTGTTGTAAATGTCTCTTTCAATAGTAGGAAAAATGAACAAGTTTTTCCTGAGGGAGAAAGATTTCTACAGTAACCTAGCAGACTCCATATGGGGAAGTTGCTCAAAATATTGACTTCTTTCCCATTCCCAGGAGCCAGGAATCCAAATGGCAAATCATTTCTGGCTTGAACACTCTTCAGGATTGATGGGCGCTCTCCTGGACAGTCTCTAGTTGATAACTGCTGAGCTGTGGGATCGCACAGGGGTCTCCCAGTGTCACCCAAGGGGGCTGCACTGATTATCCAAAGGTCCCTCTTGGCTCCAGTAGTGATCAGTCGCCTAGAGTAATGAAGCATACTCCGCTTGCTTTCCTTGTAAGAAAAGAGCCCCAAGTCTCCATGCATGACAACTATTTACAGATAACAGCTACCTAGAGTCTCTGTGCAATTCACTCATTTTAAATGCATTGGGATTTATTGCTTTTGACATTAATTGCACTGAGTTGATATTTGTCTCATTTCTGAGCTCAAGAAGCTGTCCTGAGATGTCCAGTGAGCAAAGCGGAGTTAACACACCAGTGCTCCATAAAATGGAATGGCAAGCAGAGCCATATAAATACCCTCAAAATGTAGAGCAGCAGGGATGATTCACAGCCCTCAAGTCCAAACACATTCTCTTGATTTCTGAAGAGCAAGACAGCAAGAAGATTTCTTAGCACATCCCACCTCTAAGTCTGTGCTGACAGGTGTCTGGAAGCTGTGTGTGAGTATCTCAAGTTAGATCACATCAAGACAAACCCGGCTTGTTCATTCCATGGGATTGGAGCTCCGCTTAATTACTCTGACCTCAGAAACATCTTCCACATTTGTAGTGGATGGCTGCTCCCCTCCCTTAGCACCTACAAGCCCTCCCTTTGAGCCATGTTAATTTGCCCTTGCTGAATCCTTGTTCTGTAAATGTATTCAGAAGGACATTTCTGCATGTTCTGTCTCTTCAGATTCTTAGCTCTCTAAGGATTTCTCATTTGCCAGCTCCTCCCCATGCTTTCTAGCACATGCTGGGGGTGGGCACAGAACAGGATTTCATAGGCACCGCACTTAGCGTAGGTACTGCCTTTTTAGCTTGTCCTAATAAACACACCGTCCCTTCCCCCTTCTGCACTCGGTATGCAAATGCTGTCAAAAGCTCAGAACTATTGGGTTTCTATAATTAAATCTGGGGAAAAATCTCATCTGGGATTGTCTTTTCTTTCTAAAAATACTAAGAGCTATGAAGCTATTAACCAGTAGTTCTGAAACCTGGCTGGACAGCAGAATAACAAAAAGAGGATTTAAAAATCTGGATCCCCAGGCCCCTGTCTCCTAAGGATTCTACTTTAATTGGCCTGAGACGGGGCTCAATTATCAGTAGCTTCACAAATTTTCCCAGGTGATTCCAATATGCAACCAAGATTGAAACTCTGAGAAACTGAATAATAAGGGGTAGTGCTATAGTCTCTCAGTGCTGTTTTCCCATCTGTAGATAACAATAACAACAGTCCCTACCCTTCTAGAGTTATTAGGAGGACTGAACGTGATCATGTATGTAAGTTGATCCTATGTGAATATTTCCCACTATTATTATCTATGTCATCCTAGATCCTTTTTCTTCTTCAACTCTGCATATGACCAACATCCTTAAATCAGTGATAGCACTCAAAAACACAATAATTCTCAAGACCTAGAATATTAACTGAGAAGAACCTGGATTCAAATTGTGTTTCAACAATCTGCCAGCCAGGAAGCCTTCCTCTGGTCACCTGAACCCAGAATCTTGAAATGACAAGCATTTAGTGTGTCTTCAGCAAACCAAATGATCATTCAGATCCCTAATCATCAATTTCTGGAAAAAAAAATTTAAGTGCTTATGGACACATAATATGTTGCTTTTTTGACAAATTCCTGGCATGAGGCTTTGTGATCTGGGTCTTACCTGGCGCATTTCCTTATAATTGTGGTGCTTAAAATCCAGGTCATCAGTGGTGGTCATCTCGTTCCGGCGGTGATAATAATTATTAGGATCTAGGGACAGAAACATGATTTTGCATTTACTCCCATCATTCTATCTCCCATGGCACCTCTGTTAGAGACACATGGGGACTGCACGGACAGTGCAGCCCAATCTCTAGCTTCTAACGTTGGCTCAGAGATGAGAAAACCAACCTGCAGGAAGCAACTTAGGAGTCCAAATTACCCAGTGGTTAAGAGTGGGGAGCCAGAATGCCTGGGTTCAAATCTCCGCTCTTCTACTTACATGCTGTATGAGTATGTAAGTGGGCAAGTCACTTGCACAGTGTTTGACTTGGTTTTTTACCCATAAACAAGAAAAAGAATGGTACCTCCCTCAATGGTTTATTTTTAGCATAAATGGGACAAATCTATGCACCTGGCAAGCTGTCAACACTGCATAAATAAATGAGTGAATATCGTGACTACACACACATACTTGGAGACTTCTGGAAGGATGTGGACCCTATAAGCCTTTTACCCAGCATTCATTCCCCTTCCTTCCTTCCTTCCTTCCTTCCTAAAAAAGTCCTATGTTTGGGAATCCCTTTTTCCACTTCTAGGAAGATCTCAAGTCCCCAGCTCCAGGGCTCCAACATGACTGGACAATCAGAACACAGCATCTACTGGCCACTGTAATTGATCCAGATTGAAGGGAAAGACTTGACTGACACAGAGGAGGATTGAGTAACAATCTCTCCCCAGCAGTAAGAATACAGAAGCATGTTGCCCACTTGCTACTGTGGCCATCTGACCTCAAGAAGAACTAGCCTCAGGATGACTTCCGTGATGTGGATGACCCAGAGCAGAAGTCAGAGAACTCCAGTAACACTAAGAACAACTGAATCAACCAACCCCAGAGCCCAATCTTGGACAAGATAAAGAACCCCCTTTGCAGCTAAGCCAGTGGGAGCTGGGGTTTCTGCTGTGGGAGCTGAAGCACCCTGGCGGGTATAATCAGAATGTGTTAACAGAGCTGACCTTTGGGGACTGGGATTCGGGGGGTCAGGGAGGCAATGTCTGCTCTTCACTTGATTCCCTTCCATATAAATTGACTCCCTCTCTGCATTCCTATAAGCCTGTATGGTTTATATAGTTACAAAACCCAAGAACACAGGGCAGAGAGGAGAGGACAGGGAGGAGCAAGAACAAGAAGGAGGGCAACTGGGAAGAGACCACTCCATCTGCCTCGAGGTCCCCCAGCCAGCCTGGTGGCATCTCTGTCAGGAAGACGCCACTGGAAATGTGGTGCATTTTCTGCTCAGTGTTCAGCGCTCCCTCCAATGCAGAGAACCCGCAGCCCTAGGAACCATGTGAGCAATGTGAGAACCATGCAGCTGTCTGTTTAACCCAGTGGCTCCTAGGGCCACTCTAGAGGCAGTGGGGGCAGTAGGGGGCCGAACACTCTGTGTTATGTGGAGCAGCGAGGCCAGATCTGTGCCACCAACTGTGGTCCACAGACCAGTAGCATTGCCTGTTCGCTATACCCAGCCCCGATCTACTGAATTAGAAACCACATTGCAACAGGATCCCAGCTGGCTCTGCAGACATTCACAGTTTGAGAACACTCACACATGTTACACACATCTGCCATCAACTGAGCCAGCCCTGTGCCTGCATCCCCACAGCCACAGGTCACAAGTGCCATACCCGAACTGATCGAGGTTCACTTAAAGACTGGCTTCACCCTTGAGAACAGCCCACTTGCAACAAGTTAATAATCACATATCGACCCAAGCACTGAAAACACAGCTTTTAATATTCACAAACGGCTTTCCAGTCATGCAATTACAAACAAATAACTGTTATGCGAAGGGAAATAATGTAGGAGTGCAACTGGCATTTTGTCCACACAAGAAAGCAAAGTCATTCCGGCTTAGCCAGATGCCTCAGTGATTTCTCAAGCCCTTTCCTTTTAGGAGTGGAGGCTGACCACACCTCAGGCAAGCTGCCTTCCCTTTGATTTCCAAACCTGCCAGTTTCAAAGCAAAGGCAAAACATGTATTTTGCATTCATTTACACCTAACTTACTCGCAGGCTATTTTCTAAGAGCTATTCAACACGCCCTAAACCTCGGGGGCGTCTTTTCAAAGGACTTTAAAGCCCCTTTTGTTTTGGAACACAAATTATGCCTTCAAGGTTCTCAAAAAGGATTGAAGAAAAACTGAGAGCCCTAAGTACAAAAGAGCTCTATGTTTGGCAACATTCTTCCTTCCTCAAGGCTAATAGGGCTTCTGAAAGGTATGGGTACCTTTTCCAGAACTGTCTCAGAACTTCACAACTTTCAGTCACCCACATTTTGAACAAATACTCCCTTACTTGTCCATTTATTCTGATTAGACAAAGTTTTATTGAGACCCTCCCTATTAGGAGCCCAGCACTTAGGTAAGAAATGAGTGAGGACCGAGCCCAGAGTCCACAGACAGAGCCGGTTAGTCATCTAAGCCTGCTATCCCCTGCTTCCTTCTGTGGACAAGAGAAGCCCTTCCTCCTGTCAGAGTTGTTTGAACCAGAGTGACTCCATCTTGAATAGGAGCTGCGGAAAATGAGGCTGAGACCTGCTGGGCTGCATTCCCAGTAAGTTAGGCATTCTAAGTCACAGGATGAGATAGGAGTCTGGCACAAGGTACAGGTCATAAAGACCTTGCTTATATAAAACCGGTTGCAGTAAAGAAGTCGGGAAAACCCATCAAAACCAAGATGGTGACAAGAGTGACCTCTGGTAGTCCTCAGTGCTCATTATACACTAATTATAATGCATTAGCATGCTAAAGACACTCCCACCAGCTCCAAGACAGTTTACAGATGCTATGGCAAGATCAGGAAGTTACCTTATATGGTCTAAAAATGGAGGGACCCTCAGTTCCGGGAATTGCCCACCTCTTTCCCAGAAAACTCATTAATAACCCACTCCTTATTTAGCATGTAATCAAGAAGTAACAAGAAATAGAAGCAGCTGAGTGGCCCATGCCGCTGTTCTGCCTGTGAAGTAGCCATTCTTTCTTCCTTTACTTTCTTAATAAACTTGCTTTCAATTTACTCTATGGATTCATCTTGAATTCTTTCTTGCACGAGGTCCAGGAACCCTCTCCTGGGGTCTGGATTGGGACCCCTTTCCGGTAACACTCATGTGGGGAATCTATTCCAGGTGCTTCAGATATGCAAGTGTAAGCATGTGACTCAGGAACACACTTCCTTCCTTCAGCTAGGCACTGGCTCAGAGATGATCTCCCAGGATCCAAGCCAGGCCGATCAGATGACTTTTCTCACAGAGCTTGCAGGAGCACAGTCTCTTCTGCTGGAGCCCTTGGAGGGTAGGATGTGAGTGGGAGGTGTGTGTGGCCAACCTGCCAGTCTGCAAGTTAGTGACAGAGGGAGCCCTGACCTCCACACAAAGGCCCTGAAATGTCAGATCTATTCTTGCCTAAAGCCAAAGTCAGACCTGCCCCTGGAATTTTCGCTTATGTGAGCCCTAATTTCTTTACATTTTTCTTAACCTAATTTGAGTAGGACTTCTGACCTTTGAAACAGGAATTCAGGCTGATCCAGTCTATGGGGGCTTTATCCTTACAGAGGGAGCTTTGATCCCTTCCTGTGGTTACTTCTATACCTCCTGTATATGGAAAACTAGCTGATTCCTCTGCAACACCTTAGTTATGTGGATCGACAAACTCCAGAAGTAGCGCCTGAAATGCTCTTTCCAACCTTACTTCCTTATTAAACTACTCAAGCATTCTGCTCTGTCCAAATTGGTCTACTAATCCTGCCCTGTTATGGTCTGAATTGTGCTCTCCCACCAAAGAAAAGCTATGTTGGAGTCCTCACCCCCAGTGCTTGAGAGTGTGACCTTGCTTGGAGATGGAGTTCTTATGAAGGCTTTTGAGTTCAAGTGAAGTCATTAAGTGAGTCCTCATCTGATAGGGAGATTTGAATATGGACACACACAGGGGGAACACCAGGTGAGTGAAGGCAGAGGCTAGGGTGATGCATTTACAAGCCAAGGGATGTCAAAGGCTGACATCGTACCACTGGCAGCTCTGAGAGAGACCTGGAACAAATTCTCCCTGACAGCCCCAGAAGAAACCAGCCCTGTTGACACCTTGCTCTCGGCTTCTGGCCTCCAGAACTGTGGCAGGATAAGTTACTCTAAGCCACCAGTTTGGGGCACCTGGTTATACCAGCCCTAGGAAGCTACCACCTGCCCTAAACATCTCTGCCTCCTCACCCCTGAGTCCTCCTGTGGTTTTCTTTTGACTCCTCAGAGACCAGAACAGATGGCCGCTGCCCCATAGGGCCTTCTGGTCACCCTCATCTCAGTCATTTCTTACTCCTCAGACATGGTCATAAAAATAAATCCTTCAATCACCTGGACTACCCTTCATCTCCTTTCAATAATCTATTCCCAGGTATCCCTGATGTAAATTCTTGGGAGCCCTCTGGAGACTTAAGAGCTCACTCCCTCACGAAGCAGCCTCTGGTGCTATTTTCAGCCCTGATTGCTAGGAAGGTCCTCCTTTATCAAGCTGAAGTCTACCTGCTGATCTTAATTCTTTCCTCTTCAGCTATGATGACTAAGCCTTCTCCCGTTCACGTACGATTGAGGCAGAAGAATAGGGTCTGGAAGAAGGAAACATAAGGCCGATTCATACTGACTTCCTAGAACTAAATCAAATGGAAACACTTCAGCTATGACAGGAAATATCCTTTCCATTCACAGAGGGCATATACCAAGTAAAGGACTTTGTAATTTTACTTCATCCTCTTCATTTACATAGGGCGTACACGAAGTGACCAGTGGAAACCTCTAGAAAATTCTGTAATGAGGCTCTTGAGCCCCTATGCTCAGGCCCACCCCCACCCTGCGGTGCATACTTTCATTTTGATTTTCAATACATCTCTGCTTTTGTTGCTTCATTCTTTCCTTGCTTTGTTTGTGCATTTTGTCCAATTCTTTATTGAAGATGCCAAGAACCTGGACACCCTCCATCAGTAACATAACGATCCTACAGGTTTGGAAGAAATGTAGCCTATTTTCCCCTGAGTTGTCTCTGTTCCTGCCTAAATATCCCTATTCCCTGCACCGCCCTTATGATGATTTCCATGGCTCTCACTGCCCCGGTTTCCTCCTCTGAACACACTCTATTTTATCTGTTGCTTCCCCAACCTGTATCACTTGGGACTCTGACATGTGGCCTAACAACAAAGCAACCAACTTGTCCCAGATTTTCCCAGGACTGTCCTGGTTTTAAACAGAAAGTGTCGTGTCGTTGGAACCCCTCAGTCCCTGGCAGCCTGGGATGGTTGGTCACCCTCTCCAACTAGCTCAAGCAACTTTGGCTTGGTATCTCCTTTCCTGTGACAACTTAATCATGTGGCTTAAATCACTTTAGCTTCTTTTTTTTTTTTTTTTTGAGACGCAGTCTTGCTCATTGCCCAGGCTGGAGTACAGAGGCGCGATCTCGGCTCACTGCAAGCTCCGCCTCCCGGGTTCACGCCATTCTCCTGTCTCAGCCTCCCGAGTAGCTGGGACTACAGGCACTCGCCACCACGCCTGGCTAAATTTTTTGTATTTTTAGTAGAGACAGGGTTTCACAGTGTTAGCCAGGATGTTCTCGATCTCCTGACCTTGTGATCTGCCCGCCTCAGCCTCCCAAAGTGCTGGGATTACAGGTGTAAGCCACCGCGCCCAGCCCACTTTAGCTTCTTAAGGATCACAGCTCTGACTAGGCAGATGCATGCCTGCAGATGTCTTCTAGTTAAAAATTTAATTATTAATTGATCAGCTTGTTGTTTTGCTGTCGTAATGACCACAGTATATGAGAAAGCAATCTCATGATCCCATCTTGGGCTAGATATGACCTACATTTGGCCAATGCCCACTGATTTATGCAGATGTAGCTTTAATCTTGAAGCAAAAAGCTTTTACTGACTTCATCCTATTGTTCACTGAACACTGCTACATGCCCAGCACTGTGTGAGATGCTGGGGAAATAAGCATGAAAGATACAATGACCCCAACCATGAGAGGCTCACTCAAGGCTCGTGGAAGGAGCACACGCTTCTGTAGACAGAGACGGACGGGTGGCAAAGGCTGCGTTCCTCTTCATCCTCTGTTTTGGGAAGCATATGTGAGAGAGAGAATGAGAGACAGAGGCCCTGCTTCCAGCTGCCTTCCCTGAAACACGAGGCCTAAGCTCTGTGGCATCAGGCAGTTCAAGCAGACACTGACCCCATACCTGACGGCAAACAATTGGACATTCCCAGGACCCTATGCACATCCACAGGTTGTTTAGAAGTGAGAAATAAAAATAAAATTCTAAGCCCCCAACTGATGGAATGGAACACCTCTTGGCCAAGAGAATCCCAGAGAAATTTGGAAGCTGAGTCCACCACCACAACGGATGGAGACGGGACACATCTCATTATACCCCATTCCTTACTGCCAGTCATTTGGCTTTCTACCCTATGGGCTAAACAGAAACCAGCCCTTTCAAAAGACAAGATCCTTCCAGGCACAGCTTATCTTCCCAAGCACCAAAAAAAGACAAGATCCTTCACCTCTCCCTGAGACGTCGCCTCCTCTATTCCCTTTTTCTTCAAATGTTCACCTATCTTATGTCAAATGTAGATTCACTGGGCACTAAAGTCTCCCAAGGATGTCATCATTTGCCTCAGTGCCAACCTGCCCCCCTTCTTGTAAGGAAAATGTATAAATACTAAACCTCCTGAGAACCTCTTTGAAAAAAACAGCCACAGATGCTTCTGTGACTTGTGTTTCTCCCAGGCACACCCTCCAGCTGGCCCAAAAACCGTGGTGATTTGGGACTCAGGCCACAATCCCTCAGAGGAGGTTGGCTAAGGCTGGAGTGTCAGTGGTAGGAGGCTCCAAGGTGGCTCCCAGGTGGCTACAGCCAGTTCCCCATGCAGCTGGGCTGTGAGCTATGCTGGGGACAAGATGACAGTGCAGACAGAGATGGAAAAGGGACACAATTGGAAGAGAAGATCTAGGAAAGGTGGAAGGAAGCCCCAGGTGGGCTTGGCAGCATCAGAACCCATCTCACCCTCACTCTTGCTGGTACCAGCACCCACACCAGCCACAGCTCAGGACTCCTGAGCCCCAAACCAAGTGCCTGCTCACTACATGAGACTTTTTTTTTTCTTTGAGATGAAGTTTTGCTCTTGTCACCCAGCCTGGAGTGTAGCTCACTGCAACCTCCTGAGTAACTGGGATTACAGGCACCCACCACCACGCCCGGCTAATTTTTGTATTTTTAGTAGAGACGGGGTTTCGCCATGTTGGCCAGGCTGGTCTCAAACTCCTGACCTCAGGTGATTTGTACATGGGACTATTCTTAAAAGAACAGTAAGAATCCCAGATCAAGTCCCATTACTGGGACTTCAAAGGGACCAAGATTTTGGGCTGCTCTGCTTGCTGTTTGCTGCCTTCTGGTTGGGACCTTGACTGAAATGAGTAGGTGCTTGGCTGGGGAAAAGAGGTTCCTTTTTTGGGAAGGTGGCTCACCTGCAACCCAGAAGCCCGGGCTCAGGATGCCTGTGAATGCTCTATCCAGACCGGCAGACCCATAGGGACAGCAGATTCCAAGTTACCCGGGGATGGCGGAGGGGCTGGGGAGTGATTACTCCGGGTTTGTAGCCCCCATTTTTCTAAGAGATGGTTTAATTATTTTTTCTCTCTCTTCTTTTCTTATCCCCCCAGTTCCCCACTTCCTACTTAGCCCTTTAGAAATGCAAATACAGGCTGAGAGCGGTGGCTCATGCCTGTAATCCTAGCACTCTGGGAGGCTGAGGCGGGTGGATCACCTGAGGTAAGGAGTTCAAGACCAGCCTGGCCAACATGGTGAAATCCCGGTCTCTACTAAAAATACAAAAATTAGCTGGGAGTGATGGCACATACCTGTAATCCTAGCTACTCAGAGGCTGAGGCAGGAGAATCACTTGAACCCCAGAGGCAGAAGTTGCAGTGAGCCGAGATCATGCCACTGCACTCCAGCCTGGGCGACAGAGCAAGACCCCATCTCAAAAAAAAAAAAAAAAAAGAAAAGAAAAAGGAATGCAAATACAGCCTTTTACCTCCCCCTTCACCAGCCTCTCCCTACAGGGCAAGTTCTTTTAACTATCTGCTCCAAAACAGGTCTGGAGAGTTACAAGTGGATTTACAAACCAAAGCAAGCCCGATACGAAACTTCCCCCCTCCAGGAGGTTGCCTGCCCACGAAGGTGCCAGCAGTCACCAGCCCAATCAACCAGTAGGGAAGGCATCAGAGCTAGCATGAACCCTTCACCCTTGCTTGTTCCCGCCCTTGCCTTTTAAAAGTGCCCGCTTTCTGCTCCAAAAGCGAAGCAGCACATTTAAAGACAAGACGCCTCTTCCCCTAAGCTGGCTTCAGAATAAACCACTTTCTTTATACCAGACCTCACTCTTGTTAATTGGACTCTGCATGCGGTGAGAGCAGGGAACCTGCTCTTCACTGTCAGGTTCAGGGAGGTTTTAGGGGTGATGACAAAGTTTTGAAACTAGAGAGAGCTGGGGCTTGCACAGCATTATGAATGCACTAACTATCGCCAAAGCGTACACTTTAAAAGGCTTAGTGTATATTATATGAATTTCACCTTGATTGAAAAAAAAAAAAAAAAGAAAGGATCCCTGGCCCCAAAGTGCTCTCCGAGGACTGAGGACACCAGAGGTGCTTGGTCACAAGAGATTTTTCTTTACCTGGCACAATGCCAGCCTCCCACCCAAGGAGCAGCTGCCATTGTGGCCTTGTGACCTCCCCAAACCCCAACATGCTCAGCAGACCCCTGAACAAAGATGGTGTGAGCTGAGCACGAAACCCCTCCCACAAAGAGCTGGCTGTCTGAGGCAGTCACCTTTGTCCAGACCCCATTGACTGCTCTGATGACAAGGTAATTCCTATAGAGCAAGGCCACGAGAGACCCAGGAGCTGCGGACCCCCAGGCACAGCCTCACCTGATCCTGGGTCATCACTGTCAGCAAGAACATCAAACCTGCCGCCCCACAGGGCCCCTCAGAGGGGGCAGCACAACCTCTGTGCTTATTCACTCACTTCCATCCCATTTCCTATGTCCCCATCTCACGACTTCTCCACTGTGGGAGCAGAAGTCCAGGAAACCCTCTGGTTCCTTGGCAGATGCTGCTGTGCCAACAGCCCAGGGCCAATTTGCAGCTTGACTGGCAGGGAAGCTGTCAGGAAAGACAGCTTTCAAGAGTGTGGCTGTTTTAACAGTTTCCCAAGATCATCAACATTGGGCAGCTGGACCACGAAGAGAAATCTCACATTTATTTAAACTTGGTAATGTTAGAAACAAATGCTTGTTCCTTGGTGCTTAAAAGAAGAACCAGCACTCAAAGAATTTTCCCAGCAAGGCAATTTTCCTTCTATAGAAGGGTGCAATGTGCAGATGGAGCAACGGTGAGAGCACACCTGAACAAGGGAGGGGAAGGGGTTCTTATTCCTGATGCAGTAGCCCCTACTGCTGCGTCGTTCCCCTATTGGCTAGGGTTGGACCACACAGTCTAAGCTAATTCCGATTGGCTATTTTAAAGAGAGCAGGGGTGGCCGGGTGCGGTGGCTCACACCTGTAATCCCAGCACTTTGGGAGGCCGAGGCAGGCGGATCACGAGGTCAGGAGATCGAGACCATCCTGGCTAACACGGTGAAACCCCGTCTCTACTAAAATTACAAAAAATTAGCCAGGTGCTGTGGTGAGCACCTGTAGCCCCAGCTACTCAGGAGGCTGAGACAGGAGAATGGTGTGAACCCAGGAGGCGGAGCTTGCAGTGAGCCAAGATCGCACCACTGCACTCCAACCTGGGTGGACAGAGCAAGACTCCATCTTAAAAAAAATTAATAAATAAAAAATAAATAGAGAGCAGGGGTGCGAGCCGGAGTGGCGGGAAAGGTGGTTACAGAACAGGTGACTCAGGATAATTCAGGTCAGAGCAGGTGACCAGGG
This sequence comes from Homo sapiens, assembly GCF_000001405.40. NCBI lineage: Eukaryota > Metazoa > Chordata > Mammalia > Primates > Hominidae > Homo > Homo sapiens. Next base: position 123,790,236 of record NC_000010.11, read on the forward strand.
GTGACTCAGGATGGAGCAGGTGACTAGGAGTGACTGAAGACGGAGCAGGTGACCAGGGGTGACTCAGGATGGAGCAGGTGACTAGGAGTGACTGAAGACAGAGCAGGTGACCAGGGGTGACTCAGGATGGAGCAGGTGACTAGGAGTGACTGAAGACGGAGCAGGTGACCAGGGGAACAGATGTGAACTACGGATTAGAACTCGTGGAAAAGGTTGTTTACCGAAACTAGGGGCGAGGGAGCAAAGAGAACCAGGAAGTTAAACTTTAAAATGGAGAACAAGGAATAAGAGAGCTGAACATACTGACATACTGATTCTTTGAAGAGAAATTTGGAGTTCACTATATTTAACAGTAAGGGGAAGCTGCCTTCTGCTGCTAGGAGGACAGGCTGCAGCCAACCAGGGCCAATCCCACCTCAGCTGAGAAGGATTCACCAGGAATAAAGGCGTCTCACAGGTACAGGCAGGTCTCCCCCATCGTGCCAAGAGAGACGGGGGCAGCAAGTGTGTCTATCTTATCTCAGATTCCCAAGAGTCTGCCTCAGAACAGGCACCCCATACGTATTTGATATATGAATGAGTGAATGAGTAAATGAATGAATGGATGGGTGGACATTCTAATCAAGTTATTTGGGAAAGGCCAGTTATGAAGAAGATGCACTTTCTAGGGCACATGAGGTCTCTAACTGGGGCCCACCTGAAGCTGCGATGCTATCATTATTACCCTATTACCATGACAGAAGAGAGAATGGAAGGTACGGTGGGAGACAGTAAGTTAAAGCCACATCATCAGGGGTGAGGACAGTCACGAGTGTGTGCCATCTTTGAGTCTGAGTATCGGTTTCCTGGGACTGCCATAACAAAGCACACCACACTCCAGGTGGCTTAAAACAGCAGAAATGGCACGGTGGCTCACACCTGTAATCCCAGCACTTTGGGAGGCTGAGGCGGGCAGATCATCTGAGGTCGGGGGTTCGAGACCAGCCTGACCAACATGGAGAAACCCCATCTCTACTACAAAAACTACAAAATTAGCTGGGTGTGGTGGCACATGCCTGTAATCCCAGCTACTCAGGAAGGCTGAGGCAGGAGAATCGCTTGAATCCGGGAGGCGGGGGCTGCAGTGAGCCAAGATCGCTCCACTGCACTCCAGCCTGGGAACAGCAGAAATGGACTCTCTCATGGTTCTGAAGGATAGAGCTTCAAGGCATCAGCAGGGCCGTGGTCTCTCTAAAAGCTCTAGGGGAGGATCCTTCCCTGCTTCTTCCGATGTCCATTGGCTGCCTGCAACCCTTGGCTTGTAGCCACATCACTCCGATCTCCACCTGCGACGTCACATGGCATTCTCCCTGTGTGCCTCTGTGTGTCTGTTTTCTCTTCTTAAGGACACCAGTCATTGGATTAAGGGCCCACCCTCATCCAGTATGACCTCCTCTTGATTGATAACATTTGTAAAGACCCTGTTTCTAAATAAGATCACATCCAAGGTTGTAGGGGGACCTCCTCTTGATTGATTATATCTACAAGGACCCTGTTTCTAAATAAGATCACATTGGAGGTTCTGAGGGGGACATGAATTCTGGGGACACTATTCAGCCTGGTGCAGTCAGTCGTGGCGAGCCCTGAACAAATGCCCACTGCGAGAGGCCATCCTTCCGAACTGAGCTGCTTCTGTACAGTGAGCAGTGGGCTTCTTGCTGCGCAGCTGAACCCAGGCCCAGAGTTTGAGACAGGCCAGGAGAGAAATCTGTGGTTCCCCGTGTGACCTGCCATCTCAACCTCAAATCCCAGAGTACTTTGCACAGGGAGAGGCTTTGGCATTCTTGTTGTTGGAAAAGTAGCGATTTAGCACCATTAGCGAGTCACAGAGAGGACAGAAAACAAAACCAGGACAGGGTTAATGGGGAGGAAGTATCTTCTCACATCCACTCACCACCTATGGGATCTGGTGACCTTAGAAATGAGGCAGCCACAGAACAAAATAGCCAAACCTCAGGCAGGGCAAGGAGGAAGAAGGGGAAATTGGGAAAAATCAAGTGTATTGAGCACTAACCATGCACTGGTGCTCATTTAGTCTTCACAGAGTCCCCGATCAGGAATGGAGGGGCTGCTGGAAACTTACAATCAAAACAAGAGCAGCCTCTTCTGCTTCCTAGGGGAGTAGCAGAGTTCTTCTCACGGAACTCATGGTTTTGAAACGCAAGGCGCCAGCTAGCCAGGATGGAAGAAGGTCTCTATCAGAAAAAACCCAGACATTCCGCCCACCACCCTAACCCAGAAGCCCCAGAGACAGGAAGCCAGGGGACAGCAGAGACAGAGACCGGAAATGAGAAGCAGAGACAGATAGGAAAGATCTCCCCAGGGAGAGCACAGTTCTAACACCAGTGTGGCAGGGCAGCAGGCTAGACTGAGGAGGAAGGCAGTGAGCAACAGGTTGGTTCCCCTTGCTGGGATGACAAGAAAACTCAGGAAGAGAAACGCTGATTGCCCAGGCTGCCCCTTTGTTATCCCCAGACCTTCTGCAATACTTACGCATACAAATCGGCATCAGAAGGTCTGTTATCCCCACACCTTCTGCAATACTCATGCACACAAATCGGCATCAGTGGAGACTGCTGTTCTAGCACCCAGAGCCACCGGCAGGAAAGACCTAAGGCAACCCAGAGCAGAGCTGGGACCCACAGGTGGTAGAAGACAGGTGGGCAGCCACCCCAGAGCCCCCAGAAACCCTAGGGAAGGAGGAGATTTGGGATTTCCCTTAGGACTGTGAGGAACATTTGTGTTATTTTATTTGAATGTTTTATGAAAGCATGACCACAGAAGTTGAAGGACTTAGTCACACCCCTACAGCGAAGGTATTCCCTCTACTCCATAGGAAAGTAAACCATAGAACATCTGCACGGGCTACCTGAGACCACAGTTGCTGAGGAGCAAAAGTGGAATTTGAGGCTGGGCGCAGTGGCTCAGGCCTGTAATCCCAGCACTTTGGGAGGCCGAGGCGGGTGGATGACGAGGTCAGGAGATCAAGACCATCCTGGCTGACACGGTGAAACCCCATCTCTACTAAAAATACAAAAAATTAGCCGGGTGTGGTGGCGGGGGCCTGTAGTCCCAGCTACCCGGAGGCTAAGGCAGGAGAATAGCGTGAACCTGGGAGGCGGAGGTTGCAGTGAGCCCAGACCACGCCACTGCACTCCAGCCTGGGCGACAGAGCGAGACTCCGTCTCAAAAAAAAAAAAAAAAAAAAAAAAAAAAGTGGAATTTGCACCCAGGTCTGAGCTGAGCCAAAGCTCATGTCCCTTCTGTCCACCAGGCTTCTCCTGAAAGGGGTGTGAACTCATCTGCTTTTTAAGTCCCTGGCAACCAGAAGGGCTCAGCTGGTACTCAGCAACTCCAATAAGCTTGTCTATGCCCATCAAAAAGAAGCTCGCTGATGACATCACCCTCAGCAAAAGGAGGCCCAGAATGAGGAAGCCAATGGCTGCTTGATGCCCTCTACCTAACTCCTATCTTTTTAAGAGTCCAGGCCTGGGGACCAAATGAACGATCAACCCATTGCCACAAGAGGGTATTCAGACTACAGGCCCGACTTTGCAAGCAAAAATGGAAGGGAGCAAAGCAAATCAATTTATGTACAAAGTCTTGCACCCATGGTGACCCAACAGAGCAACAGACCATCCTTTCTCCAATTTGTTCATCTCCATGATGGGTGGGGTGGCTGGCTGAAACATCACAGTTTAGCAAGACAGGCGGTGGCCTTACAATTAAAATAGCTTTTCAATAATTATGAACCAGTGAACATGGGCTGGGAGGATGTGCGTATCAGGAGGAAGGATACAGTGTGTCACCTGCTCTTGGCCGACTTGGAGGACTGACTCCCAGGCACTGCCTTTTGGCGGCTCCTCTGTGCTTGAGGGAGTGGCTCCTGTCCACAGATCTCTGTGCCCATCACTAGGTTCTGTAAGTCACACCCAAGAACCCTGGACATCTCAGTGCTGTACAAAGGGAGGACAGTCGCTCAGACCTGGCCAGGAAGACGAGGTGGAAAGAGTGACAACTTCCCCCAAAGACATCAAAGCCCCACACATTCATCATATAAGCTACTGGGCAGTTCCAGGGGCTCAAGCACTGCCACCCCAGTATCTTGAAGGTCATTTGCTAGGATGCTGGGTGCCAACGCTGTAGCCTAGTGGGGTAATCATGTGCAAAGCTCACCTGGTCCTTTTAAGAACCAGGCAGCATGTAATGCAGTGCTGTTTGCAACAGCAAAATCTCTGAAAACCACCAAGGCCATGACCATCTGGCCAGTCAGCTGGCACAGTTCTTAACTCGCTTTTTTTTATTGTTAAAATTTTATCTTCAGAAATCTCCCCAGGTTCTGATAAGCATAGATATTCAGTGCAAAATGGACTAGTCCATTTGACCTTAGAAAAGAGGACTTTCTTTTATTGTTTTTTATTAATAGCAATCAAATCATTTTTATTTATTTATTTAAGACCGTGTGTGTGTGTGTGTGTGTGTGTGTGTGTGTGTGCGCATGTGTGTGTGTATTTGAGACAGGGTCTCACTCTGTCACCCAGACTGGAGTGCAGTGGTGCGATCTCGGCTCACTGCGACCTCACCTCCTGGGCTCAGGTGATTCTTGTGCCTCACCCTCCCAAGTAGCTGGGATTACAGGCACCCGCCACCATGCCTGGATAATTTTTGTATTTTTAGTAGAGACGGGGTTTCAGCATGTTGGCCAGGCTGGTCTCGAACTCCTGACCTCAAGTGATCCACCTGCTTCAGCCTTGCAAAGTGCTGGGATTACAGGTGGGAGCCACCATGCCCTGCCAAATTATTTTTAATTGTGGAAAACTACACATAACATAAAGGTTACCACTTGACCATTTTTCCAGTGTATAGTGCAGTAGTGATGAGTACATACACCTTGCTGTGAAACCACCAGCCATCTCCAGAATGTTTTCATCTTGCAAAACTGACAGTCTGTACCCACTCAACAACAACTCTCCATTTTCTTTGACTTTTGAGCTTTAAAAATTCTATTAATAGACCATGGTATATGGTAATTCACTTTTCAGCTCAAAAATTTCTGGAAACATTATGCATAGAGTCTTAAAAAGCACCAGCACCCTCATCCGCCCCCACCGGAGAGTTCACAGGAAGATAGTGAGGGAAGAAGGGGACAGAACAAAGAGACGCAGAAGCAAAGGTAAATGAATGTTTCGTGAGAAAGAGGCCTGGAAAGTGCAGACTCGGAGAGGCTACGTTTAAACCACGAGGTCACCTTGGGTCATCCCTGGCTCTGGCCTCAATAACTTTTACAAAGGAATCTCCCTAGCACCGGGGTGATAAGCAAGACTCATTTTGGGCCCCTGAGCTGCCCCATCCTTGGACATGATGACCCCATCAGGCAGCATGCGTGAACAGCCGCTCCCCTCTGAGCAAACTGCTAAGTAACTTCTAGAAAAAAAAAATGGTCCTCAATATTTGGGGGGTGGAAAATAGAACCATTCTGAGTCCATACATGAATTCAGATTTCACAGTGTAACCCTGACTTTGTGAGGGTTTAAAGGCCCTCCAGGGCCCATCTTCAAACACGCACACACCAAGAATAACTTCACAGGGAAGTATTTATTTCATGAGACTCTCATAGGCTGCCTTTTTGCCCTTTGCCAACAACAGATGAGTTCCTACCCGCAGAGAAAAGCTGCGGCCCTACTTTTTCAAGCAAGCAGACCAAGGCTGTGCTGAGCAGAATAGGAGAGCAAGACTCCTGGGCTGGCATCAAGAGGGCCAGAGCCCATAAATGCCTCCTGAAGATACCTGTGCCCACAGTCGCCCTGTGCTGGAGAGCCCAGCGGGTCCAGGATGCCGGGACCAGTCCTGAGGCAGTTCCTGCACCAGCCCGCCACAGAAGGAGGCCCACATCCACGATCAGGCCTTCCACATTCTCTCTGCATCGGCCTTGAAACTGGGCACATTCTTTGTACCAGCAATCCTATTTATCATAATCTAATTTCAGGAAATAATTGTGGACACACACAAAAGAAGGACAGAGCAATAAGAATGTTCTCTGTGGGGTTGTTTACAGAATCCAGTGATTAGAAACAACTGAACTTCCAACCGTCTGAGGCAGATTGAAAACATGGCATTTTTTCCACGGGCTAGGGGAGAAGCATCCCAAAGACAGATGGTCTCTAATGGTTTTGATGACATAAAAAAACTTGCACAATCGAATAAGTACACATAAATATAAAACACACAAAAAATATGACCAGTGTGAGGGTAAGCAGTTAGGTAGATAGATCTGTCTTTCTCACCAACATGAGGTTTGTATTCTAAAAAATCTGAGGTTGGCTAGCAAGATCATGAATACTACGGGATTGAGAGAAAAACAATTAAATGACCTTCAGTATGCTTCAAAAATACAGGAAATGTAAGTTCATGAAGAGGGGGTTACTACAGAAATAGCATCAGAGCTGGTACCCTGCCCCAGGCAGTGCTGGAAGGGACTACGAGTCCCATAGGTAGCCAGCCCTGCACCTCACACTAGGCAGGAGTGGGAAGGCCTCACTGGAGAGTTTGGGGGATGAGTGACGACTGTGCCCCATGTCCCCACAGCCTGACTGCGTGGGTGGACTGCGGGTGAACAGGAATGTGAAGTTTCCTATAGGCCCCATGAAGTGATGAGGCCCTGTAGGGGGTGATCTCAGGCCAGCCACCTTCTTTGGAGATGTGTGGTCAGGATGAAGAGGCTGCAGCCTGCAGGCTCCATCCAGGCACAAGCTTGGAATGCCTGAAAGGCTGAGACAGAGCAGCCTGTGCAGAGAAGACATTACCAAAGATGCAGGTGGCACATGTGAATTCAAACCCCCTTTCTTCAAGCCACCCCGAGGTTACCCCCAAATATCTCATGTGAAAATAAGGCAAGTGGAATACTACCTGAGTAAGCATTTACCCAAAGACACAGGCTTCCAAGAGCAGCTACTTCATCAGAAAAAGACTGTCAATGGTTTAGAATGAACTTCTACTCCCTCCTACCCCACCGCCACTACCCAGTGTAATGGTATCTGCCAATGACAGATAAACGTGTTCTCCCAAATTTCAACATAATTTTCTTTTTTCTCACTTCTGAGTGGTAGGCATCATCTTAAAATCACTATAGGCAAAACTACACTTGGCAAGGGACTTTAGTAGCCCGATTGTTCACTGTGCTTCCCAGTGGGCTTATGGGAAATGTTTACTCATTTTCTTTTTGGTTCACTTATGTTTTCTAAATATTCTACCATAGACATGTATTTTTTTACATAAGAAAACAACTGCTTGGTTTATTATTACTTTTTACCTTTTTATTTTTTTGAGACAGGGTGGAGTGTAGTGGTGCTATTTCGGCTCACTGCAGCCTTGACCTCTGGGCTCAAGTGATCCTCCTGCCTCAGCCTCCCAAGTAGCTGGGACTACAGGCTCACTCCACCATGCCTGGGTAATTTTTATATTTTATTTATTATTTATTTATTTTTATTTTTGTGGAGACAATGTCTCCCTTTGTGGCCCAGGCTGGTCTTGGATTTCCAGACTCAAGTGATTGATTCTGCCTCCTCAGCCTCCCAAAATGCTGGGATTACAGGCATGAGCTACTGTGCCTGGTCTGCTTAGTTTATTTTTATTTGTCTTGGCTGGGCATCTGTTTTCCATCAGTGCTCCCACCCTGCAGGAAGCACAGGAGGGTGAACTCACCTGGCAGTGGGCAGCCCAGGATCTCCATTCTCATGCAGATGCTCCCATTATCAAACCAGGACTGAGGGTTTATGCGGATGTAGCGGGCCACCATGGGGACGGGTAGCTCATTGAGAACAGGGATCTCCTTCTCACTGTTTCCCTCAAATATCTATTTATGCTCATGGGAGAAAAGGAAAATCTTTTAGTGCTTAATTACCAAGGGATAAAAAGTCAGAATTCACTCATTCAACAAGACTTTATTGAGGAAAACCTAATGTGTGCTGTGCATTGAAAAGAAAAAAAAAAAAAAAAGAAATGAATCAGGCCTGGATCCTGCCCTCAGGAAGCCTCCATCTAGTTGGTATGCAGGGAGTGGGGCTGGTAATTATATACTGTAGAAAAAATCTATCGGTGTCACGGCAAAAGGACAACTAGAGAGCTTTGGGATTTCAGAAGATGGAGAGGACCAGGCAAAGTTTTGGGGAAGAGGGGCTGTTTGAACTGGCATTGAAGGAAAGCTATTTAGATCCGTAGGGATGAGAGGGTATCCAGAGAAAATGAACAATGAGTGCAGAAGCCTAAATATTGGATTCATAGGCAGAAGAGCAGCTGTTTCACTTGTACAAGGACACAGGACTGTGTGTAGGGGGTAAGAATGAGAAAGAAGGTTGAAAAAGGAGGCCACAGTCAAGACTAGTCAGACTATGTAAGACATTGGATACCATGCTAGGAATATGCACTTGAGAATCTGAGGAAGAGAGTGACAGGATCAGGACTAAGCTGGAGCTAATCATGGAACTAAAAGGCCAAGGTCACCAAATGAAGTTAGGAAACTATTAAGAACAGCTGCAAGGGGCCCTAGCATGCCCCATGCATGCAACTTCCAGGGCTAACTTGCAAATTACATAAAAGGCTGCATTCCTGCAGTTGCCTGATGGGAGTAAATAAAGGCTGAATTTTACATTAGCTCTAAATGTGTGTCACTTGCTGCTGGGCTTCAGGGCAGGGAAAGGGTCTCTGTCCATCAGACTGTAGTGGTAGGTTTGAGTTGACAGAGAATCCACAAATCTCCAAAGAGTTGATCATACATTGCCTCTCTTTGCAAAACCCCACCCAGCCAGGAAGAAAGGCATGGTTAAATGGAGGATGAGACTCACCATGTCTCCAGATCCATTCTTAACAGTGACCCACGTGTGGCTGTCATTGCTCACCATGACCTTATAGGATGTCACCCAGTCACTCCTATGAGAAAATAAAACATCATTAGGACTACACACTTTAAAATGTTTGTTCTTCCATGAAGAGGTTTAGAAGTGAGGAGAGCAGGTGCCAGAGGCAGATGGCACTGGGTCAAACCCTGGCTCCAGGACATTTACAGCTCTGTGACCTCAGTCAGGTAACTAACTGACCCATCTATGCCACTATATATTCATCCATAATATGGGAATCATAAAAGCATCAACCTTAAAGAATTAATGTAAGCCTCCGTTTAATGCCCTTTAATCACTTAGAACAAGGCCTAGCCCCTAGTAATCACTAACCGTTGATCACAGATGTAAAGATATACAAATGTGTACGTAACTGTTTGCACTGAACACCTACATCACACCCAAGAAGCTCAGTGGAAAAATAATCTGGGTAAAGGTTGCAAACCGGTTTAAACATTTTGGTTAGGAAGCTGATTTGGGAATGTAACAAATGAGATTTTACCAATCACAAAAATAAAATGTTGAGTCTCTAAGAGATACTGAGTTTCTCCTTGGCTGTCACAGCCACACAGACAATCCCCACCCCAGGAAGAATCCAGTGATGGCTGGACCCAAATAAATACCCCCATCATCACACCCTACTGCACAGAAATTTCTGGGGGTAAATTAGCCATAATTTGACTTTCCAGAGTGGAGGTTAACCTGATAGCCTTGGCAAGAAAAGCGACCTACATCTTTTTTTCTCTCTGCCTCAGTTTTTTATAATATTAGTTGTTGAACAATATAGGAAAGTCTTCCTGAGTACACCCCCTCTTTTAATTTTTTAAATATTGGAACTAAGAAGCAATTTACTAGTTTTTTGGTTTTTTTTTTTTTTTTTTTTTTAGAAAATTCTGCCCATTGAAGTATTTGGAATCCTTTTCCTACTTGCCTGCTTGCCCTCAGGATTCAGATCTATCCAAATAAAGTTTTGAGTTTCCTGTCTGAATTTATACTGCCCAGTAGAGTTTATTTCAAAAGAACAGCTGGTTCTATGCATTCTGGTTCATCCGACTGACTTGTCATGAAAATGATTCTTAGGTGATTTTATACATGCTTGGAAACAAACCCTCATCTCACACCTTCTCTTCTTCTCCTCTCTCCTCCCCACCAGCTCTGTCTGAATACCCGTTAGAAGCCAGAATCGATCACACACCACATTCCTCCTCTGAGAGTCACCAGTTTGAGCCCAGGGCTGGGGAGGGAGATGCATTAGCATTGCCTTAACAAGAAAAGCACCTCGGCAACAGCTCCTTCCTTTGCCCTGGAAAATTATCCACACCCAAAATAGCAACCTGTTTCCCACACACAAATAATTTCCGAATGACTTGTAGCTGCCGTTCCTTTGCTGCCTGTTTTTCAGCTGATAAGGCCCGAGGGTGATACAGCAAGACAGACAACAGAGGCGGGAGCTGTATCCTGCCGAGAGAGAGGTGATGAATGTAGGAAACCCCTCGGTCAAGAGAAGCACAAGACAATAAGAGGGGAGTAAAGAGAAAAATAAAAAGAAGTTCTCCAAAGAAAAAGGAGAGGGCAGGGAAAAAAAGGAAATGAAAGCCAAGTCATAATTTCTCAAACTCAAAAAAAAAATAAGAATACCAATCCCCTACTTATGTTTGAATCGTAATTGTTTCTATGGCTCAGAACTATCTTCTGAACTGCAAAGCTACATCATATCCTCCTGCCTAGTTGACCCCTCCACTTAAAGTCTCTGCGACATCTCAAATTTAACTTGCTTTAAACGAACTGATTCACGCCTTCCGCTCTACACTCTGACGTGACAGTCCACCAGAGGCCCTGCCCCAAGAAAGGTACTGCCATTCACCCAGGGAGACCAAAATCCCAGTGTTAGCCTGGGTGTCCCACCTTCCCTTCCTCCCTGATACGGTTTGGCTGTGTCCTCACCCAAATTTCATTTTGAATTGTAGCTCCCATAATCCCCACATGTTGTTGGGGGGACCCAGTGGGAGGTAATTAAATCATGGGGGCAGGTTCTTCCCATCTCATTCTCATGATAGTGAATAAGTCTCACAAGACCTGACGGTTTTGTAAAGGGCAGTTTCCCTGCACACGCTCTCTTGCCTGCCGCCAGGTGAGACATGACTGCTCCTCTTTCGCTTTCCACCGTGATTGTGAGGCCTCCCCAGCCATGTGGAACTGTGAGTCCATTAAATCTCCTTTTCTTTATAAGTTACCTAGTCTCGGGTATTTCTCCATAGCAGTATGAAAACAGAATAACACATTCCCCTATATTGAATCCATCACCAAGTTCTGTCAATTTTAACTCCCGCATTTTCAAGAATGTATCCAACTCTCTCCACCTCCCCTGCCACCACCCCAGTTCACTCTCTCAGGCCCCCTGGCATCTAAATTGCTCCCCCATCTATCTTGCAGGCAAGAGCTTACTTTTCTAATGAAATATGATCATGTCATCCCTGCTTAAAATAGCTCTTATTTTAAGTATTCTTATATTAAATATTGTGCTATCTTAGTATTAACAAAATCCCCATCACGTTCTACGAGACCCTTGCTTGCCTTGCGTTCTCCGTGTTCTTTCTTTCAATTCCTAATACTGTTTATACTCTCTCTTGCCCCAGGGCCTTTGCACATACTGCTGCAGCTGTTTGAACTCCTCCTCTTCTCTCCTCCTCTGTCTGCCTTTAAATTATTCAGACCTCATACCAAGTAAAAAAGCTAGTCTTAACCCTTCAATCTAGCCAATTTCTTTCTTATATGCTTTCTTTCATAGTTTAATTCAGTTTGTAATTTCATACTCCTTTCTGGAATTACTTGATACTGTCGTTCTCTCCCACTGACGTATAAGCATCTCACAGATGGAGGAAGGAGGGCACATGGCACTTGGAGGACAGAAAGGATGCTGGTGCCCCAGGAGAGCAGAGGAAGGGACAGGGGAGCAGAGGCCAGGGCATGGTAGGCTTTTAGGCCATTTGATAGGAGTGGAACTTCCTCTGCCAGGCAGTAGGGAGCTACCCCTCTTGAAGTTCGCCAAGGGTGGTCAAAGTACCTGAAGACCAATTAGAAAGTATCCTCTACTTCCAAAAGTTCCACCATAATAGAATGCTTGCCAATCAGAGGCTGTCTTTGTTTTTTCCCTGTTTAGAAAACTAACTCCCCTTTCTACCGCCTTTGAACCACTGCCGAAATAAGCGTGATCACAGATGGGTCCTCTTGTCCTAGGTTTATAAAGGCTTTGTTCATTTTGTTTCAGACCTAGTTTCGTCTTTGATAATTCTTATCGTTGCTTATAATTATGCTTTATTCATTCTCACTGCGTTCTACTACTCTACTCTGAGAACAGACACCACAATTTATTTATCCATTTTATTGCTAATGGGGATTTGAGTAGTTTCCAGTTTGGATTATTAGGAAGAGTGCTTCTGTGAACATTCCTGCATGTATATTTTAGTGAATTTATACAAAATTCTGTTTGGTGTATAATTAGGAGTGGAATTGCTAGGTCATAGGGTCAGAGGGTAGACATGCTCATATACCTACGTTCAGCCGCATTATTTTCCAAATTAATTATACCTATTTGTACTCAGACCAGCAATAAACAAGAGTCTGGTTATTCCATGCTCTTATTGACACTTGTTATTATCTTCCTTTTTTATTTTAGCCATTCTTGATGGATGTATCCTTTTATCTCATTGTTGATTTATTTTAAGTTACTTGGTGACTAATGAAGTTCGATATTTTGTATGTTCATTGGGTATTTGAACACCATCTTTTGAGAAGTGCCTACTCAAGTTTTCCCCCTTTTTCAATTAAGTTGTCTGTCTTTCTCACATTGATTTATAGAGCTCTTTATACATTCTAGATATGAGTTGAATATATATATATATTGCAAACATCTCCTCCAATTTGTCTTCCTTTTCATCCTCTTTGTAGTACCCTTTTTTTTTTTTTTTTTTTTTTTTTTTTTTTTGAGACAGCGTTTTGCTCTGTCACCCAGACTGCAGCCTCCCAGGCTCAAGCAATTCACCCACCTCAGAGCCTCCCAAGTGGCTGGGACTACAGGCATGCACCACCATACCCAGCTAATCTTTGTATTTTGTTTGTTTGTTTTTGTAGAGATGGGGTTTTGCCATGTTGCCCAGGCTTGTCTCAAACTCCTGGGCTCAAGTGATCTACCCACCTTGGCCTCTCAGAGTGCTGGGATTATAGGTGTGTGCCACCATGCCCAGCCTGTGGTATCTTTTGATGACAAAAAATTCTTAATATAATCCAATCTTAGCCATTTTTTTCTTTATGGCTTTCAGTATTTTTGTTCTTTTCAATAAATTTTTGCCTACTCCAAGATGATAAAGATATTAACTGATGTTTCTTCTAAAAAACGTTATTGCTTTACCTTTCACATTTAAGATCTGCAATCCATTTGGAGTTGATTACCATATAGTGTGACGGGTCAAGATACATGGTTTTCTTCTGTTTTTTGTTTTTGTTTTTGTTTTTTTGAGACAGAGTCTCTCTCTGTCACTCAGGCTGGGGTGCAGTGATGCGATCTCGGCTCACTGCAACCTCTGCCTCCTGGGTTCAAGCGATTCTCCTGCCTCAGCTTCCTAAGTATCTGGGACTACAGGCACGTGCCACCACGCCCAGCTAATTTTTTGTATTTTTAGTAGAGAGGGGTTTCATCATGTTTGCCAAGATGGTCTCGATGTCCTGACCTCATGATCTGCCTGCCTCAGCCTCCCAAAGTGCTGGGATTTACAGGCATGAATCACTGCACCCAGCCCAAGATACATGGTTTTCTATATGGGCTTCCAGCTGACCTAGAACCATTTATATGGTTATTTTCCTATTGCACCAGAGTGGAAATTTGCTATAAATCATGTGACTGTATATATGTAGGTATGTTTCTGGATGCTCTATTCTGTTCTGTTGGTCTACTTCTTATCCTATCCTAAATCTGTCTTAATGTCTATTGTTTTATAATACATCCTTATATCTGATAGTATATGTTTTCTCACTTTGTTTTTGCTTTTCAAAGTTGCCTTCACTATTCTTAGATCTTTGCAGTCCTATATAAATTTTAAATTCAGCTTGTCAATTTCTAAAACAAAGCCTCTGGATTTTAATTGGGTTAATATTGAATATATACACCAATTTTGGGGGAACTGACCTCTTTACAGTATTAAATCTTCCAATCTATAAACATGGTATATGATCCTCTTTATTTAGGTCTTCTTTTATTTATCTTTTGCTAGCTTTATTCCTGGGTAGCTGATTTTTTAAATGATTTTACATGGTATCATTTTAAATTTTACTTCCTCCTTATTTGTTGCTGGTATGTAGACACATAGATGCTTTTTATATGTTGACTTTGTACCCAGCTACCTTGTTAATTTTTTAATTAGGTCCAATAGTTTGTGGGCTCCTTTGGATGTTTTTATGGATATGATGATATCCCAATGACAGTTCTGATTCTTTATTTCCAGTCATTAGGTCCTCTATTTCTTCTTCTTGTCTTATTATACTGGCTAAGATGTTCAGTCCAATGCTGAAAGAAGTGAATAACTGACATCCCAGCCTCATTCGTGAGATCCAAGGGAAGGTTTCTATATTTCACCACTGAGTAAGATGCTTCCTGTAGGACTTTTTCTACTTTTTTTCTTTTTTTGTTTGTTTTTATTTTAATCAAGTATGAGTTCATTCTTTTTCACATAACAACAGAGTCTGGATGTTTGATGCTGCTGGCACTTATTCAGCTAGTCGACTGTGTAAGAACTCAGTTTTCATACTCATTATCTCCAAGTTCTACGTGGATGTGGCAAGAGGACTTATTACACATTCATTTTACATACTTGTCATCTCAGAGTTCTAAGAGGACATCCATCTGCTTTCATTCTTCATATTGTCTCAGAGTTCTAAGAAAACATCAAGATGTTTTCATTTTCATATATATTGTCTTTAGGTTGTAACAGAGTTGTTTCAGCTCTGTATCATGTCAACATTCAAAAATATTAAATCAATTATAAATATTATAAATTATAAATTTTTAAAATGACTTATGTCCTTCCTGGTGCATTCTTTAAGTTTGATTTACGATTCTTTTTATATAGCTTCTTGAGGTCACTGATTGTCAGTTTTTCTTCTTTTCTAATATAGCATTTCAGGTTATAATGTTCCCTCTGAGCACTCTTTAGTTTCATGCCATAAATTTCGATAGGTCATATATTCTTTGCCATTTAGTTCAAAATATTAATTCTTATTGTGATTTATTCTTTGATTATGAACTATTTAGAAGTGTGTTGTTTAATGTCTAGGTACTAGATATTTTCCAGTTACTTTTTTATTACCGATTCCTAGTTTAATTCCGTTGTGGACAGAGAACATACTTTAAATCATGTCAGCCCTTTGGTTTCTCT
The DNA here is from genome assembly GCF_000001405.40 of Homo sapiens. Taxonomy (NCBI): domain Eukaryota; kingdom Metazoa; phylum Chordata; class Mammalia; order Primates; family Hominidae; genus Homo; species Homo sapiens. The sequence continues at coordinate 123,805,594 of NC_000010.11, forward strand.
TGAGGTTTCATTTGTGGCTCAGTATATGGTCAACTTTGGCAAATATTCTATGTGCACTTGAAAACAATATCGGCTCTGTAATTGTTGGATGCAATGTTCCATACAAATAATTTTGATCACTCAAAATTGATCACTGCCAATATTAAGATTGGAAAAAAAATCACAAAATAATCAGATTTTGATTACTAGTTTCTCTTTATTGACTTATTAGTTATACACTCACAATATTCTTTTCATAATTCTCTTAAGATTACAATATGCATCCTTGATTACTACAATCTAATTCAAATGATAATTTCTACTACTTCCATGGTAATGCCAGAACTTCACAACACTTCAAGTCCATTTACCCCTCCAGCTTTTGCATTATTTTGGAATTCATTTCCAATTCCATATGTATTTTAAATTTTATAAAATATTCCTACTACTGTTGTGTGTAGTTAATGATTATAAACCTACTCATTTATCCTTTCTGGTATGCTTCATTAATTTTGCATTTCCACGTTTCCATCTGAGATCATTTTCTTTCTGCTTGAAGAGCGCCTTTGCTATTTCTTTTAAACCAAGTATGCTGATAGTACGCTTTTTCAGTTTTTGTTGTCTGAATATGGCTTCTTCATTTCATCATTTTTGAATGATATTTTTGTTGGGAATTCTAGATTGATGTTTATTTTCTTTCAGCACTTAAAAATTTTGATTTTATTGGCTTGTGAGGCATTGCTTTTCTGTATAAACACACACATGTTGAAACTACTGTTGTGGCATTGAGTAAACGTGCAATAAGAGTATGAGTAGAAAAATGAGTGTCAGCCATTTTAGCTTGAATCCAGCTTTGTTGTTTACTAACTACATAAGCTTGGCAAGCTACCTAGTCTTTGAAAATAATAAAGTTATCTACATGGAGATTATATATTAATGTATGAATTGAGAGATGTTATAGTATACTGGTTAATACCTCAGGCTTTGACATTAAGAAGGCTGTATTAGTCCATTCTCACATTGCTATAAAGATCCTACCCGAGACTAGGTAATTTTTAAAGGAAAGATGTTTAGTTGGCTCACAGTTCTGCATGGCTGGGGAGGCATCAAGAAACTTACAATCATGGTGGAAAGCAAAGGGGAACAAGGCACATCTTACGTGGCGGCAGGAGACAGAGAGAGAGTACAGGAGAAACTGCCACTTATGAAACCATCAGATTTCATGACAACTCACTATCATGAGAACAGCATGGGGGAAACTGCCCCCATGATCCGGTCACCTCCCACCACGTCCCTCCCCTACACGTAGGGATTACAATTCAAGATGAGATTTGGGCAGGGACACAGAGCCAAACCATATCAAAGACCAAACTGAAATTCTAGTTCTTCCACTTACTAGCTGCAACCCATGTGATAGCAGCGTGTCTACTGAGCCCCAGCTGTAAGATAAGGTAACAACTCTACCTCCTTGTATAGTGAGTAGGGATTGAATGGGGTAATGCAAGTAGTCTGAGCACAGTGCCTGGCACGTAGTAACTGTTCCATAAATATGAGCTGTTAATAAGAACACAGAAATTATACACTGTCAGATGCCATACCAACATACAGGATTACTATTAAAGTTGAACTGGGACATAATTCAGATGCTCCCTCCAAACACTTCCAGGGTGTGGATCTTCACATTTACCCCTTTGTGCCCTAGTAATGGAAATGTTCTGTCATTGCCATAAGGAAATTAATAATTAATTAAATCTTCATTAAAATAATGCAGGCTGATAATCCAGGGTGATAGAAGAGATACTTGCCCATCTGTATGATGTTGTGGGAGGACTGAATTGTGTCTTAAAGCTCTACCTACATGAAAAGGTTAAAGCATTATGAGATGTGTGGTTAAGTCCTGCTCCTCTCCCTGCAGCTACTAGCTTCTGGGAATACAAAGGTAACTTATACAACATTCCTTTACTCAAGGTTTTTACAGGTTGATGATGAAGACAAGGAAGTAATCTGGAAATTTCAAGAGAGTGTGATCAAGTGCTGTGATGAGACAAGTACAGCAAGTCGTGGGAGGGCAGAGGAAGTCTGCGTGGCTTAGATGGAAAAGGAGGAGGGGCAGGTTCGTGAATGAACATAGTCCTGATCTAACATAAAAGCTGATTATGTTATTCTTTTGTGACAGGCAAATCCATTGTTATTAAAGAGGCTCAGAAGACTGAAGCTATAATGTCACTGTTTCCTGGTCTTCTAATCTTCAGGGAAAGTTTAAAAACCATGGCACTGTTGTGGCTTTTTTCCACTTTCCTCAAATAGATTATTCCACATCACAAAACCACTTTGACATTTAATTCTCTGCAACTGGAGGTTACGAACTCCAAGCAATGTAGTCCAAATAAAGAAAGGTTTGTGTCAAAGATTTCTTGACTGCGGAATGAGGAGAGGCTTCTATGGGCTGCAGCCATCTCCCTCACTTAAAAAATTTTAAAACAAAACAAAATACCTTTGTATGATATTACCACATTGCCCTCCAATCCAGCCTTCCTTCAAATCAGAAAAAACAGAGGAGGCAGGCCATAATAGAAAAAGCTGGCATATATTTAGACATTTTACTATATGATGCTAATATGGTTTAATTAAAAACAAAGAATACCTATCATTAACAAAAGGAAAGATTAATTGCTTATAGAGCCTTCTACTAGTGTACAACTAGTTTCTGGTGACATCAAAACAAATGCTTAAAACCATCAGTGGGTTTGTGAGCAAGTAAAGAAACTCTCCAATTGGGCAAACAAAAACAACAACAACAACAACAACAACAACAACAACCAGCTGTTAGCTGAAAAAAAGAATAGTGAGTAATGCACAAACACAAAAGCCAGGGTCGCCCCAGGGAAAATGCATCTAACAGTGCCAGGATCAGAGTACTAAGCCTGAGGACCATCGAAAGCTAGGGAAGCTGAACTTGAGACTTTTCCAGGACTCTCAAAAGTGGCTAAAAGATCTCAGCACAGTGGTATCCACTGGTTCCTAACAGAAGCACACATGAATCCCCTCAAAAGAAAAGAATCTTCAACATAGGCTCTTGGAGGTTTCAGCAGGTACAATTAAGTAATTACTGAGTCAAGAACAATTATTTATACAATTTTTAAAAAATCATTAAACCCATAAGAAAATATTCTCCATGAGAAAAAGGCAGCATAAACAAAAAGCAACAAACCTAGGTCCCAAAGAACTTCTGATTTTGTAATTATCACATTTTTAAGTTTTCCTTTAGCAAAGATTTATATAGTACCTAGCACATCAGATGCCTTTGGAAGCACTTCACAAATACTGTAATCCCCCCTTATCCATGGTTTCCTTTTCTACAGACTGTAGTAACTTTAAGTCTGAAAATATTAAATGGAAAATTCCAGAAACGAACAATTCACAAGTTTTAAATTGCACCATTTTGAGTAGCATGGTGAAATAGCACGGCATCCTACATCATCCTGCTCAGGACGTGAATCACCCCTTTGTCTAGCACATCCATGCTGTAGAGGCTTCCTGCCCATTAGTCACTTAGTGGCCTTCTCAGTTATCAGATCGACTGACATGATATGGCAGTGCTTATAACCTTTATTTTATTTAAGAACGGCCCCAAAGTGCAAGAAGTAGGGATGCTGGCAATTCAGACATATGAAAGAGAAGCCATAAAGTGTTTCCTTTAAATGAAACGGTGATTCTCAACTTAATAATGAAAGAAGAAAAAATAGGGTATGCTAAGATTGCTAAGATCTATAGTAAGAACCAATCTGCTGTCAGTGAAATTGTGAAGAACAAAAAAGAAATTGATGCTGGTTTTGCTGTTGCACCTCAAACTGCAAAAGTTAGTCATAGTGCATGATAAGTACTTAGTGAAGATAGAAAAGGCAGTAATTTGTGTTTGTTATGTGCCAGGTCCCACTCTAAGATATATAAATAGATATAAATACACTCATGTAAATAGATATAGATACACTCACATATATACATATATAGATATAGATAACATACACACACACATACATATACATAAATTGACTTAAGTATCACTACAATGCTATGAGGTAGGTATTATTATCTCCATTTTACAGATGAAGAACCTGAGACACATAGGTATCCTATTATTGTTAAGGAAGTATTAACTTATTAAAAATTAATAAGATATTTCTTTCAATTTTGCTTAGTATACTTGGTAAAATTCCAGGAGTAAAAACTGAAATAACAGAGTGTTTTATGCAAAATCAGCATAATGGAAAAACCAAGCAAGGTGGGAAAACTCAGATTATATAAAAGAAAACTAAAAAGAATAACAGAGAGAAAGCAGAAATAAATCAAATTATAAAAGCTATCACCACAAATATAAATAGATTAGTTAATAGATCATTAAGTTGGATTAAAAATTACAAATATACTGTTCATAGGAAACAGACCCAAAATGTAAGAAAGTTGAAATTAATGGAAGAACTATCCATAAAAGCAAATACTAAAAGAAAACTAAGGTAGCTATAATAATAACAGACAAAATATATTTTAAGACTAAAAGCATTATTAGAGATAAAGACAGTCATTACATTATCATAAAAGATTCAGTTTGCCAGGAATAAAATAACAATTTTAGATTGTATGTACCTAATACAGGAGCTCCAAAAATATAAGCAAAAAGTAAAATAAAATAAAAATCAGTATAAGTAAAAACTGACAAATCCATCAGCATAGAAGAGTACTAATATTCCTCTCTCAATTATTATTTTAAAAAGGCAACAAAAATAGCAAAAATATACAAGATTTTAATAAAATAAAAACCTTTATGTAATGAATATACATAGAACTCAGAACACAAAAGTTAGAGAATATTCATTTCTTAAGCATACATACAACATTTATCAAACTATGTAATTATCCATAAAGGTAAAAACATTTCTAAAATAGAATTAATAAGAGAGTTCAGCAAGATGGCTGGACATAAGCCAATACACAAAAAATTAATTACATTTCTATACACCAGCTGCCAAAAATAAGGTACTTACACTTACAAATAAAATAAAGATGTGCAAGATATTTATGGAGGAAACTTTAAATTTTTATTGAATAACATTTTAAAAGACATACATAAGTGGGGATCTATACCATGTTCATTGATAGGAAGAAACTGGAAATGTGTCAATTCTTTCCAAAAATCTCAATTGCATTTTCAAGAAACTTCACAAACTGATTCTAAAATGTATAGGAAAGAATAAAGCCCAAAATAGCCAAGATACTTTATGAGAAAAAGAAACAGTAGAGTATTGTCCTATCAAGATATTGAAGCTTATTATTATAAAGCTTTAAGACACTGTGATAATGGTGTATGAATAGACAAATTTATAAATGTAAGAGAATTGAGAGCCCAGAAACAGACCCATGCATATATAAAACCTGAAAGAGATCTCTAGCATATCGATTTTAAATAAATGAACTATTAAATAAATGATCTCAAGGTAACTGAATATTAATATAGAAAAAAACTAAAACTGGACCCTATACCTAACATTTTTCACAAAATCATTTTTTTTTTTCTTTTTTCTTTTTTTTTTTATTATAATTTAAGTTCTAGGGTACATGTGCACAACATGCAGGTTTGTTATATATGTATACATGTGCCATGTTGGTGTGCTGCACCCATTAACTCGTCATTTACATTAGGTATATCTCCTAATGCTATCCCTCCCGCCTCCCCTCACCCCACGACAGGCCCTGGTGTGTGATGTTCTGCTTCCTGTGTCCAAGTGTTCTCATTGTTCAATTCCCACCTATGAGTGAGAACATGTGGTGTTTGGTTTTTTGTCCTTGCAATAGTTTGCAGAGAATGATGCTGACTGGATTAGCTACTTAAATGTGACAAGCGAAACTTAAAACTTAAAAAACCTGAATAACAAATAGAAGAATAAGTTCATAACCATGGAGTATGGAAGAAATTTATATATAAAACACAACCAGCCAAATCATAAAAGACAAATAAACTGAAGTACATTAAAATTTAAAACTTTTGCTTATTAAAAAACATCATCAAGAAAGCAGTAAAAGAAATTCTAAGCTGAGAGAATCTATTTTGAGCATATTTAGCTGACAATAGATTAATATTGAGAATATATTTTTAAAATTCTGTAAATCAATGAGACAAAGAAAAAGCACACAATGTAAATGGAGAAACATGACAAATATTTCATAGCAAAGGTAACCAAACGGCAAATAAACATAGGAAAGGAAGTTCAACCCTGTTAGTGGTTACGGAAATGCAAGTTTCTCTAAGGACATCAGTGAAAGATAATGCTTTACACCTTTTACATTGAAAAGTAAGAATAGCAATGCCAAATGTTGGTAAAAATGTTTCACAATAAAAACCTTAAAGAAGACTATGACAATCAACTTAGACAGCAAATGTCATTGTCCTGTTAAACTACCATTTGCATACCTTCCAACCCAGCATTATATTCCTATGTATATATCATGGGGACTGCTTTGTACACATGATCCAGGAGACATATACAAGAATGCTAATAGCAGCATTATTCTTAAGAGAAAATTGCAATAATGACAACAGCAACAATAAAAAATCAAAAAGAGGACAATCTAATCTTCATCAAAGAATAGATAAATTGCAGTATACCTGCAAGGTTAAATAGCATTACAAATATATGAACTAAACCCACAGGTAACAACATGGATGATCCTGTGAAGCATAATGTTGAGTGGAAAAAGACAATTCCAAAAGCTACATTCAGTATAAAATCATTTTTATAAAGCCTGAACCAAGAAAAATATTTTTTTCATATGTAATACATATGTGACAAGAGTAGTTTTTAAAGGTAGGAGATTAATTGGTCCCCGATAAGGAGAATGATTCCACTTCTGGGAAGAAGCAGGGGAATCTGGAAAAGGCACAGAGATTATTTCCATCAATCAGAGACTACACTAACAGGACAATATTCTAGCCCCGGGGTCCCCAACCCCTGGACCATGAACCAGTACTGGTCTGTTGCCTGTTAGGAACTGGGCCACACAGCAGAAGGTGAGTGAGCATTACCAACTGAGCTCGACCTACTGTCAGATCAGCGGTGGCATTAGGGCATTAGATTCTCACAGGAGCATGAACCCTATTGTGAACTGTGCCCATGAGGGATCTAGGTTGCATGCTCCTTATGAGAATCTAATGCGTGATGATCTGAAGTGGAACAGTTTCATCCTAAAACCACCCCTTCCCCATCCCCCATCCCCACCATCTGTATAAAAACTCTTCCATGAAACCGGTCCCTGGTGCCAAAAAGGTTGGGGACTGCTGTTCTAGCCCTTTAGTTGCATGGCAGGTTCATGAGCATTGGTTTTATTGTAACGCTTAATACCTTACACATATATTATATCCATTCTTTTGTATCCATCAAATATTACATAATGATAAAGCTAAAATATATTTATTTGAATGTTGTACAATAGGCCTACATACAGGAAAACGCCACAACTACCTTTTGTGAAACAGACGTGTGTAAAGATGCCACATTCATCTCTTAAAGATGTTTTATAAGTAAAAAAAATAAGATCTTTGCTCTTGATTTCTTTAGGTATAATTTCTTCTTTCCTTGAAAGAGCAACTGTATTAACATTTTCTAATAACAATTCATCTGGCACTTCAGTTTGCAAAATGCTTCCATACACATGATCTTACTTTGTCTAAGAAGAAGCCAAGTTCATCATCAAGGATGTGGTAATTCACTAGGTTGGTAGAAAGAAAGGATCAGATCACTTGTTTCCTATTTCTCCATACCTGGATGCTCTGTTCCCCTATTCTTTGGTCTTCATCATGCTTCTCTTTTCCCTAGGTCCTAGGTATAGGATTTCAGTGTTCTCAGATCAATTGCCAACCTTTAGGGGTCCTTAAGCAAGTTATCTGGAGCTGCACATGATGCGTAGTAATTGTTCTTGGTTAAAAATTCTTACATCTTAAACCTAAAATTAGCACTTCTCCATCACTTGCATATAATCTCCCTTTCTCAAAACACAGAGGCCACATAATCAATCAGAATTTAAGAAATTGAACATTGAAAGCATAAACTAAACATGAAATCTAGATCTTAGTGAATTTTTCTAATGACTGTAATGTCAGTTGTCTTCAATAATTAGAGATGAGACTTTTGGAAGATGTGCCATACATGGTGGTGCCCAACAGATATCATAATCTGCGTTAATTATGTCTACCTGGAAACATTGTTTTGTGTGCTTAGCTCTATTGTGGGAGTTATTTTTCCACTTAGACCCTTGTACCTGATCACCTTTGGAGCAGATGTGTTGTGCAGCATGACTGTGTACCTTGGCCACAGTGGAATACCTAAAGGTGCACCTGACAGAAACTAGGCCAATCACAGTACCTTGATAATGTGATCACAGTTGATTGGCCTACACTAGACACCTGATCCAATACATTCTTTTCTGGGATTTTGGATTTGAGACTAAGTGGTAGCTGCAGTTATCAGTCTTGACCATTGGGTGCTATGATGGTTAATACTGAGTGTCAACTTGATCGGCTTGAAGGATGCAAAGTATTGAACCTGGGCATGTCTGTGAGGGTATTGCCAAAGGAGATTAACATCTGAGTCAGTAGGCTTGGAAAGACAGACCCACCCTTAATCTGGATGGGCACCATCTAATCAGGGGCCAATGCAGCTAGAATATAAAGCAGGCAGAAAAATGTGAAAAGACCAGACTGGCCTAGCCTCCCAGCCTACATCTTTCTACTGTGCTGGATGCTTCCTGCCCTCGAATATCAGACTCCAAGTTCTTCAGTTTTGGGACTCAGACTGGCTTTCCTTGATCCTCAGCTTGCAGACGGCCTATTGTGGGACACTGTGATCATGTGAGTTAATACTTAATAAACTCCCCTTTATATATCTCTCTATCCTATTAGTTCTGTCCCTCTAGAGAACCCTGACTAATACAGATTTTGGTACTAGGAGTGGTTCTAGAGGAGCAGAATATTAACGATGGAGTTCTTTCATTGGTTTGGGGGTTTCTGGAGTTGGCTGCTTAATATGATTAGACCCAAAAATGCTAAGGACTCTACTTCTAATAGTATGGACAACACTGATAGTCCTTGTTGTGAACTGTTTAGAGAATTATGCAAAATTTCCAGGTGCAGTGGTTCATGCCTGTAATCCCAGCAATTTGGGAGGCTGAGGTGGACAGATCACCTGAGGTCAGGAGTTCAAGACCAACTTGGCCAACATAGCAAAACCCCATCTCTACTAAAAAATACAAAAATTAGCTGGGTGTGGTGGTGTACACCTGTAGTCCCAGCTACTCGGCAGGTTGAGCTGGGAGGATCACTTGAACCTGGAGGGTGGAGGTTGCAGTGATCCAAGATTGCACCACTGCACTCCAGCCTGGGCTACAGAGTGGGACCTCGTCTAAAAAAGAAAAAAGATTTATGTAAAATAAATACATTTGACACTCCTAATTCATCACTCATGACAGGCAAGGAGTTTAGTGACTCTATACATAATACCTTTGACCATATGTGGAGAACCAAGGGACATAATGAATCTGCTTGGTTGCTCCTAAGTTCAGTGGGCAAAGTGATGAAAGAAAATGATGAACTCAGGGATTCTATCTCCCAGCTTCACAAGCTGATACTGAGCCTCAAATCTGCTAAGTTTGCCCTGAGTGACAGCCTTATCCCTGGTAGAGAAAGAGCTGAAATTGTGGAAAAACAGACACAAGCTCTCATCATGTGAGTGGCTGACCTGCAATGAAAGGTGCATACACAGCCTCATCAGATGTTTAGTGTTAAAGTGAGGGCATTCATTGGAAAAGAATGGGATCCTGCAACTTGGAATGGGACGTTTTGGAGGACCCTGATGAAGCTGGGGACACTGAGTTTGTAAACTCTGATGAACCTTTTTTGCCAGAAGGAACAGCTTCCCCATACCCAGTAGTGGCAACATCCCCTCCCCAGCCCATGCTGCCATCAGCCTTTCAACCTTTGTCTGAGGAGATAAACCCTGCGCTGCCTGAGGCAACAGTGATGGCTTCCCCTGAGGCAATTGCCAGGCAAGGTGATGTTGATTCTCCTCAGGAGCCACCCCCAACACCCCTGTTTCCTTCTAGACAGATAATTAAAGTCCTGGCAGGCCCCTAGAGGTAAGGTTAAGAGTGTGACCCATGAGGAGGTACACCAGACTCGAAAATACTGCTTGAGTTTTCTAATTTATATACACAGAAATCTGAAGAACAGGCATGGGAATGCATAGTAAGGGTGTGGGATAATGGTGGAAGGAATGTAGAGTTGGATCAGACTGAATTTATTGATTTGGGCCACTAAGTGGGGACTCTGTGTTTAATGCTGCAGCTCAGGGAGTTAAAAAAGTTCTAACAGTTTATTTGCTTGGTTAGCTGAAATATGGATTAGAAGATGGCCCACTGTGAGAGAGGTGGAAATGTCTGATCTCCCTTGGTCTAGTGTAGAGGAAGGGATCCAAAGGCTTAGGGAGATTGGGATGGTGGAGTGGATTAGTCACTTTAGACCTACTCATCCCAGCTAGGAGGGTCCAGAAGATATACCCTTTACTAATGCCATGCAAAATAGATTTGTGAGGGCAGCAACTGCATCTTTGAAGCTCCCTGGATTCATCCTGTGGTCACTTCCCCAGTGCCAGAATGCATAATTGGCATAGACATACTTAGAAGCTGGCAGAACCCCCACATTGGCTCCCTGGCTGGTAGGGTGAGGGCTATTATGGTGAGAAAGGCCAAATGGAAGCCTTTAGAGCTGCCTCTACCTAGAAAAATAATAAATCAAAAACAGTATCGCATTCCTGGAGGGATTGCAGAGATTAGCGCCGCCATCAAGGGCTTGAAAGGTAGTGATTTCCACCACATCCCCATTCAACTCTCCCATTTGGCCTGTGCAGAAGACAGATGGATCTTGGGGAATGACAGTGGATTATCATAAGCTTAACCAAGTGGTGACTCCAATTGCAGCTGCTGTACCAGATGTGGTTTCATTCCTTGAGCAAATTAACACATCTCCTGGCAACTGGTATGCAGCCATTGACTTGGCAAATGCCTTTTTCTCCATTCCTGTCCATAAGGCCCACCAGAAGCAATTTGTCTTCAGCTGGCAAGGCCAGCAATATACCTTTACTGTCCTACATCAGGGGTATATTAACTCTCCGGCTTTGTATCATAATCTTATTTGGAGAGATCTTGATCGCTTTTCACTTCCACAAGATATCACATTGATCCATTACATTGATGACATGACACTGATTGGATCCAGTGAGCAAGACGTAGCAAACACACTGGACTTATTGGTGAGACATTTGCTTGCCAGAGGATAGGGAATAAATTCGACTAAAATTCAGGGAACTTCTACCTCAGAAAAATTTCTAGGGGTCCAGTGGTGTGGGACCTGTCAAGGTATTCCTTCTAAGGTAAAGGATAAGTTGCTGCATTTGGCCCCTCCTACAACCAAGAAAGAGGCACAATGCCTAGTGGGCCTATCTGAATTTTGGAAGCAACACATTCCTCATTTGGGTGTGTTACTCCAGCCCATGTATTGAATGACCCAAAAGGCTGCCATTTTTTAGTGGGATCCAGAACAGGAGAAGGCTCTGCAACAGGTCTAGGCTGCTGGGAAAGCTGCTGTGCCACTTGGGCCATATGACCCAGCAGATCCAATGGTGCTTGAGGCGTCAGCAGAAGATAGGCATGCTGTCTGGAGCCTTTGGCAGGCCCTCATAAGTAAATCACAGCAGAGGCCTCTAGGATTTTGGAGCAAGGCCCTGCCATCTTCTGCAAATAATGACTCTCCTTTTGAGAGACAGCACTTGGCCTGTTACTGGGCTTTGGTGTAAACTGAACATTTGTCTATGGGTCATCAAGTCACCATGCGACCTCAACTGTCTATCATGAACTAGGTGCTTTCTGACCCATCTAGTCATAAAGTGGGTCATCCATAGCAGCATTCATCATCAAATAGAAGTGGTATATACGTAATTGGGCTTGGGCAGCTCCTAAAGACACAAGTAAGTTACATGAGGAAGTGGCTCAAATGCCCGTGGTCTCCACTCCTGCCACCCTGCCTTCTCTCCCCCAGACTGCATCGATAGCCTCATGGGGAGTTCCCTATCATCAGTTAACAGAGGAAGAGAAGACTTGGGCCTGGTTCCCAGATGGTTTTGGATGATATGCAGGCACCACCCGAAAGTAGACAGCTACAGCACGACAGCACCTTTCTAGGACATCCCTGAAGGACAGCACTGAAGGGAAATCTTCCCAGTGGGCAGAACTTTGAGCAGTGTACCTGGTTGTGCACTTTGCCTGTAAGGAGAAATGGCCAGGTGTGCAATTACATACTGATACATGGGCTGTAGCCAATGGTTTGGCTGGATGGTCAGGGACTTGAAAGAAGCATGATTAGAAAGTTGGTGAAGAGAGGAAGAAATTTCGGGAGGAGGTATGTGGATGGACCTCTCTGAGTAGTCAAAAACTGTGAAGATATTTGTATCCTATGTGAGTGTTCACCAACAGGTGACCTCAGCAGAGGAGGATTTTAATAATCAAGTGGATAGGATGACCCATTCTGTGGACATCACTCAGCATCTTTCCCCAGCCACCCCTGTAATCGCCCAATGGGCCCGTGAACAAAGTAGCCATGGGGGCAGGGATGGAGGTTACGCATGGGCTCAGCAACATGTACTCCCACTCACCAAGGCTGACCTGGCTATGGCCACTGCTGAGTACCCAATTTGCCAGCAGCAGAGACCAACACTAAGCCCTCAATATGGCACCATTCCTCAGGGTGATCAGCCAGCTACCAGGCAGCAGGTTGATTATATTGGACCTCTTTCATCATGGAAAGGGCAGAGGTTCGTCCTCACTGGAGTACATGCTTATTGTGGATATGGGTTTGCCTATCCTGCACGCAATGCTTCTGCCAAGACTACCATCTGTGGACTCACGGAATGCCTTATCCACTGTCACGGTATTCTGCACAGCATTGCCTCTGACCAAGGCACTCACTTTACAGCTAAAGAAGTGTGGCAGTGGGCTCCTGCTCATGGAATTCACTGGTCTTACCATGTTCCCCATCATCCTGAAGCAGTTGGATTGATAGAATGGTGGAATGGCCTTTTGAAGTCACAGTTACAACGCCAACTCAGTGACAATACTTTGCAGGGCTGGGGCAAAGTTCTCCAGAAGGCCATGTATGCTCTGAATCAGCCTCCAATATATGGTACTGTTTCTCCCATAGCCAGGATTCACAGGTCCAGGAATCAAGGGGTGGAAGTGGAAGTGGCACCACTCACCATCACCCCTAGTGATCCACTAGCAAAATTTTCGCTTCCTGTTCCCACGACATTACGTTCTGCTGGCCTAGAGGTCTTAGCTCCAGAGGGAGGAATGCTGCCACCAGGAGACACAACAATTCCATTAAACTGGAAGTTAAAATTGCCACCTAGATGCTTTGGGCTCCTCCTACCTTTAAGTCAACAGGCTAAGAAGGGAGTTACAGTGTTGGCTGGGGTGATTGACCCAGACTATCAAGATGAAATCAGTCTACCATTCCACAAAGGAAATAAGGGAGAGTATGCATGGACTACGGGAGATCCATTAGGTTGCCTCTTAACTGTGTATTACTGTGCCCTGTGATTAGGGTCAATGGGAAGCTACAACAGCCCAATCCAGGCAGGACTACAAGTGGGCCAGACCCTTCAGGAATGAAGGTTTGGGTCACTCCACCAGGAAAAAAACATGACCTGCTGGGGTGCTTGCTGAAGGCAAAGGGAATACAGAATGGGTAATAGAAGAAGGTAGTCATTAATACCATCTACGACCATGTGACCAGCTGCAGAAACAAGATTGTAATTATCATGAGTATTTCCTCCTTCTTTTGTTAAAAACATGCTTGTGCATGTTTACACTTGTACTAAGAAAATACCTTCATTTTATTTCCTTTTTCCTTTATGATATGACATGAGATTTATTGACTTCATATCAGCATTTAAGTATTGTTAACTTTATGTAATAGTATTTGGGCTGGGGATTGGTGCATTTCCGGTTGTACAAAGGATAGTGGTATTATGTTAGCTGTAATTATGACCTCATTATTGTCTTTATTTGAAGATTATATATGATATCAGGAGATGTGTATGGGTTCAAATTGACAAGAGATGGGCTTGTGATAGCTAATATTGAGTGTCAACTTGATTGGCTTGAAGGATGCAAAGTATTGATCCTGGGCATGTCTGTGAGGATGTTGCCAAAGGAGATTAACATCTGAGTCAGTGGGCTGGAAAAGGCAGACCCACCCTTAATCTGGGTGGGCACCATCTAATGAGCTGCCAGCATGGCTAGAATATAAAGCAGGCAGAAAAACATGAAAAGACCAGACTGGCCTAGCCTCCCAGCCTACATCTTTCTCCTGTGCTGGATGCTCCCTGCCCTCGAACATCAGACTCCAAGTTCTTCAGTTTTGGGACTCGGACTGGCTTTCCTTGCTCCTCAGCTTGTAGACAGCCCATTGTGGGACCTTGTGATCATGTGAGTTAATACTTAATAAAGCCCTTTTTTTATATATCTGTATTTTCTTAGTTCTGCCCCTCTAGAGAACCCTGACTAATACAGGTGCTGATGACACTCATCCCACATCATGTGTCTGGAGAAGCAGAGGCCACTCTACAGAGACAGAAGAGTGAGAGAGCAGCACAGAGAAGCTCATAGAAGAGACCCTCTGAGAGAGTCCCATCAGAGCTCAGACCCCAGGTTCCAGAGGAAGAGCTTGAGCTCATCTCCATTCCTGCCCCTAAACTCACTGACACACATGTCTGCTCACTAGTGTCCCACTTTGGGCTTTATGCTTGCTGGACTCTTGTTTTGGCCTATGAAGGCCTCTGAGAGCTGTATGAATTCCCTATGACTGCTGTAACAAATTATCAAAAATACAATGGCTTAAAACAACATAAATACCTTCTGTATCAGTGCTGCAGGCTAGAATCTAACATAGCTCTCCCTGGGCTATAGTCAAGTTGTGAGCATGGCTGGTTCCTTTCTGGAGGCTCCAGAGGATAATCTGTTTCCCTGCCTTTTCCAGCTTCCAGAGGCCACCCACATTCCCTGGCTGGTGGCCACCTTTATCCATCTTCAAAGCCAGCAACAGTGCATGTCTCTAACCATTCTTCACTAGCTGTGGCTTCCTCTGACCATAGCAGTGCCCCTTTTAACCCATGTGATGAGATTGGACTCACGTGGATAATTCAGGCTCTTCTCTCCATCAAGATCTTTAACTGAATCACATCTAAAAAGTCGCTTTTGCCATGTAAGGTGACATATTCACAGGTTCTGAAGATTAGTATGTGAATGTCCTATGAGAGGATTTCTGCCTACAACAAGAACCCCACTCTGATTCTGGCTCTACTCCAAGACTCATTCCAGATCCCTTTCTATTCTGACCCAGGCTTGACGATCCAGTCTTGTCCTGCCACCTGGGTCCCAACAGGACAAAACAATGGTTCCCTAATTCCATTCAACAAATAGAAAGCTTAGGGCACAGTAAGAAAGCCACAGCCACAAAAATTAAGTCTCTGTATACACTCACAAACACCAGTCTGTCTCCCAAAGTGGACATAGAGTTCAAATTTCCTTAAGAAAATTCCTCCCACTTGACAAATCAATGTTTGACTTCATGGTCCACTTACCATAATTAGGGTTTCCTGGTACTTCTCAAAACATTCAGCTCCTTCTACACAATGTTAGAAGTTGCATTCCTGGAAGAGGCACATACTATGTTTTACCCTAGTAAGCCTGACTGGCAAGAACTGACAGGTCATAGGATCGGCCACTGGAGACTTCTGAAAACTCTTCTGATTCCAGCCCAAGGCTCAATATGCTCTTCTGAGCATTCTGCCAACCACGTAAGTGTGTTCCCACAGCACCGTGGAATGTCAATTTCCTCACATGTCAGGAAGGCAGGTATACCAATTGTATTTGACTAGGAAGGGACACTATGTCTGCATGTCCAACAATGGCTGTCAAATGGGGGTAATGTTGTCCTCCAGGGGACATTTGACAATGTCTGGAGACAATGGGTAAGGTGCTACAACTGGGGACATCTAGTGGGTGGAGGCCAAGGATGCTGCTAAAAACCTCCTAAAATGCATTAGACAGACTCTCATAGCAAAGAATTATCTGTCCCATTGTGCCAATTGTGCTAAGTTTGGGAAACCCATTCTAAACAATTCAAATAACAAGATGTTAATTCTCCATTTGATTTGCTCAAAACTGTTGAGGAAAGGGTAAATGTCATTGGCAATTTATGAGTGAGGAAACTAGAGTACAGACTTCCCAGGGACTTATAACATTTTAAACACCAGAATAATTATTAGATAAGACAGGTTTCTTCAACACATTCCTGTTGATTTGCCTAAAAGAGCAGGAAGGATTCAGAACCAGATGTGTGACCAATGAAAAAGGTAACAGCTTAAACAGTTTTCCACAATGGAGCTCAGCTACCTGAAAGACACATGCCACAAATAGCTGTTGAATAAACAGAAATTGGTTTCTCCAAAGTATCTGAACACAATTTATCCTCAAGTGTCCTGGACAAAGTTAACCTGTTCCTTTACTTAACAAAACTTTTCTTTATAGACAGTGCAAACTTCAGCTCAAATCTTTCTCATACTAGCATATAAGCCACTCTTTCTCTTCACCCTTGCACCAAATACTTGTCAATACCAGGTAGAGGGAGTGTGCCAGGCACTGGGGTACAGTGAATCCCAAAGCAAACCTAGAGGCTAGCTGCAGGGAGCCTACAGTCTAGTGGAGAACATAGAGATTGCATACTAACTATAAAATTAATGAATGAACTGCAATTGTGATATTGTTCAAAGGAGAAAATACAGAGTGCTTGTAAATCGGGGGTGAGGGCTAGCTTAATCTAGGGCGAGTTGGGGGAGGCACTTCTCGGGAGGTGATATTTGAGCTAAAGAGTCAAGATGAACTAACTAGGTGAGGATTGGGTGGCATTTCATTTTAAGCCAGAAAAAAATTTATACAAGAGAATATGCAAATAATAATTTCAAAAAAGTAGGCAGCAGAAAATGGACCTGAAAATAATAATAATAATAATAATAATAATAGAATTTTCCAGAATTGAAAAACTTTATCGAGAAGGAATAACTCAAAGCTTTAGAAGCTTGCCTACCCTCAGACCTCTACTCTGTAGCACTGAAGACAATGGAAAGTATTGAAAAATGCCTCACAATTTCCAGAGATGACAGATATGGGGTTTCTTTTTGGTATAATAAAAATGTTCTAAAATTGATTGCATTGATGATTGCACAACCTTAGGAATATATTAAAAACTGCTGAGTTGTACACATTAAATGGCTGAGCTATATGGTAGGGGAATTATATCTCAATAAAGCTGTTAAAAATTCTTGGGGAAAATTATTTCCAAAATACAACCAAGAGTGATATCAACAAAAATGCATTTTCAGACGTTCAAGAAATCTAAAATTTTACCTCCCAAGCTCCATTTCCAGAAGATATGTACCATCGAAATAAAGGAAAAACAGAGAGCTGTAGGAGCTAAGAAACAGATTTAACTCAGGAGAGAGGTGAAAAGAATTCTAAGATGAATGGTGAATGGACAAGAGCCATGTAGAGGCCTGGGAACCAAATCAGTTCAGAGGCCAGCAGACACCAGATGGCTCCAGGAGGGATATCTCAGGAAGAAAATGAAAAAGTGGATTGCTAATATGTATGGATATATTAAGAGGAGATTTTTGCGTCTGTCAGAAAGCTTTGGAATTAACTAGTAAGAGGTACCTAGAAAACCATTAAAAATAAGTGATTATTACCTCCAGTAAAAGAAAAAAGGTTGCACAGGGAAGGAAATTTAACTAGAGTACACTATTTGACCTGGCTTGTAAACAACAATTCAATAATAACTATTGTGTAAAAAATCAACACTGATTTAACAAAACTTGGCAATATAACTGTTTTGGAAGGATAAGAAAATAAAGAGAGACAGAGATAGAGAGAAAGAGACAAAATGAGAAAGAGAAAAAAAGTGTGTGTGTTAGAGGTTGGTCAATAAGAGACAAATTCTCTCTTTTCATAGTGGAATGTCAGAAGATGATAACTAATTTAAAAGAATCTGGGGAAAGAGTACTAAAAGCATTTTATTCCAAAATATTGAGATTAAGAAAAAGAAAACAGAAGAAACAGCTAATGGGTTTGCAATTGTTGTCTTGGGAGACCAGAATTGAAACTGAGAAAAGTATGAGACATGGGCCACCATGTTTTATTAAAAGTAGCATTATTTGGCCTTTTAAACTACAAAATAATTTTTAATTAAAAAATCAATCCACTTCACTCCCTTGGCACGTTTTCAGCTTTTCCACTCATTTTAGGGTCATTTTCTTCCAATGCATGCAAGGATTGTGGCCAATTTATACCTCTGTTACACATTCAGAGCAGGACTAAAAAGCAAAATTTCTTTTTCTTCTTAAGAGTTCATATTTTACTATGTTTCTCTGGAGAGAAAGTCAGTGGAAGTTTATGTGAATAAAATTGGAAAGCATTTTGCTTTTTACTTTCCATTGCCTGGCTTGTGTTCTAAATGTATTGCCAATTGACCACTCTGCTGGCTGTGCTAATGTTATTTTTCAGATGGACTTTAAAGAAAAACTGGAGATCAGAATGTTATTAGAAAAGAAGAAAAATATTGACTTCTGTGAAAGTTAGCAAATATTTCATCTGTCAAAAATGCTTACAAAAATCATAGGCTCAACCATTCCTTCAACCTGGATTGAAGCTAACACAGCATAAAAGATATTCCCACAGAGAGAGATCTTCATTGAAAATAAAGAAGCTTCCTAGCAGGCATGAAAGATGGTACTGAGTGAGCAAAATCCACACCATGAGAGTTGTATATTCTCAAGACCAGCTGGCGTGCTGAGAGCAAGCAGGGAGATTTGCTGCAGTCAACCTGTAGTGCTGGATGGCATCCTGGAAAGATCAGGGACTTTCAAGCCAGGCAGAACTGGGCTCAAAGACTTGCTCTGCCACATCCTAACTATGCCACCTCCAGTGGTTGTGGTTCTCTGTAGCAATAAGTTGATAAATCCTAACTTCAAGGGATGTGGTAGGGAACACAGTTAACAATACTTACTATTACAGTAGCTCAACACATGGTAGTTATTGTCATCATGACCATTTTGTAATGAAATATGACATCTCCCCGCCCTGAATGACACACAGGGACTCAGGCATTCAACTGACTGCCATTTTGCCACTTCCAGTGGGAAGGCAAGGCCAATGTACAGAAACATGCACCTGGAGGAATCATGTCTTTTCCTGTTTGAAAGTCTACCTTTCTCTCAAATCAAAATTACCCAACATGGCTTAGAAATTGGACACTTACCGGAAATTCCGAAAAGACCAGAAACTTCTGGAGGATTCTGAGGGGAAAACATTTACCTTCTGGATCTAAACTGGCCACAATTCTGAATGAGCCTCATACTGTGGACAATCTAGTGGCTAGATTACATGTAGGCCTCACACCATGTGCTCTATCCACACATACAGTGTGTATGTGTGTATGTACTCATTAGAGAAGAGACAGAGAGGAAGGGGGCAGGGTGAAATGCCCGTATATAAGGCCAAAGTCATCTTGGGTCATGCATGATGAGTTTCCCAGCACGTTAATGTTTGCACTAACAAGTATCAGACAGCAAATGGAAGAAGACATGCTAACTCAGCTGAATGCAGCAGGCCGTGGAGGAATACGGCACAGACCTGATGCCTGTTCTCCCCATCTTCTTCTCTCTCCTCACTTTGCCATGTGTTCTCCCTTGGAAATATTTACTGTACAGTTAGTTACCGCCTTTGTGCAAGAGAAACAAACACAAGACAATGAACCAATGAACCTTCATCTCTGGCATCACAGCACTTGAACTAGCGTTCACAGCTGCTAAACCTCACCTTGCCTTCCACTGATGATGCCCATCTGTCCTTGTCTCCATAAGCATCACACAGCAGTCTCAACCCTTCCAAGCTACCTTCACCTTTTGTTAAAAAAAGAGTTCTCTATAAATTTGAATATAGAGTATAACACATCTTTAACTACCTTAATATTTTTATTAAGATTATTGTCACTTTTAGTAGTGATCTGGTTCCCAGTTGCTTGGGTTTTTTGAGGTCTTCCCAAAGAAGCTCCCTTACTTTCAGTGCACAAATTTTGCAGAATGTGAGGTTTTAAAGACTGGTATATTACCACAGAAACAGCTCTTCTGGGTGAGAAGAGCTCCATGGTTTTCCTCACACCCCTCAGCTGGCTCTGATGTGAACATCTCCTGTCATAATCACTTTCCATTGCACAGCATCATGTAGTTCCAGCAATCAGTACAAACATCTACTGGATGGTGACGATGGGCCAGACACAATTCTAAACTACTATACTTGTTTTATTTCATTTAATCAACACTATGAGGTATCATTATTATTCCTGCTTTACAGATAAGGAAACTGAAGCACATGAAATCAAGTAACTTGCTCTCAGTCACACAGAAAGTGGCAAACTTCTTCACTGCTAAGCTTACTCCCCCTTCAATGACAGGAAGACACCACCTGGCAGGATTTTCATCTCCCCTGCAAGATTATGCTTCTGAGCACGGAAGGTTAAGAGCACTTCCCAGTTCACTCACAGGTAGAATGAGGCTCCAAACCCAGGCATCCTGGTCACTATACTGTGCTACTAACAGCAGAAGAAAGGGAAGGGAAGTTGAAAGATATCAAAGCTAATAAATAAGTAGTGGAGGTACAGGAACATTTAACAATGCAAAGGTAAACACTAAGAATGGTAATGAATCAGCTAAAATTGGAAGGAGGAGTAGAGGAAGGGGACAGGGTATGAAGGATTACACAAATTTAACCATTGTTCATAATAGGATGTTAATAGTATCTGAAGAAATACTGTATTGAGCATTATATAAAATTATAGTCATAATTTTATGACTATAAAATTAGAGAGAGGCCTTCTTAACTATCAGAGGAAACACAGTCCTATGCTGATACACAAGAAACACACAAAGCGATTCAGAAAAGTTGAAATCGACTTACGGACACACAGAAAGCATGCCAAGAATGCATTTGTAAAACCTGAAGGTGGAATTCAGGGCCAAAAGCATCAAGTCAGACAAATAATGGTATTACATTATTCCAAAAGACACAGCTCACAATAAGGCATTAAACAGTTATGAATATCTATGCACTAAAACATAGCATCGACATTAATGAAAAAAATTATAGAAAAATACAGGGAGGGATAAAGACAAACTCTCTAGACTGTAATGGGTCATTAGTATGAAGGAAACTAAATATCATAATTAATAAGGTAAATCTAATTAATAGACTTGAAGTTCTGTAGTCTAAAAACAAAAATCATCTTTCTTTTCAAGCATTCGTGGAGCATTCACAGAAACTCTCCCTATTTTAGGCCTCAGAAGAAACTTCCAAAACATCAAGAAATTAGAAAGTAGAGACAACATTATCTGATGCAATGAGAAATGTATTAATAAAAATTAAAAATCCAAAAACCTCCCCCAGGGGAAATGTAAATCAGTCTCTTAGACAATCTTGGACTAAATAGAAAAATCAGAAGAAGCCTCCTGAAACCATGCCTAAATGTATTCAGAACACAGAAAATGAAGGAAGATTTCATACCAAAAACCAACAAAGATTGCCCACCAAAAGTAAACCTTTACCATACTGTCATGTGTGAATAGTGATGCAAAAATCATAAATAAAATAGTAGCAAACAATATCATTTACAATTGCTCAAAAAGACAAAATACTTAGACGTAAACCTAACAAAAGGTTTACAAAAAAGCACAGAAAACGGGACTCGCATGCTGAAAACTGTAAAATTCTGATGAAAGAAAACAAAGAAGATTTAAATAAATGGAAAAATATCCCATGTTCATGGTTTGGAAGATTCAACATGGTAAAGATGCTATCTACAAATGTACACACAGCTTTACTGCAATTCCTACCAAGTTCCTAGTAAGATGTTTTTGTAGCTATAAACAAGATTATTTTAAAATTAATATAGAAAAGCAAAGGAGCAAGAATAGCTAAAACAATTTCTTAAAAGAATGAAGTGGGAAAACCAGCCTCCCCAGTTTCAAGATATTATATAGCTACAGTCATCAGGACTGTATGATAGTAAGGGTTCTGTGGAACAGAACAGAAAAATAAATCAGGGTGGGCAAGGTGGCTCACACCTGTAATCCCAACACTTGGAGAGGCCAAGGCAGGTGGATTACCTAAGCCCAGGAATTTGAGACTAGCCAGGGTAATATAGTGAGACCCTGTCTCTACAAAAAATTTTAAAAACAAAAATTAGCCAGATGTTGTGGTGCATGCCTCTAGTCCTTGCTTCTCGGGAGGCTGAGTCAGGAAGATTGCTTCAGCCTGGGAGGTTGAGGCTACAGTGAGTCATGATTGTGCCACTGCACTATAGCCTAGGTAACAGAGCAAGACCTCACCTCAAAAAAAAGAAAAAAGAAAAAAAGTTAAAGAAAGAGAAATAAAACCATACAAATATGTCCAACCGATTGTTTACAAGTGCAAAATCAATCTGATGGTGGAAGGATAGATCTTTTCAACAATTGGTACTGAAGCAATTAAGTATTTATAAGCAAAATAAACCAACTGATATGGTTTGGCTGTGTCCCCACCCAAATCTCATCTTGAAGTGTAGCTCCCACAATTCCCATGTGTCATGAGAGGGACCTGGTGGGACGTAATTGAATCATAGGGGCAGGTCTTTTCCATGCTGTTCTCATGATAGTGAATAAGCCTCATGAGATCTGATGGTTTTATAAATAGGAGTTTGCCTGCACAAGCTCTCTCTTGCCTGCCACCATGTAAGATGTTCCTTGCTCTTCCACCATGATTGTGAGGCCTCCCCAGCCATGTGGAACTGTGAGTCAATTAAACCTCTTTCCTGGTTTCTCTGGTATGTCTTTATCAGCAGCATGAAAACAAACTAATACACAAACCTTGACCTAAATCTCACCTTTTATATAAAAATTAACTCAAAATGGATAATAGCATTAAATGTAAAACATAAAACAATAAAACTTGTAGAAGATAAAAGAAAGATGTTTGAGATCTAGGGCTTGATAAAAGAAATTCTTAAACATGACACCAAAAGCACAATTCATAAAAGCAGGAAATTGAACTTGGTTGAAATTTAAAACTTTTGCTCTGCAAAGTTGATGTGAAGCCAACCTAAGAAGACAGAAAGACAAAATATTGACTGGGAGAAAATATTTACAAACCACATGTCCAACAAAAGACATATATCAAAAATCTGCTAGATGAAGAACTCTCAAGAGTGAAAACGTAAACAATGCAACTAGAACATGGACAAAAGACAGGAAGAAACATTTCACTAAAAAGGATATCTAGATGGCAAATAAGCACATAAAAACACATTCAACATCGCTAGCTATTAAAGAAATGCAAATTAAGATGGTGACGAGATATCATTACGCACCTGTCAGAATGGCTAAAATAAAAAATAGTGATAAGATTAAATGCTGGTGAGGATGCCCAGAAACTGGATCACTCAGACATTGCTGGTGGAAAGATAAAGTGAACAGTCACTCAAGGAAACAGTTTGGCAGTGTCTTACAAAACTGAATACGCAATGAACAGACAAATGTGTATAACCAACGTGGAAAAAAAATTTTTTTTTTTTTTGAGACAGAGTCTCCCTCTATTGCCTCGGCCTCCCAAAGTGCTGGGTTTATAGGCATGAGCCACTGCACCCAACCCAAACAAACAACAACAACAACAAAATTAAACACAAACAGTACCAGGAGTAAAAAGAAATATCTGAACAAATGGAAAAGTCAACATCATGTCTTTAGAGAGGAAGACACTGATCTCAGATATGCCAATTCTCCCTCAGTCCCTCAAGTTAAGGCAATCCCCTAAAAGATCAACAGAAATTTTTCATGGAGATAATTTGGACCTTATTGAAAACTTTGTATGAAAGAGAATATAGCAAGAATAGCCAGAAAAAGTCTGAAAAGATTAATAAGGAGAAAGAACTAAGTCCATGGGATAGCAAAACAATGCACACTATAATAACCACAGCCATGTAGTTCTGGCAAATAAAAACAGAACAATGTGACAGAATAAAAAACCCAAAAGTAAACCCCACAATAGACAGGAATGTAGGCTATCCTGGGGGTGGCATTTCGGTTGGAAAAAATATGGATCACATAATAATGTTGGGATTTCCTGGAAGCCATTTGAGAAAAAAAAAAAAAAAGCTTGATATGTTACATATACCCTACACCAAAATAAATTCCAGATGGTTCAAAGATGTCAATGTAAAAATTGAAATAATAAATGTACTAGAAGAAAATATAAGGAAAATTATTTATGTGTTTAGAAGGGGTAAGGGCTTTCTTACTCCTTCTAAAGTATGACATATCTTAAGAAACTGATGATATTAACCATATAGAAATTCAAAATTTTTGCACAGCAAAAGGTGCCATAAGCAAAGTGACAAGAAAGGGAATAATTGGGGAAATACGAGTAGCTCAAATCACAGTCAAAGAATAATTTGGAGGGATGCAAGGTAAGATTGAGGAGCTACCTCAATCATGCAGGTCTACCATGCTGGAGTTTCACAGCAATCACCTTGCTGGTTAGACCTTCTCCCTCCAACTCCCCAAATCCGTGCAAGCAGCCATCATCAGCTACAGCAAACACCACCAGATGTGGCAAGTGGGCAGAGTCAGTCACATAAAAGGAGCGCTAGTAGTCCCCAACCTTCATTTGTGCAAGGCACTGGCTGTTGCCCACCTCTACACACAAGTAGGGAAAGCACTATTAAATCCCTTTCTACTCAGAGCAAAGAGTCCCAGAAGCTTTCCTCGTTTTTTAGGCCAGTTCTCTGCTGGAACCATGAGGAAGCTGGCCGCCTCCTCTTCCTGTCCATCACCTCCTGACAGCTGCATTCCAACAGGTTAGCGGGCTTGAATCTTACCCATGGCCAAATTATAACTTTGGGCAGGACTGCTGATTCCAGGAGGGCTGGGCTTGCCTTTTGCAGCTGCTGGGAATAATATGCAAAAAAAAAATGAAAATGTTATCTTATGTCTACAATAAGCATGGGTGCACACAACACTTGAAACATGAGTATGCACTCATCTCTCTCTCTCTCTCTCTCTGTGTGTGTGTGTGTGTGTGTGTGTGTGTGTGTGTGTCTTTCTCTCTCTCTTTCTTTGCTGGAACTCTAATCATGTAGTTAAATGGCTCTGCCATGTTCTCAGTACAGCCAAATGTGGGACACTGTGTGAACTGTTGATTTATTGGATTTTTCACTGTGGACTGGTTACCATGGCTTTTTGAGAATTCAGACCACAGGAGGAAATGCTGTAAACTTAGAAATATTATCTATTCTCCATTACCTCCAGCAAAAATATCTATCAGGCAGAAAGCTGGCGAAATGCCACTTTGGGGGCCAAGTCACAATAAATTTGGGTACAGGGTGAAGCAGTTCCTAAACAGCCCCAGTGCAGAGAACTAAAAGTACCAAGGTACTGAAAGCCCCCAAAATCTGGAATAGTTGCTTGAGGGACTGGGAAGAGAGAAACCCAGGAAAGAACTCATAAGAATCCTAAAGAAGAGAGAGAAGTGGGTCAGCCCTGCCTCTGTCCAGTGTTGAGCAGGCACTGCCTACAGCTGGGAGCTCCAGGACCCATGACCCAGTATCGGACAGCCAGGCATAGAGGAGGCTGGTCAAGTCATTTGAGGACTTTCATGTGCCCTCGGCACTTTGCCTTTTGTGGGCACCATTAATTTACTATTGCTGACACAAACTTAGTGGTTTAAACCACAGACATTTATTCTCTTATGGTTCTGGCGGTCAGAAGTCCTAAAATCAGGGCTGCATTCCTCCTGTGGGCCCTGAAGAGAGTCCCTGTTCTTGCCTTTTCCAATGTCTGCAGGCCACCCCTGCCTTGTTGTAGGTCTCCTCCTCCATCTTCAAAGCCAACCATAGCCAAGCCCTTCTCAAGTTGCCATATCTCTGTTATTTCCTCCTGTCTCTTCTTCCATATTTAAGAACCCTAGTGATTACATTGGGCCTACCCAGATCATCCAGAAAAATCTTTTCTACCCTAAAGTCAAGCAATTAGCAGCCTTAATTTCATCTGCAAACTTAATTCTTTGCCATGTAACCAACCATATTCACAGGTTCCAAGCATTAAGATAATGACATCCTGTGGGTGGAGGCCGGGGGTGGGGGGCGTGCCAGGGGGTGGGGGTTGTGGGGGCGGGGGTGGGGTGGGGAACAGACTGGTGCAGGGCAGTGGTGTGATTATTTTGCCAACCATGGGCCCCTTCCTCCAAAAAGAAAAGTTTTAAATATATTTTATGACTATGGTGGTATAAAGATGAATATATTAACATTACATATTAGAATGTTTTCTTCAACCTACAAGTTTGGGGGTTTTCTTTTGATTTTAAAAGAAATTAAATGCTTTCATGGGCCCCTAAAGGTCATGAGGCCCCAGGAACTGCATCTCCTGCATCTGAACGGTAAGTCAGCCCTGGGGGAGCCATGCAATGGCCCCAGCCCCAACTCAGAAGCACTCAGATGAAGCACATACAAGACCAGGCCTGTGGAGGTGTCTACACTTGCACAGGCCTCACAACACAGGAGAAAGCCTTGAGCAATAGTGTTGTGGGGAGGGATGTGCACTGGACAGGGAGGAGGGGGCAGAAAGGACAGGATTTTACTATGAGGCAAAGTAGGTGCTGTGGTTGAGTGTGTGTCCCTCCAAAATTCATATGTTGGAACCAAATCTCTAATGAGATGGTATTAAGAGGTGGGGGTAGGCTGGGCACAGTGGCTCACACCTGTAACCCTAGCACTTTGGGAGGCCGAGGTGGGTGGATCACCTGAGGTCAGGAGTTCAAGACCAGTCTGACCAACATGGCGAAACCCCGTCCCTACTAAAAATAAAAAAATTAGCTGAGCATGGTGGTACACGCCTATAATACCAGCTAGTCAGGAAGCTGAGACAGGAGAATTGCTTGAACCCAGGAGGCAGAGGTTGCAGTGAGCCGAGATCGTGCCATTGCACTCTAGCCTGGGCAACAAGAGCAAAACTCTGTCTAAAAAAAAAAAGAAGTGGGTCTTTGGGGGTAGAGCAGAGCCCTCATGAATGGATTAGCGCTCTTACAAAAGAGGGTGAAGCGAGCACCTGAGCGTCTTTTGCTTTTCCATCCTTTCCGCCATGGGAGGAGGACACAGAGTTCATCCCCTCTGGAGGATGCAGCAACAAGGCGCCATCTGGGAAACAAAGAGGAGCCCTCAAAAGACATGGAACCTGCCAGCACTTCGATCTTGGACTTCCTAAACGGTGAGAAACAAACTTCAATTACGTATAAGTTTCCCAGTCTAAGGTATTTTTGTTATAGCATCATGAACAGACTAAGACAGAAGGTTAAGCCACGTTACTTGGGCTTTCTAAACCTGTTTTCTTATGCATACAATGAGAGAAGAAAGGAACCCATGTGGGCAGGGTTACAATGAACAGCATAGGAGGTAACACAGGCAAAGTGCCCAGCCGCCCTGGTGTAGGGAACCCATGTGCTTTTATTTTTAAAAAGTTCCTGCCGGCCAAATTTATGCCAACAAAATACAGATGTGTCACAGGAATGTTTTCATAAAATGTCAGATGCTACTTCTTAGCTGCAACATAATTCAGTTGCCAGGCCTTTCCTGGGTGCCCTCTGGAGGCACTGGGGGTGCTGGAGGTCCCAGCTAGGGATAAATAGGGCTTGGAGGTGCTCAGAGGTAAGATGAGGCCACCCGGTAAATGAGAGAAGCTTCAGCTTATTGTGTCTCTGCCATGTGTCCAGACCGCACTCATGGCTTTCCACAGGCATCTCAGCAACACTCAGCAAGCTGAAAGAATGAGGCATCTCCTCTTCGCACAGTCCAGGAAACTGAGGCTTGGAAGGGCAAGATGGCCACTGGCCCACCCACCTACTCAAGGCCGGTGGCAACTGCCTCCCAGTTAACGCCACTAGGACCACACAGAGCAAGTGAGAGCCATCAGAGAACCGAGGATGTGGTCCGAGCACATTTCGGCTTAGCTGGAGATAAGATAGAGGAATGGGGTAGGGGCAGTGCTGGCACGAGAATAGGACCCTCTACGAAAGGGAAGGAGACCTAAGGAAACAGCAGCAACAGCAGACCCCTTACAGGGCACTTGCTACATGCCAAGGACAATCTTAACTGCTTGATGTGAATTAACTCATTTAATCCCCACAACAACCCTATGTGGTAGCTGCTATTACATCTCCATCTTACAGATGAAGAAACTGAGGCCCGAAAGGCTCAGAAATAGGTTCAAGGATGTGCAGCTCGGTAGGTCTGGAATCCCAGTCTCACTCCAGAATCTGAGCTCTTATTCACTCTGACACCGGTGAGGACCTGGTAATCGGGGACAGAGAGCAAAGGAGCGGAGCTGCATCCCCACAGGACGTCCAGGAGCAGGTTTCCTCCCAGTGCTTTCTGCACTAAAGAGCCCCCGCTATGCTAGGTGGACTCTGGCTTGTCTCCAGAGGAGACAGTGTCAGGAGGGGCTGGTCACAGAGACCTGCCCTGTGCAGGGCTCTAATCTAGCACTGGAGATTCAAGGGCAGACAACCCTGCCTGCTCCCCAGGAGCAACGTCAGGGTAAGTACAAACAAATAGATAGGTGGTCAAATAAAGCCAAGAGAGGACATGAAGCAACTGAGGCTGGGTTTTAAAAGGTGGGCAAAGAAGGCCTCTGAGCACAAGGAGGGTTGTGCCTGCAGGCAGAGGAAATGGCAAAGTGCAAAGGCTCCAGGGCAGCAGCAGGCCTGGTGTGTTTGTGGAACAAAAAGGATGCTCCTGGGCTGGAGTGCCATGAGCGAAGGGAATGACATCAGATGGGCAGTAGGAGCCAGTCTCCATAGGCCCTTGTGGGTTGCTATAGTCTGGCTGTTTGACCTCTCCTAATGTCATGTGGAAATCTGATCCCGTGTTGGAGGTGCAGCTTAATGGGAGGTGTCTGGGTCATAGGGACAGATCCTTCGTGAATAGAGTAATGCCCTCCTTGGTGGGGGTGCAGGGGGTGCTGAGTGACTTCTTGCTCTATTAGTTTCCCCAAGCTTCCATGACAGCTGGTTGTTAAAAGAAGCCTGGCACCTTTCCCCTCTCTCTTGCCTCCCCTCTCCCCATGTGATCTCTGCACACACAAGCTCCCCTTCACCTTCCGACTTGAGTGGGAGCAGCCTGAGGCTTTCACCAGATGCAGATGCAGGCACCATGCTTCTTGCACAACTGCTGAATCATGCACCAAATAAACCTCTTTTCTTTATAAATTATCCAGCCTCAGATATTCCTCTATAGCAACACCAATGGACTAAGACATGGGTCAAGGGGTGGGGGAGTTAGTGAGCTAATCAGGGAAGGAGGCCCACAGCAAGGGGGCCTCCCCATGAAAAAACAGGCGGGAAGCAAAGGCAGAGTGTGCCCAGCAACCATCTGGGGGGTTTCCTGGGGAGTCACACCTGGGGAACAAGGACCCTCAAATAAAGCGGGGTGGAAGCTTCCAACCTAGAAAAAACTCTAAAATTGTTTCCATTTCAGAGATTTCCCCGTCTGAGAGCTCATGCCTTCATCATCAACACCCAGAAAGCCAAGAACGAGCCCCTTGTGAAAGCTTTATTTAATTTCAAATAACTATCCCTGCATTGCTGAAACTTAACATAAAATGCAGAAATGACTGCATGCCTGGCATTCTACTTGAACTTAGAGATGTTTTCATTAAAACGCTTCTATTTCATGCTAAACACTATGGTTCAGAAACTGACAGTTTTCAAAGAGGTTAGAAAGGAGTTTGGAAACTTCTCTCTCCCCAGCCCCACATAGGTGCCAAACATTTCATTTCACCCTTAAGCGAGGAGACACAGCATGACACATTCTGAAAACACACACACCCTCTCTCCTGAGAAGATGGGTGAATGATTTATAAAGTGCTGGCCTCACTTTGCATTCTGCTTCTGAGCTCCTGGCCTGGCCCCACGCCTTCTCTCTGCACTATGGCAGGCTGCTGCCATGTGGGCCCAGGTCCCTTGGGAGGAACAAGGGGACACAGAGGCCGGGACGATGCCTCAGGGGAGCAAAAAGCTGGATCCAGTGGAAGAGAAAGGGTGGACTTGCTGAATGCTTCCTACTGTGAAAATGGGAAACTCAGCCAAAGGAGGTGTTTGGGGAGGCTCGGGCTCCCCGACGCCCTGGACCAAGGTCCTCCAGCTGCTTCTGTATTTGCCTCTGCCCTTCTCACCTTCCTTTCCGCTTCTGCTAGACCCCACTGTCACTTCAGCTGCCTCCTCATCTCCTCTCCCGACCCTTGCAGGGTCCAGTGTACCCTGGAGATCCCCGCAACGGGGATGGTGCTGAGTAGCCAGTCCTCAAGCCTCAAGATTCCCAGAAATCTGCTCCTTTGGAACCTCCCCTTGGCTCCATCTCAGCCCCTTGAACCCTGACCCCAGTCATCAACTCCACTGCCCTGTGGGGTCCTCAAATAGGGCCACTGTCTTCCCCTGCCAATCCTCCATCACTTCTGAAGCCTCATCTCCCACAGCGGCTCCTGAACCTGCCCTGCACCTCCAGGTAATCAGCCCTCTAGCTTGAATTCCTGCCCCACCAGCCTTGAGTCTCACAGTCCCTCACTCCTGACACAGTTTGTGCCACCAGTGCCACAACGCCCTTGTTCCTGATCTCCTCCAGCTGCAACTGCCACCAACTCCACTGCCCCTGGTGAACATACCACCAAGCGTGCCCAAAAGAACAGTGACAATTCCACATCTCCAACACCCACAGAGCCCTCTCTGCAACTGGAGAAAGATGCTCTCTGTCCCTTATCTCAATGCAGATCTTACACTCTCTGAGTTTCCAGACCCGAATCCTGTCACATCCCCTGTCTGCAGAGGACTCCACCTCCTACTTCACCAAGAATGTGAAACCCTCTGGGGTGAAGGCTTGGAACAGCCCTGAGCACTGCTCCCCACCTTAACTATATCAGGGTATAGGAGAACTTCCTCCTTTTCAGGTGAGCCCCTGCCCCAGTTTCAGCCCCTCAGGGACCTGCCCCATTAGCCACCCCCCACCAATTTTCCCTTCACCTGGATCTTCCCCCCAGGTGAGGTCTCAGGGTAAAGGAGACCCTCCTCCTTTCCAGGTGAGCCCCTGTCCCAGAGTCAGCCCCTCAGGGACCTGCCCCATCAGCCACCCCCCACTAACTTTCCCTCCACCTGGATCTTCCGCCCAGCGGAGAAACAGCCAGATTCCCAAGAAGCAAAGAGAGAAATTCACCTTTCTTGTCCTGGTCTTCCTTCTGACGTTGGCATCTTACCCACTCCTTTCCTTCACCATCAGAATTCTCCAAAGAAAAGCTGAACGTGGAACTCCTGCTAAGACTTTCCATTGCCAACCAGAAAGCGAGCGTCTCAGGGCTCAGGGCTGAGCCTCCCCGTCCTTGTGCTCTCAGGCACAGAGCCTGGCTCACAGCAGAAGTTCCATCCATCTTCCTCTCATTAGCCTACCTCCTTCTTATAAAGTCAGCCAACCAGCTAACCTTCCTCAGCCCTCACCTCACAAACTCATTCATCAAATCGCTGCCCCACTTAAAAGACAAATGCACTGACTTCAAGATATACAGAGAATCATTTTGTCGATTAAAGAGTTAAAATTGAAAAGATTTGGTTACTTCAAACTGCCTGTATTTAGTCCAAATCATTAGAAGCATCTATTCACCTCAAGCAGAATAATTAACTTTTCAATCATCACATTGGTTATAATGGTTAGCACTCATATATCTAATATACTTTCTGTCATTAGGGAAATAAAAGACTGCTTTTCATTAGTATACTAACATTGCACAAAATTATAATGCAGTAGGGAAGGATATTTCATAATTGTGAGAAGTATAAATTATTCAATATCATTAAAACAATCTGGTTGTTTTAATGATATTAAATAATTTATATTTTTAATGATATTGGATAATTTATATTTGTATAAGTTATCGTATTACTTTCAAATAGCATGAATTATTTGGAAAACTAATAAAACTGCGGTTGTAGAACTTATCATCAACTTGGTTATGAGCTTGTGTCAGGACTGCGGTGGCTGAGCCTCGTGATTTCGCTGCTTCATCTCTCCCATTTGTCTCCCAGGTCTCACAGCAGCTCCCCTGTGCCCATTTACCATGGCATGCGCCTTGCTGAGTCTAGTAGACCCATGAAGGTATTGGACTCTTCCACTAGACTGAAAGCTCCCTGCAGGCAGGGCCATTTCTTGCTCACTTTTATATCCCTAGTGCTTATTGTAGAGTGCTTGATAACATCATAGGAATGAATTAGTAGACATCCAGAGAGCATCAGAAACAAATAAGATTATGCATGTTCATTTTAAAATTCCAACTACAGGGCAAGGCACGATGGCTCATGCCTGCAATCCCAGCACTTTGGGAGGCCGAGGCGGGAGGATTACCTGAGGTTAGGAGTTCAAGACCACCTGGCCAACATGGTGAAACCCTGTGTCGACTAAAAATACAAAAATTAGCTGGGCACAGTGATAGGTGCCTGTAATCCCAGCTACTCAAGAAGCTGAGTATCACTTGAACCTGGGAGGTGGAGGTTGCAGTGAGTCGATATCACTCCTCTGCACTCCAGCCTGGGTGACAGAGCGAGACTCCATCTAAAAAGTAAAATAAAATAAAATCCAACTATAAATGTCCTATAAAGGAAAAGTACATTTCTTAAGTGTTTATTATAACTCCAACTGCTAATCAAGTGTTTCTGTATTTCGATAGCCAGCTAGAAACCACTCTGAACAGCAACATCCATTTGGAAAAATCTACCGGGCTGGCAAGTTCCTCCCTTTCCGTTTCTAAAACATCACTAACCAAAATGCAACACGCTGTGAGACTAGGGTACGCTCTGCACGCTTAACTAGAAAACTCAAACTCTAATTCCAACTCTGCCATGGCTTGTCTTGGTGTGAATTCCACTTCTGCCTGCGACCCTGCAGAACCTGGGAAGCGGCAACAGGCACCAGGGAAGCGTGCAGGATAGTAACCTGCGCAGACCACCCTCAAGCTGTTTACTGGGCTCTTACACACAGATACTTCTACCAATTTGTCCTCCAGGGGTGTTCCTGTGAGGGAGAAGAGGGGAGGACCAGGCAGGCGACTGTCCCCAAATCCTCAGACTCATGCAAAGCAGCTTTCTCTGTCTATATTTTCTAAATATTTCCAAGAAAGATTTTATTTGAGAGAAGAATCTATACCTAAAAATAAAGCTTGAAAACCACAGTTACAGATAAACCCAAAGACGTGTGGCAGGAAGAGCCACCACTTACTCTGCACTTATTATGTGCTGGGTCATTTAAAACCTCATAATTTCATTTTACCCTCACCACGTCTTTATGAGATCGAGAGTAGTTATCCCATTTTTAGAGAACAGGAAACTGAGGGTCACAGAAGAGAAATCTCAGAACCAGCAAGGGCCTAAAGCCCTGAGCCATCCAGCTCCAGACACCTGTGGCTTCTCAATCTTCTCTTCCCAAACCCCTCCACATTCCCCCCTTACATGTATAATATAAATAAATGCTCATTCATGTATCATTATAGATCAATTAA
This sequence comes from Homo sapiens, assembly GCF_000001405.40. Lineage (NCBI taxonomy): Eukaryota > Metazoa > Chordata > Mammalia > Primates > Hominidae > Homo > Homo sapiens. The sequence continues at coordinate 123,839,394 of NC_000010.11, forward strand.
CTCATTATCATTCCATGTGAATGAGTCTTTGTCAACTCTTTACTTCATATTGATACCCGTTCATTAAAGAGTTATTTCTCGTGCATCTAATAGGTGCCTGGTCCTGGGTAAGGTCCCGGGAATAATGAGTGCCAAGACATGGATCTGCCATCAAGGGAATCACAGACTAGTGGGAAGAAATATGAAAACCAAACAACAGAAATATAAAAAAATGATACCATAGCCATCTGTACTGGGAGCAGTGTGGGGACAGGTCATGGCAAGAGAGAAAGGGAGATGACTACTGCCTTCTTTACTGTTAGTATTTAATGATACTCATTTTTGACGTTTTCTGGACATACTGAGATAGAAAAAGGCTCAGATACCAAGATGTATCCTCATCCCATTTCCTCTTCAGTCCTCGTTGGAGACAGTACTATTCCCAGAGATAAGACAAACCAAAACTCATCAGGTTTCTTTTCATTGTTCCTGGAGAATAATTTGGCTTGAAATACATTTTTTAAAAGTAACTCTTAAAGTAATTCTATCCCTTGCCTTCCCTCTGAGATGTTCCCATACTGTCTGAGCTGAGGAAAGATACTGTTCCACTGCAATTCCTTGCTTACCCCAACCCTTCTTGTGTTTCTAGCTGAAATGGAATGTGAGCTTTATACCTACCTTTCACTTATTTTCTAATACAATAATAACCCGACTACTGGGTCTCTAAGGACAGTGGCCAGACAGCTTAACATGCAAGCATTAAGGCAAAAATCCCCATGGATAATCTCAAACCAGTCTTTTGTTTTAAGTTTCCATTTTTTCTTGAGCAACCCAACTGCCCCCTTAAATTCTTGCCTTTCAGAATATCAACAGGGAAAACAATTGTCGTGGTAATAAGCTACTGCTAAAAGCAAAATGCATACCACAGAGCAAAAATCAGCATGTACATACACAAAAGTGACTGAAAAGCAAGGCAAATAAAATGTGATACACAAAATGGCATAAATGCATAATCAACTGTTGTCAAAATGCACAAATTATTTGAGCTCTGAAAATGTATTCAAAGAAAAGAATTCAAATGAAGAAAAAGTATGAAAATGTTTTCTCACAATATGATATATGATAATAGAAAATTGGGACAGTGGTGGAGGTGTGGCTGAGTAAATTACAGGCCATTAAAAATAATCATTACAAAGCCTGAGTAACAGCATGAAAAATGTTACTGGTATGTCTTTAAGTTAAAAATAAAATAACCGGATATGTAACATTATTGCAATATGGGGGGAAAAATCTGTTCGCATAAGGACCACGGAATCATGCATAATGTTTTAAAATTTTGCTGGATGTTATAATATTGTCTTTACAGTAAAAAAAAAATTCAGAGTAAAATAGATGATGAGTCACTGCCTGACAATTGTCACTGTATAAGAAAGTCCCCTTTGCAGGGACAATGACAGGTGGTTAAATGTAAGCACAGATGCCAGGTCCATCTCACTTATCCCACTTTATTTATTAATGTCGACCTTCCAGAAATTAAAATTAATCTAGTCAGCAAATTAAACTCTGATTTTATTTGATTGCCAACAAGTAATCAGTAAATATTGAAAGATGCCAAGACATGAGCTTTGAGAGTGCAGTATAGATGGGAGGGTTGGGGAGGACTGCAGACGGGAGGGATCTGAGCTCACAAAGATCACAGTTTCCTAATGTTCACGCGTGGGGCATTTGTGATCTTGGCTTCTCAATGTCGGCAGATGTTAGAAGAATTTGAAGATTTCTTGTATAAGTTCAGAAAGCACCTGAGGTCCTGCTGACCCTACTGCGCCCCTCCACAAAGCCCCCAAGCTCTGCGTGACCACCGTCCACATGGCTGGAGCCACACAACATCCCTCAGGGATGCAGCTCTACCTCCGTCTCCACAACCAGCCCTGAGCCGCCGCGGTCGACAGGGTGATTTTGTTCATGTATTTTTGCTTGCTTGTTGTAAAATAAACATAACATAAAATTTATCATTGTAACCATCTTGAACTGTACAGTTTTGTGGTATTAAGTTCATTCACATTGATTTGCAACCATCTATCTCCAGAACTTTTCATCAAGCTATACTGAACCTCTGTACCTCTTCAACATTAACTCCCAATTCCCCCTTCCTCCTAGCCCTGGCAACACCATTCTAATTTCTGCCTCTGTACATCTGACTGCTCTAGGTCATCATGGAAGTGGAATCATGCAGTGTTTGTCTTTTGTGACTGGTGTATTGCACTCAGCAGAATGTCCCCAAGCTGTACCCATGTGTAGCATGTGGCAGCATGCCTTCCTCTTTAAGGCTGAATAATATGTTTCACTGTATGCATATGTCATAAGACGGAGGGTTTTCAGGGGCTGCAGCCCATCTCTCCTGTGATTACCATCAGATCACACTTGTCACTGTCCCAGCCTTGGCCCTGAGTGAAATTCTGAGAAATGAGACCCCTTCTCATTCTCAGGCCTCAAGCTCTGTCATCCTTGACTTTCACTACTTCTCTCGTGATCCTCCATTTAGGAACCTAGATTTCCAGTCCTTCTTTCCAGGATCTGGACAATCCATGCCCTCTACCCCAGAACTGTGTACTCACTGTTTGTCCAGAGGTCCTGCCTTGGGCTGTGCCCTGGCCACCAGTCAAGACACTAATATCTCGTCCCAGAGCTGCCTAAACCGCCTGGATTTCACTGAGTCTGTGTCTACTCTGCTCTACCTGACAGGCAGATCTTTCTCTCCACTCCTGTACAGGGGGAGGGTGTCGTTCTGAAACGCACCATCCCCCCCAGGAGAATGTGTCGACAACGAGCCCAGCCTCCTGTTCATATTCCAATTTTCTCCTCTTCTACTGCCCATCACCAAACACCTCTCTGCAACTTCCAGACCTGTGTCTGTCCAGACCCTCAAAAGCTAGACCCAAAACAGGGTCCAGAAAGCATATGTCCAGGTACACTCACAGCCAGAGGGAGTTCCTCCCTTGAGTGATGACACCAGTGAATCTGGTCAGGCGCCGAGCATCCACTTCAATCCACTGCTGGAGGTCATTTCTTCCCGCGCACCACGCTCCGTCATAAAAATCATTTTCATTAATGCCCGCCTAGAAAGAAAGAAAGCGGTGTTCTTCAAAAAGACTCTTAATTGAAGAAAATTAAGACATATCTTTTCCTGAGGCTGAGAGGAAGGGAGGGAGGATAGGAGAAGAAAATGAGGAAGGTGTTAAAGAAAAAAATAATTGTGCCCTGAACTCCTCATCCTAAATCATAAAAGGGAGTTGCTTAGTATCCACAAGTTGAAAATATTTCAATATACCATGTCCTCTTTTTGCCCAGTGTGAAAGATGAAATTTAATGAGTACTCCTACTACTCATTCATCTAGCACACATAAACCATCTCCCACACAGCAGCCCACGCACACCAGGTGCTGGGGACGCAAAGGTGAATCGTTCCCTCCCAGAACCTCGCCATCTAGGCAGGAAGAAAGATGTGAAAATAGATGAATTAGAACACAGTGGGGCCGGTGCTATTTCAGGAATATGAGCAAACCGCTGCGGGAGCATTTAAGGACAGAATCACTAACTTAGTGTGGGGCTGATCATAGACAGAAAGCCCCAAGACCAGGGGATACTTGAAGTAGGTGTTGAAGGGTAAGTTTATCCAGTGAACATTTGTTTGTTAGTGTTTAAGTCATTTGATGTGTTCAGTATCAGCTGCTATTACTACCAAAAATTCTTTTTTTTTTTTTCAGAGATGGAGTCTTGGTATGTTGCCCAGGCTGGCCTCAGACTCCTGGGTTTAAATGACCCTCCCTCCTCGGCCCTCTGAATAGCTGGGACTACAAGCACACACCACCATGCCCTGCTCCAAAATTCTTTTGATCTGAATTTCCAAGATAGGTAAAGTTTTTGCTCTGGAATTTTCTCTATATTATCACCATGTGAAGAGATAATTCCCTGACTCCTCGCCTCCCAAAAAGGACATTTGAACCAAGTGAAGCATCCTCGTTTATTAACCCTATTTTTCCATGGCTATTTCACAGAGCTATTTTTTTTTTTTTTTTTTTGAGACGGAGTCTCGCTCTGTTGCCCAGGCTGGAGTGCAGTGGCGCCATCTCAGCTCACTGCAAGCTCCGCCTCCCGGGTTCACACCATTCTCCTGCAAAGCTATTTCTTATGATCAGATTAAAAAAAAAAAGTCTGAATGATAAAAATGATCAGCCAGCCCATCTTCCCTATCTCTGAGCATTTCAACTCAAATTCTGGGGACAGCCTTACTTTTAATTGGCAATGGAAATGTGAAACTAAGAGTCCAGCTATAGGCGTGAACAACTTGGCCAAAGGTTCTGCTGAGCAAAACTCTATCCATCACTGTACCAGCTAACATAAGCGTTCTATCAGGACAAAACCACAGTACAGTGTTAGACATCTGAGGCTTAGCAGAGAAGAATAGAACTGCCACATAGCCTGAGACATGTACCCTATAGAATCATGGAAACTGGAAGGAACTGTCCATCAAAGACTACTGAACAGGATTTGAAATTAAATTTAAGGCTCCTGGTTTTGCCAGCCTGAATATTTTGTTTCTGCTGCCAATCTCAGTTCTTTCTGAGCACACTGGACAGTCAATTAAATGTAGCACAGTGTCAGGGGAATGGAGAGCTCTTCCCAAAGATGACTCATTGGGAAGTGACAGCCACCTCTGCAAAATCGATTATGAATTTAAAAAGCAAGTGCCTGGGAGAATTCAGTGAAAGAGGAGGTACCAGCCCCAGAGATGTTACAAAATTATACCATCGTGCAATAAATGATATTCAGATGATGCCTCCGAGAAACCACGAGAAGAATGCATTCATCTCTTTCTCTTTAATAATGTAGGGAAATCGCTGATAAATTTTGGAGAAATTTCAACTAAAAGTTGGTGAACCAAAAGGTTTGATTCTTTAAAGGGTACACTAGTCTTGAAAACGTCACTAACGTAGAATGAATCTACTACAATACCAAAAAAAAACTGAGAATTAATGTAATTTTATAAAGGAAATTAAATTATATGCATTTTTTTTTACCTTAAAGAAAGCACACCAATGCCCCTAACAGACTCAATTTTGCTTAAGATAAATGTGGGAATTATCAAATCCAACACAAAGAGAAAACCTGATACTGTCTAAGGTCAATCTAAGAGGATTTTTCTGTTTCAAGATGATGGGATAAACACATTAGTTTTTCTGTGTTCTTCTCTCAAAAGTCAACCCCAAGCAAAGAAAGCAAGACACAGAAATACAACTTTGATCTCTGATAAAACCAAAAGACATATGAAAGCCCTAAATTACAATATATGAAGACAGAATCAGATGGAGGAATCCTGAATGACTCAGCAAGAGAAGGAAGTGCAAACGTCAAAACAGCACAATAAGAAGCAAGCCACACAGAACCTTAGAAAAGCTGAGAACCTGGGTTTCAAGATACCTTTGGGAGGTGAGGGTAAGGCAGGACTCAACAGGCAATTGCTTCAAAATGTGTATTAAAAAAACAACTAGACTGGGCACAGTGGCTCACGTCTGTAACCCTAGCTACTCAGGAGGCTGAGGCAGGAGAATCACTTGAACCGGGGGGCAGAGGCTGCAGTGAGCCAAGATTGCACCACTGCACTCTAGCCTGGGTGACAGAGCAAGACTCAGTCTCAAAAAAAAAAAAAAAAAATACAATTAATTCCCCCATATCTCCACCCCCACTCCACAGAGGACCTGAAATTTTTCTCTGAAAAGAAAGCAAACTGTAGAGACCCTGGATTGGGGATACTAGGCACAGAGGAGGCAGGGGTGCCGTGATGGATGAAAACAGTAACCTCTGGGGGCATCAGCACACTAAAGAGTGACATGTTCCAGCTCCTTCCCCCAACCAGCTATAGAACACCATGCAGTCAGGTTTATAACAAACAGAAAAAAAAAATGCAAACTATAATAGAGAACAGAAAAAAGGCTTTAAAAATCTATAATTAATATTTCTAGAAAGGTCTTGATTTCATGAAACAAGAACAGAATACTCTAAAAAAGGAAAAAGCACTGAACAATAAAGAGCTCTTGGAAATTAAAATGTGAAAGTTGAAATTTTTAAAATGTCAGCAACTTTTAAAATAGAAAGGCTTTCTATTTTTAAAACAAAAAGGCTAAAAAGATAAAGTTGAAGAAATCTCACAAAAGGAAAACAGTACACAAAAATAGACAACAGGAGAAAAATAAGAAAAGCAGAGGAAGAAATCCAGAAGAATTTTAGGGGGAAAAAAACGACCAAATAAAAACTGTACTTTCCCAGTTAAGTCTTCAAAACATGTAAGAATCTAGTACACATAATAAACTAATATACACACCATGGAATATCATTTTGAAACTTCAAAACATCAGAAATAAAGAAAAGATTCTAAAAGTTTCCAAAGAGGAAACAAGCAGTAAAAGGAACACACACAAAGAAAGAAAGAGGAATAAGAATGACATCAGAATTCTCAATAGCAGCATCTGAAGCTAGAAGAATGGAGGGATGGTGCTTTCAAAGTTCAAAAGGGAAAGATTTTTCATCCTAGAATTTTTACACTCAGCCAAACTATCAATCATGATGGCAAAATAAAGACATTTTCAGATTCACAGACTCTCAAAAAATCTATTTTTCATACACCATTTCCATGAAGCTACTGAAGCAGCAGTCCCCAAACTTTCTGGCACCAGGGACTGGTTTTTCCACCATCTGGGGGTGGGGGATGGTTTTGGGATAATTTAAGCATATTATATGTATTGTGCACTTTATTTCTATTATTATTAAATTGTAATATATAATGAAATAAAATTACACAACTTACCATAACGTAGAATCAATGGTAGCCTGAGCTCGTTTTCCTGCAACTAGACATTTTCATCTGGAGGTGATGGGAGACAGTGACAGATCATCAGGCATTAGATTCTCATAAGGAGCGCACAACCCAGATCCCCTATATGCACAGTTCACAGTAGGGTTTGCGCTCCTTTGAGCATCTAATACCACTGCTGATCTTACAGGAGGTGGAGTTCAGGCCGTAATTTGAGCAATGGGGAGTGGCTGTAAAAACAGGTGAAGCTTTGCTCTCTGGCCTGCCACTCACTTCTTGCTGTGAAAGCCCCGTTCCTAACCGGCCATAGATTGGTACTGGTCTGTGGACGGGGGACTTGGGGACCCTGTACTAGAGGATGCACTCCAAAAAAATGAGGCAGAACACTACAGAGAGGAATATATCAGACCCAGAAATCAAGGGTTCCAACATAGCAGAGAATTATCAGAATGATGGTGAAGAAGACCCAAGACAGTAGACATGTAGGAGACCCAGAGAGTAGCCCATTCAGAATGCAGCAGGTGAAATGGCTTCTGAAAGAGTATCTAACAGAAACGTAAAACACAAAGCAGGACTAAAAACCACTGAACAGATGTGGCTGCATAAAAAATGATATTGAAGGTTTTTTTTGTTTGTTTGTTTTTTCAGATCCAGACCTATTGCAGGGTGTGGGGAGAATATGTTCTTAAAAATACAAGCAGGCCCAGGAAAACAAAAGGTTGTTAAGAAATGATATGAAGTAAATATTTCCTGACTCAAAATTAAAGTATTTCTTGGCTCAGTAAGTAGGAAGCAAAATTTTCAGTCATAATAATGAAAACCTTAGATACAGATTTACCCAAAAATTGAGCTACAATTTTATTGGAAAGATGGAAGAGAGGAAAGGGGTGATAAAAATGGGTGATAGCCTCATCTTCCAGAATAGGGATCTAAAACATCAAGTCTACATCTATAAATTGATACAGATCAATATGTGCATATTATTTAGAAGTGAAGATTTCAGGCCAGGTGCGGTGGCTCACGCCTGTAATCCCAGCACTTTGGGAGGCCAAGGTGGGTGGATCACTTGAAGTCAGGAGTTCTAGACTAGCCTGGCCAACACGGTGAAACCTTGTCTCTACCAAAAATATAGAACATTTGCCGAGTGTGGTGGTACAGGCCTGTAATCTCAGCCACTCAGGAGGCTGAGGCAGGAGAATTGCTTGAACCTGAGAGGCGGAGGTTGCAGTGAGCCGAGATGGCACCACTGCACTCTAGCCTGGGCAACAGGGCGAGACTCTGTCTCAAAAAAAAAAGAAAAAGAATTGAAGATTTCAATTCCCAAAGAGACAATTAAAAAGAGTTTCCAGTAGCTGTGCCATCCACAGTGCTTGATGGTAGTCAGGGGCCGGGTGGAATGTGAAGTGTGTTTGTTTGTTATAAAATTGATTAAAACAAGTTTTAAAAAGCAATTTTAAAAAGTAAAAGGAAAGGGATACATAGATATAGAGGGTGACTGATACAATGTCTACTGTTGATTCTTTCATTTTTCAGGTATCTACAGAGCATTGACTACGTGCTAGGTATTATGCAAAGGGCTTTGATTTCTGAGAGATAGAGACAACAGTGAATATCAAAATCATTCTGCGGCAGTGAGTCACTGATCTGCACTGTACATATTTCATAATCATGGGCTGCCTCTACACAGAAACATCTGGAAGCAAATAAAAAGTCATATCCAAGTGAATGTAACTATTTAGTGACTCCAGGATAATTGACTTACAGCTGCCTCTCTGCAGACGTATCCCAGGGCTATTTGGAGAGAAACAGGATAAAGTGATAGTTATTTTAAAATATTTTTGAGAAAAAAATTTAGAAGCAATAGCTGAAACTATAGATTATCAGCAAGTTAATGCCTTTTCAGGGGGAGGTTATCTAAAAAACGTTAGCTGTGACATTTGATTAGTAAAGTAAGTAATCTGCCATAAAATGGCCATCATGTGGTCTGAATGTCTGCCTTCAATAAACCTCTGTAATAAACCACTGCTATAAACCCATAAAACTTTCCAGGTGCAATCTGCTGATCCTTCTGCAAATTGGCAATGCACCTTGTCCCAATTCCAACCTTAATCATCGGTAAAGTAGGCTGTACAAAAACACTGTATTCATTGTTTTTGAAGCAACTTTTAAAACCAAAACCAATTTCTTAACTATTTCCTTGCATTGGCCAAGGAAACTAGTAAACATCCACGGTTTAAAATTAAAAATATTTAAAAATAAATTCTATTCAACACACCATAAACCATTTATTAACTATTTAAAAGAAGAAAAGATGAAGAAATATACTAACTGAAAAAGAAACAGGCAAATGTTTTCACATCAACATTCTAATTCAATTTAACTCCAATCTGGGAAATGCTTTAGCCATTAACATTGTATATCTATGGAACAAGTTTAATTCTTAAGCAATTATTAATTCATTTATGAGTGACCCAATAAAGATTGTGTGTATCCTCCTATGCACTCCAAGAAGGCAGCACAGCTCAGAATCGCCTTCAGAAATGCATGCAGGTCAAGTGCAAGTCCTCATTCTACAGCTCATTATTTAAATACCCCCAGTTAGGTCAGTTGATCTATAAAATGAGGATAGAAATAAAATATGTGATAATACCATTGTCACAGTTACAAGTATTTTGTATGGTGCCTGGCACAGAAAAGACAGTCAATACATGGAAGCCACTGGGGGTACAAGTATGATTCCCTTTATGTTTAGTATGTGCCTGCTGTGACCTGTGATTAAATTTGCTTTATGGTACAATTTCAGTTTTGTTCTATTAATAGTAAGTTAGGTCCATTTAGCCCATTGACAGATGTTCTTTGTCTGAATGAATCATCCGTGTTTCTTAGATATTCTATTTTTATTGCTTCCTGTGGCTTTGTTTTATTTTTATCTATTGATCGGTTTTGTGTTTTTTGTGTTTTTTGCTTTAAGTGCATACCTCTGAAAATGCTAATGAGCTGTACCTTTGTTTTAGTGGTTGATTTAGTAACTAAGTCTTACGTAACATACTTAATTCTGTATTTTCTTAGAAAGTACCCATTAACTCCCTACTATAGGCAGTGATGAAATCATTATTTCTACTTCCTGCTGCCTCTCCTCCTTCCCCTTTATCCCCTTTATCACCTAATTTCATTTATTATATTCTTAACGTTCACTCTTTTTTTTTTTTTTTTTTTTGAGATGGAGTTTCGCTCTTGTTGCCCAGGCTGGAGTGCAATGGCACAATCTCAGCTCACTGCAACCTCTGCCTCCTGGATTCATTAGCTGGGATTACAGGCACCTGCCACCACATCTGGCTAATTTTTGTATTTTTAGTACAGACAAGGTTTACCATGTTGGTCAGGCTGGTCTCGATCTCCTGACCTCAGGTGATCCGCCTGCTTCAACCTCCCAAAGTGCTGGGATTACAGGTGTGAGCCACCGTGCCCGGCCTTACATTCACTTTTAAAAGGCTAAATCAAATATACCTCTCTTCTTTAGTTGAGCAGCTTCTTTGTAAAGTTTTCATTAATTTTATAATAGATACAGAAAAGTGTGCAAATCCTAAGTGTGCAGCTCAACCAATTTTGACAAACTGCATGTACCCACATAACCACATCCAGACCAAGATGTAGACCATGAGCACCATGTCAGAAGCTCCCTGTGCCCCTTCCCAGACATTAACTTCCCGCAGACATAACCACCACTCTGACTTCTATCTCCTCAGGTTGGTTTTCTTATTTTCAAACTTTATATAAATGAAACCTACTGTAACTACTCTTTTTGTCTGGCTTCTTCTGCTCAATATTTATTATATCTGGGAGATTCACCCAGACAATTGCATGCAGTAGTAATTTAGTCCTTTTAACTGTCATATAGTATTTCACTGTAGTACATAAAAAATGACATGATATATCTGGACTATTTCCATTTGGGGGTTATAAATAATGCTGCTATGAACATACCTATGTATGTCTTCTTGTGCACATGTGAGCACATTTCCATTTAGGAATGAGAGTGAATCTGTTAGGTCAATGTGCATGAGAATGTTCAACTTTAATAAATACAATAGTCCCCCGTTATCTGTGGTTTCTCTTTCCATGGTTTCAGTTATCTGAAGTCAACCACAGTCTGAAAATATTAAATGGGAAATTCCAGAAATAACCAATTTATAAACTGCATGCCATTCTGGGTAGGGTGACAAAAATCTCACACCGTTTCTCACCATCCAACGTTGATGTGAATCCTCCCTTTGTCTGGCGATCCACACTGTCTACTTTAGCCGCCCAGTAGTCACTTAGCAGCCATCTTGGTTATCAAAGAGCTGGTATTGCGGTGCTTGTGTTGAAGTAATCTTTTACTTAATAATGGCCCCACAATGCAAGGGTATTGATATTGGTAATTCAGATATGCCCAGGAGACAAGTAAAATGCTTCCTTTAAGTGAAAAGATGAAAGGTCTCAACTTAATTTTAAAAAGAAAGAAAATCGTATGCTGACGCTGCTAAGATCTACGGTAAGAATGAATTTTCTACCTGTGAAATTGTGGTGAAAGAAAAAGAAATCCACGCTTAGCATCTAAGAGCATTTGGTACTATCCACACTTTCATGCATTCATCGGGGTCTTCGAATATATCCCCCAGATAAAGACAGACTATTATACTGCCAAACAGGTTTCCAAGTGGCTGTGCTACTTTACATTCCCAGCATTTTATGAACGCTTCCATTGCCCTACATCTTTGTCCACACTTGATATTATCCTTTTTTCAAAGCCATTCTGGTGTCTGTGCATCCTGTCTCATTGCGGCTTTCATTTGTATTTACTTGACGACTAATGGTGGAAAGCTCTTTTTCTCATGGCCATTGGCCATGACATTGCTCCATAACCACAGTGTAGCTCCAGTCACACTGGCTTTGCCTAAGTCCTTCCAATAGACCATGTTCCCCACCACCACAGGGCCTTTGCACATACTCTTCTCTTTGACCTGGAATGCTCTTCTCTCCCTCTGCCTACCCTTTGTCCAATAAACTCTCAACTTATAATCCTTCTTCATTTATTAGCCCAAGTACTCACTCCATCCTCAGGAAAGTCCTCCAAGCTCCAGCCTGAGGCAGATATATTGGGCATACAGAACCACAGTATTGAATTGTGTTCCCCCTCTCCAAAATAGGCTCATGCCCTAACTCTTGGAATCTCAGAATGTGACCTTATTTAGAAATAGGGCTGGTGACCAGGCACGGTGGCTCATGCCTGTAATCCCAGCACTTTGGGAGGCCAAGGCGGGCGGATCACAAGATCAGGAGATCCAGACCATTCTGGCTAACACAGTGAAACCCCAGCTCTACTAAAAATACAAAAAATTAGCCGGGCATGGTGGCACGCACCTGTAATCCCAGCTCCTCGGGAGGCTGAGGCAGGGGAATCGCTTGAACCCGGGAGATGGAGGTTGCAGTGAGCCAAGATCACGCCACTACACTCCAGCCTGGGTGACAGAACGAGACATCATCTCAAAAAAAAAAAAAAAAAGGGGGCTGGGACAGATGCACTTAGTTAAGATGCAGTCAGCTTAGAGCAGGATGGGCATATCCAGCATGACTGTGTCTTTAAACAAGGGGATATCTGAACACAGAGACACACAGGCAGAGGACAGATGATGTAGAGGCTCACTGGAAGAAGCCTGAGGTACCAGGGAGGCAGAGACTGGGGTGATGCATCTACCAGCCCAGGGATGCCACAGAATGCCTGAGGCCACCAGACGCTGGAAAGGGCAAGGAGGGACCCTTTCTTAGAGACTTCGGAAGGAGCGATGCCCTGCTAACACCTTGATTTCAGATTTCAAGCCTCCAGAATTGTGAGAGAATCAGTGTTTGTTGTCTTCAGTTTCCCTATCTGGGCTCCCAACTTTGTCATGGCAGTCCCAGGGAATGAATGCACCTGCTCCTCTCCTTCCCAGGACTCATTGTAATTATGCATTCCCAGGTGGGATTTTTTTCAGTAATTTCATCTCCCCATTAGATTACTAGATTATCAGAGTTGCAGGTTAAAAAGCATGCCCGACTCCCTTCTATTCTCTTGCATCCTTCATCCAAACCTCATCTGCCCTGCATCAGAAAATCCTACTTTCAAAATAACCTAAATCCAACCACTTCCAACCCCCCTCCATCACGCCTATCTTGGCTCAAGCCAGTACCATCTCCTGTCTAGGGCCTGAAGTCACCGCCCTTGACAGGCCTCTGCTTCAATGCTTGCTCCCCAAAAGTCAACACAGTGACTAGGTTGATCCGTTTCACATGTAAGCCACAGCATGTCATTCCTGTGTCCAGAACTTTCCAGGGCTCCCCTAATTGGCTCACGGCTAAAAGCTGAAGTCCTTCCAGGGGGCCTGCAGGCCTCCTATTACCTCTGGCTCATGTCTTCTCCCCTGATGCTCACTCCAACCTCCTGCTGCCCCTTGGCTATACCGAGCATGCTATACCTGACCTTTGCTCAAGCCATCCCCTCTGCCCAGAATGCTCTTCTCATACCCCCTTGGCTCCCCATTGATCCCCTTCTTGAAAAGCAGCTGCCACCTTCCCAGAGTCTGCCCCCATGACTACCACTGCCAGCTGTCCGCTGGTTTTGTTTCCCTTCTCTCCATAGTACGTGCCACCTTCTAACATACTATAATAGTAAACACTATGATTTGTTACATTTCCTGCTGATGTAGTTTGGATCTGTGTCCCTGCCCAAATCTCACGTCAAATTGTAATTCCCAGTGTTGGAGATGGGGCCTGGTGGGAGGTGATTAGATCATGGGGGTGGATCTCCCCCTTAGAACTGTGTTTGATAATGAGTGAGTTCTCATGAGATCTAGTTGTTTAAATGTGTGTGGCACCTCCCCAGTCTTTTGCTCCTGCTAGGGGCATGTAAGCAGTGCCTGCCTCCCCTTCACTTTCCGCCATGACTGTAAGTTTCCTGAGGCCTCCCAGAAGCAGAAGCCACAATGTTTCCTGTACAGCCTACAGAACCGTGAGCCAATGAAACCTCTTTTCTTAATGAATTATCCAGTCTCAGCCGTTTCTTTATAGCAGTGAGAGAATGGACTAATACATCTGCCTTGATTTGCCTCCCGCACTAGAACACAAGCTTCAAGGTGGCAAGAATCCTTGTTTTGGTCATTTAGGCATCCTCAGCACCTAGAACACGACCCAGCACATCATAGGCCCCCAGTAAATATTTGCTAAGTGCTCAGGGCTCTTCTGTTTTTGCTCAGCATTGTTTCCTCAGTTCTTATGACAGTGCTGAGTACATGAAAGGTTTCCAGAGGTGTGTTGTGTTTTTGTGTTGTTGTTATAATAAAATGAATAAATAAAAGAAAGAATCTGGCCAGGTGTGGCGGCTCATGCCTGTAATCCCAACACTTTGGGAGGCCAAGGCGGGCAGACCACTTGAGGTCAGGAGTTCGAGACCAGCCCGGCCAACATGGTGAAACCCTGTCTCTACTAAACATACAAAAATTAGCTGGGCATGGTGGCACGTGCCTGTAATCCCAGCTACTCAGGAGGCTGAGGTGCAAGAATCACTTGAACCCGGGAGGTGGAGGTTGCAGTGAGCAGAGATCGTGCCACTGCACTCCAGCCTGGGCGACAGAGCGAGGCTCAGTCTCAAAAAAAGAAAGAAAGAAAGAAAGAATCTGCTGTTATTCTTTCTTTCCCTCCTCCTCTCCTTTTTTCTCCCCTCCCTCTCCCCACCCTGGCTTTTTCTGCTTATATAGCATTTATTGTGTCCTTGAAGCACTAACACAGAATGACCTACACACCTGATTCCCAACCATGCACCTCCAGGAGACGGTCATCTGACCTGTGTGTAGCAGGGCAGGTGCCCTGGGGAACCATCCCCATGAGGCATCACTGGAGAAGCAGCTCTGACTGCTGAACGCACACACAGGCTCCGGGGGTGACTACTGATGCCTCTCAGATCAGACTTTTCTGGGCCCTTCCTGGATGTGGGCGTGGGAGAGCCTAGGGGAAACTCAAGCCAGTGGTCAGGGAGATAAGGCAGCACAAGCTGAGAGGCAGGGGTGGCCCAAGAGCTAGTGAACAAATATATATATATATATAAAAATATATATATATAATATATATATAATATATATATTATATATATATTATATATAAAATATATAATATATATATAATATACTTTTATATATAATATATATAATATATATTTTATATATATTTGTTTTAGAGATAAGGAAACTGAAGTCAGGGGCTAAGTGACCTGCCCTAACCCCACAGCTACTAAGTACAGACCTGAGACCCTAATCTCAGTTTTCCGGCTGTAGATAACCCAGGGCTCCTTCCCTGCCAGCTCCAGCACCCAAGTGATGGCTCGGCTTGTTCAACAGACAACCCCCGGAGCCTGTGTGTCTACTCCGCAGTCATAACTGCACTGTGCCTTCTCCAGCGATACCTCATGGGGATGGTTCCCCAGGGCACCTGCCTCACTGTACACAGGTAGGATGACCGTCTTCTGGATGTGCACGTCTCCCAGCAATCAGGTGTGTAGGTCATTCTGTGTTAGTGCTTCAAGGACACAACATATGAAATTTAATAACATATTAAAGAAAAATGCACACAGCAAACAGAACAGAATCTATATCTGAACCAGATAATCCTGTGGTTCCTTAATAATCTGTGGTTCATGGGTCAAGGAGGCTTTGGTGGTTTTGGACCCTTTTTACTTTGGTTACATTGTCCTTCTACCGGCTTGTATGTCTACACTGTAAGCTTCTTGAGAAATAAGAACAGCATATTACCATCATACTAGATATTCATTTTGATTTCTCCAAGGGAGTCACAATTTAAAATATTCAGTCCTGTTATTCCCATAAAAATCCAAATACCCAAAATTCCAGTGTTTTGGCATCCAAACACTGTCTCCCAGACTGTTTGCTTGAAGCCAGATGTAGAACAAAATCCCTTTATCAGAACAAACACGACATTCCTTGACTCGGAAACTATGTCTACTGTGATTATTTTTGCCTCTGCAGCACTTAGCACATATATGGCCCCCAAGAAGAACTTGTGAGACACAGTAAGGTTTTGCATAGCCAGGAAAAACAAAAACAAACAAAACAGAAAATCGGGAAGGCATGAAGGAAGAGATAGGCTTAGGGTCAAAGACACGGGTGCAGGGCCCAGCCACAGGCAGGTGTGGGTCGGGCACAGGTGAGACCTGGGAAAATGGTACTGCCAAAGGTTCTCCATAGACTTCCTGCCAGGAGAAATGTGGGTGGCCTCCACCTTTGGTCAAAGTGGGGCCCCAAGAGCACTGGGGCCAAAAGGTACAGGGAGACACGTACAGGACGTGCCCTGGAACATGAGCTGTGACACAGGATAAAACTCAGTTGGTTCAATGTTCTAAAACTGCATTCATGTCTTCATGCGGGGGTACAAATGAAGCCACAGGCAGCAGCCGCCTCCAAATATCCCACCTCATTTTAGGTAAAAAGTGGATGAGAACACTGGAACTAGATTCTAGTACTGGCATCGAGGTGCTCCATATAATTTTTTTAAGGAAATGACTGAGGAGAGGACTCATGATTCCTTCCAGCAGTGCTGGGGAAATGGCTCTGACAGACACTATTATTATGGCCAGACGTTTCCTCCTGGAAGAGCTGCAAGAGGTGAGCCTCTCTCTCTAGGGGACCAAACTCTCAGTCATTTCTAACATGGGTGAGACAAGACCTGGTCCACAGAGTGCCAAACGACCGTGACCAGGCTATCACAAGGACACCCAGAGCTGTGCAGGGAGTGTGCTACGTTTTTCCTTGTGACCTCAAAACATCAGCTGTTTCTTCCAAGCTCTGATCTAAGCACCAACTTTTCTACATCCCCATTTATAAGGGATGTAAGTCGGTCCCCAGTTATAGGCAGGAATTGTGGTGACATCCTGAGTCCCAACCACACACTTGGTGTTTCATTTCTTCTGATCACACGTCAGACCCTGACTGACTTACTGTAATTTAAATTCTTGAGAATGAGGTTGAAAGCCAGCCCTCTGACACGGCAGTGCTTACTACTGCAATCTGTTTGAGGCTTGCCAGCTAGGAAAATATCCAAAATAATAACAGTGGTGCAATAAATCACTTCAGCAGGGCTGCTGTCCCCGAACCCCCTTCCTTAGTTTATGACCCAGGGAAAATATCTTAGGGTCCTCAAAGGAGGATTCTTTGGGGTGGGGCAGGTGATGAGCTGCCATTAGATGACCCACCTGAACATAGGGTCACTTCCTAAGACTACCTACAGGCAAAGGATCCAAGCATGTTTTGTTTTGGTTTGGTTTGGCTTTTTTTTGTTTTTTTTTGAGACAGAGTCTCATCCTCTCGCCCAGGCTGGAGTGCAGTGGCATGATCATGGCTCACTGCAACCTCAGCCTCCCAGGTTCAAGTGATTCTCCTGCCTCAACCTCCCAAGTAGCTGGGATTACAGGCGTGTGCCACCACGCCCGGCTAATTTTTGTATGTTTAGTAGAGACGGGATTTTGCCACATTGGCCAGGCTGGTCTTGAATTCCTGACCTCAGGTGATCCACCCGCCTCGGCCTCCCAAAGTGCTGGGGTTACAGGCATGAGCCACCGCACCTAGCCCTAAGCATGATTTTAGAGGTCATTGTCAATATGTTCTCTTGGAGACTCAGAATGTTAATTTCCAATCTGTCCGTAGTTGCTCCCAGAATGGAAGAAACCAGTGACTGTTTCTAAATGAGATCACAGCCTCACAAGTGAGTTAGTATAAAGGGGTCCTGGGCGCACAGGAAGAATAATCATAGGTGAGGGGCCGAACTTTTGCTCTCCTGCTGAACTGGATGTCTTCCTTGAATTCCTGAAAAGTCTATTTTGTCCCAATGTAGTGATAAAATGTAAATGTTGGTTTTTTTCTCTAACCTTATATTATTAAGTTAACAAAAGTAAAATTCTACTTGAAAAAAAGGAAGTATTGAGTTATAAGGACTCTTTCAAAGTCTTCTGCTTAAAATGATGGAAAAGGAGACAGGTATTTCTGTAGTAACACGGCAAATGTATTCCAGTAAAAGTTCCCAGTCTAAAACCCAGCTCACCAGCCAGCCCATTCAAAATCTATACAGGTCTAGAAGCAGAAGACTGAAAAAAATTAATTTTAAAAACACATTAGCACAATTAAGGAGACACGTTGAGTTGCTCAAAACAGTGTTTAAATACAGCTGTAATTATAGGATTTGATCTGAAAAGGAAACAAGCAGGGAGGCAGGTGATGCCAGCGATGGAAGGCGGCGTGGAGATGGAAGGCGGCGTGGAGATGGAAGGCGGCGTGGAGATGGAAGGCGGCGTGGAGATGGAAGGCGGCGTGGAGATGGAAGGCGGCGTGGAGATGGAAGGCGGCGTGGAGATGGAAGGCGGCGTGGAGCTGCTGAGTTGAAGGCTAGGGCAAAACGGAGAAGAACCTGAGCAATGCACCAGCACAGGCCCCACTGACGCCGAGGAACAGGAGGCACAGGGCACCACGCACGGGACTCCGCAGCTTCCACGCTCGCCCCTGACAGTGCACTCTGTGGTCAGGTGCTGGTGCTGGGTCCCACAGACTATTCATAGACTCCACACTCACCCGTGACAGCGCACTCTGTGGTCAGGTGCTGATACTTGGTCCCACAGCCCATTCATAGACTTTACACTCACCCGTGACAGTGCACTCTGTGGCCAGGTGCTGATACTTGGTCCCACAGACCACTGATAGACTCCATATTCACCCGTGACAGTGCACTCTGTGGCCAGGTGCTGGTGCTCGGCCCCACAGACCATTCACAGACTAGCAAAAGTCACACATGAACCAATGCTGCTTCTGTGTCATAATGACATCATCCCTGTATCTGCCAACCACACAGGGCAAATATGCACTAGAAAAACACATGTGACAGCAGACCAGCCTGCCCGGCCGCCTCCTAGGCTTCTCCTGCTTAAGCTCCCTTAAGCACTGCAGCCACTACACAGAAGCTTTGTTGATTCAGCGCATCCATATGTGCAGACACCGCGCTCACACAGGGTGGGGAATACCCAGAAATGCAAGAGACACATTTTCTGCAAGCGGCTCAGCATTTGGCGAGGGTGCAGATGAATAAATCAATGTGAGATAACTGTCAGAAAAGAGAGATGTACACGGTTTGATCACTAGTCCAGCTGTTGGACCTATACCACTTCTATCTGTTGACTTGGGAGGCAATTTTATGGCATCATTAGGAGCAACAACTCAAGGTTTAAAGCTGCCTGGATTCTTAATCTGCCCCTCCTGGGAAATGTGAGCTGAGTCATCCCATGCTCCCTGTGTCTGTTTTTCTATAAGGCAGAGGTAATAATAACAGTACTGTCTTCCATGTTGGAGGAATAAATGAAATCACGTGCATAAGGCACTTAGCACTGTGCCAATAATGCTTGGAGCTGATTCCCACTCTCCCTCTGCTAAAGACTGAAGCATCTTGAAGGCAGAGAATCCCTAGGGCTTTTTGTCATGGCCCTTTCCATGCCTGTCACATAGCAGGCACCTCACAATGGTCTGCTGCAAGAATGAATGCTAATAGGTAAGAATATGCATTTGAGAACTGCCAAAGGCAATTCTTTTTCTTTACTCCTTTTGACACTCACAATTCCATGACGGAGGAAGAGCCAGCGGTGGGACCTGCACCTTCCTGATGACGACACTGAGCCTTGGAGAATGAGGGCATCTCACCCGAGGCCACATGGCTGGTCAGCAGAGCGACCAGCACCAGCATCCCAGCCTGTGAGCCCCATACCTTCCAGCCTGGACCACAGCCACATCTGCGCCTATAGAGTCCTAGGCCGGCACAGCGCTAGGCTAAACCAGCTCACAGCCTGCACTAGGGTATTAAACACAGTTTCTAATTCTGACATCTTGGGGTTTCTCGATCACAAAATCCCATTAGCTCAACACGCCTACAAAATACTCGTATGTGAGACAAGATGTGGTTATTTTTAAACTGCATTTCAAACCGTTCTGTGTGGGGAGATGTATTTTTGGCACACACTGACTTTAATTATGCACCTGTGACAGTGGAATCACACTGCATGTGGCACTGGCTCTGGAAGACACAAACCACAAAAGTGGGCTGACCTCGTCCCCATTTCCCTGTGGCACAGGAGCACAGCCCTGCTGACACCTCGATTTAGCCTAGTGTGCTCCCCGTGGGGGACTGGGGCTGTATGTCGAAGCCCACAGACACACATTGCAAACGACACTGTCCTGTCTGGGGTTGACACCAGGTACCCGAGTAGGGTCAGAGCCAGAGGCTGGGGATGGCGGGCCCAGATTTGGCTATTAAAGCAGCAACTTCACAGTCTAAGAGCAGGTACGGAGACTTTCCTGTGAGAAAGCATCAGGGTAAATAAGATGCCCCTGAAGAAAGAAAAACCCACGAAGACAAATAGCACTGATGTGATCCCCATGCACGGCCTCCTTTTCACCCTGACCACAGGCAGGAGAGTGCGCTCAGCCAATGCATTCACTGAGGGGAGCTTGGCATTCTGCCTGGGGTGGGCCTCTCACGGGTGAAAGACTACCTGAAGCCAGGAAGACGAAGTGAGGACAGCCTCGCCGGCTGCTCCCTGCTGGACGCCCCATCTACGGTGAGGCTCCTGTGCAGCCCAGGAAAGGTAGGTCAGTGAATAAACACCATCTGCACCTCAGCCAGGTCTCCGTCCATATCCTCAGTGCACCTCCCATGTTGCAGGTGCTATTCTGCACACCAGGGGCTGGGCAAGCAGGAGAAACAAGGCCACATCTAACATGGGGCTTACTCACAAGGAAGGGGCAGATACAACCCAAGGAAATAAGTAAATGAAGGTTCAGAGAGAGACCCAGTCACCCAAGACCAACCTGGGACTTTCCTCATACAGTAACTAGAAGCCACCAGAGCCTTTCAACAGAGGAAGGAGATGATCCAGGGAATGTTTTAAAATCAGAAGTCACCTAAGGTCACCACTCAAGGAACTCTGTGAGTGATTAGGACTCTCATCTTTCTGATGAGGCAACTGAGCCTCAGAGACATGAGATCATTTGTTCCAAAGTCCCCCAATCTAGAAACATCAAGGCCAAGGTCTGCACTCAGCATGCCTGTCTACAACATCTCATTGGCACACCCTGCGTGGCACTCTGCCGGTGGAATTCCCAACTGGAGGGACAAAAACACCACGCTCCCCCGACCTTCCCATTCAACCCCAACACATTTAGGATTAACAGGACCTTTTAATTTTTGACCGAAAGCACAAATAAATGTGAACACTTTCTCTTTTTCAAAGGATAATTTCAATTATAGAGAAATCATGCAAAGCATCAGACGACAGCTCCCCTAATTAATGCACAAAACAGGCTGCACACGCCCTGCTTGGATCTGACTGTCATTTCCTCAGAGGCCTGGAGCCCCGTCTAGGGTACTGGAGGCACTGTGGGGACACGAACATAGCTCCAGCTCAAGCTTTGCGGGCTCATGTGTTCATCCCTCATAAAACATAAGAGATTGTTTGCAGTTGACAGTTGTGCACATCCAAATATTTCTTATTAGTTATTATTCTTTTTTTATACGAGTATTTATAAACCAACCTTCGGATCTCCTTAAAGTTAGTTCTACAAATGTTCTACCTGAATTCGTCTGAACTGAAAAGTGGCGGAGGTTAAGCAGTTCGAAAGTCTGTTTGATGCGGTGCAGTCTGAGGGGTGGGGTGGAGAAAGAGCAAAGCTTGGAGTCAGAGCTTGGCTCAGATGCCCCCAATCCCATGAGCTCCCTGGGAAGGAACCTTATCTGTTTGTACACAGTTCCCAGCACAGCAGCTGCCCCTAGCACATTTACACAGACCGCTGGGGGAGTCAGGGGTCCACTCTGCCACTTGGAAGCCATTAGCTTTGAGTGCACCCTTGATGGCTCTCAGGGCCAGGGGCAAGGAACCTCCTCCCTCCCTAGGCCAGAGATGGTGCACGTGCAAAGGGGCTTGGAAACTACTCCCAATACAGAAGAGCTATAGAAAGAAAACTAGAATATGGTGCCATTAGAGAGCCACACAGGACGGTAGAGATCAAGTGCTAAGTTGAGAAAGAACAGATCAGCAGGAGGTGGGGCAGGAACAAAATGCCCTGGGGATGGGGCGGCAGAATAACTCCTACCCAAAGATGTCCACGCTCTAATCCGCAGAACCTGTGCATATATTAGATTACACAGCAGAGAGGAATGAGGGTCACAGATGGAATGAAGGTTGCTTGAGGAAGGGAGATGATCCCAGGCTATCCAGGTGGGCCCGGTGTAATCTCAAGGATCCTCAAAAGGGGAACAAGAAATCAGAACAGAGAACCAGACAGGCAGTCACATGAAGACTCCATCTGCCTTTGCTGGCTCTGAAGAAGGAAAGAGCCACTAGCAAGGAATGGGGCAGCTTCTCAAGACTGAAAAGGGGAAGAAAATTGATTCTCCCTACAGTCTCCAGAAAGAGCATCGCCCTGCATACCTTGATTTAGCCCAAGGAGACGTCTGTCCTCCAGAACTGTAAGAGAATACATTTGTGGGAAGAGGCTACGTTTGTCACAGCAGCAATAGGAAACTCATACATGGATCAGATGGGATTCATGTGAGTGGAGCATGGTTGGGCAGTAGAAGTTTCAGGCAGGGGAACCTGCTACAGAAAGGGCCTGGAGTCAAGAATTGCACGGCGTGTAGAGTGTGCAGGCAGGAGCTCACCTTCCTGGAGCAAGACCTCGGACTGATGGGACTGACAGAGAGGGAGGCCTGACAGTCTTGAGGCCCAAGGTCAGAAAGGCCCTTGAGCCTCCAGGAGGGAGACCAGCCAGGATGTGCATGGTCCCAGGAGCCATGCAGGGCTTGACCCGGGGGAACACAATGGAGGGAGCCACAGGAAAGCCTGGAAGGTGTGTGTGTGGCAGAGACAAGAAGCACTGGCAGGGAGGCAAGGGAAGACAAATGCCACTGCCTCGTGTGCCACGGCTCTGCCCCGCCATGCCCCAGGCATTCCACCTTCTCCTCCTGTCCTTTCTGGACCAACAGCATATGGAAGAGAAGTGTTCAAAAGGTGGAAGAGGAACAACCTGGGTCCAGGTACTGGTGGTCTCACTTTTACTCACGACAGTCTTTGGAGAAGACATTGCCTCCCTGAGTCTCAGAGCTCTCTCTGTAAAATTAGGATCATTCAGCAATATCCTTTCTTACTGTGAGCATCCAGGCTAATGCATTTTAAATCCTGCGCATTGCCTGATCCAAGCTCAAGGAACCAGAGCAATAAACAAGGCAGTCAAAATCCTTCCAACCACAGGGCCAGGTACCTGGATGTTGAGTCTCCCTCGATGTGCCCCCAGGCCATAGCGCTTCACCGTGGAGGCATGGAGCTGGAAGTCTGTGATTTTTAAGGTTTCCAGACCAAGAGGTGGGCAACCTGGAAAGGACAAATGCTTGTTAAAAACAACGACAGATGCTGAAAGGGATGAGTTTCTTATTTTCTAAATCTGGCCGCGTGCTTTTCCATTTTCCCCTGAACTCCCACCCACAGGCATGCCTGGTCTTTCCAGACACGGTTGATTGAACTGTCAACATTAAGCCAATGTTCTTTCTTGTTGGCATTTGCTTTAGGGGTGTTTTTGCTCTGATATTCCTTCTCTTTTGCTGTCCATGCTACTGTCTGAGGCTGTTCCCAATTAAGGATCCTTCCCCAACATGACTCAGTCAGGAAGCATCATTGGAGCTCTGCAAATTAATCAGAACTTGCGGATTTTGCTTCAGCAACTCTGGCCTTTATATTGTGCATGCTAATGAGCAGAGGAATATAAGCAGAAAAAAAACCTATTGTTTTCCAGTCTCTGCAAAATGGATAACATGGAGCACAGCTAGTAAACACCATTTGCCCCTGGAATAAAACACCAGTGCTTGATCGTCCCAGCCTAGCCCATTGTCCGTAAGAATGACAATGCTTAAAGCAGCATCCAGAAGGGGTCTCCTGACCTCTGGGCTGCTGTTTGCCCCCACGCCCACCACAGTGAGTGGTGGAGCATTTAGTGAAGGCGGAGGGGTGCACACAGTGAGTGTGAAAGGCCATGCAGCGAGAGGGGGCCACATGATGAACCGGGGGTCCCCGCATTGAGGGGGTTTGTGCAGCAGGCATGCCAACCACCCGAGGCTGACCTCACAGAGAAAAACTTGGCTACCATGCCCCCTTCCTTCCCCAGGGTTTGCCCTCACACCTTCCAGGCCTGAAGGACATGAATCTGACCCATGTGGTGGCAGTTCCTGGGTCCCACATGTTCACTCTCCATCCTGCCTACCAGAAATGGACCTCAAGTGGCTGACCAGCAGGGTTAATCCTCACACGACATACTCAGAAATCCTCACTGCTGGGCCTCCAACAGCCCTGCCTCCTCATAGAACCTTCTCATGCTGTCCCAGAAGCCCCACCCTGCCACTCTCGTGGTCTGGCACCTCCGCAGCTTGGCCCCTGAGCCCAGGTTATAATCCCACACCCCGTCACTCTCTGAGACAGCTGGGAGCCTGGGCCCGTGCCCTTCACTCTCACCTCAGGACAATGGGCCCCTGCTGTCGGATGCCATTCGCCTCTTGGAGCTCACAGTCCCCAGCGGTCACTGGTATCCACCAGAGGGCCTTGTCAGAATCCAGGGCAAGCTCTGAGAGTCAAGGCCACTGACCCATTAGGCTGCCTGTCCCTTTGGAGAGGCTTGACTCCAGGACATCCTGCAGCCTGGCCCCAGGAGCCTGGGCTCTGGCTGAAGCTCTTGGGCTCCCTAAGCTGGGGTTGCTGCCCTGCTGTGCCCCATTCTCATCCTCGTCTCCTGCTCACTCCTTGCTCTTCTCCCCATCACCTGGTCTCAGCCTATCCTGCCTTAGACACAGTCAGCATTCTCAGGAATAACCGGTCTGTCCTGAGAGATCCCGCCCACCGAGAGACCCCACCCACTGAGAGAGAGACCCCACCCACTGACTGTGACACCAAGCTGGCTAGGCAGCAGGTTCTGTCAGGCGATTCCTGGTGGCCTGGGAATAGCCTCTATTTATCTTCACTCTGCCAGCTGTGGTTTCAGGGTTCAAGGGACCTGGGGGGTTTCAGACCCTGATGGGGAACCAGGCACAGGTCCTGTCCCTCCATGTCCTGGTACTCAATACATACCCACAACAGTCCCACATAACCAAGCATCAGAAACACCAAAAGGATCTGCTGCCATCTTATGAACCTATTTCACTGCCGTGTTGAAGGCCTTCCAACCACCAGCTTCTTCCTTGGTAGCAGAAGACACAGCAGGAGGTAAATTCCATGGACTTCCTTCAGCAAAGCCACCTTTATTTATATCATTTATACACTCTAAGTGAGAGACGGACAGATGGACAGATAGCCCACCAGATGGACAGGCAGACATATATAGATCATGTACCAGCTCAATAAAGCAACAATAATTGCTATTCAAAACATTTCTTCCAGAAAAAGAGCACGACTCCTATGCACGTGAGTATTTTAATTCAAAAAAGGAAGTACCTGACTAAAATTACATATCCATCAAAATTGCTTTTCTGTCGACAGACAGAAGCTCTGTCACATCCTCTTGCCAAGATACATAAGGGGTGAAAAGAAAGTGCCCCCAAGTGAGGTGTTTCATGGGTGCACGTCTAATAGCAACTGAAAAGTGCAATGCCTGCCCTCTCACGGGCTGAGTTTCCCGCCGCCAGCAGTGCTGGCAGCTGCCACATCTAACAGCCATTCTTGTCCACTCCTGTGATGGTGTCACGGCAAAGCCAGAAACTTCACCCCCTCCACCCACAGCACAGATGATGACTTTGGTGGGGGAGCCCAGATAAACACACACGAACTTGGCCTGCTCGCAAACGTAGTCTTACAGGAACCCAATGCTCTGACACTGGGATTTTTTGTCCTTATTAGAAGATGCTATTTTTAGAGCCATTAATTTTGGTTTGGAAGCCTTCTCCATTGCCCGTGCCACTTACAAAGAAGCTAGAGATTCCACACAGAGAAAACACAATGTCCTTGAAAGGCAAAGACAGAGTTACTGATCCGCCTGGGTTAGTGAGGGCCCTTTGGTTTTAAGAAACCTACCACAGCCAACTTAGACAGGAAGGGAAATCCCTAGAGAAATGAGAGGGATGGCAGAAAGTGAGAAGGACAGAGGCGGGACACAGGACACGTGCAGGTGGAAAGGCACAGAGCTCCCGTCATCTAGGAAGCAGAACAGTGGATTCCAATGACACTGTCCACCTCCTATCACACCTCTGAGTTTCCACTCAACCTCACGCATGCCTCCAGAGAGGGCCTGACTCACCTGGTCCCCTGGCTGCCCACTGGGATCAGGGTGCTGTTAGCAAAACAAGGGGACGCCAAATTCACAACCGACATGGGGCACGGGACGGGCACCTGCAGCTACTGCCCAGAGCTGAGGGTGAACACAGCTCAGGCAGGCTCGCCCAGCTTCTGAGTTATGGGTTCTTCCAACTGCCTCCTCCTGGCCAACCCCAGGAGGGGCAACACCTCCATCTCTGCTTCTTCTCTCCCTTCCTTTCCTGGGATTTTTGCTCCTGACTCCATTCATTCACAGTGGCCCTGGTCACTTTGTGGCCCTTTGGGACTCCTCAGCCTCTTCTCCGTTTTTCTGTACTGGGCCCCACAATTTCTCCCTCTCAGCCACTCCTCCACCCCCACACCACACACAGCCCTGGTTTCCATCACACAATGTTCTGCTCTTTCTCTTCCCTCTCGGTCCAGACCTTCCTTCCTTGTTTGGACTTTTCTTTCCACCTTCCCCAGGGCAGTCTTTCCTGGCTGCAGCACGGGCTCATCACCCTCAGACTGATTCCCTAAGAGAGCCCCTCCCCTTCCCTTTAACAATCCACCTTCTGAGCCCACACTTCAGCTATGAGGTGTCACAGGCACCGTCTATGCCACTCAGCGTCCAATCACACGCACAAAGTTTAAATTCAGGACCGGGTGCGGTGGCTCACGCCTGTAATCCCAGCACTTTGGGAGGCCGAGGCAGGTGGATCAATTGAGGTCAGGATTTCGAGACCAGCCTGGCCGATATGGTGAAACCCCATCTCTACTAAAAAATACAAAAAATCAGCCAGGTGTGGTGGTACACGCTGTAATCCCAGCTACTCGGGACGGCGAGGCAGGAGAATCGCTTAAACCTGGGAGGCGGAGGTTGCAGTGAGCCGAGATCGTGCCACTGCACTCCAGCCTGGGCTACACAGTGAGACACTGTCTCAAAAAAAAAAAAAAAGTTTAAACTCAGACGACTTGCTTGTCTGGAGACTGGCCTGTTGACGTGGCAGGCAGGCCTCAGAACCCTGGAGGCCCCCATCAGGCAGGTGTGAACGCTGCAGCTGGAGTAATCCGCCTGCAATCTGCAGCTGAAGCAAATACCCAATCATCTTCCAATGTCTGCTGCAAAAGAATCTCCTCAAGCTTGTCACCACTTCTTCCTCGGCACTCTGTCCCCTCACTTTTGTGTGGCAGAGGCTGCAGTATCAGTCAGGCACACAGCAGTAAAGTCAGCTTCACTTGGAAAGTTCTTATTTAATCAATCTTCCATTCTTTATTTTTCCCTTTGATAGCCTCCTCTCCTTCCTTCCATCCCACGTCTGCCTCACTCTGACTTCACCCTATTTTCCATGAGCATCAGGGCAATTCACAAATGCTACTGCAACCCAGCCTAACACACGGCGCCATGCCCCGCAGTAGGCATCCTGCAGGCTCAGATAAAACTACACACTGAGCCAGCTGGGAGTTACCCACCTTCCCCAAATCCCATTTTAAAACATTTTTTAAGTTAAAAAGAAGTTTAAGC
This sequence comes from Homo sapiens, assembly GCF_000001405.40. Classification (NCBI taxonomy): domain Eukaryota; kingdom Metazoa; phylum Chordata; class Mammalia; order Primates; family Hominidae; genus Homo; species Homo sapiens. Next base: position 123,867,147 of record NC_000010.11, read on the forward strand.
ATAAAGTAGTCTAAGCACAAGCCCACTATCCCACATCCCTTTATGCAAAGATCAACAAGGCAAAAATCCCATGTCAGAATCAAGCATCCCAGGAAAAGTTCCCAAGCCCATCTTAAAGACATATTGAACATCTGACACAGGAATCTCCACATTTAGAAAAAGGCAGGATTTTCCTATGCTAAAGAATGAGAAAGTAAGGGGCTAGAAAATAAAAGACAGGAAAATTATCTTTTGCTTTAAAGATCTAAATTAATTCGAAATACATAATATTGAAATACTCATGCTTAATATTTCACTCTGAAGAATTTCAGAATATTTCAACCTGATTCATTTTTCTTCTTTTCTTTCTACCTTCAGAGCGTCATCCTAGAGATTTCTTTCTTTTTTTTTTTTTTTTTTTTTTTGAGAAGGAGTTTCACTCTTGTCACCCAGGCTGCAGTGCAATGGTGCGATTTTGCTCACCGCAACCTCCACCTCCCAGGTTCAAGCAATTCTCCTGCTTCAGCCTCCCAAGTAGCTGGGATTATAGGCGCCTGCAACCATGCCCGGCTAATTTTTGTATTTTTAGTAGAGACAGAGTTTCACGATGCTGGCCAAGCTGGTCTCAAACTCCTGACCTCAGGTGATCTGCCCGCCTTGGCCTCCCAAAGTGCTGGGATTACAGGCATGAGCCACTGCGCCCGGCCCATCCTAGAGATTTTTGACAGGTCTACTCAATGTCCAAAATGAATAAAGTGACCTGCTCCTCCCCCTTGGGTTCTCCTGCTAAGGGGAACAATACTACAGTGGGGAGAAAATTATGCAGGATGAGGAAACCACTTGCAAAGCATGCGAGCCACGTAAGAGAGAGGAGGTCTGGGGAATCTTAAACCTGCAGAATGGTCTGGAGGCCTCAGAGCCACAGGGGCTAGGGTAAAACATTTGAAAACATCTGCAGTTCCTAGGCCTTCAGAGGCCTTGAAAAGTGGATGAGACCTCTGTCAGCCCCACCCTGGGCTGGCAAAGACCGAAGGGAGCACAGTGCAAACAAGTCACCAGAAACCAGCAGCTCCCACTCCCTTAGGCCAGCGCCCAAGGCTGCTCTTGGTCCCTGAAGTGACATCATTGTCAGCACTTCAGTCTCTGGGCTGCACCCTGGTCTTTGGACCCCAGCCACCATGGGGAACTGCTGCTAACACCGTAACCCCTAGGCAGCTTCTCTGAGGCAATCAGCAGCCAGACAAGATCCACAGCATGAATGAACCGGCGTCCAGGAAACCTCCATGTCTTCAAAACCAGAAATCTCAAAAGAAAGGCAGAGACGGCAGAAAGGAGACAAGTACTGTCTCGCAGCCACAGTCCCGGGCTTGTCTAGGACCTGCCAGGAGATGACCAAGAGTGATCATCAGAGTACACAAGATTTTGCAGCAGCAACCTGTGCATTCTAAGGGCTGAAGGAAAAGAAATTGGGATCTGGAAGCCACTACCAGCTAAGTTATAGTCAATAATCACGGTAATTGTCACGGTAACTAAGGGCTTTTTAAGACACAAGAGTATTTGGAAAATGTACCCTACTCCCAACATAACCATAGGCCTTTACTGAAAGAACAGCTAGAATCACGTGCCCAGAAACATAGACACAAAGGCAAGCAGACACGTGACCGGCAGGTGCAGCAGACACTGAGGACTGCATGGCACTTCCCGCAAATAAGCCCAGAGGACTCTGCCAGCCAAAGAACTCCAAAAGCATGGCAAAGTTAGAATGAGAGGTTAGAACTCCATCGACTTTAAATTCTCAAAGAAATATCTGGTTCTGGTCCAAGGACCTGTCAATCACAATACCACTTCCAAGGACTAGGACTTTTCCCCATCCTTCAGAAAACATTACCAAGAAAGACGGGAGTGTTGCATAGGTGACTAAGAAAAACGGAGGAGAAGCAAGGTTTCAAAGCTTAATTTAAATATCTGTAATCAGAGATTTTAAAAAAATCTTTGTTGGAACTGTAACATATTTGTATTACAATGTCAATTGATGACATAATGACTAGGTTTAAAGAGTGCTTGAAATAAGTAGGAAACTCATTGGCAGCTCTTCATCCCTCAGCAGTGTTCTGCGGGGGTTCCCAGCCAGGCTGCAGGAAAGCGGGCTCCGACAATTAATCGCTCAGTGACTCTTGAGCCAATTTGTTCCAACAGCCTCAAGACGAGCTCCCCATTTCTCCCCTAAAACAAACAAATTCATCCTTTTTCATTAAATCAAGTTTCTGTTGCTTCTAGGAAGAAAAAAGGATCTAATCCTGAGAAGCATGTGGGTGAGGAGAACACAGAAAAAAGTGTGAAAACACTTCAGGAAAATATTAATTAGAAATCAGAGATGTGTCACAATCTAGAGGAAAGGAGAGTGACAATCATCCACGATGAATCTGCTTTTCTCTTAAAGAGAGTGCAGCTCTCTGAGAACACACCACGCTGAGCAGGGCGCCATCTCCCAGCCCCATGCTCTATTCCTCGGGAGGCGAGCATGGCGTCCTCTGCCTCATTCTACCCCACCCCACGCACGTACTGCCTTAGCTCTGTCTCTTGCTAGCAGTCTCTGCATTACATATGCTTTAAAAAGAGGCATTTGCCCTCTGGCACAGATTCATTAGTCCTCATCATCATCATCATCATCACCACCATATATTACCATTTATGCACAGCAGCTCTTGAACAAACTGCAAATGTCCACTGCATTTAAGATCATGGAGGCCTTTGTGGCCCAGAAATTCCAGGACACAGTCAGAATACAGCATATAAATAAGAATTCTGAATCTAGCACTGACCCCAACACCCCACCTTCAGTATCCCAAATCTGTCCAGGGGGTGGGGGGCCGTTATGAGTCGTGTCATGAAAATTATTTTAAAAGTGTAGTGATTTGGGGAGCAACAGGGAAAACCTGCAGGTAACTACTGCGAGCCAGACTGGCTAGAGACTCCTGTCATTGTATCTGTACAATGACCCCAACAGATGGGCATCGTCGCTCATCATCGCTGAGACTCAGGGATGCCGAACACAGTTCAATAGTCGTTAGGTGTCTTGAGTTATAAAATCTCAAGCATAATCTTTACACCACCTCCGTCTGACTTGAAAACTCGAGAGCATAACACAAATGAAGTTGCTTGATGGTGTTTGGGGTCACACCAGGAAAAGAGCTGGAGCCAAGACAGGCATCCCCCGCTGGCAGAGCAGAGCTCAGAGTCCGAGGCCCTGTAGCCTACTGTGATCGCCTCAAGACGTGGTGGGCGCTGCCAAGAACAAACTCACAGCCCTCCTGAACTTTTGCTTTCATTGTCGCCTATAAATGGAGTAGCTTCGACTTAATGGAATTCTTGCCTTCGCCTTTCTGAACTTGACATTCCCTTTGATCAGTGAAGTGTGAAGGCAGCTTCCCAGCACACTGAAAATCTGTCTGCAGTAGCTCTCTGCCTTTCTCAGATACCACTGGCTTCCCAGAGGGACAGGGCCTCTCTCTGGGTCTTGGGAAATCTCTGAGCCAATCTCAGCCTTACCTAGTCGTCCTTGGAAAGCTCTTTAACACCCACCACAGGAGAGATGATCCTTCAGACCCTCATCACTGAGCTCCTCCAGAGAGCAGCTCTCACCCCAACTGAGCATCACAATCTCCCAGGAAACTTAAAGGAAAGGTGCCCTAACCCCTCTCCCAGAAACTGATCAATAGGCTAGCAAAGGAACCCACCACTGGTCGGAAGTTCCCAGGTGATTCTTCTGAGACAACCAGTCTCAGAAGAGAGTCCCTGCAAACCTGGCTGGGGTCTTTTACCTGTGAGGCTACACAAGCTCAGAGATTTTCTTTCCCAGACCCCAGTGGATCCAACAGAGGACACTCTCAAAGAATCGGGTTCCAGCCCATGCTGGCTACAGTGGCTGATATCTGGAGTCAGCCCGGAGCCTCAGCCTCAAAGGTTCTGACCACCTACCTCCTTCTTAAATGTCCAGCTCAGGGGCTGTTCTGTCTGAAAAGCCTCCCAAGACTTCCTCCCCTGCACTCAACCCTCCCAGCCTACCCACTCCTACCTTTAGCCTAACCTCCTAGGAAAAGTCCACACTGTTACCATGGTAGTTTAGTCTGTCTCCCTGAACAGGCTGTGAGCCTCAAGAGCAGCAATGACAAGTTTTCATCCTCGAATTTCCAATGCCCAACCAATGTTCCCAAATGAATGAATCTGCATTATGATCCAGTATAACTGATAATCTCTATGTCTGCATCATCATGGAAAACTAACACCATTCTTTATACGTTGCTTATAAGGCTCAAAAAAAAGGAATTATTGGTTCAAAAGAACATTTCTCAACCCTCAAGCACTTGCCTATTATCAGCTTCAGAAATTTTTCCACATCTATGTACCACCTGCACTATTATTTCCTTAATGTTTTTATTTAAATCAAATTACTTTAGTGAAAATATGTTCATGTAAAAGGTAACTTTATCACTAGAAGATAACGTGAAAATATCTTCATGACCTTGGGGTGGGCAAAAAACATTCTTAGTCCAAAGCAACAAGTACTGACCTCAACAGAAAATATTGATGATTGGTCTATATTAAATTTAAGAGCATTTATTATTCAAAAGACACTTCTACTAGAGTTAAAAAGTGAGCCAAGAAGTGGGATATTCACTATGCATGTATCTGATACAGGACTCATATTCATCGTATTTTCAAGAAAAACAAACAAACAAACAAAAACCCTCCTATAAATCAATAAGAAAAACAACAAGCAAAAGAACTGAGCACATATTCACAAATGAGGTTATCCTAATGGTAAGTAAGCATTAGTCACTAGTCATCAGGAAAATACAAATTAAGACCACAATGAGATATCAGCATATACCCACCAATAGGAAGAAAATAAAGGCTGACAATATCAAATGCTGGTAAGGATGTGAAGCAACTAGAACTTTCATTCACTGCTGGTAGAAGTGTTAACTGATACAATCAATTTGGAAAAATCTCCACCAGTACTTAGTGATACACTGTGATCCAGCAATTCTTATAGGTATACATGCAAAAAAAATTCATATATACACCAAAAGACTTATTCAAGAATAGTCTTAACAGCACCATTTATAATAGCAAAAAACTGAAAACAATCCAAATGCCCATCAAGAGAATGAATAAATAACCTGCAGTATAGTCATGCACTAGAATACTATAAATCAATAAAAATAAATGAACCATGCTATATACAACAACATAGACAAATCTCATAACATCATATTGAGCAAAAGAAGTCAGACACAAAAAAGCATACAATGTATGATCTGATGAATATTAAGTTCAAAACAGGCAAAAGTTGTATCTGATGGTGGTTATCTTTGAGGAGAAGCAGGAGTAATGGTTACTGGCTGGAAGTAGGAAGGAGGCCTGAAGTTGAGACCTCAGAACGAAAATATTTAAAAGACAAAAGGCTGCTAGAAACTGGAAACTCTACTGTATTGGAGGTTCTGCATTTTGAGCTAGTCAACATTTACAGATCTGAGAAAGGGCTTAGACTGTCCCTCCTGGAGAAAATCTGGCTGAATCTTGCCTCATTGAAAAATAAAGAATGAACACTAATGTACAGTCTGTGCAGAACAAAAAATTCCACCAAAAGAACGTTAAAGGAGGTATACCATCCAAAACACTCAGAGAAATGTGACCTTGAAAGTAACTTGATATGCTAGCTAGGAAAATATTTTACCCAGACACTGTTCATCCTTTGTATAATCCAAGAGTCATGGCTTCAACTTGCCATAAAAAAAGAAAAAAAAAACATGCTGAAGAAAAGGATAAGCAGAAAAATATTTTAAATAAGGCCAAATAGCAAGAAAACTAAAAATATAAAAGCAGAATTAAAACTCACAAGGAAGATCTATTCTTTATGAATGGGGGTCTTTGCCAACACAGTAAAGGAAAATAAATAAAGGTATAAGAATTGAAAAGGAGAAAACAAAATTGTCATTATTTCATATACATTACGATTTATACTTAAATATCAAATAATATGTGATTAACAAGAGTTTAGCAAGATTGCTGAATATAAAAATCAACATTCAAAAATTAACTATACACCTGTAGTCTACCAATAAAGAGTAGAAAATTGAAATTAAAAGTATCACAGAATAGCAAGTATCAAAGAATAAATCTATTAAAAGATATATAAGACCTCTAGCGATAAATTTCTACAAGCGATATTAAAGAAGGTCTAATAAGTGGAGAGATATACCATGTTCATGGATTAGAAGTCAATGTTGTAAATGTGTTCATTCTCCCAAATTGATTCGTAAAATCAATGCAAATCTAAATCAAAATTCCAAGAACTTGACTTGACATCATGTAGAACTTGACTACATGATGTAAATGTGTGCGTGTGTGTTTACAAGTACACACAATGGGTCAAGAATAAACACAACTTTTAAAGAAGAATGGGTCCTGCTCTACCAGATGTCAAGATTTGTTATAAACCTACAGTAATTAAGAAAGTGAGATATTTCAAGCATGGGTAGAAAAATGAATTAATAATAAAGATTAGTGAGCCTGAAAACAAAGCCAGGCATATATGGATACTTGACATCCAACAGACAGGTGGCACTGCAAAATAGTGCCCTTTCATTTGGTACTTAGTACTTGTCTTAGTCTATTCAAATTGCTGTACCAGATTATAAACAACAGAAATTTATTTCTCACATTTCTTTTTTTTTTTTTTTTTTTTTGAGACAGAGTCTCACTCTGTAGCCCAAGCTGGAGTACAGTGGCACGATCTTGGCTCACTGCAGCCTCCACCTCCAGGGCTCAAGTGATTCTTGTGCCTCAGCCTCCTGAGTAGCTGGGACTACAGGCATGCATCACCACGCCAGGGTAATTTTTTGTATTTTAGTAGAGATGGGGTTTCACCACATTGCCCAGGGTGGTTGTCTCAAACTCCTGAGCTCAGGTGATCTGGCTGCCTCAGCCTCCCAAAGTGCTGGGATTACAGGAGTGAGCCACCATGCCCAGCCTATTTCTCACATTTCTAAAAGCCGAGAAGTCCAAGATCAAGGCACCAACAGATTCAGTGTCTGATGAGGGCCTGGTTCATATACAGTGGCTATCCTCTCCCTGCGTCCTAACATGGAGGAAAGGCCAAGGGAGCTCTTGGGGGTCTCTTTTATAAGTTCACTAATCCCATTCATGAGAATTCCACCCTCGTGATCTAATCACCACCCCCCGCCCCAACCACACACACACACACAAAGGCCCTACCCCCAAATACCATCACCTTGTGGGTTAGCATTTCAACAAACACATTCTGTGGGGACATGATCAGTTTATAGCATGTGTTTACTGCTTTCATAGCCAAATGTTTAATAAGCCAGGAAAGAAGTCTACTTTCACCACAAGACCAACTTCTACCACAAGTGGTTTAAGTGCCAATTTTTTTTTGTAAAGTTTTAGGGCATAACATGGTAAATTTGGTTTTCTGTTAAATCCATCCAAGAGTCAGTAATACAGAATAAAGAGGGTTTTATCACAGAAGCTTTGAGAAGATGGAAACAGGATAGATCACAGTATGCCAAGAACAAATTCCCCAAGAGCAACAGAAGCACGTGTGCTCACCCTTGTCATGGGGATTCTGGGGAGGTACAGCCCTAGAATGTCTCCCCTGTAAGTGGACCAGCATGTACTTGGTCAATAAGAACCACACTTGGGGTTAAGTGGCTGATACAAATGAATGAAATTTCATGCCACCTATGGGTGCTACCGAGCACATCAGAACATCAGAGTTCTGTCCCCTAAACCCTTGTCTGGGAAGTATTTCTAGGCTGACAAGTCCACTGTGCCTATGGTTTCAGACCAGGGTTTCTGAAGCCTATAGCTGCAGACTGGCCACACTGCTCATGTAGTGTTCAAAAACACACTCAGTTTACAGACATGTCTACTGTAGGCTACAGCCAGCCCAGGACCCCTAATCAAACCCAGTGAAGGCCCTGCCACAAATCCATTATTGGAAAAACAAAATAAAACTCTCCACATTGTAAAGGAATGCTATAAAATCCTTCAAAGGCACTTGTTTCTTTTTAGAGACTAAAGAATAACTTTTTAGGCATGTTTGAGATGGTGCAGAAAGTGGAAAATAGCAAGGAGTAGGGGCACCTTTGGTTTCCCAGTGCCCACATTTCTTGGGCTTCCTAACCACCGTCTGTCAAGAGGGGTGTGACTCTGTCCCAGTTCTGGCCCCTCACCTCCCCTGTCACTCCCATAGGAGTCTGAAATACAGGCATGGCAGTTTATCATGTCTACTGTGTCGGTAAAATCTTTCAGAATCAGGGGTCTGGGAATAGCTGTGCCAGATGCCAAGAAGGAAGACCCAACTTCGCCCCAGGGAACTGTCTGGTTATGCAATGAAGAGAAGAGGCTCATAACAAGGGCTTGAATGAAAAACCAAACTGTCTGTGATGCAATGAAAAACCCTCAAGCTTAAAACACACACAAATATACATTAAGTTGGCCAATCCCCAAGTATGGTGCCTGATTGAGGCCTCAAACTTCTTCCAGTCAAGGCATGAGGGAGATGCGTCAAGCAAGCTCGCATTCACCAACATGTTTCAGGGAAACCATCCTACTTCCATCCTGGTAGGAGATCATGTTTCTTTCTTTTCTTTCTTTTTTTTTTTTTTTTTTTTTTTTGGTGGGACAGAGTCTCGCTCTGTCACCCAGGCTGGAGTGCAATGGCGTGATCTTGGCTCACTTCAACCTCCGCCTCCTGGGTTCAAGCAATTCTCCTCTCTCAGCCTCCCAAGCATCTGGGATTACAAGTGCATGCTGCCACGCCCGGCTAATTTTTGTATTTTTAGTAGAGACAAGGTTTCACCATGTTGGCCAGGCTCGTCTCAAACTCCTTACCTCAGGTGATCCACCTGCCTCGGCCTCCCAAAGTGCTAGGATTACAGGCTTGAGCTACTGCACCCGGCTGATCATGTTTCTTTCCTACAGATCTTGCTCTAAGAACTGAAATCAAAGACCACTTCCTTGAAAGGGCCAGCTGCTGTTCTGGGTCATAGAGAACCCACCTGAGCATATGTAGAGCACCTGTTCTGTTCACCATGATGCTGGCTCTACCACAATATGGGTACTCAACAAACAGGTTCACCATTGTCAAGTGCTGCTACCAACATTGGGTCTATCCAGAGATGAATCAGACAAGGCCCCTGCTCTTAAGCATTCACAGGCTTTCAGAACCAAAGAACCGTGCACGGGAATCACTGTGATATGAGAAAGGAGGGAACCAGCACCATAAGAAAGAAGCATGGGAAACTAAAGAGAGGTGATCAGAGGAGGCTTCCTGGAAGTGGGATTTGCAGAGCACTGAACTTCTAAGGCAGAGGCTGACAAACTATAGCCCATGTAAAGGTCAAATACAGCCCACCGCCTGTTTTTGTATGATCTGTAAAATAAGAATAAACTTTAAATATTTTAAGGGTTACCTTTTAAATGGTTATATAAGCACTTATATAATATCCTGGATTTTGGCTCTTAGCTACTAAAGCATAAAATATTTACAATCTGATCCTTTAAAGAAGTTTGCCAGCCCCTGTTCTAAGGCACACAAAAGACCCCAAGACGGTAAATTAAAGTCACAGCTAATGTTTGCTGAGAGCTTACTGTGTGCTGTGTGCTACACTGTGCAGACATTATTTAATCTTCACAATATGCCTATAAGGTTAATATTATTCCCACTTCACAGAGAAGGAAACTGAGTCATAGAGAAGTTAGTAACTTGTCCAGAGTCTGGCAGCCAGAAGTTAGTAACTTATCCAAAGTCTCAAGTGTTAGTCTGATCCCAAAGCTGTCCTCTCAATCACCAACTTTGATGCTTGTCCAATTCCCTATAGAGAGAACATGTGAGCAGAGGCTTAAAGCTTGGGACACATGTAAAAAACAAGCCCTCATCTGGCTGCAAACAAAGGGAAGCAGAGGCCAGAAAATGGGTAAAATTATAGTGGGAATTGCCAAGTAGAGAATAATCCTGCAATTAATGCATGGTAAATAACATGGCATAAGGTAATTTCATTGCAACAAAAGCTGTTTACAGTAGCAAAAAATTGGAAACAACATAAATGTCTATTATTAGGTGGTTATATTATGGAATGTCATGTAACCTTTGAAAAAACAAGGTCATGCTTTATCTTCATTGTATTGGTCAGCTACTGCTGTATAACAAGCAACCCCTAACTCTTAATGGCACACAATTCGCATTTACTTTCAGGTGTCTGTAGATTAGTTGAGCTCAGCTGGGTAGCTCTGGGTTGCTGGTTGGGCCCACATCTGTTCCACTTATTGCTCAGCCTCCTAGGACCAGTGGTCTAGGTATGCACACTCTTCTTGTGGAGATGCAAGAGGCCCAAGAGACAAATGGAAACAACCAAAGCTTGGGCTCAGAACTGACACATGATCCCTTCACCATCTATTGGCCTAAACGAGGCTCATGGACCAGCCCAAAGCCAAGGGACTTCCAGCTTTGGCAAAGGGAACTAAAGAGTTACACAGCAAAGGGTGTGGACATGAGAAGAGGTGAAGAATTAGAATGATGACTCAACCAACTTCTTAAACTATTACAAAACAACACCTAAAAGGTAGTTTGATACTTGCCACAGCTGACACTACTCCTTAATCACAGTGACAGCCATGTACATGTTCTCTTCCTCAAAAGCTAAAGTTCCATAAGGATGACTTCTACATCTGAGATGAGCCTTTTAACCCCATCCACTCTCATAACTCAATGTAGTTAACATCGCCTGTACTGCCCCCCGCCTTGCAAATGAAGTGGCTGACATCTGCTCTGCCTGCCACCTTGAACATAATGTAGTTGTCACGTACACCAGCCCAACATTCTGCCACGCTGCCTTCAAAGCCCCCCAGTGCAACCTGAGTAGATCCTGACAGGAGGATGGACTCAGGGTTTGAGAATGCCCGGTTCTGCATTTGAGGCCACACCTTGCTTGTTCAGGTGCCTGACTCTAGGCCTGCGTTCCTAACGGCCACGCCACCCTGCCACATGTGCCCTGCCTCCATGGCCACCATCTGTCGGTTGTCAGGATCTCCTCAGCTGCTTTTCCCCTCCAAGGTTATCCTCGACCCCCTTTTTTTCTCTCTTTTTTTTTTTTTTTTTTTTTTTTTTTTAGTAAAAGAAGTTTCACAGGCTAAAATCACGTATAGGGCATTCAATGAACCAGAGCCGTGATGGCTGCCTATGAGACCAGTGATCCCAACCTAATAGCTTTGAAGCCAAAGCCATGGGAGCAATCCTGGGTGGGCCAGTAGGGAGGGGTGTACCCATGGCAGAAAAGGAGGCAAATTCAGACGTGTGTGTGTGTGTGTGTGTGTGTGTGTGTGTGTGTGTGTAATTGAGTCTTCAAAAATCTTTCCGAAAATGGTCTCCTCAAAAGTTTAAGAACTTCCAATTCTGATAATAAAGAACTAAGATAATTCAAACCAACCCTTCTGCTGAAGCTACTCAAAAAAATCTGGGCAAAATATGTTTAAAAGCACTTAAAAATTAACAAGGCAGTGAAGAAATACGTTTATTTCTTCACAAGGCAGTGAAGAAGTACCAGGATCCAATCTGATGGCAGTAAGACCCAGGGAGGCAAGACCAACTCTCAAGGCCACGTCAGCCCTGTGGCATTTGTAATCCTGAAGAAACAGCTGGTGTTTTATCAGCCTGCTTGGGCACAAAATGCCAATGTCCAAGGTCCATTCAAGGTGAGGAGTCCTATTACCCCCCATCTAGAGACGACCCCAAAGCACCACACTGTCAGGGTCAAGCAGCAGAAACACAGCCACAGTGTGCACTGTGCAGAATGCGCTCTCCCGGTCCAATGAGTCCTCTCAATGGGCAATGGGTGGAGTGCACGCCTGCCCACTTTAAGAAGGAATATACTTTACATTTGGTAAGTGACCACAGAAGGTCACTGTTGTTGACATCTGTTTTCACTTGAGGATGCACTATTAGTCATCTCTATGATTTCTTTGATGGCGAGTTCTTGGTTAGAAACACTGCCCCAAATCATTACATTGTGCTTAAGGAAGCAGCACTTCCACCTGTGACAATCAACTCTGGAACACTGTTTATGGACTCACATGGCAGCTAAAGTCCTGCCTCTGTAAATGCAAAGTTGTGAAATGCATCATTTATTTTAAGCTAACCAAAAAGTCTAGAATCAGAAAATCTTGGGTTCAAATCCCTGTTTTACCACGTAGAAGCTGCATAACCCTTGGTAAACTATGCACATTCCCATGTCTCATTTTCCTCATCTGTAAAGTATGGATAATAATGATAATAATAATACCCATAGTCAGGGGGGCACTAGGGGATGCCAAATACTCAGCCAAGTGCCTGGCTACTACATAAGTGCTTAATAAATGGCTGTTATTACTAATACTAATTTTAGCAGAAATGTGATCCTGGTTACCACAGTTTAGATAATAATGATACAATAATAATAATGGTAGTAGTTAATAGTAATAGCTGTAGCTCATGGGCCAGAGATTGTTCATGAGTCTCAAAATAATACCTTTGAACATTCCAAGGTGAGTAATTAAAGGTGCACTATGTTCATGACTGTGAGATGCCGGCCTAGCACTGCATATTTTGCAAGTAGATTTGATCTCTGACCCCAGAGGCTCCTGGGTCAGGTTGGGAGATAAGAAATGCACACTGAAGGCCATGGGCAGCTAAGAGGTCCCACAAGAGAGGAAATGATGTTGTCTTTGAGGAGAGAGAGGTGGGGAAAGCAACCAAGAGCTCCAGGAAATTCAAAACTGACTGCAGTTGAATCAGAAAATCTGGCTGTGAGTAGTGAGGCAGTGCACAAGTGTGAGTGTGGTGCAGAAGCTGCCGTGAATGTTCTCGCCCCCGCACCATGGATCGGAATAGACAGCAGGCCCCAGGCAGCCCCACACTCGGGAATCTGTAGTCAGGCTGCTGCACCAGGGGCCTGTACCCACCCACCCTCCCTGAACAGGGCCTAGGACTGGTGTAGGGGCTCTCCGAGAGCCTCACTTACTCTCTCTGACATCTTCACGGGCCACACGGACACTGTGATCATCGTTGGCAGCCTTCTCAGAGCTCTTGGTTCTCATAACTTTTTTGTTGCTGTGTTTACCTAAAGGGGGAGAGAGAGATGCCTTTACTTTCACATACATCAGAGCTGGTTCAAGATGCTAAGAGTTCAACTGTCCTCTCCTGCACAGCAGCCATCTCCCCTTCTGCTCCCCTGTCCCTAAAGATGGGGTCTTGGACTTTAAGGAGTCTCTAGTTAAAGGAAAGGAAATGTGTTATTAGCAACACCCAGGAGAAGAAACACTCCTAATAAAAACAATGTACACCTGCACGTTGTTACTATTATAAGACTGAAGATCACACCTGTAATCCCAGCACTTTGGGAGGCTAAGGCGGGTGGATCACAAGGTCAGGAGATCAAGACCATCCTGGCTAACACGGTGAAACCCTGTCTCTACTAAAAATACAAAAAATTAGCCAGGCATGGTGGCGGGCACCTGTAGTCCCAGCTACTTGGGAGGCTGAGGCAGAAGAATGGCGTGAACCTGGGAGGCAGAGCTTGCAGTGAGACGAGATTGCGCCACTGCACTCCAGCCTGGGTGACAGAGCGAGATTCCGTCTCAAAAAAAAAAAAAAAAAAAAAAGACTGAAGAATACCTTTGGGTAGTACATTTGACCCTCACTGAGGCCCAGAGACATCATTTGTAGTTTCTGGAACTGGAAGTGGAGCCTCAGACTTGTGACCCCAGAGCTAGCATTTTCCACCCTGCTGGGCTTCTCCAACCTAACTCTCTCCCAGGCCCTGGCTTGGTACCTGTGGGTAAGGATGCTGCCCCCATTTGGGGAGCCTCCTTGCCATAGCCTGAGACACCTGCCTGCCATGCTCCTGCTGGCCCCTTGGCTCCTTTTCACACTGCACTCCCTCTCCCTGCTCCAGCAACACTGGCCTCCGTTTAGCCTTCAGTTCATGCTTCTTCCTCACCAGAACTGTGTACTATGTTGTTCCTTCTCCTGGAGCACCCTTCTCTTCCCTTCCCTTCCCTTCCCTTCCCTTCCCTTTACGCTCAAGCTAATTAGCTCCTACTGATCCTGAACATCTCAGCTCTGGCATCGCCTCCTTAAACTTTCCCGACCTCCCCACCAAATCAAATCCACTTTGATGGAAGTTGATAGCACCTGTTTTGGGTCAGGTTGCCTCTAGGTAGAGCCTGATGCAGGGCTTTGGATGCACAAGGTGTATTGAGGGAGAGGGGAAGGAAGGGAAGCAGGATGGGGTGAGGAAAGGAGCTAAGCAAGGCTGTGGTCTCAGCCAGAGTCAGGCTCAGCCCATCCCACAGGAGCTCTGGAGCAGCAACTGCACACAGGGTTGTCCTGACTTGGGACAAGGAGCTGTCATTTCTACTGCAGTTGGCTTCTGGCTACAGCCTGAGAGTGGGAGATGTAGCCTTCCAAGGGTTCTTCTGCAGAGGTGGAAGCAGGTGTGAGCTGCCTGAAGAGGAGACTCCTGGTATCTGGGGGCTGGGTGTCCCTGTGGGGAAAGAAGACCTGGGTGGGGCACTGGCAGCCACACCGCAGGTCTGCACCCATCTTGGGTGGCAGCATCCCAGTGGCAATGGGACATGTCTGTTGATGAGACAGGGATGATGTCTGGCTTTGCTCACTGCTCTGTCTCCAGAGTCTGGGACTTAGGAGGCTGTGATGAATGAATGAATGCACGAATGAACAAATGAACCAGTCGGTGAGTGACAAACAGAAAGAAGAGGCAGGGCAGGTCTGTGGAGAAAGAAACTTAGCTTGAACTTTAAAAGCCAGTTGAAATACCAAAATTAGCTGGTGGATTCTGCCAATAATGAAATCATTTCCGACTATGTTACAGTCACATGCTAAAAGGACACTTATTAAGAAAACCTTAAATCTTCAAGAAATTCAAGGGGCACATTGGGCCAAGCCAAAGGAAACCCCCCTTTTTGTTATATTCTTGGGTGGTACCTGCTGGAAGTATCTTTCATTTCCATGTAAGCTGAAAAGAAAATAAAAAAATTAAGTGCCCCCTTTAGTGTCTAGAAGCCAATTAACTGAAACTTCTGTAAAGGCCAGAGGAGGAAGGCAAGTCAGAGACCTGAACCCACATCTCTGCCCGACACTGCTTTGGCCTGTGTCCTGCTTCTGTGGGCGGGAACATCCCGGCTGGTGGGAAAACCGTGGAAGAAGGCCACCTCCCTAAGAGCCTGACCAGGGCTCTGTAAAGGCCTTAGTGGCTCCACAAAATCAGGAGCATAACTTTTGATAAGGCTGAGTTGGATTTTTCAGAAACATAAGATGTTTTAAGAAAAGGAAAGAAAAAAATTTCACAAAATATGTGAGAAAAAAAGCCAAAGTTCTGGAAAATAATGCCCCATTCCAGCCTTCCCCAGAAAATGGTGTTCACGACAACCTTCCTTCAGCCAGGGCCGCCTCCCTGGGGCCTCCATGGAACAGGCAGTGAGAGAGGGAGCCAGGCGGTCCCCCAGCACTATGGCCTGGGCAGCTCCCAATACTATGGCCTGGACAGCTTCCAATGACATGGCCTAGGCAACCCCCCCCCACCATAACACCATGGCCTGAAAAACCCCCAACTCCACAGCCTGGGCAGCCCCCACACCATAGCCCAGCCAGGCCCCACACTACAACACCATGGCCCGGGCACCTCCCAACACCATGGCCTGCGCAGCTTCTAATACCATGGTTTAGGCACCCCCCACCAACCCCGCAACCATAATACCATGGCCTGGGCAGCCCCCACACGACAGCCTGGACTGCCCGCAATACCATGGCTTGGGCAGACTCCACACCACGGCCCTGCCAGCCCCCACATCACAACACCATGGCCCGGGCACCCCCAGGCCCAGGCAGATTTAGGCCTGTGAGGAAACTCTGGGACTCAGCTCTGGGACTCCAGTGAAAGTCTGGATGTCAGGCGAAGGTCCTACTACACTGACAGTGTGACTCCCCTGGCAGGGGGATGGAGGGTAGGATCAACATGTGGGGAACAGACTCCCCAAAGGGAGTGGCAGATGGGGCTGAGACAGCAGGCAGGGGCCCAGCACCTTCGCTGGGGAGGAGGCAGCTGGTGGTTGGAAGTGCAGGCCTAAGGGCCTGGTTCCAGTCTGGGGTGCTGCCATGTCTGCCCCTGTACCCTCAGGTATGTCCTGGGATGACCTCATCACCTCTCTACACTTCAGTTCCCTCATCAGTGAAAGGAGAAGGCAACAATACCTGCCACGGTGGAAGTTACCAGCAGGAAACAAAAATGCTGCCTGATGGGCTTAGGGTGGCCCTGGCCTGCAGCCTCACTGAGCAAGACCTCTATCTTCTCACCCATCACAAAAAGCTATTCCAGTTGCTGGAGGAATAACAGCTAATGTGCATAGCATGGTTCAAAATTGACACGGCATTTTCACATAGATTCTAACAGGGTCTCTGCACACCATTTTATAGATGGGGACACAGATGCTCAGAGGGGAGAAGAGAGCTGCCCAAGGTCACGGACAGAGCAAGGAGGGGACAGAGCTGGAGAATGATTCCAAATCCGAGCCCTTCATGGACAGCACACAGGCCCCCCCTTCATAGCCCCTTCCTCTCTCCTAACAAGAAAGGCAGCATATGGTCCATGCAGATGAAAGAAGAAAGCAAAATGGAAACAGTGTGCAGAGAAGGGGCCAGGATCAAGCCAGCATCTCCATCTGGGCCGCGTGACAAAACCGAATCCCTTAAAAGTAGCAAACTGAATTGCCAATGTGGGCCACATGTTCTATTCTGGTCTACAGTGATAAATATAATTCTTGGTTAATAGAGAACTATTTTTCTCCTCACTATACAAAGGGCTTACAGTAGCAACCCCCAGAAGCCAGAAAAAAAAAATGCTTTGCTGCAATTTTGCATCTTCCCCAGGAAATTCCAGTCCAACAGGCTCTGCATTCCTGTAGTAAAGGACCCAGCCCAGGGCTCTGAGGTCCTTGTCTGCTTCTGCTTAAGGAACCCACATTAGGAGAAAAAAATGACCAAAGAGGTTCTCTGGGGCTCCCCAGAATTGCAGCATTAAGGCTAAATCACCACAAACACACCAGATCTGCTGGGAGGATCTGCTGGGAACCCTCACACAGGGAGAGCCGGGAGAACTTCACAGGTGAACATGAAAATCTAAACAAAAGCAGTGAGAAACGCCTGCTCTGTGCGATGTTGGCAGGGAAAGGGCCATGACACAGGGAGGAATCACCTGCACCCTTATCCAATTCTGAGGACTGGAAGCTCCCAGAGGAAATAAGAATCCAGGGATTCAGTGGGTCCTGAAGGGCGAGTTGAGCAGTGGACTGATGCGCTGGCTTCTATCCATCTCAATGACCTTGACGGGAGCCCGGGGGGAGGCTGTGGGCTGGACATGGAGGTACTCATGAAATTGTCTAAGAACTTCTTACCAAAACTAGACCAAAATCAATCAATCAAACAATCCATCAAAATCCCATGGCCCATCTCTCTCTCTCTCTTTCTCTCTCTGTCTCTCTTTCTCTCTCTCTCCATTGTGTCTTCTCTGGGATACCTGCCTGGTCAGTCCCACCCTCCTCTGGGCCAGCCTTTCATGCAGAAGACCTGGCCTCAGATCTGGGCATAAGGAAGAGTGGGCATGGCTGGGGCAGCAGTGCCCTGTGGCCCCCACTCTTGCCCTCTGTGCAGCCAGCAGCCACCTTTCTGACTTGCAACCAAATAGAGTCCTTTGCCTTTAAAGAGACACCCTGGTAACAGCAGCAGGTGGGTGTGTGCAGACACTGTGCAGGGAGCTGTTGGTACCTGCCAGTCTCATCTTAGATTCCACCTGGAAACAGCCTGAGACAAGAAGGCTTTGGGCACAGTGCTGTATGTGGGAGGAGATTTCAAGTAGCACAGGTGAAAAGTTGAAGGGGAAACACCAATAACTCAGGCTGTGTTGTCTGGCAGGACTCAACGGGGACTCAACCTGGCTGGGGACTCAGGGTGGGGTTGGGAGGGGAGATGCCTCTGAGCTGCCCCACTCCGGAGGCTGGGAGGCTAGAAGGCTGGGAGGCTGGGAGGCTGGAAGGCTGGGCATTGACCCCTCCAATCGTACACCTCCTCCAAAAGCTCGGGTTATTAATTGTTCCCATGCCATCGTGAGGAACTGATGCTTGGAGAAGTCACAAATGCCCATGAGTGGCAGAACCAGACTTTGACCTCAGCTCTCTCTTCATCCTGGAAAAACTCACCATGGAGCACCTACCTGTGCCTAGCATGAACCAGGCATTCCATACAAATCTGTGACATCAGGGGCTTAAATTAACATGTGAAGCTGTTTTGTGCCATGCTAACCATCCTATGATGCCCAACGAGTAGCCAGCTGGCTGCCAGCCAGATGTGGATGCCAGCCCTTCCAGTGGCCATCCAAAGAAACCCTAATTTCCTGGGTTTTGTGACCCCAGAGTGGTAGCTGCAGTGGCTGGGGCCTGAGAGGGCCACAGAGGGCAGAGCCATTGCTGGAGATGCCAAGCCTGAATGCTCAGGCTCCCTGGACCCTCAGGGACATCCAGAGAAAACCTCCACCTCAAAAGTCAAGGCTCCAGGGCCAGGCTGCCATTGTCCCCACACTAAAGGTGCCATGAGCTCTAGCAGCCATGGACACTTGAGGCATACAGAAAACACAGTGGCTATTTTTAAGAACCACAGCATGCAGTCCAGCTTTCGCAAACGTGGGTGTGTCCTCCTTTATTATCCATGCGCGAGCCCTGGTTTCTGGAACCTTGGGCACAGGCAAGAGGAAATTTGCCAGCATTAATAGTTGACTTTGGAAAGCATTTTGGAAATGGAGGTGGTGTCTTAGAAAGCTGCTTGCTAATGTACAGGAAATGACGTCCTCTCCCTTGGAATTCTATAGGGAGTTTACCTGGACAAAACACTTTGGATTTAACTCTTAAAGTAAGCATATAATTTGACATGAAGGATTGCTTGTTAATTGTTTAGGTATGCTAATAGCATTGTGATTGCTTTTTAAAGTACTTATTGAAATATTTACAAACACAGCTTCCTAATCCTTACACACTCCCATTTTGCCCAGGAGAAGACATTTCCATCCAAAAGCCAAATGCAGCAAAACACACTGAAAAGAGAAGGAAAGCTTAAATGTGAAGCCCTTTTCACCAACTGGCTTACGGCACACACAACAGAAAAGGCTTTGTTTACAACCAAATATGCTCAAAGAACAACTCTTTGGTTATTTCCCCCTGCAACTGGGGCCCAGCACAGTACAAAATGCAAACTCAATGATTCTGAGCACAGACACACAAACAAACGTGGCTCGCTGCCCCCTCTGCAAATTCCACGGGCTCAAGACTATGGCGATGATGTGGGTTTGTCCACATTCAAACAGCGGTGCATTCTCACCAGCACAGGAAGAAAGTTATGAACAAAGGACCAAGCAGAAACTCAAATTTAAAGACTACATATCCAAGCCTACTTCTAACCCAATGTGCAATGAAGAGAGAAATAAATAAAATCTTCAAATCCCTCATTCAAATCAATAGTTCAGCTTATTATTTGATTTGATTGTTACTGCCAAGTGGGAGGAAAAGGATAAGTTCTATAACTATGGTTTATTTTTCTGTTCTATTTTATTCTTCAAAAGGAATATGGCTGCAAACCAGGGTCATCAATTTGAAGATGGCATGGAAAGTAAGACACCCCCAAATCCACTTGCACGTGCAAAATGTGGCCCCTTACCTTATTCATAACCCTGGGAGAATGAAAACTGAGGACCTGAGATTCACTCCCGTGGCCTTAAATCATTCCAACTGCAGGGATCTAGAAACTGTCAAATTCAATTCGAAACAGCTAAATAAATGGAATTAGAGAGCAGAACGTTGTCAAGTTCATATGAGGAAGAACATTCTAGCAATAAGTACTCTTCATCCACTGAATGGTGAGAGTCCATCCATGGAAGCCTGTGAGCAGAGGCCGGGCAGCTCACTGTTAGAATCTCGCAATAAGCAAGAATCTGTGCTCAGTGTCCACTTAGGTCCTTAGAGTTCTAAAATTCTCGGATGGATGAGTGTTCACAATGAGGACCTCAGAAACTGTACAGTACCAAAATCCTACTGCAACCTAAGAAAAAGATTCTACGGTTCCATATCCTGACAGTGGTGGTGGTTCCATGAACCTGTACATGTGATAAAAACTACAGAGAACATGCCTACAAATGCATGTAAGAACTGGTCAAATCTGAGTAAGGCATGTAATCTAGTTAACAGTATCACTGTCAACCTCCTCATTTTGATACTGTATACAACAGTGACTCCCATCCCCCTGGGGATATTTGGCAATGTCTGGAGACATTTTTGGTTGTGACAACAGGGGGGAGGGTGCTACTGGCATCCAATTTGGAGTCCAGGGACACTGCTAAACATCCTGCAATACACAGGAAGGCAACCCCCTTCCTCCTCTGTTGGCACGTACACACAACACACACACACACATACACAAACAAACACACAATTGGCCCAAAACATCAATCCTGCCAAGATTGAAGTATCTTGTACTAGAATCATCTAAGAGGTTATCACTGGGGGGAGCTGACAAAGCGTACATGGGGCCTCAGTGTACTATTTTTGCAATTTCCTGTGAGTTTATAATTATTTCAAAATAAAAGCTTAAATAAATGTTTTTAAAGATTCCATTCTGTTTAATATATTGGGGCTCTACTTCTCTGGAAACCTGTTAGCCACTCATGGAAAATGCAATACTCTCAGTTAGCCAAAGGGTTCAGTTCTCCAAGCATCTCCATGAATGTCAGCATGTCACACCCATTGGGCATTTCTGTGGTGGTGCGAAAGAACAGCCAATGGTCAAAGCCAGAACCCACATCAAGATCAAATCCCCAATGCCCTTGGCTCCTTGCATAAACCCCGCTACAGGGTTAAAACAGGGCTCCCTCCTAGGGCCTACCACATAGAAAATCTGCCTGTGTGGGGAATCACTGCTGAATACATCTTTCCTTGCACTCACCTTTATGCAAAACAAGAGCTATCTGGGAAATATTTTATCATCTGCAAAGATAAAGTACATATAGACTTTTAATTAGTTATATATGCTTTTATACTGTTATGCATCTCTAAATTGAACCCCTCACTCCCACCTCAGTGCCTCATACATAGCATTGCATCATCCACCCAGTGAAGCAAAGTACAGAAGTTTGCATTAAACACTCCAGGCCACAGTCCAATGTTCCTTCCTATGTAAGTGCCTTCCTAAGATATTCCAAAACAATCCAATGCAGAGATAAGTGCTTCTATTACACCACGAGCAGCATATAGATCAAGCCGCTACTTAAAGTAGAAAAAAAATAATTTTCTCCTAGTGTAGTTTAACTGCACAAAACTGTCACTGATTCCCCTAACTAAGTTCACGCTTAAACCAGTCTTCCCACTTTGGTCCAGGGCAGAGGATTCTGCTGAGCAAACACCAAAATAAAAAAGGACAGGAGTTAAAAATATGAGATAAATGTCACACTTGTCTTGTCATGGTTGGGGAGAGCTCTAAAAAAGCCCCACAGAATTCATTAGAAACACAGCTGACATGGTAGCAGGTCTGCAGGCAGCTGTCCCAACAGGCCTCTGATGTGAGTCTCTAGATCTTCCGAAGACGTGTTTTCAGTATGGGGCTTGGAGATCCCGGTGGATGCCAGGGCTGCGGTGAACTGGGCAATGTGTCCTGCAGGAGCAGAGGCTAGGCACCGAATCAACAGGCTCCCCCATGGCCTGTCTCTACCTGCAAGATGGCCTTCCAAAACCAAATGAGCTTTTTCTTGCAAATTCAGGTTACACTCTGATTTCTCCTCCAGAGACCCCATTCCAAGAGTGGCAAGAGCTGTTTCTCCAAGGACTAAAGAGAGTCACTTCCCCATGTAACCCCTGAGTCTGCAGACACATTAGTCTGTGGACACTGCTCAGGCCAGGCTGTGACTTTCTGAGATGTGTTTTGTAGGGAAAGAAACCTATCTTAGGAATGATGTCCGGTCACTTGTACGAGTCCCCAGGACAATCAAGCTGACTTACTTGTCAAGTCTTAAACATCACCTCTTCGGGGAAGCATTACGCAAGCCCCCACAGATTCAGTGAGCTCCCCCAGCTTGTTTGTTACCTTAACACCCCACACTTTTGTGCAACCCTTAACACAACTGTGATTACTTTCTCAGAGTTCCCAGCTAGTTCCATGTGGTGGGGGGCGGGGGCTGGGGGGCAGGGAAGAGGAACGTCTTGCTCTCCCCATTCCTAGGATCTCACCCAGCACCAGTGCTTAGCAGGTTCTTGGTAACGGCCTGTGGAATGAATGAAAGGTTCACAGGAAGACCAGCACATAAGCGGGCAGGCACACTGGAAGCTTTCATTAAAAAGGTTTTTACAGCAATTGACAAAGTAAAGTGAGGTGGCAGGTGCAGTCTTCCTATTTGCAAACGATGATGAAGTTAAAGCTCAGGAAACTGAGCCATGATTCCAGATCCCCAAGTTGATGAGCCCTAAACATGGGTGTTAGGCCCAGTCTTCAGACTCCCAGTCTGGGGCTCTCTTCCACTTTCCCCCTTAGCACTACCCCCAGTGACTGCCAGAACCCAACATACATGTCTCCTGCCTACACCACCCTACCATGCCCAGGACGGAGCTAAGCACATTGCAGGCACTTAAAAAAAAACTAGAATGCATGTGGATTTGATTCAAACTACCAAACCAAAAAGGCCTTGAGTTAAAAAGGACAGAAGAAAGGCTTTCAAATATCCCAAGCCAGCAAGTGACGCTGAGCAAGTTACTTAAACTGTCTGAGCCTCACCCACCCTTCGGAGCCACTGAAAGGATGAAATGAAACTGGCACATAAAGTTTCTAATGGAGTCACAGTCGACATTCTACAAATATAAGTCTCTTCCCACTCCTAATCCTGTTATTAAGCCACTGTAGCTCTTAAACATCTGAATTCCCATAACTCTCCCTGAAACACTGGAAATTCTGGATGTGTTCAGGGTTGTCACACAACTCAGAAATCTCCGCCCATTCAAAGTTGTCCACAAATGGAAGCATGCCAGGGCCTCTGCAAAGGGGGGTGCTCATATAGGTCCACCCTTTCAGGAGTTCTGTGTCCTCACCCCTCCTCCACTTTCCCACTGCCCTGGCTGCTGACTTTCGTGAGCAGTTTAACCAAACAAAGACGATGCCTTCCATACCCGGAGCCCTGTAACGGTGGCACCCGCACGTATCTCCTTTCAGGAAAGGCCATTGCGAGGCCAGAGAATTTGGCCACATTCCTGCTCATGCCCCACTCTTGAAATACCAGGCCTGCAGCCCCTGCAATTTAAGCAAAGAACATTTGGAACTAGAGAAAGCCCCACTTCACAAGGTGGTTAATAAACTACGTCATTTAGTGGAAGTCATTTTCCTAAGAAAATGAGGTTGGCAGAAACTGAAGATGGATTTGAGAAGGGTATGAGACTTGGATGAAAGACGGAGCACTGCAGGCAGCCAGGGAGCCCCCAAGCCGGAGTCCAGGCTGCAGCAGACTCCAGGCACAGACTCCCCAGTGGAGGCTGTGCCATCCTGCCCCAGCCGGGCAGAGGACCCAAGAGACCCGCTGAGAGTGGGAAGGAGGGAGCTGAGAAGGGACACGACTGGGTAAAGGCCTACTGGCAGAGCTTTCCCTAGAAGGCCATCTGCCAAAACAGCCAGCCATCCACATCCCCAAAGCGGAAATTCAGCCGCATTTGAGGATTGAAGAAGTAGGCAGAGAAGTAAGAGGCATCCAGCAGAAAGACCCTTAGCTCAGGGGATTTCAAGCTTGAAACAAGAACTTTGACTCTCATAGGCAGCCTCCCAATTGCACAGCTCCCTCTTTACCTAAGGGCATAAGCCAGAGCTGAAATGCATGTCAGGGTCAAGGACAAGTTCTGGGAAGCTGGGCGGGCCGGCAGGAAGCGCAGATACAGTCCCTAGGGAGGCAGAGGCGGCAACAGGGAGATTCCCGGGACTGGCCCATCCCAGACACACACAATGGGAGAAGCCAGTTGTCCCCTGGAGGCGCGCAACCACCGGCGCCCCCTCGGGCTGCCCAGCGCAGAAAGTTCCTTACCTGGTGGAGGCGGCTCCGGAGCCGACTTCTCCCTCTTGGGAGCTTTCTTGGGCTTGGTGGCCCTCTTGGGCGGCCTGGGCTCCTGCGGGCGCCGCTCCCACTCCTCCCCGGGCCCCGCAGGCAGCGGCGGAGAGAAGGTCTCGAGCTCGGGCTCCGGGCGCGCGTAGTAGGGCTCCCGGCTCCAGATCTCCTGCCCGTAATAATCAGGGTCCTCGAGGGCTGCGCCCTGGGCTCCGACCCCGGCCAGGGTCACTGCCAGGAGCACCAGGGCCAGCGCTGGGGTAGCGGTCCCCGGGCGGGACATGCCTGCTCCGCCCCGCGCCCAGGGCAGGGTCACGGTCACCGGGGGCGCCGGGCGGGCTGCGGGCGCAGAAGCTGGCGCGGGGCAAGGGCGCAGGGCACAGCAGAGCGGCGCGCTTGGGCGCGGGAGGCGGCCGGCTGGCTGCGCGTGTGACCGGCCCGCGGGGCTGGGCTGGGCTGGGCCGGGGCGGACAGGGGCGCGCAGAGGCGCGGGGCGGGCGCAGGGGGGCCGGCCCCGCCCTTCCTTCTTCCCTCCCTTTCCCGGCGACCCCTCCGAGGCCGGTCCTTGGAGGCAGGTGTTCCAAGCAGCCAAGCCCAAGAAAGCCCCCTTCCCCTCCCCCGCAGGCCAGCCAGCGTGGGGCCTGCTTCCCCAGAGACGCTAATGAGTTTCAATCTTAGAAGAAAACACTGAGGCCCGCTGTTCCATTCCTGTTTTACAGGTGGAGAAACGTGACCTGAGAGAAGAAAAGATTGGCCCAGGGTCCTAAAGTAAATCAGAGCCCAAGCAGCCTCCAGCTCTCAAACCGTGCCCCGTGTGCTGACCATTCCGCAGACGTGGACTTCCCACTAGCCATGCTACTGTTTCAGGAACTGGGAATGAGGAATTCCTGAGGTTCCCGGGGTTTCTGGGAGTAAAGTTCCCTGGGAGCAGGGCCTAGGGACCCTGGAGGAGCCCTCTCCCATCTGAGACTGTGATTCTGTTGGGTCTTGGGAAAGACAGTGACGTTACCCCAAGGTGGCCATCCAGGGGTCACAAGAGGGTTTGTGGTTCATCCAAGAGCAGGCTCTTGCCCAGAGGGTCCTTTGAGAAAGGGCCTCCTGCTTTGGACAACTCTGCATGGGTTCTTTATGCGGAGCCCAGGCCCATGGCCCTGCGGCTTCTGCTCTCCAGGCGGGGATGTGGGGAACCAGGGACTGCATCGTTTCCCTTGCTGCTGTAACAAACGATGACAAACTTAGTGGCTTCAAACAACACCTATCTCACAGCTCTGCAGGTGAGAAGGCTGATGCGAGTGTCACCAGGCCAAAATCAAGGGGTCAGCAGGACTGGTTTCTTAGGGGAGCCTCTGGCGAAAAGTCCACTTCCGGGCTCACTCAGGTATTGGCTGAATTCAGCTCCTTGCGGTAGTAGGACTGACGTGCAGTTCACTCGCTGGCTGTGGGCTGAGGCGCCTTTCCTCCTGCTGGCTGCCTGTGTTCCTCCTCATGTCTTCTGCAGGCTCCTCCAGGCCTCTCCCTGGTCCTCGCACGTGGGCCCGGCATCTCAGAGCCAGAGCTGGCACAGCTTCAAATCGCTTCCCTTCCTGCCACATCTTTCCGCCTTCCAGCTAGAGAAAATTCTGTGCTTTTAAGAGAGTGTGAATAGATGGGCCCACCCAAAAAATTCAGTATAGTCATCCTATCTTGAGTGGTGACCTTAACCACATCGGCAAAGTCCATTTTGCCATGTTCCCTAACTTTTTGCCAGGTTCCGTAACTATCTCTTGTTCTAGGTATTCAGGTGTAGATGTCTTTGGGAACCCATGGAGTGCGCTACAGGGACAGACTGACCCTCAAGCCTGCATTGGCCTGTCACCTTCCCAGTTCCTCTGGGTCTGTGATGTGATCCTACGATGCCACTGAGCTGAGTCAGGGCACCAGGGCAAGGCCTCACCATTGCCCTGGAGTGAGGACTTCCCTAGAGTGGGGGCTCCTGAGACCCCACAGTGGGCAGGGCTTGGACCAGGAAGGTTGTCATTCTCTTTCTGCGCAGGCCACTCCACCAGGCCATCTTTTAGGGCCAGTCTTCCAGGCTTCCAGTTTGAAGGCCAAAGCAGAATGACCAGAGGGAGAGGAGGAGGCTGCTGGTTGAGGCAGGGCCTGTCTGCAGGGACCAGGAGGCCTTGGTCCTGCCTGTCAAACCCCCAGGACGCTCTGGAATCCAGAGCCAGCAGAAGTCCTCAGGGTGAGAGGGCAGGAGGGTCCCCTTCCCCACCCACCACTCTTTGCTCCCCAACCCTTCCTGGATCCCCACCCACCCTCCTCCATGGCCTATCCCCAGGGCTCACTCCTGGGGACTGTTTTATCTGAAGCCAGGCACTCCAGACGACAACACAGTCTTTAGTGGTGAAACAGAAAGCGGCTCCAGCAGCAAGCAACACACCCAGCGTTCCAGCGAGCTGTGTGAAGCGCTAACAAGAGGCTGGCCTGGCATCCTGGCCAGAGGGACTGCAGAGGCAGCCCAGGCCAGGACGGTGCCCTGCACCACCTCCATCAGAACCCCCAGAGCTTGCTCAACAGCAGACCGACACCCAGGCGGCACCCCAGACCTTCAGAATCTCCTAAAGAGTGGGTTCAAGTACTAGCATATCTAAGAAGTTCCTCAGGTAATTCTGATAGCATCCAAATTTAAGATGAATCTTCTCCCTCTCATTTTACACAGGATCCTGAGGCCCAGATTTACCTGAGGACACACAGCAAGCTAGTGATGGCCAGGACTAACCCTGCTCTGCTGCCTTTAACCAATATTTAAAGTCAGGCCATATACATCCCAATGGCCCCAAGCCCATGAGTCCTGAAGACACTTTACCGCTTTTCAGCACCTCTTAGGTGAGTAACATAACATATACCCGCTCTGCAGTGTCTGGTAAGTGTCCAGAGAAGGCCCTACCCAAACATGCCTCTCAACATGTCCCTGGAATAAAGAAATGAGTCCCACTTATTACTGCTCTCCCTATCAATGCTTGCTTGTTTGTTTTCCCTGGAGAGACACATAATTAAAGCAAGTAGGACAAATAGAACAAGAATCGATTGCACTGATGCCAGTTCTCCCAACACAGAAGCCCACGGCACTGTTCCTGGAGCCTCCTTTGTCTACCTCTGGCTCCCTCTCTCTGGTGCTGCCCGTCCTGGAAAGGTGCAAGGCACAGTCAGAGCTCATGAAGTTTAGGAAGATAGGGCGGCAAAGCTGACCTCATTCTCTTGGTTTGCAAGCCTTATTCTTTCTCCCAACTCTCACCTATCTGCCTGGGAGGGTCCTGCGTTCTTCAGCTTCTCAGATGAAGACCTCCCTGGTCATCTTGGCCCCATCTCTCCTTCACCTTCTAATACATAGCAGTAAGTCCTGCTGCTCTCATGGCACACATTCTTTAATCTGCCTCTTCCTCTGTTCCCACTGCCCATCACTCAGCCCATGGTTCAGAGACCCATGGCAGATGATGGGAATCCGTGCTCAGCAGGTCTCGCTGTTTGGGCCTCTCTGATCTGCCGTCCACTCTTCCTTCAAGGCAACAAGCCATTCATTCTCCCTAAACACCCGTTAACAACCTTGCTCCCCGACCGAAGAATCTGCAGGGCTAACCAATCCCAAGTAAACCTAACCCCTCTAGGTAAGGTTCAAGGCTCACCAGCTCACTCAAACTTGGCTCTTTCCACTTGCCACTGGGCAACAACCATAAGACAGATTCTTTTTTTTTTCTTTTTTTTCTTTTTTTTTTTTTTTTTTTTTTGACAGAGTCTCACTTTGTCACCCTGGCTTGAGTGCAGTGGCACCATGTCGGCTCACGGCAACCTCTGTCTCCTGGCTTCAAGCAGTTCTCCTGCCACAGCCTCCCAAGTAGCTGGGATTACAGGTGCCTACCACCACACCCAGCTAATTTTTATATTTTTCATACAGACAGGGTTTCACCATGTTGGTCAGGCTGGTCTCGAACTTCTGACCTCAGGTGATCCACCCGCCTTGGCCTCCCAAAGTGCTGGGATTACAGGCGTGAGCCACCATGCCCGGCCAAGACAGACTCTTAATGGCCTCCTGCACAGCACTGATAAGCTCTGTGATTATTATAATATGCTAACTTTGCATCTTCCACAGAAACCAACAGAATATAAGAAACACAGAAAATTTCAATAACTCCTTCTGCATAACTAATCTTGCCTAGAGTCTTTCACGGCATCAGCCAAAGAATGTTTCTCTCTAGGACTTTTTTGTTCTCAATCTAATAATTTGTCTGTTTAACTCAGGACTGGAACCCTCAGGAGGGGCTGTGAGTCTCTCCGCGTAGTGTAAGTAGAACTCCAGAAAGCACTGATTCTCCCTGGATGTCAGCCGTGCTATAAACCAGACACACCAGTCGGGGGTAGTAATGGGGGCAAACTGGGAAACCAAAGTGGCAGTTCAGAATCCCCCCCAGTTTCTGAGTTCTTCAAATGGTGTTCTTTAAAGTCAACCATTGTTTGCCTCAATTGAGAATCTGCTAAGTGCACTTCTGCTAAGCAAAATAAGCCCATGTTTGTCCATTCATTCATCCCTTAGACAGGATTCTGCTAAGCCAGTTTCTGTTATACAACATAAATCCATACTTGTCTGATAATCCTCAAACACCTTACACGGCTAATAATTTTTCAAATATTTATGAGCCCCACAAAGGAGATTTATGTTAAGCTGCTTGGCAAGGAACAATAGAGTGTGCAGGTCTAGAGAACATTCTGTTGAAACAAATATTGTCAAGACATCAATATTTTTATAGCATTTTTCATTACGGACTTTTCACACCTGCTCATTTCCCTAATTATCCCTGAGACTCTTACACTTTCAGAGAGAATGAAAATGGAATTTTTTGAAAGATCATTAATTTGAAAAATTAGCTGCTATATAAAGAAAAATACATACTCAGGCACAGCCATTACTAAAAATATAGTCTTGAGATGGATGCACAGGGAGAGAGATACTAAGTTGTTATGGCAACTATCATTATAATTACAAAGCTGGAGGGTTTTTCTCGTTCATTACTGTGTTGAGATGTGATAGTTTAAATGGCAGTGTCCTTTGTGATGTCCTCAATCTCATTACTACATAATTACCCATTTCATATTTAATTTTCAGCATGTTTGTTCTTACTCCCATACCCTGTACATTTGGCATCTTTTGATAAGCCTTATTCTTAGTTCATGGGTCCCTCTTGCAACTTAATTCCTCTCCTCACTATTGCCTCCACTCTGTGGTTTCATTTTCAATTTGACCTTTGGGACACTTGCTTTGGCATGAGATATTCCATTTGTAAACAGTAAGATGCTGTTGCAAAAGCTCCTAAGAAACCACATGAACAGGCACCCAGGGAGACACTGAACGCAGGATACACCGGAGCCTGCTGAGCGGCCTTGGAGGCACTGTGTTTCTTGGCCACCTACTATGTGCAGGATCATTTACAGAAGTGATCACATTTGACCTTTGTAAGCTGGGTTCTCTGTTTGCACTGCCTCTGGTCTCCAGCCCTCTGGGCTTGCCTCTGTATCTGGGAGGCTGGGAGGCTGCCCCTTGTAAATTTGTCCCCTTGTCCTCTGGTTTCTGATTGGGATTGCCCAATAGAGATAGGAAGGTGAGGAGAAAGGGCTCTGGGTATTTCATCCCCTTCCCCCACCCCCACCCTTCCATGCCCCCCACCCACTTTGGCCCAGGGGTCCTAGTGGTGGCTGGATCCTTGGGCTTCCCTGAAACCCACTTCCTCAACTCTAGCCCTGCAGTCCTATGGAGGGACATGACTTCCTCACAGACTGAGCCTCCACTCATTAGTCTCGGGAGCCTCAATATCACTGTTTGTCTCCACATCCCTGACCACACCTCTGCACTTCATTTAATTCACCTGTCATCTGTGTGTGCCTCTGTTTCCTGCTGGGTCTCTGACTGATATCATCCTCCCAAAGCTTTGTGAGGGGAGAATAGCTCCCCCTATCTTACAGCTGAGGAATCTAGAAGTGGCTAAGTCTCTTGCTGAAGGTCATGTAATTAACAAATGATCGAGTCAGTTGAACCCCCAACTGTTTCACTCCAAAATTTCTGCCTCCATCACTCATGTTACAGTCTCAAGCCAAAGGGAACTGTGGCCCATCAGGCAACCCGAGATGAGCTTGGGCGGAGTGGCATAGTGTGTCAGGGTGCAGCATGGGCACACTGGGGTGGTCATGGGTGGGGGTGGCTTTAGCTTCCAGTAAATCTCAAGCCTCTCCATCCATCAGGAGTGCTCAAGATCTAAGTTCTTTAAATTTAGAAGTTCTGGAGCTGCTTCTGTGGTCACTTAATGCATGAAGCCCGAAAGACAAGAAGCAAAATCATCTTCATGGAGTTGAGATTTGCATGAAGAGGAACTCAGCGTGAGAAGCCAAGAAGCAAAGCAGAGGAAGATGCTGCCCCGGCCCCCGGCTCATCACTGCCACATGGGCAGGGCTGCCATGCTCTGGCCCAGAATCAGAAGCAAGGGTTTGGAAGGTCTGAGTTCAGGCATCCCTCTTTCTATCCTCCCAGTCAAGGTACGGGGCTCTCTGAAACAGCAGTGCCAAATGCAGTTGGTCCACACACTCTATGAGGCCCCAGGGCTGGGAGAGACCTCCCACACCTGTAGTCTGCTGTCGGGCAATCAGACTCCACGCCAGGGGTCTCACTGATGTTTCTGCAAGAGAACATCTCTGCCTCTCCCCACCACACAAGAGACACTGAACTTGGTAGGATAGAGACTAAAAATATAATAAACTAATGAACCTAATGACTTTGAAAATCTAATAAATTCCTAGAAAAATATAAAATGCTACAGCTGACACAAAAATAGAGAACCTGAACAGACCAATAATATTAAATCAATTAAAATGGGCGTCAAACAATCTTTATTAAAAAAAATTCTAAGCCAGGCGCAATGGCACACACCTGTAGTCCCAACTACTTGAGAGGCTGAGGCAAGAAGATCGCTTAAGCCCAGGAGTTCAAGGCTGTAGTACTCTATAATCACATCTGTGAATAGCCACTGAACTCCAGCCTGAGCAGCACAGTGAGACCTTATCTCAAAAAAATATATATATCTTTTTAATTAGCCAGGAGTGATGATGTGCACCTGTAGTCTTAGCTACTTGGGAGGCTGAGACAGGAGGATCACTTGAGCCCAGGAGCTTGAGGTTATAGTGAGCTATAATACACCACTGCAATCCAGCCTGGGCAACAGAGTGAGACTCTGTCTCCAAAAACAAACAAACAAACAAAAGTTCCAGATCATTTTTCAATTTTCCAGTTGAATTTACTAAACTTTTTTAAAAGCTGAAATTCCCACCTTATAGAAAGTTTTCTTTCTTTCTTTTTCTTTTTTAAGATGGAGTTTCGCTCTTGTCGCCCAGGCTGGAGTGCAATGGCACGATCTTGCCTCACTGCAACATCAACCTCTCAGGTTCAAACAATTCTCCTGCCTCAGCCTCCCAAGTAGCTGGGATTATAGGCATGCACCACCATGCCCAGCTAAGTTTTTGTATTTTTTCATAGCGCAGATGGGGGTTCACCACGTTGCCCAGGCTGGTCTCGAACTCCTGACCTCAGGTGATCTGCCTGCCTCAGCCTCCCAAAGTGCTGGGATTACAGGCACCCGCCACCGCACCCGGCCTGAAAGTTTCCTTTTACAGAAAATAGAAAAAGAGGGAAATCTACTTAGATAATTTTATTATGCTAATGTAATCTTAATTCTAAAACCAGAGAATGAAATTATTAGAAAAGAATATAAAAGGCTCATTTCGTTATATAGACACTAAAAATCTTAAGTCAAATATTAGCTAACTGAATCCAATAGCTTATTTTTTAAAATACATAAAGTATACATAAAATCCATAAATTATACATAAAATCCATAAAGTATAATTAAGTAGGCTTTATTTCAGGAATACAGAAATGGTTCAATGGTAGAAAAATCGACCTATGTAATTTATCGTGTCAACAGATCAAAAGGAAAAGGTTGTATGATTATCTAAATCAATGAATTATCTGAATTAGAAAAGCAGTTCATAATATACAGCATCTGTTTAAAGATGTCCTGAACAATGGAAAGATACCTATGCTCTTGCATGGGCAACTTGGGATCAAAGATTCAATTCTTGCTGGGCATGGTGGCTCATGCCTCTAACCCCAGCACTTTGCGAGGCCGAGGTGAGAGGATCACTTAAGCCCAGAAATTTGAGACCAGCCTGGACAACGCAGTGAGACCCTGGGAGGAAGGGGAAGGAAGGGAAGACTGAGAATGTTACACATCAAGGTGGATTCTTTACCATGTGACCTTGGGAAACTTGGCTCTCATATGGAAAAAACTAAAACTGGATCCTTACCACACACGAAAGTGGACTCCAAATGGATTAAAAAACTAAATGTGAAAAGTGAAACCATAACAATAATAGAAAGTGTATAAACATATCTTTGTAACCTAGAGATGAGGAAAAACTTGTTAAATAAAAACCTCAGAAGCACAAACCATAAGGCAAAAATAAGAAGAGGAGGAATTAATGAGGTTACTTATATCAAGATAAAAGATTAATGTTCTACAAAGGACACACTGAACAAAATGAACAGGCAGATAACATATTGGGAGACAATACCTGCAATGTCTAACAAAAAAAATTTTTTTTGGAGACGGAGTCTCGCCCTGTCACCCAGGCTGAAGTGTAGTGACGTGATCTTGGCTCTCTGCAAACTCTGCCTCCCAGGTTCAAGCAATTCTCCTGCCTCAGCTTCCCTAGTAGTTGGGATTACAGGAACCTGCCACCATGCCCAGAAAATTTTTGTATTTTTAGTAGGGAAGGGGTTTCACCATGTTGGCCAGGCTGGTCTTAATCTTCTGGGCTCAAGTGATCTGCCTGCTTTGGCCTCCCAAAGTGCTGGGATTACAGGCATGAGCCACCACGCCTGGCCAAAAAATTAATATCCATGATACATAAGGAAGAAAGGGCGGACTCCTGATAGGAAAATGGGCAAAAGCTATGAACAGGCTATTTACAGAAGTGAAAACTCAAAAGGCTAACTACATATAAAGAAATGCTCAAAGCCATTAGTAACCAGAGAAATGCAAATTTAAATGAAGAGGTGTCATCTGACAACTATTAGCTGGGCAAAAATCAGAGAGCTGGATGGTGTCAAGTGTTGATGACGGTGTGGAGTTTTGGGGCACCCCAGCACTGCTGGTGAGGATTCAGATGGGTACCACCCACTGGGAGAGCAGACGCATGCTCCTGACATTCCCAAACATGTGTCTGTCATAATTAAAGGTTTATATAAAAGACATAAAAGATTATGAGTCCAATGAAAATAAATTTAAAATAAGTTTAGCTGAAAAGCATTTTTTATTAAAATGCTTGTGCCAATAGAGAATATTACATTAACTCAGGACACAAGTCACTGAAACAATTTCTACATGTTACCGTTTGAAAAAGTAAGACTTGGCAAAACCAACCTAACAGATTTTTTTTTCTTTTCTACTGAATTGAATGAATCGATCCTTTTTTATGGCATTTCATTCTAGAGTCAGCCCACACTAATTATCTGGTAAAGAGGATTAACATTTTATTCTTTTATAATTTTCTGATTGCTTTTAGGAAGAGACATAAAGAATAAGCAAACAAATGCAATGTATTAAAAGCATTTCTAATATGTCCTTTTGCCCTCCAGGGACTTTGTAATATAAATACCCTTACACAGTAAGAAAAATAGATCACTAATTCTCAAGCTGCAATTACCTGAGATCATAATACTGAACATACATCAAAGCAGAGGCATAGTAGTTTAAATCCAATTGAATTACATCTACCCTTAGGGGCACAATCAGGAAATACAATTTTAAAAAGAGAGAGCTTTGGCATCGTTCCTTCACACCTGGGCTTCACTGACTAGCTCCAGTTGTAAATCACATGCTGAGACCCAGTGTTTTTCCAGGGCTGAGGCATAACAGAGAAGGAGCTCCTGGGAGCAGCAAACACCTTGTTTTCCTTCCATCCAAGCAAGTTTGTGTGTGTGTGTGTGTGTGTGTGTGTGTGTGTGTGTGTGTGTGTTTTCCCCTATGCAAATGAAGGCAAGTTTTCACATTGCATTATAAGCTTGGTAGCTAAGAAACCATTTCTGTTTCTGAGAAGGTTAACTTTCAAGTTCAAATATCTGATGCTTTGGGTATTGTGAACAAATGTGAACCTGAAAGAGCCAATCTTTCAAGATGGATCACCACTGGCTAACTGAGCCAAAATTTAAAATACAGTCAAGTGGCCATTTGCTGAGTAGAGAGGTCACACACATAACTCTGAGTTCCTGAAAAACAATACCTCTGTTTAACTTCGGGACTTTCACAGAGCACCTGAACCAACCAATCAGAGTTCACCTGCTTGTGCCAATCAGAGACCAGCTGTATCAACCAATCAAGGCTCAGCTGTATTGACCAATCAGGGCTCAGTTATATTGACCAATCAGAACTCAGCTGTGTCATCACTCGGAGGTAAGCGGGGCTGAATTTTTCATTTGCCTGAATTGCAAACTGTTCACTGGAATGAAGTCTCTTTCCTCCGAACTGTTTTCCAGAGAACTTTTGTGCAGAGTATCCCACTGAAGTAACCACTGTCGCAACCTGGATAAAATGTTTAAATGTTTTTCAAACCTAAGCTTACAAACTATAGTGGATAAAATAGCATTTTTGCTCTTATTGGGGGTGAAGGGTGTCAAATATGGAAGTGTTTAAATTTTATATTTCAGTATATAAAGAGCTTCTAAATGGGGTTTTCTGAACTTGGAGTGGGCCAGGCGAGGTCATGCAGCTCACAGGCAGGTTACCCAGGGGAGTAATCTGACATGGGCCTGAGCGCCTCCCATTCTGACTCTTCCCACGCTAGCTGGAAAGCCTAGAGCAGGCTGACCTCACCAACTTAGCCTTAGTTTACACATCTGCAGAGTGGGGGAATCCTGTCCTAACCTGATAGAGAATTATGGTGAGAATTTAATAAAATAATGCATGTAACAGCTTAGAGTAAATCTTGGCATATAGTGTCTTAGTCCATTAGGGCTGCTATAACAGAATACTATAGACGGGGGCCTATAAACAACAGTAATTCATTTCTCACAGTTCCGGAGGCTGGAAGTCCCAAGAGCAAGATACTGGCAGATTCGGAGTCTGGTGAGGGCCCATTTCACAGATGGCAGCTCCTCGCTGCATCCTCATATGCTGGAAGGGGCACACAAGCACCCTTGGGCCTCTTTATAAGGGCACTGATCCCATTCATGCGGGCTCCTCCCTCATGACTTAATCACCTCCCCCAAAGCTCCATCTAATATCATTGCCTTGGGGTTGGGGATTTCAACATATGAATTTGACAGGGGAAACACAAACATTCAGACCGCGACACAGAGTGAACACTCAGGAAAGGCTCGCGGCTGTTGTCATTCTTCATGATGATTGTCTTAGCCTGTCAGTGTAAAGCACATGCTCATTACTGCCTGGAGAACAAAGGCCACCTCCCCACCGTGCCCTTTCATTCTTCCCTTGTCAGTGCCTTGCCTTTGCAGACATAGTTGCCACCACCTGGAGTACCCTCTGGCACTTCCCTTCACAGCAAACACCTACTTGCACATCGAAGCCCAACTCTAACGCCTCCTCCTGGGGGAGCCCTCCATGATTGCAGCGGGTGAGGTCCTGTGTCCCTGTTCCCAGGCTCCCACAGCTCCCCTAATGTGGCTTTCCCAGCCCTCATGACCTTGTCCTAGGCATAGGGCACAGAGGACCTTGTCCTGGCCATAGGACACAGAGTACCTTGTCCTGGGCCTAGGCCACAGAGGGATCCCTGCTACCCAATTACCTCCTCCAGGGCTGTTGGCATCCCTCTTGCATGCAGAAGGTGCTCAGTAAATGCTGGTTGGAGTTGGATGGCTGGATGCAAAGACCTTAAGAGCAGGATGCAAAGTCTGATTCCTCTCTGCATCCTCAGAGCCTATCCCAGTGCTTGGCACACAGTAGGTGCTCAATAAACAATCATGCACTGAAATTGACTTTCAAAATGCACATGGCCTGGACTGCATTTCCTCTTGAGTGTCCTCTCCTGGCCTCCTGGCTCAGCTGAGATCTGGGGTACCCACCTGTCCTGTCCCGCCACCTTTGCCATCTCCAGCCAGTCCTTAGGTCCCTGCCTTAATATGGGTGAAGTCCTCTCAGGGATAGGGGAAGAGGACTCTCATTCCCATGAGACCAGGGCATGGTTCTTCCTCATCTCACACTGGTGGAGTCCTGAGGCTGGGAGGCCAAGGGACTTTGTAATGTGCAGAGAGCATTCCCCAGTTGGCACAGTCACTTGAAATTTTACAACAGATCTCGTTCTCAAAGGAGGAAAAAGTGGAGCCAAACCAATTAACTTTTTAAACAGCTGAGAGATTCAAATGAAGCAAGGTTTGCCAGGCGTAGCTGTAACCTGACAGAAATAGGAGATGTGCTGGGGGAAGCTCTCAGACTCTGGCGTGGGTTTGCCTGGCCAAGACATGAGCCCCTCCTGCCAGCCCCCACACGGCCCCAGCTGTGTGAGTTCACCCCATCTCCTCCAATGCAACGCTCAGCTCCCTCTTTGGAGAAAAACATAGATGAGCCTTAGAAAGTGAAATGAAAAGAGCCTAACAATTAAAACCAGTATACCATTTTTTGTTCAAACAAAACCTTCCCAGTTATTTATTACATAAATAAAATATCTTTTATCTTTTCTATATCAGCTTAAATGTTACTTCCTCGGAGACCCCTTTCTGGAAAATTCTGTCTCAATCAGGACTAACTCTTCCTGCCTCTTTCCTGGCTCTGCAGCCTGTTCTTTCCCTTCGGGGCAGACACTCCACTGGGCCACTTCTTTCCGATTGTGCTGATGTTTGAGTAAGGGACACGCAGGCGCAGTGGGTAAGAGGGTGGGCCCTGCAGGTTCTGGCTCAGCTGCCCACAGCTATGTCCTGGAGCAGTCACCTCACCTCTCTGTGCCTTGGGGTCTTCATCTGGAAAGTGGGTATAACAATCGTTCCCACCTCACCGACCAGTTGTGGGGAGTAAACAGGTTAACACATGCAGAGTGTTTGGATCAGGGCCTCGACGTCAGGGGGCCAAATTATATTATTCCCATCATCACTGTCAGCTTCCTAAGTGTTTTATTACTGAGCTATGACCGTGTCTAGCACAATGCTTGGCATGGGGCGAGGGTTCAGTAAAGGTTGCCATAGAGCTCTCCCAAACCCTGGTCTGAACGTGTGTCTCCAAACTCCCTGTCACTTCTGCTATTCATGAATCTCCTTTTCTGGCCAAGTTCAGTATCACACTCTTGTGCATTCACACATCCAGCACTCCTACCTTCTCATCAGGCATTCCCCTCTGCCAGCACCCATCTACCACTTCCTTCTAGTTATGTCAGCCCCTCCCTCATTTCCCCAACCTCTGTGACCTCCCCATCCCACCCACCCACCTGGAGGGCCCGAGCTCTGCATCACACCTGCATCCTAGTGAGGGATCAGCCTCCTGTGCTCTGTGAAGCACAAGTCCGTGAGGTTCACCCTGTGACAGGAGCTGGGTCAGGCAGGTGGCAGGTAGCAGGTGTGCTGGAAAATGCGTGAAGACAAGGACAGAGCAGGACTTTCCACCTGTTACCAGGCGCTTGCATTCCAAGTGGAGCTTCCCTGAGTGAGGCTATTTCTGCAGTCAAATGCTCTACCGCTGAGCTATACCCCCAAGTGAGGCTATTTCTAATGTGGGCCTTTCAGCAAGGAAAAAGAGGAAATGAAGAGAAAAGAATGAACCCCGCCACACAGCCTGGGAGCCGGGCCATTTGCAGGCAGTGCTTCCAGAATGAAAGGCCTTCCGCGAGCAGCTTGACTGCCCTGCTTGGATTCTGTGCTGGGATGGTGTGACCTTCTGATAAAGCCATGGTCTCAGATAGTGCAGCACAGGGACAGAGCACTGGACAAGGAGCCACTTTGGCTCTCGGGATGCCACTCTCTTTGCCTGAGGCTTTCAAGGCCTCAGCTGTCCCATCTGCCAATCCGGGCATTGGACAGATGACCCTGCCGTTTGAGCCCCTGACTTTTCTGATAAAGCTTGACCACAGCTCTGAAGCTTTCAGTCCAGGGCAGAGGATGCCAATGACCGAGGGATGGCCCAACCCAGCACAAGAGATTCCAGACCTCCTCTGGCCCCTGGGTCTAGGCTGCCTCCCACCTAATGTGACCGTACATTCCCACTGCTCCTTCCCACGCAGCTTCTCCCTATTCACGAAGCCGTCTCTGTGATGCCAGGGTCAGACCATCCTGGGGGTCCCCTCCCAGCCCTCTTGCCTGTAGTTTCTTCTGTTTCTCGCCTTCCTGCCTCCCACCCCACCCTCACCCAGTCATCCTCCATCTCCTGCGTTCTGACTCCTCACCCAGAAACGCTGCCTTTGCCATCTCCCCCTCAGGAGACACGCTCAAGCCCTGTGGTTTTTCCAGGCCACCTTGAGGCTGATGTCCAGAGCCCGAGCTCTGGCTCTCGGGTTCTATGTGAACAGGCCAAGCCCCACCTCCCGACGGTCTGTCCACTCTTCCTTCGGCCAGTGACGCCCAGGTACTGAAGTGGGGGCAGGTCATCCACATGGCCCGCACCTTTGCTCTCACATCCCACTGCCAGGCATAGCCTTGCCAGCTCCAGAAAGCCTCCCCCTGTCTGCTCCTGCACCCATCTCCCACTCCGGATCCCCAAGTCCATGCATTTCATCCCAGAAGTCCTCAGAAATGTGACCGAAGGGCAACATGGGCACACTACAGGCTAACCTCGTTCTTTAACCTTACTGAGCCTCTGTGTCCTGATCTATAAAATGAGACACTAATGTCTACCTAGAAGAGAGATGGAACCAAGGTGCTTCACAAAATGAAACGCTACGTAAATGTCAGGCCCAATGCTGAGTCAAGGCCAGCTCACTCCTCCTCCTCACCCACAGTAGCCTCCTCACTCTCATAGATACAGCACCTTTCTTCCAGACAGCTACGGGATCTTAATGGATCTGCCAAATCACTGTTCCCCAAACACCCTTGCTATAAATCATGTCAGCTTCACTCAGCTGCCTCTGAGGTTCTGAGCATGTGTGCATGATATTGGAATAAAATTTAAATTAAATCCAGAAGCTGCAACACTTCATAAAACTTAAACTGCAAATTCCTCACTGTGGAATGCCAAACTGAAAAAGTAATCAGAAATAAATACTTCATTTCGCCTCATGTGCCCTGAAGACCCCCAAACTTGGCTCCAAAAGATCTGGGGCCTTCCAAAGACAGGAAATCTATGCAAGAAACTTCTCACATGGCCTCAGGATTCAAGCCATCCCCATGCACTTTTAGGAGAGAAAGCAGAGTCCCAAACCAAGGACCAGGATGGAAAGCAACCCCCAAATTGTGCCGGATCAAGAGATTAGGGAGGATGTCTTTGCTGCTTTCCAGGTGGATGTCTGGCTGCCTCCCTTGCAATAACCAGCTCTTGTCTTCTTCAGGTGAAATTTCCAACTGCCCAGAAGCTGCCTGGTGGATGCCTGCTACCCATCTGAAGTTCACCTAAAGGATTTACGAGTTTCTGCCCTACAAGTTTGATGCAAAGTTCATGCTGAGAGGCACCTTAGGAAACACGAAGCACGGTGTGTGCATGTGTGTTCTAAATAGTAGAGTTTCCAGGAGGGCTTCCATCAGCACCGAGTGTTTACGAGAGACTGCCACAGCGGTGTGGTAGACATACCTGCTCCTGCTGCCAACACGATTTGCTAGTGTAATTAACATTCAGGCTGAAACTGGAGAAGGCAGTTCAACTCACAAAGACTATTTTTAGAGACCTCTTAATGGAAAACTCTGTTCCTTTCAAACCACACAGCTTTCTGTAATTAGAAGAGAGACTATTATTCAAGTCAGATTTTACTTTTTCTCACATTTCTGTGCTTTATGCAATGTTATCCTAAAACTGCATTTACTTGGGGAGGACAACACACAGAGAAGCGGCATCGCTGGGCGGGGCCCTCGCAGCGTCCTTACCCACCCTCCCGCAGCACAGGGAGGATGTGGTCACCAGCACAATCCCCCACCCCCACCCCAAGTCCCACCCTGACCCTACTGGGGATCACTTAGGTGACACGGCACCATCCTGTGCATTTTTCTCTTAGAAACTGGCTACAGGTTCCCCAAAAGCTCTGACATTTCTGGGGGATAGTTTAAAATGTGTCTTCTATCATTCCCATTACAGAAACATAGATGCCCCCCCTCCCACAAGTTCATTCATGTGCCCATCAAATAGCATCTCCTTGGTGCCAAGAAAGGGACTGGACCCCGCAAGGCGCCCACCCAGATGTACACTGAAGGCACCATCCCTGCCTTCATGGAGCTTATTTTCTAGTGTGGGGACTAGGGGGATTGTGCTAAACCAGGCAATACATCAGCAAAACATACAGAGCTTTTGATAAACATTTTAAAAAGAAAAAAGGAAGAGAGGGGAAGCAGGAGGAAGGAAGGGAGGGGGAGGAAAGGAAAAGGGGAAGAAGGAAATGAAAGAAGTGAGAAAGGAAGGGAGGAAGCAAGGACTCAATAGGAGACTTTAAACAGGGGAGAGATGTGACAAGGACCATATTCAGGATTGGGTAGAAAGTGGGGATGCTGGTAGACCAGTCTGGGGCTTGTGCAGGGGAGGGATAGTGGTGACTTGGGATGGGACAGGGACTGTGGAGAAGGGAAGAAGGGGACAGATTCAAGTCCACTGTTAGGGGTAGCACCAGTAGGACGTCCTGGAGTGGCCGCAGGTGGGAAGGAGAGAGGAGGAAAGGATGGGGTGGGGGCTTGTGCAGGGGACTTCTGCTGGAGAAAGACTAGGAAGTGAGAACACTTAGATTCCAAAGGCTACAGCTTGAGCAGCAGCTATTGACAAGAGACTCTCTGCTAAGGCCAAATGCAGAAACCATCCTGTTTGCAGATAAGCCAGATCACCTGCAAGTTTCTTCATTCGATCACTCAATCAGAAAATACTGGCTGAGCTCATGCCAGAGCCAGACCCCGGGCAGGTTCTGGGAAGTCGGCCACAAGGACTCAATCTGCAGCCTAGTAGGGAGACAGACATGCAGATGAGGACCACCCTCCCAGGAGGTCAAGGCTACCATGGAGGGCTCGGGGCAAGGAGACAGGTGTGGGGAGAGGGGCCACCTGGTCCATCTGCTTGGGGTACCAGGAATGGCTGCACAGGGACCAGACAACTGAGCAGAGTTCTCCAGAACAGCTGGAGGTGGGCAGGATCTATCCATGTGTTCAAGTTCACTGCAGCTTTAAACAGCCATGAGGTTTTTAATGGCAGAAGGGCACTGGAGACCTTCTGCAGTGAAGAAAATATTCCATATCATGGTTCAGGTACACATTATACATTTGTTAAATGTACAATCTATAAATCAGCAGTGTACAATCAACAAACTGTACACTTTACATCTAATTCACTCTATGTAAATTTTGCTAACAGTACCTTATATCTTCAATTAAAAAAAAAGATTTAAAGCTGTAAACACAAGCCAGGAGGCTCATTGTTAACTCTCACTAAATTTAAGTGAATACTTTGTAATAACCTAATGCATTGACTTGACCTTTTAAGAGGCAATTCTGCCCTTTTGAAGCTGTAGGTTCAAGCTTTTGGCTGGGCACAGGCACACTCTGCCATCAACCTCAGGCATAGCGGATCCCACACAAGACAGTATAAGAGCAGGATTCGTGTAGCTCGGGACACGGGCTTCCCTCCACCCTGAGGTTCAGCGTCCAGGAAAGATCTCCAGAAAGTACACTACCAGCCCACATCCCACCTGTAACAGGTCTTCAGGGCCTGCAGGGGGGACTCGCCCTCAGCAAGTCCACCTCCTGAATCCTATGTTTCTATAAATCCCGATTGCAGTCCACACAAGGCTTAATTTTTTTTCTTTAAAGAACACTCTTTGCCAAAATCTGTGTTGAGTAATTAACTAGTGCCATGCCCAGCAAGGGAAAGCAGCTGTATAATTTATATTCCACAAGGCTCCACCTGACAAGCGGAAGCCCGGCCAGGCGCTGCTTTCCTTCAGCCCTGCATTGGGTTCTAATTGTGTTCACCCAGGCTGCTCATGTTTGCTGGGCCGTTCAAAGCCTCCAGAATATTTCTCTTTCCATTGTACGGTACTAAATCTTTGTCAACACTTCTCCAAATGCAGAAGTTGACAGTCAGCCCTCAATGACTCAAATGGAAAGCTAGTAAAAGCTCCCAAAGGAACATCTTTCAACAAGTCATAATGCTTTCATAAAATGAAGGCAGGATAACTATAACCACTCTCCTCTTCCTGTCATGTTCTCTCAAAGCAGAGACAATGGAGGTGATTTGGGGCTTCCTCAGTGTCCAGGAACAGTATCAGTCATGTGTTCACCCATGAGGGCCATGGAGCAGTGCCCTCAACACAATCTCATGCCAACATTTAGTCCCTCCATGCTGATGCACGTGGAAACAAAGATGCCCTCGAGAGAGGTGGCCCAGCTTCCATATCCCAGGACTGCCAGGGTCACAGCCACCTACCTGTACTGGTGGGTGCAGCCAGGCAGCGCCCGAACCCACAGAGACAGTGTAGGGAGCAGGTGCAGCCACCATAGACAGGTGGGGCCACCACAGACCATAATGGCAGACAGAGGCTGGAATGTCCCTCACTGAACCCAGCCCCACCGAGCTGGCCCACCTGCACATTCGCGCCCCTGCACACCTGCCTCATCTCCCGACTCAGCCTTTGGTTGCTCACCCATGCCAGACAGGTGCCTTGCTTTGAATGCCTGGACACCTGGCCAGGTTTTTTTTACTCCTTCTCCCTCTGGAGTCTGGGAATCAGTTCTGTGCATTTGCGGCCCTGGAGGTAGGATTCTTTGTCAAATCAATGGCCAAGATCATGACCTCCACCCGGACAGAACCCTTTCATGTCCTGTCAGCATTCATCAAACCTAGTATCACTCCCCCACTGCAGAGATTCTCGGAACTGCACCCCCGGCCCCTGTTGCAGTTCCCAGGGGGAGTTCTCCTGATCCACTGCATCCCAGCTTTCTTCACTTCCCGTCAGCAAGGGCTACCTCAGCACCTCCTCATTGTGCCCTCCCA
Organism: Homo sapiens; assembly: GCF_000001405.40. NCBI lineage: Eukaryota > Metazoa > Chordata > Mammalia > Primates > Hominidae > Homo > Homo sapiens. The sequence continues at coordinate 123,910,567 of NC_000010.11, forward strand.
GATACAAGCCCCAGGCTGGTGCAGAATCATCAGTTACTAGACATTTGCATAAGTGAGTTAGGCATAACTGGTGTGAAATACAGGTATGAATGCAGGTGCTCACCCAACTGCACCTAAGTCTCTGCCTCATTATTGACTGTATCCGTTTTCTGGGGCTGCAGTAACAATGCACCACAGAACTGGGTGACAACACAAATTTATTCTCTCACGGTCCTGAAGGCCAGAATTCTGAGATCCAGGTGTCCACAGAGCCACACTCCCTCCACCAGCTCTCGGGGAGGATCCACTCTTGCCTCTTCCAGGTCTGGTGGCCCCAGGTGTTCCTTGGCTTGTGGCAGCATCACTGCAATCTCCACCTCTGCCTCCATGGGGCCATCGTGCTGCTATGTCTGGATCTCTGTGTGTCCACATGGCACTCCCCTCGTGTGTCTGTGTCTGTGTCCAAATTTCCCTCTTCTTATAAGGACAGCAGTCATCCTGGATTAAAGCCCATCCCAAGGACCTCATCTTATCTTGATTAAACCTGCAAAGACCCTATTTCCATATAAGGTCACATTCATAGATACTGGGAGTTAGGACTTCAACATATCTTTCTGTGGGGGACAAAATTCAACCCATACAGACCTTATGTTTCTCTTGATCTATCTAGTTTTGTGACTCTCTCATTTGGGAATTTGTTCAGCAAGTATTTATTGAGCACCTGTTACATTCCATGCACTATGCTGGGTATGAGGGACTCCTGCCCTCAAGAACTGATGGTCCAGGGGACAGGTCCCCCGGCAGCTGCTAGGAAGTGCAGTCTGAGGACACTCAGAGCAGGGCAGCCCCAAGGGGGCTCCTATCCCAGCCTTAGGGCATCGATGAAGTTTCTCAGAGGAAAGAGTGATGGAGATGAGAACTAGGCTGAATACGATTAGGTTGGTGCAAAAGTAATTGTGGGTTTTGCCATTAGTTTTAAAGGCAAAACCCACCATTACTTTCGCACCAACCTAATAGCCAGGTGAAGAGGCCATGAACGGAAACAGCTCCAAGAAACTCAGAGATGAGAGAAGCTGAGAGACTTCAGGAAACCTTGGATGATTCAGCAAGGTAGAAACAGAGGCATGGCAAGAGATGAAACTCCAGAAAGTCACATGGGTGCTCACATGTCACTGTGATGCCAAGGCACCCACAGAGCCTCTGTGGGCTCTGATTACAGGTGCCACCCATTGAACACACACTGTGAGCACCGTCTCCTGTAATCATTCCTGCCACCCTGCAGGGGTGGGGTGCTCTACATGTTACCAGTGGTGAATCTGCAGCAACCTCAATTCTTGCCTCCTCCGAAGAAAGAATTCGACTGAGGGGCATAAGGCAGAAGGAGAGACTGAGGCAAGCTTCAGAGCAGGAGTGAAAGTTTATTTGAAAAGCTTTAGAACAGAAAGGAGGGGGGAAGGAGGGGCAAACTTGGAAGAGGACCAAGCGGGTGACTTGCGGAACCACGTGCACAGCTAGACCTCTCGACTGGGGTTTTCTGCATTGGCATACTTCCAGGATCTTGCATTCCCTCTCCCCACTCCTGAGATCTTATTAGGAAGCTGCGGATCGGTTTCAGGTGTTTTCTCTTAGGAGCCTGCCTTTCCCTGGCAGCGCCTGTGACCAATTATTATTTTAGAGAAACAGTTGACAGCTGCCTGACCATCACATGATGGTCACCCAACACTCCTAGTGCGTGTGTGTGTGTGAGTGTGCAGATGGTGGGCGGGGGGGGGGGGGCAGGCATTCCTGCCCTGCTCATACCTAAGTAGCTACCCACTGTAACCCACTGAACAGGTGAGAAAAGTGAGGCCTGTTGCACTGGCATTTCTCTCCCCAGGTCACATGAGAGAGGCAGCAGAGGCTGCCCTCTGGGACTCAGCTCCACATCCTGGGCCACCCCTGCATCTGCAGACTGGTGCCCTCCCAGACATTGCACCGGTGTGGAAAAGAAGGGGAGGGGCTGGTGGCCAGGGCTTGTTTCCATCTGTGATGCCCTCCTGGGTATTCACCCCAAAGCCTGCTAATTTAGGAGGCACTGCCAGGGATTGGGAGCATGGAAGTGTGAACTGAAACACGCCCAGCCCTCTCCACTCCGGCTGGAGGAAGGCTCTGAAAGGCACTTAGCTTTTTTCATCCCGGGCTCTGATCAATCACCCACTTCCATCTTTGTGATTCTCACAACCTGTTAATTTATTTTATCAAACAACCTCAGTCCAGGCAACCATCCAGTTATTTTTGTCTCTGAAGCCACACAACAGGTTCAACTACTTTGTTGTTGTTTTCATTTGCCAACTAGGTATAGAGGGTCATGAAGGAACTGCCAGACCTTGTGGATTTACCTCTCTTTGTAGTCATACTCCAGACTCCTCCAAAGCTCATCCACACGGGTAGTTCTCTGCTGAAAGAGTGCTTAGCGATGGAAATGGATCCCCGGGCTCTACTCTGCAGAGATGAAGGGCTCTAAATCTGCATAGTAGCTCTTACTCTAGGAGGCTGCTGGGCTCTCTGCCTTGATTTGATTAATGAGTGTGGAGTTTGGCAGAGGCATTCTTGGAAGATTCTGGATTGGTTGTGTGTATATACATAAAATAAAAGATGTGCTGTGGGTATTTTGAGCTAAACATGACTGATAGCTATGTTTATTAAGATAGGAGCAGTCAAAGCCTGGCTGTTTGAAGTTATACACAGATATGCCGAAGAAGTGCAGCCTTATCCAAGTGCGGAGTCTCAGGATAAACTCAAAAGAGAATATGTATTCTCCAAGTAGCATTTGGTGAATAACAAGGCTAGAATATATGTCTCACCACTCTGTATTCTTTCCCTAATGATTGTTTAGGGGGCATTGGCTTGGCAAAAGAGCACTGGAATTATTGCATAAGTGTGTTTATGTGCGTAGGTGTGTATGTGCATACATCTGAATGAATATACGCATGTATTCCGCACCTTGTTCCCACAAAGGGAATTAAAGATGGCTAAGGAAGCTACGTAATAAAATTTAAATAAGTTTTAAATAAATAGATGAGGAAATCAGGGCAAGTGAGATAGAAAATTAGGAATAAAAATAGAGGAAAGAAAGTAGAGAGGAGGGCAAGTGGGTGTGAGGAGAGGAAGGAAAGACGAGGGGTGGGGAGCGAGAAAAAGAGAAGAGGAAGTGGTGAACAAAAGCTTCTGTTTCCATGGTGACCAGCAGCTCCAGGTCCGCAGAGATAAAGCTCTGAAAGAAAGATGGTGTGGACTGGCTGTTTAACCGGATCTGTGGCATACTTCCAAGCACCATCCCTCCTCAGGAGGCACCCCCCTCCCAGGCTCTGGAAGCTGGAAGCTGCCCACAGCCTATGCAATACATAATTCCCAGACCCTGAACCATGCCTGATGGACCAGAGTGAGCACCAGAGTCAGGCCATTGCCAACCGCATTCCCTCCCCTGGGGTTTCAGAATCCAACCTTAAAGGCAGGAAGTCAGTGTCATTTGGTGGCTTGACCTCTTTGGCATGGAGCATGCAATTTGGGAGGAGATCCAGCCTGCCCTGTGCCTGAGAAGCAGAGGAAATGAGCATGGCCAAGTTGAAGGTCAAAACAGCTCTTGCCAAGGTCATCCGGGAACTCTGTGAAGCTAACCATGAGTCTACTTCTTAATCTCTAAGCCACATCGAGCACATTAACCATGGCTTCCTTCCCGGACATTCTCCCATCTGGGATACCGGAATGCCCTGACCAGGCCTTCTCTGCCTCGTCTTCCTTCTCTGAGACTCAAGATGTACATGTTCTTTAGCGCTGGGTCTGGGCCCCTTTTCACTTCCAGCTTTCCCCCTTCTCTCTCTAGGGAAGCCTGTTCATTCTACCCATTGCTGTGGCTTTAAATTCTTGCAGAGAAGTCCCGTGTTCCAGGTCTGTGTGACTGACAGCCTCCTTGACATCTCCACTCAGATGCTGCCTCCAGGTCCCAAACTTCACTCGAAAGGTGAACTCCCCATTTTCCTTCCCAGATTCGTTTTCCTGGTCTCTGCCAACAACACCATTTTATACCTGGATGGTTACTTAAGCCAGAAGCCTGGCACCCGGGCCCTAAATGCTCAACCCCAGCATAGCATCCATCAGCCCATCTCGTAGATTCAGCTTCCAACGTATACCATGTATCTGTTTTCTTCCCTGATTCCCCAAGATTTCACTGCCCTCATTCAGGCCAGCACTATCTTCAACACGGATTTGCTTATCAGCCTCCTGACTAGTCTCCATGCTCTCTCTTTCTCCCTGACAACCTGGATTTGATTAACGGCCTCCTAACTAGTCCCCATATTCCCTCTTGCCTCCTGACAATTTGTTCTCCACGCAGCAGCCAGAGGGGCCAGCTCATAACAACAAATGGATCTGCTTCAAACCCTTTCATTGATTCTTCCCACCCAAAGAATAAAATGCAAAGTCCTTACCAAGAGGTTTGAGATTGGACCTGCTCTGGTCCCCTCCCCTCCCGCGGCTCCTCTGATGCCTTCCTCACTTCTCCCCCGCCTAGATCCTTTCAGTTTCTCAAATATTTCCTGCCTCAGGGCCTTGCACTCACTGTTCCTCTGCCTGAAGGTCCTCGCCCTGCCCTTCACACACTTGCTCCTGCCTCACACATCTGACTCTGCACATCATCCCTGCATGGCAGGGAGATCTCCTCCTATCTCTCCATCCAAAATAAGCCCCACGTAGGCCGGGTGCGGTGGCTCATAGCTGTAATCCCAGCCCTTTGGGAGGCTGAGGCGGGGAGATCACTTGAGGCCAGGAGTTCGAGACCAGACTGGCCAACATGGCGAAACCCTATCGCTACTAAAAATATGAAAATTAACCAGGCGTGATGGCAGGCGCCTGTAGTCCCAGCTATTTGGGAGGCTAAGGCAGGAGAATCACTTGAACCTGGGAGGTGGAGGTTGCAGTGAGTGGAGGTCGGGCCACTGCAGTACAGCCTGGGCAACAGAGCGAGATTGTCAAAAAAAATAAAAATAAAAATAAAAGCCCCACATATTATTCTCCATCTCAGCTATCTGCTGAGCCCTTCAGACAACTCATCATTTCTTCTTAGTTTGTTGCCTTGTATGATGTCAACTTTCTTCCTGGTCAATGGCTCCTTATGGACAGGTCTGTGATTGATCCACACTACATCCTCAGAGTTGGTCAATAGTGCGCATTCATGTATTATTTTGAAAGCTAAGCAGAGAGAAAACAATGACAGGGAACCGAGAAAGTGCTCTATGAACTTTCCAGTCCCTGGTCCTGGTTGCTCAGGAAGCTGTTGCCCACTCCAGCCCTGGAGTTCCGCCGAATACTCCTGACGTTGGCCAGCAAAGCCCTCTGCTGCCCTTGAGCAATTTTCTGCTCCTGAAACCAGCACCTAGCACCTGGCCATGACTCTCTGTGCCCTCTGGGAAAACAGTCACCAGCTTTGAAAGCTTGTGGATTCCAGGGCACTTGGCATAAGGCTGCTCTTTCTCAGGCTTGAAGTTTGGTGCTGTACTTTATGCTTTGGGAGAAAAAAAAAATACCTGTGCAAACCCAAATTACTACAGGAGTGGAAAGCATCTCAGCCACCAAATATTCCCAGCCCTAGGAGCATTATGTTGGTCATTGGTGAGCTTGTATTGCATCCCAGGGGATTAGGGGCAAAATGCTATTATATGTGGGATCAGAGGCAGCTGGATGAAGCGAGAGTAGGTGGTAGGATCCATGGAGTAGGGGCCAGGAGCCCTGGGATAGAGAAGCCACTCTGCGCTGATGAATGATACACTAGATAAGGCTCTGGATTGTTCTGGGCTTCTGTGTCCAGGTCTGCAAGACTGAGAAAACCAGAGCCATCAAGTCACTTAGCTAAGCACTCCCACCCCACCCCCATTCACTCTGTGCTCCTTTCCATGGAGCCCCATGGGAGTTCCTATTCACTGCCATTGACCAGTCGTCTCTGACTGCATTAAGCCCACTCCTTTGAGTGGTGACTGAAGTCCCTAACTGCTCAGCTTTCCATGCGTGCATCTGGCCTCCCTAACTCAGGCTCCTCCAGGGCAGGGACACTGTGTTCCTCTCTCTTCCTCAGCTCAGAACCTGGCAAACATCAGGCATCAAATTAATGTTTGTTGGTTTGATCTGGCTAAATGATCTGAAGAATCCTTTCATTCCTCTAGCTCAAGCCACCTTCTGCCATTTGATTCTCTCTCTCTCTCTTTTTTTTTTTTCTTTTGAAACAGAGTCTTGCTCTGTTGTCCAGGGTGGAGTGCAGTGGTGCAATCATAGCTCACCACAGCTTGGAACTCCTGAGTTCAAGCGATCCTCCTGCCTTGATAACCAGAGTAGCTAAGACTACAGGCACATGCCACCACGCCCAGCTCTGATCCTCATCTTGATTCCAGTTGTTTGCTGGAGGGGGTGAGTAGGGAGTGAGAATGACAGATAGGGAGATGGGGGGCAGAGGGGAAGCCAGGACAGGAAGGGAGGGGAGGGAAGGCCGGACCTAGTGTTTCTGAAATTGAGTGAGATTGGATGGAGGCATAGACATTCAGCTTGAGGCAAAAAGGGAGAGAGTAGGAGATGAAAATAGATCTATACAATCAGCAGATGCCAAAATATTCATAACGTTCCCAAATCTCCCTTAACATCTCTCTAGAGGCGCCCATAGAAAAGATCCTTTATTCCATTTCTAATTCAGGATCCGCTTTGATGTGCTCAGGCACAGGAAGGAAAGTTACAATGACTAACATCTTTAATGTCATTAAAAATAATTAAATTACATAGTCATTTCTTAACACCCAGCCTGACTTTTTTCAACACTTTCTTTCAAAATGAAACATTGCAAAGACATCAGGGAGTTGGAGAGAGCCTGCGGACAGAACCTTCCTTCCAACTGCTGCTCTTGATAGAAGATTATAATGGGCTTCAGAATTCATTTGACGTTTTTCTTGCTATTTTGTACACATAATAATAGATGTAAAGCCTCAGATTTTAATGGCACCTTTCTACCTAACAACCACATGTGCTCTCACAAACATTCACTTTTTGTATGTTGAAGAGGAGAGAAGTATTACTAGCCCCATTTTACAGAAGTAGCAAGTTGATGATTCATAGTGCATAAGCACTAATATTCCCTGAATGCCTGCCATACTCTAGGCACTGAGCTTTCGTACAGTCTCATTTATACCTCTCAGCCAGCTTTTCAGGACTGAGAAAGGATTCAAACCTGGACCACCTGACTAAAAACCCACATGCCTCAACACTGTGCTATATAACTTATTCAACAAATCTTTATTGAACAGCTACTCTGTGCCAGACATTGTCCTGGCTGCTGGGGATACAGTGGTACAGGAGACAGATCTCTCTATTGTCAGGGATGATGTTATAATAGGAACACATAAAGAAATTAAAACAGGGTGATGTGTTCAAGACTGTAGGGCAGGTGTGAGAGAGAGTCCATGCCTCCTGAGGAGTTAATGACAAGAAGGACCCATTCACAAGAAAATATGGGCAGCGCATTCCAATCAGAAGGAAGCCCAGGGATCTAAATATGTTGGTATTTATTATTTCCTCAGCCATTTCACCTGAATATCTGTTGTAAGACAATAATTATTAATATGGAAACAAATATTCACTGGTTATTTATAATAATGAAAACAAATAGAAATGACCTAAAATCGAATAGGGAGAAATTTCAAGAAATTATGACCCTTGTGCTTGCTGAAATATTATGCAGCCATGAAAAATAACTTGGCAGGTTTCGATTCTGGCTAGGAGGTATACCTTACTCTCTATCTCTTCTACTGGTTACAACTAAAAACTCAGGACAGACTATATAAAATAACTATCAGAGTACTGTGAAAAATAATAACAGAGTAGGGAAAGAAATAAAAACTCGAAGAAATACAGATCCAGCAGAGTGTCCTGGAGTGCTCCCACCTCATATTTCCTGGCTTAGACACTAGAACAGCTAAATCCTGAACTGTGTGGCAGATGTTATGTGCACAGAATAAGTTCCAAGAGAAATCCTCCCTTTCTGGCCAGAAAATCAGAAGGGCAGCTCTTGCAGTGCACAGCTTGGGGCTAAATCCGCATTTTGTTTTCCTTTTCCCTTCTTTTAGTCTTCCAGCCCTGTCCCAAGGCAATCCCCAGTCATGATGCTGTGATCCCCTTCAGCAGCAGTGGTCATGGAAGCCATACAAGCATGTAAAATTCTGAGAAAATTATTTCCTCTGACTAGAGGAAGCTGGAAAAGGGGTCCCTGTGGTCCAAAGAGTGAGGTGGGAAGGACGTCTGTTATCTCCTCTTTCTTTTTTTCCTAGCTATTTTGTCCTAAAGTGGACCCAGTCACAGAGAGTGCATGAAAACACAGGGAAGGTAAAAACCCCAGCTGGAGCACCAGGAAAGGGGGCCACTGGGAGCTGGAGATTGTGGAAGAAATTTGGAAGAGGAGGCAGCTGAAGAAAGAGAGCCCCTAAATCTGTTTGAAGCCCACAGCTCCTCTCTGAGCTGTGCACGTATGGAACTGACATAAAGTAGCATAGACAAGGCTTTGAGAATTTAACTGCTGTACATCCACTGCTCAGGACCCAGACTGGACCCTGGGTGGTCCCCACACAGGACATATCCAAATAGCACCACAGAGCCTTTGAAAATCAAACTGACATTGAAACTCCGGCCCACAAAAGATGCACAGGGACTTGTGGTCCATTCCTAACCAGCTTGATTACCTGCTAAAATGAAATAATCAACATTTATCAGAAGATTTTAACAGTGCCCATAGCATGATAACATAATATTCAAAAATATCCAGGATACAATCTAAATTTACTCAACATACTAAGAACCAGATACATCCCAGCAACCACAAGATAACCCAGATTTTGGCATTATCAGACAAAGAATTTAAAGCAGGTATGACAACCATACTCCATAAAGTAAGAATGAACACTCTTGAAACAAATAGAAAGTTACAAGCTCTCAGTAAAGAAATAGAACCAGTAGGAAAGAACCAAGTGGAAAGTTTTAAAAACTGAAACATACAAATAGAATTTTTTTGAAAGTCCCTAGAGAGGCACAATAACAGAATGAAAATGACAAAAGAGAGTCAGTTAATTTGAAGACAAGTTGCTTTGTCCATTTGTATTGCAATAAAGGAAATACCTGGGACTGGGTAATTTATAAAGAAAAGAGGTTTATTTGGCTCACAATTCTATAGACTGTACAAGAAGGATGTCAGTGGTATCTCCTTCTGGTGAGGGCTTCAGGAAACTTCCACTCATGACAGAAGGTGAAAAGGAGGCAGGGTGGGGAGATCACATTTCAGGAAGTGGAGGAAGCATGAGAGAGAGGAGGAGGTTCCAGGCTCTTTTTAACAATCAGATCTCATGGGAACTAACAGAGTGAGAACTCACTCATTACCACAAGGACAGCACCAAGCCTTTCATGAGGGATCCACTGCCATGACCCAAACACCTCACACCATGCCCCTTTTCCAACAGCAGGGGATAAATTTCAACATGAGATTTAATGGGGTCAAACAAACTATATCCAAACCATGGCACAGATCAATAGAAATTACCCAGTGATAAAGAGATAAAAGATTAAAAATAAATCAACAGAGCCTCAGTGTCATTTCTTATTAAAGACCAGGGAAACCAAAAGATTATTGAAAATTATTTTTAAAGTTCTCAAAGACATAATTCCTATATCTAGCAAAAATATCCTTCAGGAATGAAAGCAAATGAAATAAAGATATATTCAGATGAAGGAAAACTAAGATAATTTATCACCAGTAGTTATAAATTTAAAAACAGATTTCAAAAATAAGAACAATGCAAAATTATTTTACAAAGGGCTTGTTATTACTTTGAAAAATTCCTATGATCTAATGTTTAAAAAATCATGATACAAAATTTAAAAAACAGTGTTCTTGCAATTATGTCCAAAAATACTATGCATAGAGAAAAAGCTAGGTAGAAGTAAAATAAAGTGTTTTTAGTGACTTCTTTTGGCAAAAAGATCTATTGGTAAATTGTCCTTTTATTTTATTTTTTAATATTTTCCAAAATGACAGTGGATAATTGTTAGGGTTTAAATGTTTCTCCATAGTTCACGTGTTGGAAACTTAATCCCCAATATGATAGTGTTGAGAGTTGAGACCTTTAAGAGGTGATTAGGTCATGAGGGCTCTGCCCTCATGAATGGATTAATGCTGTTATCTCAGGAGTGGGTTAGTTATTGTGGGAGTGGGTTCCTTATAAAAGGATGAGTTTGACTCCCTCTTCTCTTTTTCTCTCTCACATGCACGACTTTGCCCTTCCACCTTCCACCATGGGATCATGCAGTAAGAAGGCCTTCACAAGATGCTGGTGCCCTATTCTTGGACTTCCCAGCCTCCAGAACTCTCAGAAATAATTTTTTTCCTTGTAAGTTACCCAGTTTGTGGTATTCTGTTATAGCAACAAAAAACAGATGAAGACAATGATCAAACATTTTTATAACATTAAAAAAAAGTTACTTCTGAATGCACCAGGTTGTTAGGGAAAAGGGTGGAATAAATCTCTCAATTTTAGTCCAAGAAAAAGAGCATATTCTTGAAGATTTCTTTCTAAAGAGAGGAGGTGTAAGAGAGTGCCCACCAGATGAAGAAGATGGTCAGTTATTTCAGCTTTCACCCATGTTCATGAGGTTCCAATTATCTAAGTTCATAAGACAATTTTTTTTTAAAAAAAGCATCTAAAGTTCAAAATTATTAGACATTATAGATTTGGCCTGCCTGACAGTTCTTAAAGTTCTTAATTCTGTTTACAAAGAGAAAAAGGCCTTTATGGGAAAGAATCTTCTGATATGCTAGTGGTAACCACTGCTTCACAATTGATAAAATCATTGACTGAAAGGAAGAAAGAAACAAAAAATACAGCTAGCCTCAAATGGCAGCAGCAGATTTTAATGCCTAAGGGATGTTCTGTGAATAAGATAAGAGCTGGCAGCCCACCTATCCCTGTATAATATCCAAGCTATGAGAGGCAAGGAATAAAGACCACTAACAAAGGAGCATGAGCTCAGGATCCAGATGATAGACATGGTAGCAGAGGCTCAGATTCAAACACCTGTGTGCTGAATAATTCAGTGGACCTACAGGGTAATAGAGACAGCCACATGTGCCATTGTTAGCCTGAGTGAAGAAGGGAATTATAGACATTTAGGGAGGTAAAAAGAATCCCAGGATACCTAGAGTTTTAGAATAAAGGTTTGCAATTCCCTGGCAACATCCAACTTTGAGGAGGAAAGATCCCTGGTTTACAACTCTTTCAGGAGCTAAGAGAAGGGATAGCTGAGGTATGAAAGTTGTAATGTGTGATGCCTGATGCCTTTCTTTTGCTTAGCTCTTCTCCATCCCTCCCCATGTTTCCCTGCACAACCCTTTGAATCTGTTCCCTTTAAAGAAGAATGTATCTTGTTCTACTCCAGGACTCAACCTGAGCACAATTGACATTTGGGGGCAGGTGTTTCTTTGTTGTGGGGGCTGTCCTGTGCATTGTAGGATGTTGAGCAGCATCCCTGACCTCTACCCCGTAGATACCAGGAGCACCCATGCCCCACACTTGTGACAATCAAATATGTCTCCAGACATTGCCAAATGTCCCGAGGTGCAAAATCACCCCAGTTGAGAACCATCATCCTACCCATTTTGGAAATTTCATGGTATAGTGATTTCTGAAGAAGCAAAAGGTGAGTTCTGGCATCTTAACCACAGGTATGGCACTGAGCCCAGCAGAGCCTAAGGGAATAAGGGCAAACATATAAAGTTCAATTTTTTTAATTCAAAAAGGGTAAAAATGTTTCTGGATGTAATGCAATTTTGCCCTTCTAAAAAAATATATGCTGTCCCTCTTGGATATCTGTGCTTTAGGTATTCACTCATTCATTCAAGCAACACTGACTAAGTGCTGGATTTTTTGTGATCCTCACTCAGCAGCAGCCAACCCAGCCAGCTTGCACCTGTGGCAAGTCCCCTGAGTTTGCATAAGCAAATACAGAACTTTACTGTATTTTGTCTCACTGAGTCTACAACATTTCTGAGCGCTGAGATTAAATTCCCCAAAGCATAGGAGGCTCGGCGAGGTGAGAGAACTTGGCCAAGTGGGCAGAAATTTGGGATGGGGAGGGAAGTTCTTCTTTATGCAACATCTCCAGCTGCAGAATCCAAGAGGAATGGAAGAACTTCATGTTGCAGCCTGAGTAGAATAATTGATTCAGGTCAGAATGATCATTGGTTGAAAAACTATTGGGAAACAGGATATTCACACGAGGCCAACGTATCACCCACAGATAACTGAATAATCACAAAGGGAAAAGTCGCTGTCAACACCTTAAACGAGTGAACAGATTACTCACTGTGGAGCAGCTTGAGGCCGTCCCATGCAGTCTCCACCCTCGCCTAGGAAGTATTTCACCAGGGAGATCTATTCAAGCCTCTATAGCTAACTCCTGGTTCAGGGGGAAAAGGAGGGATAGAAAAACATGCAAAATTGCCACAAGGACACAAGAAGACAGATCAAGAACCTGGGACATTCTAAAAGACAATTGGCCTGCGTTCTTCAAAAAGTTGATGTCGTGGAAAAGAAAAAGAAAAAGTGGAGCGACCATGCTAAATGTAAAAAGATTTAGAGATATAACAAGCAACTGTAATGTGTGTGCATTGGATCCTGGCTCTTAAGAAATAAACATTCTTGCCGGGCGCGGTGGCTCACGCCTGTAATCCCAGCACTTTGGGAGGCCGAGGCGGGCGGATCACGAGGTCAGGAGATCGAGACCATCCTGGCTAACACAGTGAAACCCCGTCTCTACTAAAAATACAAAAAAATTAGCCGGGCGTGGTGGCGGGCGCCTGTAGTCCCAGCTACTCGGGAGGCTGAGGCAGGAGAATGGCGTGAACCCGGGAGGCGGAGCTTGCAGTGAGCCGAGATCGCGCCACTGCACTCCAGCCTGGGCGACAGAGCGAGACTCCGTCTCAAAAAAAAAAAAAAGAAATAAACATTCTTAGGACACGTGAGGAAATTTGAACATAAATTGGATGATAAGGTTTGGCTGTATCCCCACCCAAATCTCATCTTGAATTGTAGCTCCCATTATTCCCTCATGCTGTGGGAAGGACCCAGTGGGAGATAATTGAATCATAGGGGTGGTTTCCTTCATACTATTCTCGTAGTGAATTAGTCTCACAAGATCTGATGGTTTTATAAAGGGGCATTTCCCTGCACACGCTCTCTCCTCTTGTCTGCCTCCATGTGAGACATGCCTTTCACCTTCTGCCATGATTGTGAGGCCTCCCCAGCCACGTGGAACTGTGAGTCCATTAAACCTCTTTCTTTTGTAAATCACAGTCTCAGGTATGTCTTTATCAGCAGTGTGAAAACAGACTAATACACTAGCTATTATATAGGTCAAAATGATTGTTATTTTTTCAAGTGTAGTAATAGTATTGTGGTTATATAAGTAAAAAGGGAAAAACACTCTTTTTCTTTCTACACTCTCACACACACACTTCACTTCTGACACCAAATGTGCAGATTTTCCATACCAAGCAGCTCACCAAATCTCCAGACTCCAACTGTGTGTTCTACTATGCAGTTAGGACACTAACTACCTAGAGTTGGTGCAGGCTCCACAGATGAAGGGCTCAGTCCCACAAGACTGCCCCCACTGCAGACATCAGTTACAAATAGCGGGTCCCCAGGTTACCCACAGTTCTGTCTGACGTAGCCACAATGACCCCGTGTAGGGGTTCCCATGACCCTCTCCTTAGGTTCCATAGTTGGTTCTAACGGCTTGCAGAACTCAGGGAGATGCCTACTGGTTTCCTGGTTTCTGATGCTGCTTTATTATAAAGTCTATGGTAAAGGACACAGATGAATAGCCAGAAGAAGAGGCACACAGGATGAGGATTGAAAGAGTCCTAAGTGGAGGAGTTTCTGTTCTCACGGAGGTGGGGTGCACCACCCTCCTGGCACAGGGACGTGTTCACCAACCCAGAAGCTCTCTGATTTTTATGGAAGTTTCATCACTTTTGTATGATTGATTATAAACTCAATCTCCTGCCCTTTTCTCCTCCCCAGAGGATGCAGAGTGGCGGTGGGTGAGCTGAAAGTTCCAAGCCTCTAGTCCTGGCTTGGTCTTTCTGGTAACCAGACTCCATCCTGAAGCTATTCGGGGGCCCAACAAGAGTCATCTCATTAGAACAAAGCATGCCCCTATCACCTCAGGAAATTCCATAGGATTTAGGAGCTCTGTGTCAGGAATCAGGGTCAAAGACCCTGATTAGAACAAAATACCCCTATTAGAACAAAAGACACTCCTAGAACACCTTATTGACGAGAAAATTCCAAAGGTTTTAGGGGCTCTGTGCCAGAAACCAGGAACAGAGACCAAATACATATATTTTTATTGTATCACAATAAGAAAATATTGTTAGGAAGTAAGTGCTAAGGGATTATGATTTAGGGGTAAAGTGTCATGATAAGTCATAAATTATTTTCAAATGATTTATTTATATATATTCACAGAGGGGTGGGAAGGGAGGGAGAGAGACGTGGTCCCTGGACCCAATTTATGCCCTAAATCTGCTAGATTTTCCACTGTTTTACATGTTTCTAGCAGGGAGAAGTTCAGGAAATTATCCACTGGTTATTTTTTTCAATTAAAAGACAGAGAATTCAGGCTTGAAAGCTTGCTCAGTTCTTCAGCAAGTTTCCAGACCTCATTAAGTAGTGGAGATTATTAGAAAGAATCTCACACACTTATTAATTTTGTTTTCCAGTGAATCCAAGATCACCTTTGTCAGCCTTTGCTAAATCTGCAAAACACATTGCCGTCTTGATTGCTAATTAGTGTACCGGGAGAGATAGTGGCTTCCACAATAATTTCACATAATAGAGTGAATTTAATTAAAATGCATAAATTTTAAAACACCTTAATTTGTAAACATCCTCTTGGAAATCTTATGTCTGTGCCAAAATATTTGTAAGTTGCATACATCCAACAAAATTGGCATCTCTTGCCTCTCTTGTGTGTATTATGAGGTAAAGCTTGTTATTCCTGCAACACTATGGATCCCCCCACCCTACCACACTTACCACACCATGTTTCTGTCTTGTTTACCTGTATACTTTTTCCTCTAGACTATAAGAGTTATTCATTCATTCATTCCACAAATATTTAGTGACAACCTACTAAGTGTCAAGGCTCTGTTCTAGAAACAACAGAGCAATGAGCAAATTCATGGAGCTTCCAGATACAACCATACAAAATTGTAATAATTTAACATGTCAAAAATTAGGGTCCAAGATCTATGCATTAGGCAAAAGTGCCCTATTTTCACTGATTTCCAGTGAAATCTCAGTAACATATGTAAGCATATCATGCTTTTAAAGTATAGCAGGATCTCAGGGCTAGAAGGACTTCCAGAGACACATGTCCCAAGCCTGCCCTCTTCCACAGGAGTTACCCATGACATGCTCTTCTCATGGCAGATTCCAAGCGGGCCAGAGGGCCAGCACCAAAGCATCTGTGCCATGTCTGTAACATGCCATTGGCCAAAGTAAGTCTCCAGCCATTCCAAACCAAGGCAGTGAAGAAGTGGGAACAATAACCTAATCTTCCGATACCGGGTCTTACCATGGAAATGGTTTCCTCCACCTTCTGCTCTTCTTCCTCTGCTAGCTCTACTGTCCTTAAGGTTTAATTTGGATATTGCCTCCTCTGAGGACTCCTCTGTGGCTTGGATGCTCCTCCTGGGTTCCCCCAGTGCCCTGGGCATACCTCTACCATGGCACCTAGCACAGTTTATTGGAATCATCTGTGTGTCTCTCTCCCTTGAACTGAACTCGCCTGACAAATGCTTCTAATTGCTTCCTGAACATGTTTTCTCCCCTTCTTTAGAGCTAGAGAACATCAATTCTGTCCAGGGCAGTGGTCCTTTTAAAACTATTCACTTTCCTAGATATTCTTTCAATTAAGCTGACCACGCAAAACGGTTTAGCTTTCTGCAAAGCTTTCTTAACAGAGATACATCCAGAAAATCTGTCTGCCTTTTGTTTTTGTCCTTTGCTCCTCCCCTTTCTCCTGCCTGGAACATAAACGTATGTCCAGAGTGCAGCAGCCATATTGCAATCATGAGGACTAAAGCCATGAGTTAAAGATGACACAGCAGAAAGACAGGAAGACAAGACAGGGGAATCCCCAGGGCTTCTGAGCTGCTGTGTCTGCCCTGTACTGCATGGCTCCAGATTTTATGTTATGTGAAGAAAACCCTTTCACTTCATTAGTCACTTCTGTTAAGTTTCCCGAGAGTTCCAGCCAAATGCCCCCTAACTGACAGAGCCTCTCAGAGAAGAGACAGACTTACCCATTCTTGCATCTCAGACCTGGGACAGGTCCTGGGACATAGGAACCCAGTAAGTGTTCATCTGTGGATGGGCACGTGACCTTACTGAAGCTCTGCCAACCTTCTCACCGCAGTCTCACCACTACCCACTCTCAATTTCCAGACCCCAGCCACACTCCACAGGGGTCCCCTCATGCATGCCAAGCTCCAGCTCACCACTGGGCCTTTTCAAAGGTTGCTCCCTTTACAGGAAGGACAGTCTCTCCTCTTTCTCTACCTCCCTTGAGGCTTCTGCTCTGGCAGCCTCCTGTGTCCCACCCTTCAGTGATGCTAGACAAGCAAAATGCCCCTGTGCCTCAGTGTTCTCATCCATAAAGTGGGCATGATAATAGTACCTGCCTCATTGTTGTTGAGTTGATGTGAGAATCAGAATAGCCAATTCTTACAATCAGAGAGTAAAAACGTACATAGGCTTATCTCATGCCAGGCACTATCCTAAGCACCTCACATGCCTTTAACTCATTTAATCCTCCCCATGACCTACAAGTGCTAATGTCAACCTCACTTTACAGATGAGGAGACTAACGCACCTTGCCCAAGGTCACACAGCAAATGAATGGCAGAGCCAGGATTTATACCAAGCAAGTGAGCTCTGGAGTCCAGGTGCTTACCTGTTGCTCATGCGGCCTTAGGGCTCCCAACTGCACCTGGTTCATTAGCTCCCAGTAGCTGTTAACAACTATTCTCATTGGCCAGACACCTGCCACTCTGGAAGTAACTGCTTGTGCAATCACTGCACCAGGCTTTGTTACCCCCAGATGAGTACAAATGGGTCACGTTCATAATTTCTTCCAACATTTGTGTGGTTTTAGTTCCCACCTACTTGTTAGCAAGATATCCAATCTCGTTTCCCTGGATCTCCCTTTCGGGAATTTTCTCCAGGAACCCCCCAGTGTTGGGGGTAGGTACCAGGCACTTCCATTCTCTTTGCCCACCCAGGATCTGCACACCCCTGAGGACTAACACACTCAACTGTGCCCCCACCTCCTGGCCTATTCATGAGTGTCAATGCCCACATTAACACACAGCACAGAGCTTGTCTGCCAAACCTCCTGGCTGGGGCACCCACTCCCCTCCACCACCATGTACTCCTATCAGCCTGCCTTCTGCGAGACCTTCATAGACCACAGATTCATGCTTGGAAACTGGTTTCTTGAGTGCTGAACAAGGGAGGCCACCAGAGAGCTTTGATTCACCACAAAGATTGTCCGTGGACACCTGGCCTGGCCAACCTCAATAGCTGGTTCCAAACCTCTCCAAAAACTCTTCAAAGACAGCCAGAGTGGATGGTCTGATGACCCCTGGGAGTGGTGGACTGTTTCTGTATTTTGAGATGCAGATTTTAAATGACTGCAATTTAAAATTGGTGAATTTTATTCTATGTGAATTATGTCTCAACAAAGCAGAATACACCAACACATGTGGCCACAGCATGCTCTTCTTATAATATGGCCTTGACACTGCTCTATCAAATTGTGGCATCTCTCTCCCCTCCCCTTGATCCTATGTTGACCAACAGATGATGGTAGAAACATCCCTATCTCTATGTGACTTCTGAGACAAGGTCAGAAAATTCTGCTTTGTTCTGTTAGGACATTCATGCTTGGAAGCTAGCCACCATGCTGTGAGGAAGCCCAAGCAGCCACACGGAGATGCTATCTCTGGGTGTTCCCGCTAACAGCCCTGGCTGAGATCTCAGGTAATAGCCAGCATCAAATGTTCAACATGAGTGAATGAGCCTTCAGATGACTCCATCCCACAGCCATTTAGTCCCCTAGCCTTTGAGGCTTCCCAGACATCAGAGATAGGAATAAGCCATTCCCACTGGCTTCTGTCCAAATTACTGGTTCACAAAATCCATGGCCGTTGAAAAATATACTTGGTTTATGCCACTAAGTTTGAGGTGGTTTATTATACAACAGTGGTAACTGGGAGATGGGGCTTCCCCAGAAGATCCTGGGAAGACTGTGGTCCTGAGTGGAGCAGGGGGGCACTCCTACAGGGGGCCTATAGCTGGTACCTCTCCTAGGCAGGAGTCCAGGACAGGGAATCCTGGAGAAGCCAGCAGGTTTGAAGCCAGGAGACATCTGAGACCTTGTTGGGAGATCAGAGAAAGGATCTGTCAGAGGTGACAGGATGGGGCAGGCAGTGCCAGGACAGATGATGGCTCAGCATGCAAACTGGACTGCTTTTGGGTGGCCACAGTTAGGGACCTGAGGAGCCAATGGGCTGGGGCACTGGCAGAGTGCAGGGAGGATGAATTTCGGAGGATTCATGAGGCCAGACCCCGGGCCCATGGGAGGGCACTGGTGCCTTGGCAATCCTTCCCCTGGAGTGAATGAGGCTGACTCAGCTTCTAGGAGCTGGGGGCTTCCTGGTCAGCACCACTGATGGCTTTATGGGCCAGAGTCCCTCCAGTCTTTGACAAAAGTGAAATTGCAGAACAGCAACTGAATCTGAGAAGAGACCAGATAAACTGAGGAGCTACAAACAAGGCTAGGAGGAGGAAAGCCAGGAGGCCACCATGGAAGAAACCTCATTTTCTCCCTGCCCTCGCTGTTTCACTTCCTTTTGGATCCCAGTGTAGAGTGGGTGCTCTGGCCAGAGTCCTCATTTCTGCTTCTCCCCACCCACCCTCACCCCCACTATTCCTGCTGGGAAGGGTCCCTTTGCCTTCTGCAAGCCTTATTTTAAAATGGCTACCTGCAAGGAACCTGCTGCCCCTTTGGTGGTAGCCCAGAAAGGCAAGCAGGTCCTGTCTTAGAGCGGGGTGTGCACCCACACAGATACACAGCCCGCCCCTGCCAGCTCTGGATCCCTGCCAAAGACCCCATCTGTAATCAGAAAGGGACAAGAAGCCTGGGGTCACAGCTCCAACCACCGGGTCATGCTTCCTTCCTTGGGTAGGGCGTCCCTGGTGTGCCCAGAGCTGCTGCTGAAGCAGAGGTGACAGAGGTTCCCACCACCTCCCCTCCCAGGCATCTGCTGTGGGCGTGGCTGCCCAGCCCGTCCTGGGCCATCTCTGTCCCCTGAAGAACCTGGCTCCCCTCCACCCCTGTCTTCCACGCAGCCACCAGCCTGGTCCTTTTCTCACACCTGATACACGAAGCACACTGAAAAGGCCACCTCACAGTGACACACTTTGATAGCTTGAGTTCTCAGCTCTCCTGGGAAAATTCATGCCTGAGTACACGTGGGCCCTGTAAGGCAATCCCAGACCCCTCTCCTGGGCTTTTGCTCAAACCTCCATCCCACAGCCCTGCTTCAAAGTTACTCTTTGAGACTTTCTGTTTGCTCCCCGCAGCACCATCTGAACTGGAGGCAGAGGTGCTGTCCTCAGGAGAAAAACATACTGGGGTGTGCTGCTTCCAGCAGCCCCATGACTCCAGCTTAGTTTATCTTGGGCGTGAAACATTCCAAAGGAACGCAGTTCTCCCTGTGCCAGGGACCAGGACTGCAGGAGAGGCCACGTGAGTGCTGGTACCTTTGTGGGTTCCTGTAGCACACTCCAGCCAGATTCCTGGACCCTGCTTCAAAGCAGCCCTGTCTTCCCCTTCCATCAGGACCTCCAAGTGCATACAACCAAAAGATAGTAAGCCCAGAAGCAGGTTGATGAGCTAGGCAGACCTCCAGTAAGTGAATCAGGATTTGAAATTGCATAACACTCCTGAGAGCTGCCATGTGCTTTTAATTTCCCTGTTACGGTTAAAGCAGGAAAAGATATCCAGTGAGTCGATCCAATGAATTGCTGAAAGAATGCTCCAAAGCCAGGTCATGATGGCGTTTCCTGACATTCATTTTAATTGAATAGTTTAATGTTAGATGATTACAACCCTGTCACATTTACAGAAAATGAGTAGCCCGGGAGGTCTCCAGAGCTTGGCAAGGAGAAATAAATCTTTCGTTCCCACAGCAGCTGATCTGAGGGCAGGCCGGGGAAACTTACCCACACTGGGTTTGCCATAATATCCTGGTTTAGGCCCCAGGCTTCTGAGTGTACACCCATATTCATGGGGACAACTTGACCACGTGTAACCACAACAGAGAGTAAGAACTAATCAGGCTCCTTAGTCAAGGGGGGTCTAGAAAACTCAGGGAAGGGACTGACCACTACCATCATCTGGCAAAGAGACTTCCGGTGGGAAGGGGTGGGGACCAAGTGAGCCTCAGCTGTCTGGCAATTAACAAAAGAGGAAGGGAGGTGAGAACATCAGATCTATGAGGCCGAACCCCAGTAAAAAAAACCCTGGACACTGAGGCTCAGGTAACCTTCTCTGATTGACAGTATTTCATGAGTATTATTGAACATTGCTACTAGGAAAAGTTAGTCTGTCCATGAGTTTGTGGAGGAGGACATTAGCAAGCTTCATGTTTGGAACTCTTCTGGACTCTGCCCCATGTGCCCCATCCCTTGGCTGATTCTAATCTCCATCCTTTCACTGTAATAAACTATAACTGTGAGTGTAACAGCCCATAACTTGTTCTGTGAATCCTTCTAGGGAACTGTCCAACCTGAGGATGATCTTGCAGATGATGGGCTTTTCTTATTGTGAGAGACATTTGGCTTCTTTCCTGCCCCTCCTCCTGGGAAAAAAAGTAGCACCAAACTCATACAGGGCAATATTTGAAAACAATGGATAAGTTGAACTTCATCAAAAAGGGATGGTTGTGGTTATCAAATCTTCCCACTACACTCATTTTAAATGAATAGATGCAGTAATTATTACATTTTTAGATTAGTATATTCATATCAGACTCTCAGTCCACCAATAAAATGGGAGAGTAAACCACTATATGTAAAAAGGTGTTTATCATAATATTGTTCAGAATAGCACTGCCTTTCTCAAACTATGTGCCATGCGAGGAATGTCAGGCAGTGACTGATGATGAAATTCACAAGAGTTTGACACACATGAGAACTATGGATGCTTTACTATGAAGTAAAAAGCAAAGTAAAAGAAGAAAGTCAGGTCTTAAGTCAGTATACAGAGTATAAGTCTGAGTGGTTTTTTTTAAACAGGGTGACAGTGTTGATTAAGTTAGGGAATATGTGAGTCTACGAAGGTACAGGTGAAACTGTACAAGAGGAAGGTGTCAGCTACATCTTCAAGCAAAGACTGGTGGCCACTTTGAAGCCAATCTTCTTTGTGAAGTGCAGACTTGGTGGTTGGTTATGTAATGCAGGGTCAGTAGGCATCCTTGCCAGGCACCATCTTCTGTGTGTATAGGGTGGTATTGGGCTGCTCTGGTGCCTGTCTCTAGAATCCTCTCAGCCTCACCTCTCATGCCAGCCTTTACTGCAGCAACTAGCTCTGTGCAGGCTTTGAGCTAACTGAAGAGCACCTCACTCCAGACTTGCAAATTAACACCCCATAGGACACTCTTGACCAGTGGGACCTGGAGCCAGCAGATGATATTTCCCACTTTGTTCCTTGGGTGGACAGTTCTAAGACACATTCCATAGATTTCCCAGAAAGTCTGCAAAGTCAGGCAGTCAACTGCCTTTTGCAGTGGCCAACTCAATAGTGCATCTCTGAATGACTCTCCATCCTTCTGTACGGACAGGCTCTCCCTGTCCCACTCTGCTCCTTGCAATCTCATTCTCAAACTCACTCAACAGCATCTACTTAAAGTCATTTCTCCCCATGGAATGCAGGGCTCTGTGTACAAGGTGAATCAATTTACATAAGGAACGCAAGAGCCTACTGCGGAAGGAGGGTTCAGACTCCAATGCCTGCACCCTGAGCTCCAAGTGCAGGAAGTGTGGGAGTTTCTCGGCGTGGCAGATAGCAAAATACAGCAAGGGCTCCAACAGGGAATGCAAAGGAGAGAAAGGGGAAGCAGGGCTTGTAGGCCAGTCTCAGTGCAAGGGCACAGGACTCACATGGGGGAGAGCTGGTTCTGTAAAGCATTGTAAGCCATAACAACTGGGTCTCCTGGAGCACAACTTCAAAAGGTAATGTGCCTGCTGTCCACTAGAGTTGGGCCCTGTAGCAGAGACAGGAAGATCTCAGGACCAATCCACCCTGGTACAGTGATTGTGCATTAGGGACAATAACTGACCAAGGAGGTGTCAAGTAAAGCTACCTTGAATGCGATTTTGGAAACCAAGCATGGGGCTCCACCATGGCCTGGGTAGGGAATGGACAGTGAGGCCATCGCAAGGAAGGGCAAGTAGGACTGGTCTCCAACCACAATGCCATGTTGCAGCAAGAGCCAGCATCATTCCTGCACTGACCACCAAACTTCCCAGCCCTGTCTTCCTAGCATTGATCTAGGACTAGTGGCATTTTGATTAAATAAGACCCAGCTGTTCTGATCCTTTGACGGCAGTGGGGATGCTCAAGATGGATGAGCTATTAGAGGAATCAAGAAGAAAACCAAAAAAATGATGTCACCATATTTGAACTTTAAGAATCAAAAACAGGCTGGGTGCAGTTGCTCACGCCTATAATCTCAGCACTTGGGAGGCCAAGGTGGGCGGGTCACTTGAGGTCAGGAGTTTGAGACCAGCCTTGCCAACATGGTGAAACCCCATCTCTACTAAAAATACAAAAATTAGCCAGGGGTGGTGGCATATGCCTGTAATCCCAGCTACTTGGGAGGCTGAGGCAGGAGATTCGCTTGAACCCGGGAGGCAGAGGTTGCAGTGAGCTGAGATCACGCCACTGCACTCCAGCCTGGGCAACAGAGCGAGACCATGTCTCTGAAAACAACAACAAAAACAAAACAAAACTAAAAAAAAAAAGGAAGTACACCTAAACCCAGGCTTCCCCACCCCGGGCAGGCCACAGGAGGCCATCATACCCTTCATAAGATGTAAGGAGCACAGGAGGAAGGGAGCTCATCTTCTTTTCTGAATCTCCCTCTTAAGAGAGAGGAAATATGTCTTCCCAAATACCTCTCCTTACCCAACTCCCCTCATCTCTTGTTGGTCAGATTGGGTTGTGTCTGCTCAGAAATGAGTCCCAGGCAGGTGTCATGGGATGGCATGACCAAACCTGATTACCTGGGAATTAGGGCTGCTCCTGGAGCCGGGGTAAGTCCTCTTCACTTTTGTAATGTTGGGGTCAAGGAAGAGGTAACAGCTGAACAGGTTTAAGGTGCTGTTAGGAAAGGGGGAAGGGGAAATGCTGGCAGATGCCCAAGAGGGTCTGCTGTACCCAATGACACCGAGCCCTGCATGCACTTCACGGGGCTGCCATAGCCCAGCACCACAAACTGGTGACTTACAATAACAGAAAGGTCTTCTCTCACAGTTCTGGAAGCCAGGAGTCTGAAATGGCGGTGTCAGCAGAACCACATGCCTCTGGAGACCATAGGTGGGGATCTGTCCCTGCCCCTCCCAGGCTCCG
Organism: Homo sapiens; assembly: GCF_000001405.40. Lineage (NCBI taxonomy): Eukaryota > Metazoa > Chordata > Mammalia > Primates > Hominidae > Homo > Homo sapiens. The sequence continues at coordinate 123,934,366 of NC_000010.11, forward strand.
CTGGCTCCTGGTATCCCTTGCCTTTCCTTGGCTTGTGGGTGCATCTCGCCAATCCCTGCCTCTGTTTTCACCAGCCCTCTCCCTGTGTGTCTGTGTCTCGGTGTCCAAATTTCCCTCTTTATAGGAACACCCATCATACTGGATTTAGTGGTAAATTAATGCAGTTTGACCTCATCTTGATTCCACCAGAAAAGACCCTACATCTAAATAAAATCACATTCAGAGGCTCAAGTGGACATGAATTTGGTGGGGACCCTCTTCAACCCACTGTAAACCCCAAGAGAAGGAAGGCACTCTGCGAACCACGCACCAGGAACAAGCCTGATGGGGAAGCTCTGTGTTCACCCATGGGAGGCCCTTCATCCACATCCGCCCCACCCACGTAGAGGGTGTGCAGGGCCCTTTCTCCCCACCCATTTCCTCCAGCCATCTTTCTGCTTTTGCCATCCATCGCCTGCCACTGAGACCTGTGCCTCCCACTAGCTGTGTTGGATGAAGTTCGTTTCAAGTTCCCCTTGATACTGATGCCCAGCCTTCTCATTCTGTCAGGCCACAGTGAGGTGAACTCCTCATCATCTAAAATTACATGAAGCACCCAAGGCTGTCTTTGGGTACGACCTAGCCAGGAAGTTCTTAGTTGTTCTTCTCGGCCACATTCTTCTGCCTCCTCCCAGCTCCAGCGTTGATTAGCAAGTGACTTAACTTCCTGTCTTGGTCTCCTCTGCAGAGGGAAGGTGTGTGCATTGTAAGAGACAATCAGGGCAAAGGCCTGTCAGAGCCTGCTGCATGGAGCCCACTCAATCCTGTTAACCATGAGCTGTTAATGCTATTGTAGAGAGGAGTAAAAAAGCAGCCACAACTCACAAAAAGGGTGACAAGGCCTGGCTTAAACCCTCCTCTCTCAGGGAGAGCTGCACTTTCAATGAATAAAACCTTAAGCTGGTAGCATTTTCAATTGCGGCGGGGGTCAAGCAGAGGTGCCCACTTAGTGGCTGGGAAAAGGCAATTGGGGAACCCACCCTGGGTGGGGCCACAGAGACCACACAACACCCAACCATTCCAGCTTAGCATCTGTCTCATGAAACCATACCTTGGATGATGTGAAACTGCTAAAACAAACTTTGCCCTTGCCAGAATGGCCCAGAAACTGGGGACAGACCTCACAGGGAGAGGGCTCAACAGTTCTAACACCTCACCTTATGTTCTACCTGCTCCTCCCATAGTGGTTGGTAAGTGCCCCAGTGTGGTGCCTGACACTTAAAAGCTGGTGTAGTGGGTAGGAGCCCAGACATGAAAGATGGGAAGAAAAATAGCCCAGACAAGGATGCAGTCAGGGAGGGACTCTGAGTAAAGATCCAGCCAGAAATACAAGCATCATCACCATCATCATCACCATCACCATCATAACCAGCATCTTTACCATCATCATCACCACCACCACCAGCAGCATCTTCATCGCCATCATCACCAGCGTCTTGACCATCATCACCACCACCACCATCACCACCATCCTTACCATCATCACCACCACCAACACCAGCATCTTCACCATCATCACCACATTTACCATCATCATCACCATCATCACCAGCATCTTTACCATCATCACCATCATCACTACCACCACCATCACCAGCATCCTTACCATCATCACCACCACCAACACCAGCATCTTCACCATCATCACCATCACCATCATCACCACTATCTTTACCATCACCACCACCATCACCATCATCATCTATTGATATTAAACTTTTACTGGGGTTTAAGCACTGTGCTTTACAGCTATTATTTCATTTAATCCCCAAAGTAGCCCTGTAAGATCAGCACTATCATCCCCATTTTACAGATTAGGAAACTAAGGCTCAGAGACTGTAAACCTTCCAAAGCCACCAGGGAGTAAGAGTGGTCCAGAACTCCAGACCATCCTGTAAACCATTATGCCTTATTGTCTCCCCAAAATCAATCAGTAATAATAGAGGCAGATAAGTCAGGAGCTGAATGATTCCAGAAGATTCCAGAAGTGTCTGCAGCTCTTATCGGCTATATGTCAGTTTCCTACGGCATGGGTGGATTGGCTGGTGCAAAGCTCCTGTCTCTAGACAACAGCCACACAGAAGAGATATTACTCACATTTTGCATGCCTTCCAAGTAAAGCGAGGCTACTTTGAGGCCCATCTCAGCACCATGATGCATCCAAACCAAAGGAAAATGCAACTCCCAGAAGCCTTGCAAAGGAATGAAGGTCTTGACCGAATGTCTTTTCTCAAGGGGCAATGACATCATACAACTCTCAAGATTCCTTCACAATATTCTCTCTTTCCTCAAGTCTCACACCCTGCGGCACTTTCCTCTCCACTCTCCCTTTGTCTCTCACTTTCTCTCTCCCCATACTCCCACCTCCAGTCCTCGGGCCCCACTGCCCCTTCCAGGCTCTGGCCTGCACCCTCCTGCCTTCCTCATCTTCCTCTTCCTCTGTGGGTAGCAATGAGTTCCCTCCTCTTGACTTTTTTCTCCATCATTCAGGATGCTTCCTCTCTCTCACCAAAGGGGGAACCCAGCATTCAAGTCCTGCAACAAAGGCTCCTCCCTGGAAGGCCGGGGTAGGGGGTTCTTACATCCCCCATCTCAATCAAATGAGGAAACTGAGGCTCAGAGAGGCCAACGACAGCTAGAAGGTGGCAAAGTTGGGACTTTTACAAATTCTAAACACACAGCAATTCCCCTTCCCAGGGATCAGCCTTCCTGACCAAGTAAAGGGGAGTCCAGGTGACCCTAATTTTCCTCTGATGTAACTCAGGCTTGGTTAGGGGAGGTGCTAATGTGGAGAAAGGAGCTGGACTTGGGTTCCAGCCCTGACTCCACCCCTCCCCAGTTGTGGGGTCTCAGGAAAGTTACAATTCCCCTTGAAGCTTCGAGTTCCCTTCAGGATCAGGAGAGCTGAAGAAGACAGCATTGACCCGGCAGCTCAGGGGGCTTCCCTCAGCGATGCTGAAAAATCTGCCTGACACTCTGCAACCTCAGGACCCCCCACCCCAAATGTCCATCAGCCAACAGGCATCCCCAGCTTTCAGTCTGTTAGAAAAACAAGACAACAAAACAACACACACACACACACACACACACACACACACACACACACACACACACACTAGAATTCTGGAGTTATGGAGAGAAGCTGTTTCCACTGGAATTTTATCTCTTTGTTCACTTCCAGGGACCAAAGACCCTTTCTTAAGCAAGAATGCCTTTTTTCAACAAAGTCTCTTGACAGTTCCTTGAAGCTCAAATTCACAATGAGCTTTCTCTTCTGAGCATCCTGACTGCTTGTCTGAGAAGGGAAACAAGATTTTTGAAAGAAAAAAGCCCCAGGCAACTTTTATTTTTCTTTCAGGGCCCTGTTTTGAACATGGAGGTTTTGATCTTTCTAAAATCAAAGCCTTTAGAGAAGATGAGGGAAGGTTCAACCCCAACCCAAGGCAGGAGTGAAATGCCAATGTCCCCTGCACCCACAGTGACCAACTGTGGAAGTGCAAGAAACCCCAGTGTCTATTTCTGGTGCTAGAGCCTTGTGGGAAGCGTGGAAGCAGCTCTGTCTTCCTTCTGAATAGAATTAAGATTCCTTTGTTCCTAACTCAGAGGCATAAATACAGGTACACCACCAAGAAAATGAGTTTCTAGAAAAAGCCAGTTCTTACAAGAGATTTCTCTCCCTCTTTCTGACTCTCTCTTTATGTATCTCCCACTCTCCCTCCCTTTCTCTCAGTGGTCAATGTTTCTAACACTTTTGTGTGCACACAATCACTAGGAGGTCTTTTTAAAACGTATGTTCTGATTCAGCAGGCCTGAGGAGGGGCCTGAGATCCTGACAATTCTGACAAGCTCCTGGATGATACTGAAGCTGCAATCTGGGATCACACTGAGTAGCAAGCACTCAGACAATGAAAGACAGTTCCTTATATCATGAAGCCAGTGGTCTGGAGGTAGATAGGTGCAGTGCGGTCTGCAGCTCAACCATGTCAAGGGGTTTGGCCAGTGCCTGCAAATCTCCTGATCATGAGATGGCTTCAAAGAGCATGTCTGTTCCCTAAGAGAGGAGGAGAGTAGCTCTTTCCCCTTGTCTCTTTCTTTTTACTAGGAAGGGAACAATTTTCCCAATAGTCTCCCAGGAGATGTCTTCATAGCTCATTGGCCTGCACTCTGTCATGTGACCTCCTGGAGCTGCAAGGGAGCCTGGGACACTGTGCACCTGGCCAAGGGGAACAGGGTCACTGTGACAGATGCCGTTAGCAAGCAAGAATGGTGAATGCCCGCTGGCTGCCCGGCTGGCCAGCGTCTACCGCAGCCATCTTGCAGATACTCAGGGCCACCCGTATACGCTCTGGTCTATGGTGAGCCAGTAGAAAGAGAGAGGGGTCATGCCAGGCTTTCAATGTAGAGTCGGTGATGGCAGTGGGAGGCAACACTTATCTGGAAATGCAGGTGGGACCCAGCCCAGGTGACTTTCACTGGGGGACATAGGTGACCCAGGGACACAGGTGGATCACAGCCCAGGTACTTCCATAGCCCACCCAGAGCTCCCACCCTGCCAAGCCCTCTGATCAGACAAACTAGAGCCGATACAAATGACACAGCCAGACTCACCCCTCTCCCTCCTCTGGAGGAGCAGACACATTATGTTCCTGGTATCCTGGATACCATGTCAGGGACATAAAGCCACGAGAAGTGTATCTGCAGAGCCAACTGTGAGCAGTGCCAATTAAACTTGTCCCTCAGACCCACAGAGCCGTAGTATTGGGAACCAAGGTATCATCTTTTCCAGAAGCAGTACTGCCCCTTGGTAGCAGGGTTACCATGGCAATGTTTTCTACCTGGGCCTGCTTCGGGTAAGGCTGGAAATAGGACTCACATATTTAAAGTAAACTAGAAAAGCGGCACCAAGCGGGGCCCAGCAGGTGGAAGGCAGGCAGGTTCAGGAAGTCCCCTCTTGCCATCCTGGTGGGTTTTGGCTTCTCGGTCATGCTGGTGGCTCTAAGCGAGGGGATGTGGAAAGAGGCCAGCTCTGGAGTTAGATGGGGCTGGATTCCCATCCTGTCTCTGTTACTGACCTGCTGCGTGGCCTTGGGCAAGTTGTTGAACTGCCTCAGCCTCAGTTTCTTCATCCTTAAAATAGGAGGAGAGAAAGGCACACGCCCTAATATACAGGGTCATTGGGATGATTGTAATGTCATGAGACTCTGCGTCTAAAGGGCTCAGCGGGGTGTCTGGTGCAGAAGTCAGTAGAGCACCAGCCCTGGGGATGGCATGGGGAGGCCGGGCCTAAGGAGAGGCTGTCTGGATGTGACTTTATCAGGCCAGACAGGTAGACGCATGCTAAGTGGGAGCACAGAGGCCCAAGGCATCAGTCTGCCATGAGAATCCCTGTCCCAGAGCCTGGGCGCACCCCAGATGTGCCTGATCAGGGCTCTCTGACAGCCAGGCCCAAGTGCAGGAACCCCATGGCTGGCTCTCCAGGAGAAGGCCCACGAGACCACATTGCTGAAGAGCTAGCACGTACTTCCTGTCCACACAGGCAGAGCTGGGTAGGGGCATCTGCAGGACTTGAAGTCATGGAATTAGAGCAAGGAGACTTAGAAGAAGAGAATACCTAACGGCCCCACCCCACCATCGACATCCCTCAGTCCCAGAACCACAGTCATCGACACATCCTGGCTGTAAAGCTCCCTGAGCTCGAAGCAGCAGGACCACAACCCCTCCCCTGCTGCCTGCACCCAGCTCACCCTGGGAGGCCTCAGTCCTGCCATCAGGGCAGGGAGGAGGCAAGGTCTGCAGCCTGATGCTTCTTCTTCCCTGAAAGCTGCTGCCTGCATTCACCTCCATGCCTCTTCTTTACCTACCCATGGGTGATGAGCCCTTGCTGTGATGTACACAGGACATCTGTGTCATTGTGATGATGTACATGGGACATCTGTGTCCTTGTCATTTGCACAGGACATCTCTGTCATTGTGATGATGGGCACAGGACTCTGTGTCCTTGTGATGATGTGCACGGGACATCTGTGCCCTTGTCCCAGATCCACCCCAGAACCCACCTGGCAAGGGAGCGCCCAAGCCTGGGAATCACTCATCACTACCCAACAACTTTGCCCATCTCTGATCTACACTCTGTGTGTGGGCCTTGGCTCCGGCTCTCAGTGAGCAGGCTTATTTCCCTCATTTCCAAGTTCTTGGGGGACGCCTCAACACCCACCTAACAAGCATCCATAGATGGCAACAGCCTTTCTCTTTCGACTTCCAGCATTTTAAACCAACGCTGAGTTGTTGGAGTGGGTGGAAAACAGCACTTGCCTTTCTGGGACCATGGATTAGCTCAAGATTCCCACACCGGTGGGGCCCTCAAAGCCACAGGACAAGCCTGGTGCTTCTTCCTGGAGCATCTGTGTCTCCATGGTGAGGGTACTCATTGCCTAGTGCTGCCGTCCAAAAGTGCCACAAACAGGTGGCTTAAAACAATGGAAATGGGCCGGACACGGTGGCTCACGCCTGTAATCCCAGCACTTTGGGAGGCTGAGGTGGGCGGATCACGAGGTCAGGAGATCGAGACCATCCTGGCTAACACAGTGAAAGCCCGTCTCTACTAAAAATACAAAAGATTAGCAGGGCGTGCTGGTGGGTGCCTGTAGTCCCAGCTACTCGGGAGGCTGAGGCAGGAGAATGGCATGAACCTGGGAGGCGGAGCTTGCAGTGAGCCGAGATCGCGCCACTGCACTCCAGCCTGGGTGACAGAGCGAGACTTCATCTCAAAACAAAAAAATAAATAAATTAAAAATAAAATAAAATGGAAATGTATTGTCTCATAGTTCTGGGGCCTAGGAATCTAAGATCAAGGTGTGGCTAGGGCCGTGTTCCCTTTGAAGGCCCTAGGGAAGCATCCTTCTTTGCTTCTTCCTAGCCTCTGCTGGTTGCCAGCTTCCCTGGTGTTTCTCGGCTTACAGCTGCAGCAGGTCAATCTCTGCCTCTGTTGTCACGTGGCCTCCGCCTCCTGTGTCTGTCTCTGTATCTTCTCTTATTATAAGGACACCATCATATTGGATTAAAAGCCCCCCACCACCACTCCTGTATGACTTTGTCTAAATTTAACTAATTACATCTGTTGTAACCTTATTTCATAAAAGGTCACATTCAGAGGTCCTAGAGGTTAGGATCGCAACATACATTTTTGGAGGACACAATCTGACCCATAACAGTGAATAATGTTAAAACATTGTTTTTATGTTTAACCAGTGTGGATATTCACGAGGTAGAACGTAAGACCCTCCCACCTGCAGCGGACGGCTGCCCTGTGGACCCCAGAGGACTTTCCCCCTCCTCTGCCTTTGGGGGTGCTTTGAAGAAGAGCTCAAAAGCTAGAGTATGAGGCCAGAAGAACTGGTTCTCTCGTTCACCTTGAGCAGGCCACCTACCTTCTCTGAACCGCATCTGAGATGCGGATGAAGCAGTGGAAACAGGCAAACCCAGAATCTGTAGGCACAATGGCTTGCACATGCAAGTGTGCTTAGATCCCTATGGGCATGCCAGGAGAAATTGTGAAAGAGCTTAAAATAGGTTAAAAAGATTGCTGGGTGTCCTATCTATGCACCCCTCCAGGGTTATCTGAATCTCTAAGGGCCTGCACCTTTCATTGTCTTTGAGGAATTGGACAATTTTGTAAGTTGCAGAAAACTTAGAGTAATGCAAATGGCTCTAGTCCACAGAAGTGCAGATGGATTTTGTCTGGTAGAATGCAACTGCTATTGCTCTGTGGGTTTCGACCAGCTTTGGATCTATAGTCATGCACGGCATAAAAACATTTCAGTCAAGGATGTGTCAGAGGCATCTGAACCACAGTGACTCCATCTTGAACAGGGACTGGGTAAACCGAGGGTAAAATGACCTGCTGGGCTGCATTCCCAGGAGGTTAGGCATTCTTAACCTACGATGTCACAGGATGAGATAGGAGGTCAGCACAAGATACAGGTCACAAAGACCCCGCTAATGAAAACAGGATGTGGTAAAGAAGCCAACGAAAATCAAGATAGCAACAGAAATGACCTCTGGTCATCCTCACTGCTCATTATATGCTAATTATAATGCATTCGCATGCTAAAAGACACTCCCACCAGCACCACGACAGTTTACAAATGCCATTGCCACATCTGGAAGTTACCCTAGATTACCTAAAAGTGGGAGGAACCCTCAGTTCCAGAAAATCCCCACCGCTTTCCAAGAAAACTTGTGAATAATCCACCCCTTGTTTAACATATGATCAAGAAATAATTGTAAAAATAGCCAGCCAGCAGCCCTCAGGAGGGCTCTCACTATGGAGTAGCCATCTTTTTGTTTCCTTACTTCTCTATAAAGTTGCTTTCACTTTACCCTACGGACTAGTCCCAAATTTTCTTGTGTGAGATCCAAGAACCCTCTCTTGGGGTCTGGATGGGAACCCCTGACGGACCACATATATGATGATGGTCCCATAAGATTATAATACCATATTTTTACCTTACCCTTTCTATATTTAGATATGTTTAGTTACACAAATACTTACTATTGTGTCACAATTGCCTGCACTGTTCAGTACAGTCACATGTTGTACAGCTGTGTAACCTAGGAGCAATCGACTCTACCATATGGCCATACCAGTAGACTATACCATCCAGGTTTTAGTAAGCGAACTCTGATGTTCACACTATGACAAAATTGCCTAACAATGCATTTCTCAAAACATATCCCATAGTTAAGCAACGTATGACTGTATTTCTAAATTCATGTGTGTTCTTTGAATGTTCCTTTGAACTGGTCGTACCATACTATTGCTTTCCTCACTAAATAGTAAGTTAAGTAAACTTGATGTGTTCATTGTATATTTTATGACAATCATGACTGTGCCTTTTAAAAATTATCCTTTTAACAAGGACAACAGGGCAAAGCATTTGGATGTACAAGTTTGTGGGAAGTTGCAAAATGTATGGACACAAACATCAACAGCAACAGCAACAATAAAATCAGAATTCAATGCCTCAGGGGAGCCTCTGGTGCCTCAAACAAAACCCAGAAGGGATTTGCCAGCCGTGCAGGGTTTGGGTGAGCAGCACGAGGTAGATCCTCCAGGGACCAGCAGGCTGCAGAGAGGCCAAAAGTCCCCTTGGGCCCCACAGGGAGTTGCATTTCAGCCCCTGAAGTGCAGAGCAATGAGGTTAGGTCTGAAAAATAACAAACGAGGTCCTAAAAGCATCACTGCTACCTGTAGAGCTGAGCCAGGTATGTGCCAACTGGCTGGAGCCTGTTGCTGAGATGTTGCTGACAGCCTGGTAGGCAGAAGCTCAGGGCCCAGGCTACGGTGGGGCTGTCTGGCGCAATGAAGCCACCTGCAAAGACAAACACAGTCCGTCTTGGGCCTAGAGGGACACCACTGTCCTGGTCCTCTTCCCAGATGGAGCAGACAACCCCTGCTGCCCCATGGAATAGAAGGGGGATCTGTGTAGTGGGTAGCTCTGAGAAGGTATTTGTATCTCCAGAGCTGAGGCTAAACAGGTCCTTTGTGGCATCCTAATTAAAGAGACCATCGTCATCGTGGTCACCTGCTTCTGCTTCCAGCCAGGATCATCCTGCAAAGCTCCACAGCTTGGGATAGGATGTCCTACAAGGTTAAAGTGTCCATGATGTTTGCAAAGGCCCCGGGCTGGGGTGTGAGGCTGAGCTGGGTTTGAGTCCCAACTCTCCCTTTTGCCTGCTGTGTGACCTCACAAGGGGTGTTTAACTCACCTGATGAGCTGTGGGATTACCTGAGAATATAGGAAACGTGGAAAAAGCATCTGATATAGAGCAGATTCATCCTAAATATCAGTACCCCCATTCCTTCTTGTAGAGCAGGAAACAGGTCTTCTGTAGGCTCTACAAAGCACCAGATAAGATTTGGCCAATCTCTACAAGTCAAAAGTTCTACTTCCGGCTCAACACAAATTCACTTCTTCTCTGTGGGTCTTTAAAACAAAGGGTTCTGAACCTGGTATGAAATTCTAGCATTCAATCTTGCCATTTTCAGAACCTGGGAAAACTGACTTGCTTTTCTAAGAAATGCCTGCAAAGTTCCAGCAGAACGCTGGTCCCACTCTCTTTCCCTCTTGACTCTCCCTAGACAGATGCGTTACCATTGAGATGAGAATTTCTGGACGGTGCAAAGCAAATCTGAGGGTGGCTCCTCAGAGTTCTGTGTGGAATTTTCTATAACCTCCACTGCCCTCTGGACAACAGACAGCATCCCAACCACACTGCCAGCATTCTGCTTCCAAACAGGAGAAGCAACAGCACCTCTTCCCTTCATAAAGATGGCTGGCTCTTCTCAGGCATCCTAAAGCCGGAGTGTGGGCTCCACAGGGCGGGTGCTGGGCCTCAGCTGTCCAGAGAAGTCAGCCTCAGGTCAACGTGGGCTGCTTGGCCTGTTATTCCAAATGATGGAATTCTCTGGCCTTGAAAGCTCATCTCCTCCTTTCCACCAAATGATTAAAATGCTAAGTGAAAAACATTGCTGAGACTCAAAGGGAGCCGGGGCACAGCGTGTCCTTAAATAACTCCTCAGGCCGCAAGTCTAATCACTCTTTGTCCTGAACTTCTGGTAGCAGCATCAACTTCTCAAAGGGCCCAGGAGTGCAGTTTTTTTTTCCCCTACAAAGACCATACTTTTTCTGGGGGTCATTTCCCCCTTTGACAACTATTCCAAGAATGCAAAAAGAAGGAATATTTTCTTCCTAAAAATTATACTTCCAGACTTTGAGCTGTGACGATGCTCATGAAGAGTCAATAATATGCTGCTGCCGTGGAAATCACAAGCACAAAGGAGATGTCTTTAGCCAGCCCCAGAGGGTCCCTCTCAAGGGCTGTTCCAGGTGCATTTTAAATCATGCCAGCAATTGTAACCCACGCACCAGCAGGGTCTCCCTGCCTCCAAGGACCTGGCTAAGCTCTACATTGACCCTTCTTCTGTGGTCTCAACAAGCCCACGGTTACATTCATGTCCTCAAGGCTACCTCTGACCTTCAATTTAGCGTTTATTCTCCCGCCTACCTTCTCACACACACACGCCCTGCTGCCCATCCAGCCAAGTCAGACCTGGACTATGCAGTTTCTGCAAACACACACACACACACACACACACACACCACTCATGCGTGTCATTTGTGTATTTATAGCTTTTTATGGAGTAATTGGAGACAGGGAGGAATTGTCAGGATATACCACTGTCTGTTCACAAAAGCCTTACTTCCTTTGGGTACAGAGACTACATTTCCCAGCTTCCCTTGCAATTAGGTTTGGCCACGTGACTTGCATTCTAGCTAATGGAAGCAGGGCAGAAGTGAAGTGTCATGGTCTGTTCATATAATGGAATACACTTCAACAATAAATAGAAACAAACTACTGTCTCTCTCTCTGAGTGAACCTTAAAAACATGAGGCTGAGTGAAAGAAACAAGACACACGAGACCACAGATTGTATGACTCACTTTCAATGAAATGTCCAGAAGAGGAAAATCCACAGAGACAGAAGGTAAAGTAGCAGTTCCCTGGGGATAGGAACAGAGATGACAGGAAATGGGCATGAGGGATCTTACTGGGGATGAAAGTGCTCTAAAACTGTTTTATGGTGATGGTTACAACACTTGGTAAAGTTACCGAAATCAGTGAACTGATATCTGAAATGGATAAACTTCATGATACGTAAAATGTACCTCAATAAAGTTGTTTTAAAAAAAGGAGTGAGAGAGCTATTCCCAGCCCCAATCTGGAGAAACCTTTGGCATGTTCTCTAGGCCCTTTCCTTCATGTTAACCAGACCATGATGGAGACCAGGAGGAGGGACCCTGGGTCCCAAGGGACTACATGGAGGTGAGTCAACCCCAGGCCTGTCCTGCAAGCACGAGGTGCGCGGCCTCGTGTTGAGCCAGTACTCGTTTGAATTTGGTTTTTTTTTTTTTTTTTTTTTTTTTTTTTTGAGACGGAGTCTCGCTATGTCGCCCAGGCCGGACTGCGGACTGCAGTGGCGCAATCTCGGCTGACTGCAAGCTCCGCTTCCCGGGTTCACGCCATTCTCCTGCCTCAGCCTCCCGAGTAGCTGGGACTACAGGCGCCCGCCACTGCGCCCGGCTAATTTTTTGTATTTTTAGTAGAGACGGGGTTTCACCTTGTTAGCCAGGATGGTCTCGATCTCCTGACCTCATGATCCACCCGCCTCGGCCTCCCAAAGTGCTGGGATTACAGGCGTGAGCCACCGCGCCCGGCCTGAATTTTGTTGTTAAAGCAGCTAGCTTCCACCTCCCAGGTGGCTCCCTGGCAACCACACATATTTCAGTGTGAATGGCATTGTGGTTCTTTGGCCACACCAGCCTTGGAATTGTCTTTCTTGGCTACCAGCTTTTTCATCTTCCCCACCTCTCACTGGGTCTTCTCTTCCTCTCCACTCTTTCTCCCTCTGCCACATCCCTGCCTCTTGAATTGTGCCCAGGGATTCCAGATCCTTCTCTCTTATGCAAAGCATAGCTGTCAATAGATGACCAAGTATAAGGGCTTGTTTTCAGAGTAGTCTTGGGAGAGAGGGAAGAGGGGAGGTATTTGCCTTTGTGAGGGGTTGAGGGTGGGGGCTGAGCTTAGAACTGGGAGACTAAGCTTAGGTGGGAAGCTTACGGGACCAGGCTCTAGCAGATTCTGCTGTGGGTGCTTGGGCAGTGCTGAGACCATTTAGCCCCCTGCAACAACTGGGGAAGGGAGGAGGGCAGGCAGACGTGGACCTGGGCACGCCAGGGACACAGACCTTTCGCCATCTCCAGCACTCAGGTTTTTCTGCTTCTCCAGAACTGAATTGGCACGTGGGTGGTCAGAGTCAAGAACATCTCTTTGAGTCGTAACAGAGAAAAGGTATTGAGTATTAGCAGGGGAGAGTTACTGAAACAAAGAAATGCCTTAAAGTATTCATATTCTCAGTGACAAGCAACATAATTCAGCAGGCATCATTGAAACTGTCGGGGAGAAAACTCCTGGCAAGTTTCTATGGCATAAGCATCAACAATGGCAGCTGATTTTACAAGTCCCGTTGTTACTCACCGAAGATGTTTACAGTGGATTGGACATTTTCTTCATTCCTTGTGCTGTCACTCTCAAGCTCCTACAGAAGCCACTGCGGGCCCCACACAGCATGCGCCCCTCCATTCTCCCCAGCACTGCCTGAAAGCAGCCCTGACAAGCCTCACCTGCATTCACAAGGCTTCCTCCCAACTGCTTTCCTGCCTCCGCCTTTTCTTCCTCTAACACATGCTCCACAGCCACTGTGATCTTTTAAACTCACATTTATAGCCATGTCAATCTTCTGCTTCAAACCCTCTGAAGGCTGCCCATTCCCCTCAAGATAAAGCTCATCTCCCTTAGTGGGGCAGGGTCACCCTGCTCAGTTATTTGAGTTGTGCACTGCACAAGTGTAGGGGTGCTCTGAGACACATCTGTACTCCACGCCCATGAAAGTAACACAGAGAGAGACCTTCGAGGCCTTCAGGTCCCCAAATCTCTCTGGCCTAACGTGTCACCGTCTTTGACAGACGCTTTCTATCCAGCCACTTAGAATTCCCAGTCCATGCGGCTCGGTCCCTTCTGCTTGGAACTCCTCCCCACTCCCTTCTTCCTCCAGGTGTTTCCCATTCACCCTTCTTCCTCCAGGTGTTTCCCATTCATCCTTCACAGCTCAGTTCAGCATCACGTCCTCCAGGAGGCTGCCCCATCCCCTTGCCAATTCTCTCTGCTCCTCCTACACCCACCAGGTGGCTGTGGTTTCTCTAATACCCACATCAAAGCACAGGTCACTCTGTGCTCTGCCTACACCATGAGTTCCCGGAGGATGACTACGTCTCGGGAGATGGGAGGTGAGATTTGGACTGTCCCTCATAGAGCAGGTGGGCCCAGAAGCAGAGGCACAGATGGCTACCCCTCAGCCAGAGGAAGGCCATGAGGGAAAAGCTGCAGGAAGCCAGAGGGAAACTGAGGCCAGGATCAGGGCTCTGAGGCTGATAAACCTATCAACCAGGGTCACCATGGGAAAACTGAAGCAAAGATGGCAGGTAGTTGCTGAAAATATTCACTGACCCCTTCCCCAACCCGTCTCCGTCCCTTCCCCCCACCACACTGCTCATCTCCAGCCAGGCCTTTTCTGGGCCACAGCCACCAACTCCTACTCACCCCAGGGCCAACAAGACACGTGCTAACTCAGCCTGGCACAAATGCCCTGGGAAGGGCCTGGGTGGCAAAGGGTTAAGATGGGCAGGCTCAATGCAAATGGCACCACTGGCCTGTGGGAATGGTGCAGGCCTAGGGTTTGATCCAGCTCATCATTATAATATACGATGTTAATGGGGCTCAAAGAACTAAGGTGAAGGGTGCCCTTTAATCCCCTTGAGGTAAGATGCAGATCCCCAGCTTGGCTGGAGACACAATATTCTCTCCTAGACCATCGGGAGCTTGACCCATGGGCACTGGCAATGAACCTCTCAGAATCCTTGTTTACCTACAAGAGATAATAAAACCGCATAATCACGGAAATGAATACGCATAGTCACAGAGATCAACCAAGAGTGACTGAATCTTCCATTCTGCTGGAATGATTAAAATTCTCCAGATGGGTCTTTGCTGTAAGAGGTCAGATAATTGGATTCTCTCTAAAGGGAGAGCTCTTTCCTTCTGCATCCACAGAGCAAATACCTATTTGAGAGTTCAGGCCCGGGAGGCCCTGTGGGGTGGGCAATGACAACTTCGGAGCACGCAGGGGTGCGGGTCCGGGGATGGACACAGGAAGAACAGGCCAGGGCAGTGACATGACCTCACATCAAGGAAGCCAGGCTCTTGTTTGGTTTTGTTTTTAAATAAAACTGCTATGTTAAAAGCTTTTTGTTCTATACTGAGTTTCTAAATCTTGGGCTTCTTTTTTCTTTAAATGACAAACAGATCATGATGAAGGCATTTTGTTATGTATGTTAAATGCAGACATTTCCAGAGAAAACAAATAAAAGGCAGACATAACACAGGCTTATGCGTCTGTGCTCAGATGCTTGTGCATTCGCTCAGTTACTTAAATGAAGTCAGTTTCTATCGTCTTGTATTACGCAGAAAGGGGAGTATTTTCGAAGCCCTTTCTCAATTAAAGGGGAATGGATCTGTCCGATCTTTTCTCCAACATGGTTTTACAACAGGGTCCTTTCCTCCCTGCCCCACTCCTTCTGTAGGAGTTGACTGCTTCTTCCCTCTTGGTATTTAATTACTCACCAATTGGAGGAAAAAAAGATTTGATATTTAAGTATGTCACAAAAAACCAGGCAAATATACTGCTGCAAGGGTTGTGGAATTAGAAATACCCAGGTCTAAGAGTCTCTGCCACTTACTACTGGGCAGGTGACTTCATCTTCTAGCCTCAATTTTGTCATCTATAAAATGGAGGAAACGGCTGGGCACAGTGGCTCACGCCTGTAATCCCAGCACTTTGGGAGACCAAGGCGAGCAGATCACCTGAGGTCTGAATTTCAAGACCAGCCTGGCCAACATGGTGAAACCCAATCTCTACTAAAAATACAAAAAAATTAGCCAGGCGTGGTGGAGGGCGCCTGTAGTCCCAGCTACTTGGGAGGCTGAGGCAGGAGAATGGTGTGAACCCGGGAGGCAGAGCTTGCAGTGAGCCGAGATCAAGCCACTGCACTCAAGCCTGGGCGACAAGGCAAGACTCCGTCTCAAAAAAAAAAAAAAAAAAACATTAGTCGGGTGAGCCTGTAATCCCAGCTACTCAGGAGGCTAAGGCAGGAGAATCGCTTGAACCCAGGAGGCGGAGGTTGCAGTGAGCCGAGATGGTGCTACTGCACTCCAGCCTGGGCGACAGAGCAAGACTCCGTCTCAAAATGAAATAAAATGGAAGAAAGAATGTGAGAATTAAGTGAAATAAGGCCTGCACAGGAATTTGAAGAGTGTCTGAATAAGCTTACATTATGATGTTTTATGAATTCTGTCTACTAAATGATCACTTATCCCAGAGGACTCAGTTCCTCAGGCTGGAAGGGATCTTGGGATAGTCTATTTACAGAAGAAACTGATCTTGGGAGGGGCAGGATGGCTCACTAGAGCCAGACAGCAGGGAGGTGGCAGCTAATTCTTACTGAGCACCTACATTTGGCATTCTGCCTCCACCTAGGTCCCCCACACAGCCTGTGTCCCCAGAGACACAAGCCTGCTCACAAGGGCTGCTCAGTGCACAAATGAACGGATGACTGGATGGCGGCCCTCCAGTCTCTCCCTACCCACATGCCCACCCCCAATTTCTCTCCGCTCAAGCCTCAGCTTGAGGGGTTGAGGTTGGAGAAAAGGAGGGCAGCTCTAAGGGCTGTGGCTTGGGGACAGTCTGAGCCCCAAACCCACACCTGGCCCTGGACAAGGAGAGGGCCCACTGAAGTGGAAACTGGGGGGAAGGAAGGGAAGAAGGTCCAACAATCTCCCCACAGAGGGGCTTTGGGTGATCACCTCCTCTGGTTGCCCCCCAGGATTCTGTGTGAGCCACCTGGGCTCTGAGGGGAGCCCAGACACCCCTTCCTCCAGTGCAGGCCTAAGTAGGGGCACCAAGACTCCTCTGCTGCATGGGCTAAGACCCCTGACAGCCAAAGCCAACCCCACGAACCAAGTCAAGGCTCCAAGCAAAGGGCCCCATCTGCCGTCAAGCCTTTCTCCAAGGGCTGGGTGCCCACAGAGCCCCCCTCAGCAGGAAGCAGGGAGGCCCCGCCCACCCTTCCCAGCTGGTTCTTTGCCCTGGGGAAGATGGATTAGGAGAGATGCTTTCAAAGGCACGAAATTTTTTTTTTCTTCTCTCTCTCTTTTTAATGAAGCAAACCAGATAGACAGGAGAAAACTCAAAAAGAAATGTTTTAAGAATAATGACCTTTTCTTGTTATTGTTTAAAAAAAATCATGCTCATTAGAAACAAATTCAATGATAAATACCAGAGACTAGGAAGGGTGTGTCAGTGGGGAGAAGGACAGAGAGGTTGGTTAATGGATACAAACACACAGTAAGACAGAAAGAATAAGGTTCAATAGCAGAGGAGGGTGACTAGTTAGCAACAATGTAGGGTGTATTTCAAAATAGCTACAAGAAAGGTCTTGAAATATCCCCAGAATACAGAAATAAATACTTGAGGTGATGGATACCCCAAATACCCTGACTTGGTCACTCCACATTCCATGCACCTAACAAAATATTACATGTATTAAGCCGTTCTCACATTGCTATAAGGAAATACCTGAGATGGGGTAATTTTTAAGGAAAAGAGCTTTAATTGGCTCACAGTTCTGCAGGCTGTACAGGAAGCATGGCAGCATCTGCTTCTGGGGAGGCCTCAGGGAGCTTCTAGTCATGGCAGAAGGTGAATGAGAGCCGGCGTCTTATGTGACAGGAGCAGGACCAAGAGCAAGGGGGAAGTGCCACATACTTTTGAACAACCAGCTCTCATGAGAACTCACTCACTATAATGAGGGCAGTACACGGGGGAAATCCACCCCAATAATCAAATCACTTCCACCAAGACCCACCTCCAACACCGGGGATTACAATAGATTTGGGCGAGGACACAGATCCAAACCATATCATTATATGTACCTCACAAATATGTATGAATATTATGCATCAATGAAAAAAACAAATTCAAGCAATATAAAAAGGACCAAATGATCCCTTCAAAGTCAAGGGGAGAAAAGGGTAGACAAAGAGTGATTATTCAAGGTTATTGGATTTTGATATGACTGCATGTTTCAAGTTTTACTTCCTGCTCTGAAAGATGAGGGAAGTGCCAGCGTTCCCTCACCTCCTTTTCCGATTTGGTGATGACATCATGATTTACACCGGCCATGTTTATAAGAGTTACTCTCTGTTTTATAACACAATTTCACTAGTTACTGGGGTCTTAATTCCAAAATAGAATGGATTCTGTGTTCACTGTCATTCGTTTTCAGCACAGTTCCTTGTTCCTAAGATCTACAGTTTGATTCCTCAGTGTTCTGTCAAAAACGGCTTTTAGGAACTGTCCGCCCTGAGTGCCCACACGTGTAAAGCCATCTGTGTGTGGTCTTTATACGTGCCAGGGTCTGCTGATCCACATTTCCTTTCCCCCAAACTGTAGATTGTGGCCACCATCCTCGGGTGCTGAATGCTGTGGGGGAATTTGTGCTTTGGTTTCCTTTGGCTTTTTGGTTGATAGGATTCTGCCTTTGTCACTGTGTTCAGAAGCTAACCATAGTTATGCTTCAGCATGGGTCACTCTGTCTATGTTTCTCTTTCTGGGATACAACGTGCTCAGTTGAATTGGAAGTCCATGTCCTCCTTCTGAAAAGTCAGCTTCCCATGGTTCCTTGAATGCCTTTTCAGTTTCATCCATTCTGTTCTCTTCTTGGAAAAACCAGTTGCCCTTTGCCTGCCATTTACATCTTCTTTACGATCAATCTTGCATGTTTTTTGTGCCAGTTTGTTTTGCACAATTTTGTCAAACTTGTGCTTTCAGGGTTGTGTGGCTTTGAACGTGGTTCCCGTCACTGTAATGTTTTATCTTTTTCTTCCATTTGTTTCCTCAACTTGCCTTTCATCTCTCTGTTGTCACAGAATCTCTGCTTGAAACTTACAGAGTTCAGTTGAGCTCAGTTTGTTGGTCCGTTGCGTCTGCAGTTTCTTTTGGGATATAAGGAACTCATTTGATCTTTCCTTTTCCTTCTTTGAGCCCTCCCTCTTGGAAGTGTGTTATTCATCTCACTCTTTCTTACATCCCTTTCCTGCTTTGCTTTTTTCTTGCTGTTGTTAAAGAAAATGTGTTCAATAATACTTGTTAAAGCATGGTAAGGAAGACTTTATTCAGGGCCATTGACATAGTTATAGGGTACCACTGCAATGGGGTCTCAGAGTTGGGGAGAGAGATTGCGTAGAATTTATGCAATTATATAGGAATTTATAGCCATGAAGAGTGTGGGGGTCAGTGGATAGAAAATTACTAAGAAGAAGGCCGGGCACGGTGGCTCATACCTGTAATCCTAGCACTCTGAGAGGCCGAGGCAGGCAGATTGCCCTGAGCTCAGGAGTTCAAGACCAGCCTGGGCAACATGGCAAAACCCAGTCTCTACTAAAAATATAAAAAATCAGCTGGGCACCGGGTGGGCACAGTGGCTCATGCCTGTAATCCTAGCACTTTGGGAGGCCGAGGTGGGCAGATCACAAAGTCAGGAGTTCAAGACCAGCCTGGCCAACATGGTCTAGAGACTATTTTTAGTCTCTACTAAAAATACAAAAAATTAGATGGGCGTGGTGGCGAGCACCTGTAATCCCAGCTACTCGGCAGGCTGAGGCAGGAGAATTGCTTGAACCCAAGAGGCAGAAGTTGCAGTGAGCTGAGATTGCGCCATTGCACTCCAGCCTTGGCGACAGAGCAAGACTCCGTCTTGAGGAAAAAAAAAATTAGCTGGGTATGGCAACACACACCTATGGTCCCAGCCACTTAGGAGGCTGAGGCACAAGAATCACTTGAACTCAGGAGGCAGAAGTTGCAGTGAGCCAAGATCGTGCCACTGCACTCCAGCCTGGGTGACAGAGGGAGGCTCTGTCTCAAAAAAATAATAATAAAATAAAAATAAAAAAATTACTGAGAGGAAACATAAGAGTTAAGGGAGATTCTGGCTGAACTGACCTAACAGAATTCTTGCTGAAGACAGGCTAGGGTAATCAGACATCACCTGGGGGATGATGGCAACTGAGCAACCTGATCAGATATTGAGGATGGGGGTGGGGAGGTGGGTTCTTGCTAAACTGACTTACAAATGTTCTTTGCTAAAACTGGATTTCACAAGGAAGTGCACAGACGGGCCGAGGGGAAGATTTAGAAGCCTGACTAAAGTTTGGTCAAGCAAAGAATCTTTTGTTAGTCTCCACCTCCCTTGTTCAAGGGAAAAAAGAGGCATTCTTCTTTCTTTTGAACAATATAAACTCATTTTCTTGTTCAGTTGCCTATTGTTCATGAAGGACCGCTGAATCAGCTGCTGGGAGTTGGTAGCAGAGGAGATCTCCTGGATGGTGTGAGCCATCAGGCCTTTAATGAGGATAGTTTCATTTCTATAAAAATAAAAGAAAAATAAATGTTAATAGTAAGAACAAACCATAAACTCGCTTTCTGAGTCCATAGGGCAGCCAGTAAAGATTTCTAGATGCTGGCCCTGAAGTATCTTCAGCTGTAGCAAGGCACTGGGAGGGCAGTAGCAATCTAACGGATTTTCCAGGTTTGCAGTTTGGATGTCATGAAGGTTGTCCATACGTAAGCTGTTGTGGTTGGTGGTTCCTCCAAAGTTTAATAGAAAGTTGCTCAGCTTTAGCTTACAGGGCATTAGGAAAACAGCAGTGATCCCAAGCCAGAAAGATGAGAGAAAATTGGAAACATTAGTTTGGAAAGTCATAGTCAGATATTGGGCGAAACTGGGAGAACTCAGGATCCAGTCCAAACTACATGTGGATAATAAAACCTCAAAAAAATGAACAGGGCTAGAATCAAATATTAGGTACACTATAGTTTTCTTCTGAAACAATTTTTCTCCCTATAGTCACCCCCATTTTTACCAAAGATAATCAAAGAAAGACTAATTCATTTGCAAAACAATAAGTTTAAGTCTATTATTTACACAAATGCAGCAAGAATAGTGACTGACCACTTAGGCTCTTGTTCAGTCTGCTTTGCTAGAACTTTTGGTAAGGAACCTCAGATTAGACTTCTGAAAGCCTCTTTAGGATATGAAGCCAAACCAATGACCTACCATCATGCTTCATCTGTTACATTTAGATTTGAGTGAATTCCTCTCTTCTTGAGGTCCCTGAATATCCTGAGGTTTCTGTGCCTGCCAAGAAGGGATATTCCTTATTTGCCTGTAAGGCTGGAACCCTCAAGCCAGTTTTATTAAGATGGGCATGGCTTATTGGCTCCATAAAGTCAACCTTAGTTCCTTAAAGCTGTCTGGTCATATCTGAAAATATGGCATTCCAGTCAAAGCCTTGTAATATATCCAGTGCTTCCAATTGTGTCCTGTTATAAGGAGGACAGATTCTTATTTAACTTATGCAAATAACTATATTTCCATAAACATAAGAATACTTACAAATAGTTTCTGAATTCTGGATGGATCAAGGAGGGAGAAACCCCATTTTTGTTCACAAAAGTATACTTTATCAAATCGTTGCAATCTACAGATAGCTTTTTTTAAAAAGTTTGCTTAAATCTGGACAACAAAACAATTAAAGCAAGCAATGTTTTAAATAAAAAGTCATTAAAAAGTATCCTCATCAGTTTATTCAGTCCCATGTAATTACTTTGTGTTCTGCTTGATATTGAAATGGTTGTTTCATGAACCCATGAGTTTCTTCACCAGAGTTCTGGAAATTCTTACTCAGACCAATGGTATGATCTTAAAGTTTTGAGAAACCTGTGTTCTAGAGTACTTGTCAGAGTCTTTTCCATGAAACTCCTTGAAAAAGAAATTTTGGACTGTAGCTGATTGCAAATAATTTCAGAGAAGAATAAAAACAATAACTGTGAGGCCAGGCGCGGTGGCTCATGCCTGTAATCCCAGCACTTTGGGTGGCCGAGGCGGGCGGATCACCTGAGATTGGGAGTTCAAGATCAGCCTGACCAACATGGAAAAACCGTGTCTCTACTAAAAATAGATAATTAGCCAGGCATGGTGGTGCATGCCTGTAATCCCAGCTACTTGGGAGGCTGAGGCAGGAGAATCACTTGAACATGGTAGGGGGAGGTTGTGGTAAGCCGAGATTGTGCCATTGCACTCCAGCCTGGGCAAGAAGAGCAAAACTCCACCTCAAAAAAAACAACAAAAAAAAACAACTGTGGATGACAAAGACTTAGAATGGCCATGGTTAAAAATAGCATGAGAGTTCATTATTATTATTATTATAATGATGCAACTCACAAAGAAATTTGGTTCTTTCAGTGGAATACAACAATTTAACATAGCCAAAATTATGACTGATAGAATATGAGATTTCTAGACATCTCACACAATTTTTAAAACATTCATATTGATAACATACCCATAGGCCAGGCACAGTGGCTCATGCCTATAATCCCAGACCTTTTGGAGGCTGAGGCAGGAGGATCACTTGAGGCCAAGAGCTCAAGACCAGCCTGGGCAACATAGTGAGACCCTGTGTCTACAAAAAAAAAAAAAAAAAAATAGCCAGTCATGGTGGTGCACACCTGCAGTCCTAGCTACTCAGAAGGCTGACAAGGGAGGATCCCTTGAGCCCAGGCATCTGAGGTTACAGTGAGCAATGATCACATCCCTGCACTCCAGCCCAGGTGACAACAGAGCAAGACTATGTCTCTTAAAAATTACTTAAAGAAAGTTTCGAATCACTTATCTGACAATGCTTCCCATATAACTTAACATCAAATAAGTCTAGTTAGTTTAGCCTCTCTCTTTTACAAAATCAGAGACACATCTTTTGAGCTTTTCCAGGAGCCCAATTTAAAAAATCCCAATGTTAATTCAAGGCCAAAAAGACTTAATTTAGAATTTGATAATGGGAAATTTTTTTCAATGTCAAAAAGTTTAAAATGCTTCATCAAAATAGGATCACAGGTCACTTTGAAGTAAGAGTCACTCATTTAAACAGAGTAATAATTAAAAGACTTCAAGAGGTAAATACAGAAGTTTACATAGTTATCAATAAAACCTTAACTCTTAATATTGAGAAAATGCACTTATCTTAAGTAATCAAATACTTAATAAAAGACAATAATGAAACACAAGAAAATATCTTAATAAAACATAAAATATTTGTTTACTTAAAAGATAAGGAAAAACCCTTCATATTCTCAAACCATTACTCTGAGAAAATCCTGTCATTTTAACAGAGAAGACCAAAATCTACTTTTGTGTCAATGTAGTGCTGAAACTTATTTTAATAAACCTTATAAATGAATCTATTCAATCTTAGTTAACTTTGACCATACAAGATAAAATTTTCACAATGCTTTTATAACCTTTTTTTTACTTCTATTACTGATACTCATTAAGCAATTAAGCAATTCATTTTTACTGTGCATTCTACTCTAAGGTTGTATTTATAGTTTTATGTCCTTAAACATCCAGCAGAGACAACACAGACCTCTCTGACCAGAGAACCAGGCAAAAATTTATGTCTGTATGATATTCAGTGCTGACAATTCTGAAGACAGTCCTATCTTTATTTGATCAGTAATTTTTAAACTAGCTTTTGTTTAACAAGGATTATTCCAGAGCACATGAACTTAAAAAAAAAATTGAGTCAGTTTCTAATTTTCTGAGAATTCTATGAAAACTTAATTTGTTTGAGCATTCATTTATCCCTAAGCCAATTTTAGCATATTGGTTGGGTAATGCCATTGGAGGTAGAAAAAGATCACATATATATAACATATAAACATAGATCATACATGTACACATCCAGAAACATACAAAGAGATGCAACTAGATCTTATGGCTTTCCATTTTTAAAAAATTTTAGTAATGAGGTAGTAAAACAGAGTCATACAAACTCACTGGTTTATCTTCACTTTATATTTTTATCCAGATTGTGTTTCTGATGAAAATAAGACAAGTTGAATTTACCTACTCAACAAGGGTTAAGGCTTTTTACCAATATTTGTGGAGAAGATTTTAAGATTTTTTCATTTGCCCAATTTCCAAATAGTCCTTTCTTTTTCTCTTTTCAGCCTCAGGTGCTTGCTTTTGAGGGGCCCTGTGTCCCTTATGAGCCCCTGGAGGGTAGAGAGGCTAAAATTCAATTGACTCAGGGGCAGGAGTGGGAAGGGAAAGGATCTGGCAAAGGTAACCAGAGTTGGCAGAGCATCTAGTCAGCAGGGGTTCAAAGAAAGGAGCTTCTGGTGACAGAATCATTCCAGTGAGAGAAGCAGGATCCAGTAGAGAGAACAGAAAGAATAAACAGAACGGGGAGGCCTCACAGAGAGTCAGGAAGAAAGACTTCCAGCCCAGGGAGTCAGGGAATAATTCCAACTCAGAGCAAGGAGCCAGGAAAAAGACGTCCCAGCTAAGGAAGTACCCTTGAAAAGAAGCCTGGAACTCTAACCCAGCTTCACAGAGTATACTCATACCTTAAGAATCAAAATCTGTCTTTACCAGCTTGCCCATTTCACCACATTAGGACACATAGAGTGTACCTTCCAAGGACATTTGTCCAGAGCAATTGTTCAGGAGTCTGACTCATCAACTGATCCTCTACTGTATTGAATAATTTCACTGTAACAATTATGGGGCCATGGTTGGTCTCTGTCTTTCATTCTCTTCAAATGTCGAATGGGCTTTGACTGTGGTTTACAGTCAAGAGGGATACACTAAAAGATTACCATTCATGCAGGGATTTAAGACCATTTCCTAAAGGGAACTTGAAGCAGTTGACAACTTGGTGGGGGTCTTTCTCTTGAGTTGATAACTCTCTTCATGGGGTAACCTCCACACTCCTGCCTAGGAGAGTCACACATTTGAAGACAGAGCAGAAAAGGGGCTGACATCTCATTTTAGGAAAACCTGCACCTAATCCTGTATTTCAGTGTGCCTCTCCTCTCTTGCCTGCTCCCTGAGACCAAGGTCCCTCTCCTCAGTCTCTCTGGAAAGCAGACCTCCAGTCTTCTGCAGGATAGCAGAAGAGTCAGGTGCCCATTCCTCAAAGGGAAGCAGGGAATCTTGAGGTCTATTTCCTCCACAGACTTTGTATTCCAAATTCCACAGTCCTCCTGCTTTCACCACCACTGGTCACCACACTAGGGATCCTGCCGACTTTCTCTTGTCAGTTAATCATTTACTCTCTTGCTATGGTCTGAATGTATGTGTTCCTGCAAATTCATATGTTGGAACCTAATACCCAGTGTGATAGTACTAAGAGTTGGGGCCTTTAGGAGGTGATTAGGTCACAAAGGCTCCACTCTCCTGAAAAGAATTAGTGCCCTCATGAAAGAGATCTGAGTGCCCCATGAAAGAGATCTGAGCAAGCCTGCTTGCCCATTTCACCATGTTAGGACACAGAGTGTGCCATCTATGTGGAACAGGCCCTCCTCAGCCACTGAATCTGCTGGTGCCTTTATCTTGGACTTCCCAGCCTCCAGAACTATGAACAATAAATTTGTATTGTTTATAAATTACTCAGTCTAATGTATGTTGTTATGGCAGCTGAACAGACTAAGACACTCATTCATCCACTGTCCAGTTCCCAAAACATCCTGTTGTTATTCCACTCACTTTCTATTTGTCCTTAAGAGTTTGTGCTCCCTTTAATTCCTTTACTGTCTTTTTGGTGGGATTTGGGGTGGGGGTAGAAGGAAATTCACGTGTTCAGTCTGCCATATTTAACTGAATGTCACTTCTATCTGGTTTTCAAGGTGTACACTTTAATCAGAGTCTACCACACTAGTCCTACCCTCACTGAACTTCAAAATCCTGCTGTATTCAAGGCCCAAAGGAAATATCAACCCTATCTGAACAAGCCCCTCTGAACAACCCCCAATACCCTCTAATGTATAATTTTACAATATCAGGACCCCATCCACACAGACAGGACCCTTAGAGGGCCTGGGCAAGTGTACAAATGGACACCCACATACCATATGTCTAAATATTCAAAAGTTATAAATCAAGCAAACAAGCTGTTAAATACATTCCCTCCTCCTACAATGATAATTATACTTTCATAACAACCTGGAAACTTAAGTTCAAATTTAGAATTATCGGACTGCTTGGAGTTTTGCACTGAAACAGGCAGTGCAGCAACAGTTGGCCCCTAGCCTGTCCCTTTTTTTCATACTGGCCCACCCTGGACCAGTTGTGAACACCTATATTCACTCTCTAGGCCCTTATATGAAAGCTCTTCTCCCCATCCCCACAAATATCCCCCCTTGGCCCAACTTTGGGCCTAGACGTACTCATCCAATTGTGTGGCCCACCTGAGGAAGAGGAACCCAGGAAGAAAGCCAGCACAGGCCCTGGAAGTGCCTTGGAGCTTGTAATGGTTAATTTTAATGTATCACTTTGGCTGGCCACAGGCTGCTCAGATATTTGGTTAAACATTATTCTGGGTGGGTCTATCAGGGTGTTTCTGGATGAGATAAACATTTGAATCAGTAAACTAAGTAGACTGCCCTCCCCAGTGTGAGTGGGCTGCATTCAATCCATTGAAGGCCTGAACAGAACAAATGGCCAAGTAAGGGAGAATTCTCTCTCCTCTGTCTGACTGCCTTCTAGCTGGGAAGTTGGTCTTCTCCCACCTATGGATTTAGACTTGGACTTGGATGGAATGTACACCACTGGATCTCCTCATTTTCAGACCTTCAGACTCAAACTGGAACTATACCATTGGATCTCCTGGGTCTCCACTTTGCCAACTGAAGATCTTAGGATATCTCAACCTCTATAACTACGTGAGCCACTTCCTTATAATAAAGTGTTTATAATAAATGCTTCTTATATAATATATATACATTTAAATATGTGGGTGTGTAACCTATTGGTTCTGTTTCTCTGGAGAACTCAGACTAACACAGGGTCATTTGGATGGGGCTTTCCAATGTTCCAGGAATTGGAGCATTGTCTAGAAGGCAGAGGTGTAGGAGACCAGAAAATGCTACTCCAAAGTATGCCTCTTTGGCTTAAGACTTATTTTGAGCTTATTATTTTGAGAAGCTACAGACACAAAAGATGCTCTGAAAACAAAGTGGCAGCTACCTTTGTGTAAGGGAAATTTATATCTATAAAAGGTGAAATCTCCATCTGTAAGAGTGTCTCCCTCTCTGTACCAGGACTCAAATCACTAAAGACTCTTATCAATGGAGAAGGCGCTGACTCAGATCTGCAAATACAAACATTACTCTTTGTTTACTGTGCTTTTTCTTCCCATAACCAGCCTTCCCCATGCCCTTGTTTCTTAGTTTCCATAGACAATAGTTTTTAAGCCTGAATTCCAAGCCACCTCTTTGAGATTCATTCATTTTTCTGAGTACCTCCCATCTATGCATGAGGGTATACTTGTTATTAAACTTCTGTTTTTCTCTTGTTAATCTGTCTTTTGTTACAGGGGTCTGTCCCAACTAAAAACTATGAAAAGTAGAGAGAAATTATTTTCCTCCCCTACACAGGCATGAGCTCCAAGTTGGCATGTCAACTTGGCTTTTGGACTCTAACCCTAGGAAAAGGGCAAGACCAGAGAAAGCTCAGACGGAGTGTGACACAGAAGTGTCAGAGGGGGCCAGCTCTTGTTGTCTAGGAGACTTTCTGATCTCACTCATGTCTGGAACAAAGGAGAGAAGAGTCTTCCCCATCCCAAGCCTAGCTCAAAGAAATAAACATTCACAAAAATTTCGTAGCTTCCAATCTTATAGCATCATCCAAATCCCTCCCAATTTGTACCCACCTCCCATCAACATAATAACCCACCTCTTCCAGGGAACAGAGCCAAGGAGGTTTACCTTTTAAGGGCTTTGTCTTCTGTTACGATCTGCCATGGTCTACAGCATAACCAGTTAAATCTTGATCTCTTTCTGTCCAGCTTCTTCTGTCTTCCTGACGCCTAGTGTCCATATGTCAAAATATATTGATATATATTTTAGAAATGGAGACAATCAGCCATTAAAACAGTAGTTCCCAGCCTTTAGGGTTTCAGAAACCAATACTTTTAATTTTAATTCACAGGCCATGATTCCATTAAAGAAAGCCAGCTGAACACAAAAATATAGGAACAGCATCATCTCTGTGTAAAGGATACTCCAAATTAAATAAGCTTGGCTTTATAAAAAAAAAAAACTCACTATATTTTCTTTACTTTTCACATTTAGTCTTAGACCAGGGAAACTTGATTCTTTTCTCATTTTTTCCACAAAGACCAATATTTGGAAATTACTTCTTTAAAGCTCATAACGGGAAAAATTTTAAAGCCGTTATGTTAACACGGAAGTACGCCAGTGTCCAGATTCCTGGGATGGGCAGGGAGTACAGAGAGAAGAAGACGTCTGCCCTCCAGCAGGGCTTACTCCAATTCTATTCTTTTTCCATGGCTCAGGCTGGACCTTGACATTGACAGGCGCAGCTCCTAAATCTTCCTTTGTTTTCAAATTCATTTCTCCCAGGTCGTCTGGACTGTAAGCTCCTCTACAGTGACAAGTATTTTGCTTCATTTTTGTTTCTTCTTCTCATCTCCAAAGCCAGGACTAGGGTGAGCTTATCTCTCACCGTTCCCCCAACAAAAGCCCTCTCTCCAGGTGCTGCCTCTGCTGCCCTCACCTGTGCTGTGCCCATCCAGCCTCCCCGTACTTGCTCATGCCCTCTCCCCCAGAAATGCCCTCTGCCTTCCCAGATGCTGTGGAGCCCAGCCCAGGGCCCCTCTCCAGGAAGCCCACCGGAACCTCCCTGTCTTCTGAGTGCCTGTGACCCTCTTAGCAACACTGGGTTCTCAGCAACCTCCAACCTCCAGGCGTTCTCAAATCTATCACAGGTGTGTCCACTGGACTGGAGCTCCACCTGCATCACACACTGTCATGGATGTGTCAGGAGTTGGCATCTTACCATCCTCTGCCCCAGGAGCAGTATGGGGGCTTTTTGCTAAAAGCCAGTACACTGAAGCTTCAGCCTAGATTGTAGCCCAGCGTTCTGCTCACAGTTGGGGGAACCAGACGGGGGCTGCCCGGCTGTCCTGCCTTACCCTGCGGGGAGAGCGCTTGGTTATTTCCATCCAAGCCCCTCCCTGGTGCGTTTGTTCTGCAAACTCTCTGGTCACACTCCAAGCCACTGCCTTTGCTGCACTGTCTGTAAACATGACAGTCTCGGGGCTATATTAAGATTTTATGAGTCTGTAAAACAGATTAAGAGATTCAGTGTGAAATTCTCCTTTTTAAAAGCTCTTCTTTCCCTTCAGATCCCATCAGCTGCACCAGCCCTGGCCCCATTGGCTTCCCATCCTGCCTGGGGACTGCTCTGAGATTTCAAAGTTAAAGTAAATGCTGCTTTTTCAAAACATATGGGCACCAGCTTCCCTCCCTTCTCATCCAGTGTTACTATTCGACTAGGTGATGGATCCCATTTTTCTTGACACTTAGGCATTGAAGGGGCTTTCTAAATGGTGTCTTTCCCTTCTCTAAACAAGCATGGCTCAAAATATAAGCTACTCAAGTGAGAATGTGAGAGGATGAACAATTGGCCTGGTTTTCCTGGGACTTTCAGCACTAGAAGTCCCATGTCCAGAAACCCCACGGCGCTGGGCAAAGTGGGAGAGTTGTTTGCCCTAGCATGAAGGCTTCTTGCAGAATCACCAAATGTTAGAACCAGGGGAATTGTCTGAACACTGGGAGAGAAGACTTTCAAATGATTTAGAGCCTCAGACCACTGTTTCAAATGAAAACTTATCTGAGAAGCAATAAGCAAACAGACGCGACAGGAAATCCTCTGGTGGACAGAGGTGGGGAGCCTGCAGGGAGAGTAAGGCTCTGACCTGGAACACTGGGCTTCTCTGATGTCATCCAACAATCACCCAACCCCCAAGAAGACAGGGGGCTCCCACTCACCTCAAATCAAAGCCCTGGGAGGAGCTTTGCAGTGACTTTGGTTAATGATATCAGATTAAAAACTGCAGCCCCAAGGGGAAGTATGACTTTAGGGGCCAAACTAGACCTCCTCTTCCTTAATTTCCAAAAGAGACAGCTAGACATGCCCTCTGGCAGCACCTCCTTCCTCCCCACATACATTTGCTTTCTAATTTTGGAAAATAATCTCATGAACCCCAAACCCAATCTTAGAGACACTGCCACATAAAACCCCCACACGCATGCATGCATGCACCCACAGTCGCCTCCCTGGGGGCCTTGCACACCCTGACTGAGAGGGCAGCCAGCCCTGCTTCTGGCAGGGAAGATGGAGAGAGGGACAAGGAGAGGAAAAGGAAAAGGGAGAATCAGGCAGACAGAAGTAGGGCAGAAGCTGGGTTCAGAGCCTTGGCCATGCTATCACCAGCTTACAGCCGAGAAACAGACAGGCAGAGTGAGGGTACGAGGCTGGGGTCAGAGGTTTTGAAGCCAGACTCATCCCTGGCCTCCTGACTCAAGGCTCTTTCTGCCACCCAGACAGAATCATACCTAGCTGGGCCATGGCTATTTAAGGGAGGCCATTCACCCACTAATCACAGATTCTGACCTTCATGGCTTAGTCTGACCTTCACAGCTTAGTATGAAAAAAATGCAGGGAATGGGGGCATTTGAGGAGTCCATGCCGGGACCTCCAAACACTGCATCTCTGAGATCAATATAGACCTTCTGGAAAGGCCCTGGTTATTTACAAGCTTCTGCTCACACCTAGTGCCCAATTCGTCACATTCTCACTAAACACAACCTCAGCACCATGGGGGGACAGGGAAGGGTCTGTTCTCCCTGCACATAGAAGCGGCCAGGCACCCAGCTTACCCTGAATCTGGAAACTTCTGCACTCAGAATCCTGGATTCCATTCCCCAGTCAACTGCAGGTCCCAGGTAAGGAAACCCATTCCAGTTCTCTGAGTTTGGGAAGAAAGGGCAGGCCCACTCATCGGTGATGCTGGAGCTCCAGCTGAAGAACCCACCAGCCCTGGAGGAGGGGGGCCTGGGCTGGGCGGACTCTCTGGCAAGAGCAGGTTTCCATGGAGACATGAATCCAGGGCTGGAAGGACCTTCTCAGTTTGCTCTGAGCCACTGCCTGGCTCACACCCTACGTGAGGCTCCTGCCCTCATCTCCCCCTGGCATATTCTCCCCACATTGGACTGGCAGATGATGGCTCACTGTGCAAAGCACTTAGTGACAGGATCCTTTTATTCCTCACTCTAACCAACCCAATGGGCACGAACTCCATCAAAGGATGAAGCAGAGTCCCAGAAGATCAAGTGTTCGCCCAAGTCTCAGAGTTTGGGAAGAAAGGGCAGGCCCACTCATTGGTGATGCTGGA
Organism: Homo sapiens; assembly: GCF_000001405.40. NCBI lineage: Eukaryota > Metazoa > Chordata > Mammalia > Primates > Hominidae > Homo > Homo sapiens. The sequence continues at coordinate 123,965,460 of NC_000010.11, forward strand.
GCTCTGGGCGAAGAACCAAAAGTCACCCAGTGAGTTCACGGGGACACACAGCTCCACCTCCAGCAGAGGTTCCTACTCCCCCAGCTGGGACAGCCACTGCAGCACCGCTCTGCTCTCTCGCCTCCCCAGCGGCAGACACCCCAGCCTGTGCCACGGCCACTGCTCAGGGTGAGCCACATGCCCCCTGGGCACCCTCCGCTGGCATATGTCAGATGTTGCTCTCACAGACTTTATTTTATCACTACAACAAGCCTGTAAAACAAGTCTGAGCCTATCCCCCTTCTGTCTGTAGATGGGGAAGGAGGTTTGATTTGCCCAAGGACCACCAGGGAATCACTGCATGGGCTGACCCCAGCTGCAGCCCTCCTGCATGGCTGCCTGTCACTCCAGCTAAGCAGAGGAGCTGCCGTTACCAGCACCCTTTCCCTTTCTAATCTGAAGGCAGCCCTGCGGTGAGAGAGTCCCAGCGTCACCCATCACCCCAGCAGGTCAGGGGCCCTGGAGTCCCCCCTTGATGAATGACCTTAGCAGGAAAGAGAAATCTGCCCCCTCTCCATGCCCCACACCCACAGCCAAACAGTGGCTTCTCACCACTCCAGCTTCCTTTCCAAGAGGGTCCAAGCTCCCACCGTGGCTTCCACACTATTCAGACACTTCCTAAGTTCACGGGTCATTCCAGTGCTTTGCCACTTCCAGGGAAATCAGCACTGGAAATGCAAGTCAGCAAATAGGACAGAAGCCCAGGAACCAAGGGTAGGGCCCAGGGAGCCCTACCAGGGGCTGGCAATCTAGGGCAAGTCTCTCCCCTCCAGGCTCGTCTCCTCCTCTGTTGTCGGATAAAGCAAATCGCTTCCAGCTCTATATGCCCCGCCATCTTTTTGTAATTAATATTTCAACTGATTACATGAGTTAGAGGAAACCAAACAATGAGGATGATGAAAACAAAAAGTGTTTGCATTGGAATTTACACAATGAACTCACCCTAGAACTATTCCAGAATTAAAAGCCTCTTAAAATACGGTCAGATGCAGCATAGGCCAACCCATGCTGCTTTGAGCTGCTTCCAGTGGTCTTGGTTGGAAAGAATGGACTGCCTAGGATGGAGGGGGAGTGGGGTGGGGTGGGGAGGTGGGGGCCTGCACAGAACCTGGGGGAGCAAACCCTGGCCTCAGACATGAAGTCTGACAAAAGAGCCTTGTGTGGTGTAGGGCTCAGAGTCCAGTTTCTTGTGCTGAGAACCAAGTGGAGGATCGCGTGTCTGCCTACCCGCCCCATGTCCCCCCACCCCATCCCCCCACTGAGCGCCCACTGCTTGCATCGGGGCCATCAGGAATAGCAGTGAGGGGGGCTCTGTGGCTCCCTGGAGCTCTCAGCCGCCTTGCATATCTCCAGGGGCTTCTGGAATGGTCTGGATCTGTATACAGTTTCAGGGTTTCCTTGCTTTTCCAGTCTGAGACTGAAACTCATCCTCTAAGCATTTGAAAGAAACAACAGGAAAACTCAATCCTCTTTCCTTCCACAGCACATTTAGGGTGAGAGCTTCACAGCTGAAAATCTCCTTTAAAGAAAACGCGGCCCAAATATGCTGGGAGGAGAAGCCAGTGGATCTAGGAGGGGCCGGCGTTGCCGGCTCTGTCTCTGGGCTGACAACCTGGTTTCAGTATTGGTAAGTGGGTCAACCCCAGCTCCAGCGGCTCCTCCTCACCTCTGCCGATTGAGGGCCACTGCAAATTTCAAGCAGAATAAAAGAGTATTCTGAGGGCCACTGCAAATTTCAAGTAGAATAAGAGTATTCCACAGTTAAAGAAAATTTTATATATCTATATCCATCTCGCACAGATTACGTACTAGGCCTTCGTCTAAGCACTTCTTAATTATTAACTCATTCAGTCCCATTTTACAGATGACAAAACTACCAAGTGGAGAACCAAGGTCACGTTGCTACTAAATGGCAGAGCCAAGAGTTGAGGCCAGGCTATCTAGGTAGGACCAGGACCCAGAGTGGAGGGTGGGCCCAGGGCTGCCAGGTGGGCTCAGCGGGCCTGGAGCTGGTTTGAAACACAGGCGCTGCGGTGACCAAGTGAGCTGGCCCTGAAGGGCAGCGTGAGGGAAGAAGCCAGACCCCCCAGCCAGAGCCCCAGCCCTCAAGGGACAACTTGGCCAGGACAAGCTACTGGAACAGGCCAGGGCCCTTTTGGCGGGGAAGGGAGAACTGGACCACCCGGCCGAGAATTCCAGAGACTTTTCTCACTGATGGGAAGAAAACTGGGTCCCGGTAGGGGCCAGTGGGGAACGGGGCTTTGAAGGAACTCAGGACTCAGGCGTCCTTGGGATCATCTCGGCAAACTGCAGGTCTCCGGGGAGCCGCTCCGGTGCATTCCCAGGTCCAGCCTGCCCCCTGCTGGCTGTGTCGGGGAACCAAACACAGGCGTCAGCCTCATCGTGCAAAGGTGGACTTCTGAGTTCTCAGATACCCCCGTGAAGCCCACGCTAATAAACTGGGAATGACACGTCACAAAATCAGTTATAGAGTGCTGCTGATACAGTCATCATTCATTCTAACCACGTATTTAAACCGAGAAGATTGCATGTATGTTCTGCCTGTCAAGGAAACCATGGCATAAATTGTGTAAAATTTGTGTGCAGCATATTTTTGTCAGAAGTGGGGCAGAGAGGAGAGTGTTTAGGGGCTGGAGGTTAAAGTGCTGGAATCCAGGTCACCTCTACCCCAGTATACTCAAATGGTTGACTCAGGGCTTCAATGAAACACTCAACAATCGGAACGGGGAGTTTCAATCCTGCTAAGAAAACAGTCTATTTCCCTTCTGCTAATTTCATTAAATCAGTCTAGTATTTTTCAAAGCCTTTTGGCAGTTATCATAAAACAGACTCTCTGATCCCATAGGACAGTGATAGAGGATCATAAATCCAGCTGATTTGCATCTTTTAATGACCCAAACTTAATCACCCATAAAATCCCAGCCTCCAGCCAGACTGGCTTCCAGTTCGTTGCTGTTATTTGAGTATTTGCAGTAGAAAGTTTAATTTTGCTTTCACCTGGCCAGGACCCTGGGCTCACACCCACCATGTGCTAGCATCTGTAGTAAGAACAAATTTTGCAGAACAAAGCAGGTGACAAAACAGGTATTATTTTTCTATAACAGGACTTAATATGAGAGTCCAGCCCCCATTCACCAAATAACAACAAATGTCATCTAATCACTTCTGGGAATGGCTTGGTGATGCCTTAGTCTCTTTGCAGCTCCAGGTACACTTTCCCCTTCCTTGGTATCATCCACTCCTAAGGATTAAAGTGCCATCCACCTGCAGTTGCCTCCTGTTTCTCCCCACAGACCAGATCCCTCCTGTGCTCCAGACTCACCCAGCTAAAAGAGAAATGCCATTTCCATCCACACCGCTTCCCTCTGAGCCTTCCCTGTCTCCATGACTCAGGTCCAAACCAGGGCATCTTTTTGAGTCCTCTTTCCCTCACACCTAATCCAACCTTCAGTACAACCTGTGGGGTCTACCTCCCAAATAAAGCCCAAAGGTGACCTCTTTCACCTTTGCTGTTGCTGCCAGCCTTGTCCATGCACCACCGTCTTTAATCCGGATGATTCCAGAACTTCATGGTCCACACGGAGCCACTAGCCACATGTCGCTATGTAAATTGCACTAATTTAATTAAAATAAAGTGAATTTTAAAGCCGAACTTCTCAGCCACACCTAGCCAGATTCCAAGTGCTCAAGGGCCACACGTAGGCCCGTGGCCGCTGCAGGTGCAGTGCCAATGCAGGACACTTCCATTGCAGGACAGCCCTGCTCCAGGATCTCTCAGGGACAAAAGGGACGATGACCCCTGCCTGCATGTGTGTCTCCTCCCCCAGGCCCAGCCCATCTTCCCCAGGGCAAGCAGGGCCTTCTTCCTGAGCACGACTCAGCTGACATCGCACCTGTGCTTAAACTCTCTTATTGCCTATCCCGGTTAACAGAACAAAACGCCAGTTCCTTCCGTGGCCAGCCAGGCGCCACATCTTCACATTCAGCCAACCATCAGCAAATATCTATTGGACATAAACTATGTGCCAGGCAATTGTGATGGAAGATGCCAAACAGCAAAGAGTCAAAACTCCTCGCCTCCATGGAGCTGTCTAGGGGTAGGGGGGCGGGGGGAGCGATAAACAAACGGTAAGTAAATGATGGTTTTCTAGAAGATGAAATTGCTATATATATATATATTTAAAAAAGAGCAGATTGAAGGCACCTGGAATGCCAGGGGAGGGTGACCAGATGGCCTCGTTGACAAGGTGACAGGTGAGCCTTCCAGGTGGGGGATCAGCCAGCGGGGAGGCTCCAAGGTGTGGGCAGGCCTGGGTATTTGAGAAACCCAGGGGATCCAAGGGGCTGGGAAGGAGGAAATGAGGGAAAGGGTAGGTCCTTGGGGTCATGGGAAGGACGTGGGCTTTCATCTGAGCCAATGGGGAGTTATGGCAGGGTTTGAGCTGAGCAACAGTTCCCAGCTCATATTCAAAAGGCTCCTTCCAGCTGCCGGCATACGATGGGTGTTAAGAGGGGGGCGCAGAGAGCCCCGAGTCACCTGCAGGGAGGAGGAGGGTGAAGTGGATTTGGGTGGCAGTGGTGAGGAGTTCAGAGATGTTCAGAGGATCCCAGGTGGGTGGGATGTGAGTGGGGGTAGCAGCCCAGGATGGCTCTGGGTTCCTTGGCTCCTGAGAGATGGGACGGACAGGTGTGCAATGCTGGTGAAGACACGAGTGGGAGGCGTTCACTGGACACTAAAACAGAGGGGCAAACGGAGAGCAGGAGGCATTCACTGGACACCCAAGAGGAGCGATAAAGGGGAGCGGGAGGAGTTCACTAGACGCCCAAGCAGAGAGGCAAAAGGGCTGGGTCTGAGTCCACAGTGCTGGAGAGAGGTTGCTTTAGAGGCGGGAGCTAAGTGCTATGAAGCTGGCCCGCTGCTCTCTCCTTTCCTCTCTCCACTCTCTCCGTCTGGCCACTTGCACCTCCCTTTGCACCCACGACATCTCAGCTCATTTCAGTGCCCTAGCCTCTATCCTAGCAGTCCCCTGGCCAGCTCCACTGCGCGGTTCCGCCCTCTGCTTCCCACCGCACTCCGCAGCCCTGAATGATCGCTACTCACCCGGCTTAAACTGTGAGCCCAAGGATACTTGAGGACAGTTGTGTGAGGACACTTGTGGAGGACAGACACTCCAGCTCCTTGCTTGGGCTGTATTCCCAGCGCTAGACAGGCCTAGCCCCAGAAGACTCAGCGTCTGCACTGCCCCCACCTTGCTCCGCTCCCTGCCCCACCTTGCCCGCCCCCTGCCCTACCTTGCCCTGCCCCCTGCCCTACGTTGCCCCGCCCCCTGCAGCCACCTGCTGCTTTTCTGGGAGGCCCAGGAACCCAGATGGTCGCTGATGAAGAGGAGCATCTCTCCCGCACCAGTGGACCCAGCCCTGGGTTCTCAGCCTATAAGATACCACCACGCCCATACACAAACACGTACAAACATACACACTCCCACACACAAACACACACACGCAATCACACACAAAAACACCCCACACCCACACACAGTCACACACACACCCCACACATAAACATCCACACATTCACACACACAATCACATACACACACCCCACACCCACACACAAACACATACACACAAACATCCCCCCCACACACTGACATACATACAAACGCCACACAAACACACAATCACAAACACCTTCACACACAATCACACACACACAAACACCCCCACAGTCACACACACAATTGCAAACATACACATCCCACACTCACACACAAACACAATCACAAATACCTCACACACAGTCACTCACAAACATGACCCCCACACACAGTCACACACACAAACACCCTACACACACACAACCCCCCACACACAGACACACACACACCCTCCACACACAAAAACAATTTCACACAATCACACATAAACACCCACCCCCAACACACACAAACACCAACACATGCCCACACACACAAATATTCCCCATACACATGCACACCCCCCACACACAAACACACAATTACAAGAACACACACAAACACTTCCACACTGACACACAAACACAATCGCAAACATATACACACTTCACACTCACATGCAATCACAAACACCACACACGCACACACACACAAACACTCCCCCACACACAATCAAAAACATACACCCCACAACCACATAAACGCACACAACACATAAACACACACACACAAAAAACACTCCACACACACCCACACATACAAACACCCCACAAACACCCAAACACAATCACACACACAAACACCCCCAACACACCCACATACAAACACAATCACAAATACCCACACACGAACACACCCAATATACATTCTCACACTCACAAGGTTTAACTTCTTTTCTTCCCCTCCTCCCCCTTCCCCATTCCTGGTCTGAGAGTTTTATTTGAAAAGACAGGAAAAGCCTGAAAAACCAGCTCGCCTCAAAAGTACATATTTTTTAAAATTGAATACAGTATATTAATTATTGATTATGCATTTGATTTATGAATGAGAAATGACTTTGAAACTTCTTTTTTCAGCAGTGGAGCCATTCAAAAGGGATACGAGCGAACGTACTTGTATCCTGACTCCTGAGTCGATCCCACTTAACTCAAGTTGTCAACGGTGATGCAGAAGGGGAGCTGTGGAAACCCACAGAAATGTGGCGGCGGGGCGGGGCAGAGAACGAGGAGGGGAGGGGAGAGGAGGGGAGGGGAGGGAAAGGGAGGGGAGGAGTAGGGAGGGGAAGAGATGGGAGAGGCGGGGATGGAGGGGTGGAGAAGGGAGGGGATGGAGGGGCGGGGCGGGACGGAGAACGAGCGGGGGAGGGGACGGGACGGAGAGGTGGGGAGGGGCGGGGAGGAGATGGAAGGGAGGGGCGGGGATGGAGGGGTGGAGAGGGGTGGGGATGGAGGGGTGGGATGGGAGGGGAGAGGATGTAGGGGAGGGGAGGAGGTGAAAGGGAGGGGCAGGGATGGAGGGGTGGAGAGGGGAGGGGATGGAGGGACGGGGTGGGAGGGGAGAGGATGCAGGGGAGGGGAGGAGGTGGGAGGGAGGGATGCGGCAGCGATGGGGAGAAGGGAGGAGCAGGGAGAGGAGAGAGGTGGAGGAGCGAAGAGGGGATGAAGGTGAGCGGCAGGGCGGGGATGGAGGGACGGAGGGACGGAGAGGGCGGAACGATTTCCCGCCGCTCTGAACGCCCCGCCTGGCCGTGCTGCTCGCCGTGCTGGGAGCGCCCCTGGAGGAGGCTCCCGGGCGGGTGGGCGTCCGCTGCCAGAGCCGAGGCCGCTTCTCTCCCGGGCGGGCACGTTGCGGGCTGTTCCTCGCTGTCTCTGCTGGAATGGGTGGGCAGGTCTTTGTGCGCTACTTTTAAGTGCTATAATGAGCGCCCTCTGATTCCCAGTCCTGGAAGGGGCAGTAGCTCCGGGGAGCGGATGGGGTGTCGTTCGCTCCGATCCCACGTCTGGACGCACCAAAGCCATAGCAATGATCATAGGGACCCTCGGCCGCCAGGCCGGGGCGGGTGATGGGGACTCTCCGCTCTTCGTTGCGCCCCGCGGGTGGCTGCTCTGCACCTGGTGGACGCCTTCCCTGAAGTTCTTGTTCCCTTGAATACACTCAGGGCCAAGCAGATTTTCCTCCAGGTGTGGGGATGGGAAATAGCTGGCGGACAGCCCGACGGGAGCGCTGTCTCCCTGAGATTTGCAGGGCTCGGGCTTATGCAGCAGACTTTGCGGGCGAACCCAGCCATGGGTGTCTGCGGGGAGGCCTGCGCGCGTGCAGACTCCGCAGGCGGGAGGCCATGGGCTCCCCTAGTTCCTGCTCAGCCTGTGTCCTCACCCACCAGGCCGGCCAGGGTGAGTGGGACTGAGTGGGCTTTCTGGAATGCAAAACTTTCAAAGCTGAAATCGCAAAAGTTCTGGGCAGACCAGGGCAAGTTGGTCACCCAAAGGCCAACCCAGCTTCTGTGGTTAAGGCAGTCACCCCTGCTGTATTAACCCCCACAGGGCATAGACTCCTGGGGGAATAATCACCTTCAGTTTCTTCCCTTTCCTGGAGACTCCAGAGATTTTGTATTCTTTACTGTGTGTGTGGCTGTATCTGGATTCAGCATACAGTACAATCAATCCGCTTTTGATTCTTGTAAGCCCAGAATTGCTTATGAATTCCTGATTTGGGAGCAGCTCCAATGTAGCTGTGGGTACCAGCCCCATCCAGCTCCTTCAGGTGCAAGGTCGCTGCAGAGAGTGCAGGACAGTGAGGTCCTGGTCCCTTCTTTCTGGCTTTGTGGTAGGCTCTGAACAGTGCCTCTTTTGAGTGCACCGCGCCCTGTCCTCTTTCACAGATTTTGTTGGTTTCCTTTTGGTTTGGGCGCTGGGTGAAGCTGACCTGCTGAGTTCACGAGCCCACGTTTCCCGCTGGAGCTCTGCTACTGAGTATCCTCCCTCCACTCCTGGGAGGAGGGCTGCCCCTTGCCATCTGGGTCTGCCTTAATCAGGAAGATAAGTTACTGTTGATGAAGGAAGAAGAAACAAGGCATATTTTTCTGAATCTTTTCTTATTCCTAGACCAGGGTTCTTGAAGTTAAGATCCAGGAGCTGCCACCTCATCCCCCACCCCACTTTTACATTTTGTTTTATTTACATTTACGTTTTTATTTGTGACTTAGCCCCAGGGAATGTGGTCACCTAACTAGCGACCCATTTATAGGGTTTTGCGGAGCTGGAAGGAGCCCATCAATTAATTTTTTTACATGCCATCCTGCTGGGATGGCACAGGGTGAACTCTGACCTGCCTGTCTTGCAGCTAACTAGATGGTTTATGTGTCTTCTCCTCCCTCTAATGGGCCTAACGGATCGATGCTTTTTTCTTCACCTTTTCTGTACCATGAGACTTTCAGTGTCCTCCCACTGTGGGCGTGGCATTCTGCCCCTTGACCCCACGTGACTTGCTTTGGCCAATGGGCTGTTAGCAAACATGACTCAGCGAGGGGTTGGGTGGGGGACACTTGCACTTTTCCCTCACTCTTGCTCCTTCTCCTTTGCCAAGACAGTCCAAGTGGTGAGTCATGTGGAGCAGAGCCAAGTTTCCCAGTTGTCCCTGGTGTGCTCATCCTAGAACAGCCAAGCTGCAGCTGACCAGCAGACACGTGGGTGAGCCCAGCCAAGACCAGAAGAACTGCCTAGCAGAGCCCTGCCTAAGTCACTGATCCACAGAGTTGTGTGTCAGTATTTATAGTGTGACATGAATAATAGGGTGTTATTGAGGTTGTATGGTTGATACACAGCATTATTGTGGCAGTTAATGGTGGATTCACTCTAGCTCCACACAGGTGCCAGAAGGAGCGCTCAGTTTCTATGATGTCTCAGGACCTAGCATGGTTCTATGTGCAGTTCAAAGCAGAAGGTGACAGTGGAAGGAGCCTGGTGTCAGGCAGACCAGAGTGTGGACCTGCAGTCTGCCACTTACAAGGAGGGTGACTCTGGGCAAGTTAGTTAACTCCTCTCGTATTCAGTTGTCTCATTCTAAAATGGAGATACTACTGATATCAGTAGTCCTAATGCTATGGTTTGGATATTTGACCCCTCCAACTCTCATGTTGAAATATGATCCCTGATGTTGAAGATGTGGCCTAGCAAGAGGTGTCTGGGTCATGGGTGCCAATCCCTCATGAAGTGCTTGGTGCAGTTCTTATGGTAATGAGTGAGATCTCCGTCTATCAGTTCCCACAAGAGCTGGCTGTTAAAAAGAAATTGACACTTCCCTCCCCTCTTTCTTGCTCTCTTCCTCTCCTTCTATGCGATCTCTGCACACGCCAGTGTCCCTTCCTCTTCTGCCATGAGTGGAAGCAGCCTAAAGCCCTCACCAGAAGCAGGTGCTGGTGCCATGCTTCTTGTACAGCCTGCAGAACTGCACCAAATAAGGCTCCTTTTAAAAAACAAAAAATTATCCAGCTTCAGGTATTCCTTTGTAGCAACACAAATGGACTAAGACATTTAATAATTCTAATAGGCACAATTCGTTGGGCAATTATGTGTCTGAAATCATGTTAACAATTTCATGTATAGCTGATTAGACTTTCACCACAGCCCTGTAATAAATATCTGTTTTACAGATGAGAAAGCTGAGGTACAGTGAGACTAATTGAAGGGGCCAAGGGCACGCAGCATATCCTACATTAAGTTTTGTTTTATGTGTGTTTTTCTTTGAGCAGCATGTAGATTTTCCATATAATATGATCTCAACTAAAGCAAAATATATAGAAATAAGACTGGAAAAATATGACAATATGTAAATAGCAGTTGCCTCTGAGTACTGAACTTTGAATTTTTTTTATTTTTATATTAACTCAAAAATTTTTATAATTATCTTTATTTTTTATCTTTATGTTTATATAAAGATAATTATGACTATTATAATAGATATTATTTTATATTATCTTTATAATTAGACTCAACATTTTTAAAAAAATCTTCTTCACACAGTATTTGACTGTGTTCCTAAATCTTGTGGTTAATGACAATATCTGGCTTTAGAGTTACTTCATTCATATTTTTTATTTTAATCAATGTAAGACCTTTGGTTCAACATCCTAGAAGCATAGTTATTGCAGGCCACTTTCTCCTAAAAATATATTAAAATGCTGATAGAATATGTATTATTTAGGGTAGGGTGGCTTGCGGTAACAAAGAGACCCCAAAATATATAATGATTCAAACACAATAGAAAGGGGCTTCTGTTTCTTAGAGAGCTTGCAGAGGACCAATCTTCTTAAAGAGAACAAGAACGCTGATGGCATACCAAAAAACATTTGTCTGAAGGCATTGGAGAGCTGTGGAGGCAACCAGGCCTAAGGGGCCAAGATTCCTGAAAGGGAAAACCCATGGAAAGATGAGCCATATTCTGAAGCTGCTCTTCCCTCATGAACTTGGGAATGCTGGGCAGAAGGCCAGGCCTGGGCTACTAGAAAGGGCAAGAAAACTAGCAAAGATGTGGGAAGCTTACAGGTCTGGAAAGGGAAAATTAAATTCTTAGGGGTGGGGGATCCAGAATCCCACAAGATGGAGCAAATAACTGAGCCAAACTCTCAGTCAGTTTTTAACAGAAGATATTGGGAAATTTCTGGAGCTACACAAAATGGAAACTAGGTAGGCAAATACAGAGCCTCTGAAAAGCTAAGTGAAGTTTTCAATAGTCTTACTGTGCTGAGGACACTAGGACTAGAATTTAGAACTTATGGGGCAAGGGCCATGATAAACACCCCAGCCACTCAATGGAAAACCCTAAAACCATGCTCTAAGAATAAACATGATCCAGGAGTAGGTAGAGATTCAATACTGCTACTGAGCCCTGAGTTAACTCAGTCCCTGGTTGAATTAAGCTGACTAACCCATAGTATATGATATGGTTTGGCTGTGTCTCCACTCAAATCTCCTCTTGAATTGTAGCTCCCACAATTCCCACATATCGTGGGAGGGACCTGATGGGAGGTAACTGAATCATGGGGATGGGTCTTTCCCATGCTGTTCTTGTGATAGTGAATAAGTCTCATGAGATCTGATGGTTTTATAAATGGGACTCCTGCACAAGCTCTTTTTTTGACTGCCTCCATGTAAGATGTGACTTTTCTCCTCATTTGCCTTCTGCCACGATCGTGAGGCCTCCCCAGCCATGTGGAATTGTGAGTCAATTAAACCTCTTTCCTTTATAAATTACCCAGTCTTGGGTATGTCTTTATTAGCAGCGCAAGAACAGGCTAATACAGTATATCTACCTATCAGAGGAAAGGATGAACAATGTCCAGCATTCAATAAAAAATGTAGGCATACCAAGAGACAAGACTAAATGGTCAAATATCAGGGGGAATATTTAGATATGGGAAATCAACCCACAGGTGATTCAGATATTGGACTTAGCTGATAAGGGCTTAAGTGAACTGTTATTAATATGGTAAAGACAATATAGAAAAAGATAGATGGATGAAAATAGAATTTCATCAGACAATTGAAAACTATGAAAGGAACTAAATGAAAATTTTAAGAACTAAAAATTGCAAAAACTAAAGAATTCAGTAGGTGGATTTATTATTAATGTAATCTGTTATTATTAATAATCTATTATGAATAGATTAGAAACAGCAAAAAAGATTAGTGAATTAGGAAATACAGCAATCTAAAAAATTAAGATTGAAACACAGAAGAAAAGAAGATAGAAAATACAAAAGAGAACATAAAGGACATAGACAGCAGTGTAAAGGTCTAACATTAGTGTAATTGCAGCCTCAGATAGAGAGGAAAGAGATAATGGGATAAGGAAATATTTGAAGAACTAATACCTGACAATTTTCCAAAACTGAGGAAAGACATTAGTCCACAAATTAAAAATCTTTACATACTCTAAGCAAAGTATATATAAAATAAATTTTACTTTAGTATAGCTGAAAAACAAAGATAAAAAAGGAAATTGTGAACACAGCAGGAGAGGAACGACAGATTACCTTCAATGGAGCAACAGTAAGACTGAAGATTGGCTTTTCAGAAATGATATGTTTAAAGAGCTGGAAGGTAGTAAAACTAACCTGAAATTCTATATTCAATGAAAGTGTAACAGCTCAATAGGTTAATCTTGCCCACTGCCCACACAGATACAGCCAATGTATCAAGATGGGGAATTGCAATAGAGAAAGAGTTCAATATATGTAGAGCCAGCTAAACACGGACTGTAGTTTTACTACTATTCAAATTAGCCTCTCCAAAAATTGGAGGCTAGGGTTTTGTAAAGATAGTTTGGTGAGCAGGGGGATAGGGAATGAGTGCTGCTGATGAGTTAGTGATGCAATCATAGTGGTGTGGTAAGTGGTCCTCATGTGCTGAGTTCACTTCTGGGTGGGAGCCAGAGAGGAGTTGCTGATCCAGTTGGAGTCATCTAGTCATCAGAAATGCAAAAGTCTGAAAAGACATCTTAAAAGGGCAATCTGAGGGTCTACAATAGTGATGCTCTTTACAGGAGTCATTGAAGAAGTTGCAAATCTTGTGACTTCCAGAATAATGGCTGGTAATCATTTAACTATGCCTGCATCTTAGCAGAATTCAGGTCCCTCTAATCTTCCTAACCTGGTTGCCTTTCATTAGTTTTGCAAAGGTGGCTTAGTTTTGGGAAGAGCTATTATGTTTTAGTCTCCCAAAGTTAGTCTGGCCCATGCTCAGGAATGGCCAAGGGCAGTTTGGAGGTTAAAAGCAAGATGGAGTTGATTAGATCTTTCACTATCATAATTTTCTCACTGTTCTAATTTTTGCAAAGGCAATTTCCAAAACATCTTTCAAAAATGAAGGGAAAATATTATTTAAAGACACCAAAACAGAAAAACCCAGTGTAAAATAAATGCCAATAGAAATTCTTCAGACAAAGGAAAAGAACCCAGATTTAAAAACTGAAATGCATGAAGAAATTGAAAGCTACAGAAAGAGTATATATGTAAATATAAATAAATATTAACCATACGAAACATCAAAAATGATGTCTAGTGGGATTTAAAATATATATTGACAAGAGTAAAGGAAAAGAATGGGAGCAATAAAGTATTCTAAGGTCTCAACATTGTGTAAAAGAAATAAAAGTCCTAAATTATATTAGACAATATTAAATCAAGGATACATGTTGCAACATTTACAGTAGTTACTAAAATACTTAAGTACCAAGTTTATATAGGGAAAATAGAATAATAAAACTATTCATCCAAAAGAAAGTAAAAAAAAAACCCAAGACATGGAAAAGCAACATAAAATGGGTACAACACAAAAAGTAAAATGGTAACTATAAATTCTAATATATTAATAATTATGTCAAATATAAATTGACTAAATACTTCAAGTAAGACCAAAATAGTCAGATCTGATTTTATTAACTCAAGTATATACTGGTTACAGGAGACCCACCTCAAAAGCAAAAAAGGATGAAAGTCAAAGTTGAAAAAAGCTATGCCAGATAAACACTAAACAAAAGAAAGCTGGTATCATTATTCTAATATCAGAAAAGTAGACTGGAAGGTAAGAAGCATTGCTAGACATAAAGCAGTTGCTTTGCAATGATAAAAGGATCAATCCACTCATAAAGCAAAAACAGACAGAACTAAAAAAGAAAAAGAGACAAATTCACAATAATATTCAGAGGCACAAACACACTCCTCTCAATATATGATAGAAATGCAAACAGAAAATCAGTAATAGCACAATTAGCCTGACCTAATTAACACTGTATCCTACAATGACAGAATATGCATTCTTTTTAAGTGCACACATAACATTTAATAAAATCAGTCATATGCTGGGTCATAAAACAATTCTCAACAGATTTCAAGGGATTTGAATCACTCTTGACAACTGTGAAATTAACCCTCTGACCACTGTGAAATTAATCTAGAAATTAATAACAAAAAGTTAATTAGGAAATCTCCTTTTCTGCTATGCTAGCAATCTCTGCCTCCAAATATATGTCAATGTCCTTTTAATTCATAGGAAAACTTGAAGGAAGGAAAAAAGACACTTCTTGAACAGAAATAAAATAGAAACTACAGCCAGCGGGTAATCCATGAGCCAACACACCAGGAGCCCAGGGAAACATCAAATGTGAACACATGTCCTAAGGGCTCACAGCTGGGTTTTGATGCTGATTAGGAGAAACGGAATATGACTTTGACCTGCATGAGGCAGAGGTGAACTAAGAACTCTGAGTAGAGTTGAGACCCTGGAAGACTGCCCCCTTCTTATAAGAGGAACTAGAAAAACTCAAGCAAAATCTCCAGAACCAAGCTTGACTGCACAGAAAAAGCAAAGGGGAAAAATATCCCACTGGAAATGGAAACTCCAAACTCATTCCATCCCAATCAGATGTAAAGTTTTAATTTATACTTCCCACAAAGTAAGGAAATCCCAAACCAAATATATATAAAATATAATTATAAATAAAATATAATCAATTATATAGATATTTTTATAAAATATAATTACATATATATGATATATTTATAAAATATAATTATATTATATACAATATATTTATATATATATAATGAATTTCAGAAGAGTGATCCCTTGGCTCCAAAACTAAAGCAAAGAGAACTCCTTTTCTAAAGACATCTTCAATGCCAGGCCACATGAGACTCCCACAGGGGAAAACAATGGCAACACCAGCTGAAGAAAACTTCCAATGATTTTTTTAAAATCACAAACTACACAAAGAAACAATTCACAATAAGGGAAGTCAGCAGATACAATCAACAGCATAATTAGATCCCCCAGACACTTGTGATGACAGAATAGCCCAAATCAAATTATATACCAAATACATTTTAAATGATTAAACACATAAAGAAGGGATAAAAATCATGTTGAAAAAATAAGCTTCTATTTAAAAAATAATAACAGCCTGACCTGAACATGAGCCAAATTGTAGTTCTCAGACTGAAAATGAACCCCAAAAGTCATTTAAAAACTTAATAGTTTAAATAGCAGAATTGATGGTTTAGACAAGTAGGAAGATTTGGTGAACTGGGAGATAAATGTAAGAGAATTTCACAGAATACAATGCAGATATGAAGAGGTATAAAATCTGAAAAAGAGCTAACTGAGTGAAATTGAAACATGAAAAACCATACAAAAGATCAACAAGCCATAAGTTTGTTCTTTGAAAAAATACGTAAGATAGACAGGCTACTAGCTAAACTCATGAAAAAAAGAGAGAAGATCCAAATCAACACAATTAGAAATGACAAAGTGGACATTATCACTGACCTCACAGAGATATTAAAAAACATCAGAGACTATTATGAACATCCCTATGCACACAAACTAGAAAACCTAGAAGAAATGAATAAATTCCTGAAAACATGCAACTTCCCAAGACTGAACCAGGAAGAAATTCAAACTTCGAACAGACCAACAATGAGTTCTGAAATTGAATGAGTAATAAATATCCTGCCAACCAGAAAAGCCCAGGACTAGATGGATTCACAGCCTAATTCTACCAGACATACAAAGAAGAGCTGGTACCATTCCTACTGAAACTATTCCAAAAAATTGAGGAAGAGGGACTCCTTCCTAACTCATTCTGTGAGGCCAGCATCATTCCAGTACCAAACCTGGCAAAGACCCAACAACAACAAAAAAAAGACTTCAGGACAATATCCTTGAACATAGATGCAAAAATCATCAACAAAATACTAGCAAACCAAATCCAAAGCCCATCAAAAAGCCAATCCATAACAATCAAGTAGGCTTTCCCTGGCATACAAAGTTGGGTCAACACACACAAATCAATAGATGTATTCATCACATAAACTGAACTAAAGGCAAAAACCACACGGTAATCTCAATAAATGCAGAAAAGGCTTTTAATAAAATTCAGCATCCCTTCCTGTTAAACACCCTCAACAAAGTAGGCATTGAAGGAACATGTTTCAAAATAATAAGAGCCATTTTCGACAAACCCACAGCCAACATCATACTGAATGGGCAAAAGCTGGAAGCATTCCCTTTGAGAACCAGAACAAGGCAAAGATGCCCACTCTTACCACTCCTTTTCAACATAGTACAAGAAGTCCTAGCCAGAGCAGTCAGGAAAGAGAAAGAAATAAAAAGCATCCATGGAGGAAGTCAAACTTTCTGTTGGCAGACAATATGATTTTATACCTAGAAAACCCCAGCCTCTGCCCAAAAGCTCCTAGACCTGATAAACAACTTTAGCCAAGTTTCCAGATACAAAACCAATGTACAAAAATTGGCAGCATTTCTGTACATCAATATCATCCAAGTTGAGTGCCAAATCAAGAACACAATCCCATTCACAATAGCCACAAAAGGAATGAAATACCTAGGAATACAGCTAACCAGGTAGGTGAAAGATCTCTACAACCAGAATTACAAAACCTACTGAAAGAAATCAAAGATGACACAAACAAATGAAAAAACATTCCATGTCCATGGATAGGAAGAATCAATATTGTTAAAATGGCAATATTGCCCAAAATAATTTACAGATTTAATGCTATTCCTATCAAACTACCAATGACATTCTTCACAGACTTAGTCAAAACTATTCTAAAACTTATATGGAACGAAAGAAAGAGCCCAAATAGACAACACAATCCTAAGCAAAAAGAACAAAGCTGGAAACATCACATTACCCTACTTCAAACTATACTACAAGTCTACAGTAACCACCACAGCATGTACAAAATAGACACATAGACTGATGGAACACAATAGAGAGCCCAGAAATAAAGCCTTAGAGCTACAGCCATCTGATCTTGGACAAAATCAGCAACAACAAAAAAGCAATGGGGAAAGGACTCTTTGTTCCACAAATGGTGCTGGGATAAGTGGTTATCCATATGCAGAAGATTGAAACTGGACCCCTTTTTTACACCATATACAAAAATCAACTCAAAATTAAAAATGTAAATGTAAAACCTAAAACTATAAAAAGCCTTGAAGAAAACCTAGGAAATACCACTGTAGAGATAGGCCCTGACAAAGATTTTATGACAAAAATGCCAAAAGCAATTGCAACAAAAATTGAAATGGACAAATAGGACCTAATTCAACTAAAGAGCTTCTGCACAGCAAAAGAAACTGTAAAACCGAGTAAATAGACAACCCACAGAATGGGAGAAAATATTTACAAACTATGCATCTGACAAAGGTCTAATATCCAGACACTATAAGGAACTTAAAAGAACTAACAAGCAAAAAACAAGCAACCCGATTAAAAAGTTGGCAAAGGACATGAACAGACGCTTTTCAAAAGAAGACATATATGTAATCAACAAGCATACAAAAAAATATTCAACATCACTAATCATTAGAGACATGCTAATCAAAACCACAATGAAATGACCATCTCAAACCAGTCAGAATGGCTATTACTAAAAAATCAAAAAATAACAGATGCTGGCAAGGCTGTAGAGAAAAGAGAAAACTTATACACTGCTAATGAGAATGCAAATTAGTTCAACCACTGTAGTAGAAAAGCAGTTCGGTGATTTCTCAAAGAACTTAAAACAGAACTACCATTTGACCCAGCCATCCCATTATTGGGTTTATACTCAAAGGAATATAAATCACTCTACTATAAAGACACATGCAAACATGTGTTCATTGCAGCACTATTCACAATAGCAAAGACAAGAAATCAACCTAAATGCCCATCAATTGTAGACTGAATAAAGAAAATGTGGTACGTATACACCATGGAATACTACACAGCCATTAAAAAGAACAAGATCTGTTCTTTGCAGGAACATGGATGGAGCTGGAGGCAATTATCCTAGGCACATTAATGCAGGAACAAAACACCAAACATCATGTATTCTCACTTGTAAGTGGAAGCTAAACATTGAGTATACATGGACACAAAGAAGTGAACAATAGACACTGGGGGCCGATTGGAGGGTGAGGAATGAGAGAAGGGTGAGGACCAAAAAAACTACCTATCAGGTACTATGCCTATTACCTGGGTGATGAAGTAATATGTACGCCAAATCCCCACAACATGCAATTTATCCCTAGAATCAACCTGCACATATACCTCTGAAACTAAAATAAAAGTTGAAAAAAAAAAAAAAGAAGCCGGGTGCAGTGGCTCATGCCTGTAATCCCAGCACTTTGGGAGGCTGAGGAGGGCGGATCACGAGTTCAGGAGATTGAGACCATCCTGGCTTACATGGTGAAACCCTGTCTCTACTAAAAAAATACAAAAAAATTAGCTGGGCCTGGTGGCAAGCACCTGTAGTCCCAGCTACTTGGGAGACTGAGGCAGGAGAATGGTGTGAACCTGGGAGGTGGAAGTTTGCAGTGAGCTGAGATTGCGCCACTGCGCTTCAGCCTGGGCATCACAGCGAGACTCCATCTCAAAAAAAAAAAAAAAAAAAAAAAAAAAGAAAAAGAAAATCTGAAAACGATTAAAAGGAATTAAGATTAAGAGAAAATCTGAAAAGATTAAGATTATGAGGAATAATGAATGAGGACCAACCTAGAATCTAGTAGTTCATTTTGTTGTTGTTATATTTTATTTTTAATTGACACACAATAATTGTACCTATTTATGAAGTACAGTGTCATGTTTTAATACATGTATGCATTCTGTAATGATAAAATCATGGTATTAAGCATATCCGTCACCTCAAACATTTATCATTTCCTTGTGATGAGAACCTTCAAAATCCTCTCTTCTAATTATTTTGAAATACATGATACAGTGTGAGGGGTCTTCAAGAAGTTCATGGAAAGTGCATATTATGAAAAAAACTACGCATGGATTGCAAAAATTTTTGCACAGAAATAAACACATACTAACTTATAATAGGGGCCTGAGCAGGATCTAGTTTGAGGAACTAAGAAGGGTAAGACATGGACTTAAAAACAGCCTGTATTAGGCTGTTCTCACATTGCTATAAAAAAAATACCTGAGACTGGGTAATTTATTAAGTAAAGAGATTTAATTGGCTCCCGGTTCTGCAGGCTGTACAAGAAGCACAGTACTGGAGTCTGCTTCTGGGAGGCCTCTGGAAGCTTACAATTATGGCAGAAGGTAAAGTGGAAACTTGCATGTCACATGGCAA
Organism: Homo sapiens; assembly: GCF_000001405.40. Lineage (NCBI taxonomy): Eukaryota > Metazoa > Chordata > Mammalia > Primates > Hominidae > Homo > Homo sapiens. Next base: position 123,985,149 of record NC_000010.11, read on the forward strand.
AAGCAGTAGCAAGAGAGAGGAAGGGGGTAAGTGCTACACACTTAAACAATCAGATCTTGTGAGAACTCATGTACTCGCTATTATGAGAACAGCACCAAGGGGATGGTACTAAACCATTCTGGAGAAACATCTCCATGATCCAATCACCTCCCACCAGGCCCCACCTCCAACACTGAACATTACAATTCAACATGAGATTTGGGTGGGGACCCAGATCGAAACCGTATCAGAGCCCCGTCAGAGCAACATGAATTCTGCTAAAATTGAAGCAAGAACAAACACGAAATTTATGGTGAAGCTTGGATGGACAAATGATGAAATAATTGATGCTTTTCAAAAAGCTTATTAGAACAATGCCCCAGTGAGATCAGCAGTTTACACAAGGATAACTCAAAGGGATGGGAACATGCAGAAGTTTGGCCAACAGCAGCAGATCATCCACATCAATTTTCGAGGAAAAAATTAAGCTTCTTTGTGCCCTAACTGAAGAGGACTGACAATTCACAGAAGAAAAAATAGGCAAGACCATAGATATCTCAGTTGGTTCAGCATATACAATTCTGACTGTAAAATTATAACTGAACAAATGTTCCACTCAATAGGTGCCAAGCCCATTGTGCCCATGGCCCCCTGTGCAGTAACAGACCCATTACACTGGGACAGTAGGGGTTGCAGCAGAGAAAGGATTGATTGATTGCAGAGTGCTGAGCAAGGAAATGGGAGGAGACCCTCAAATTCCTCTGCCTAAGGAGTTCTAGGATTGGGTTTTTAAGGGGATTATGGAGGATGAGGGGCTGGAGAATTAGGGGTGTTGATTGGTTGGGCTAAGGGGGATGATATCATCAAGATGTGGAAACTCATGCTTTGGTGAGTTAGCTTCTTATGGGGTCCTTCAGACCAGCTGGCATCAGTGGGGTCCTTCAGACCAGCCAAGTCAATAATTCATCAGTATGCAGGACCTGAAAGTATATCTCAAAGGGAAAACTTAACATTTTATACTCGTTAAGTTGTTATCTACAGAGCAGTTAAGGAGAACTATAATCTTCTAACAGGGTCTACATCATTCCAGGACAATAGGCACCAAACAAACAACTGTGAGGAAGCAGGTCGGAGAACAGGCTGACTTCATGATTAATGCTGAACGTGCTGCAAGCTTGGTTTATTTTTATTTCTCCCTCTCCCTTCTTCCCTAATTTTCATTTTCTTTTATTTTGGGAGACAGCATCTCATTCTGTTGCCCAAGCTGGAGTGCAACGGTATCAACAGTTCACTGCAGCCTCGACCTCCTGAGCTCAAGCAATTCTCCTGCCTCAGCCTCCTGAGTAGCTGGGACCACAGGCATGCACCACTATACCTGGCTAATTGTTTCTACTTTTTATAGAGACAGGGTCTCACCATGCTGCCCAGGCTGGTCTCAAATCCTGGGCTCAAGCGATTCTCCCAAAGTGCTGGGATTATGGGCATAAGCCACTGTGCCCAGCCCTGATTAATTTTATAAACGAGATAAGGGCAGTTTTACCCAAGTTAACTTCAGAGAAGAGCAGAACTTTCAATGGAAATTTCAAACAGTAGAATCCATATCCTGAAGCAGTTCTTTAAAGAATTATAACAGAAAACGAAGCATGGCCTTACTAGCATGATCCTGAACACCAGGCACAATCAAAGCAATGGCTACAAAGGAGTCCTGTCAAAGCAAAACAGACTAGTCAAGGGCAAAGGTCATAGCAACATGTTTGGGGATGCTCAAGGCATTTGGTTTGTTGACTTTCTGGAGAACTAAAGAATGATAACATCTGCTTATTATGAGAGTGTTTTCAAAAAGTTAGCCAAAGCTTTAAGAGAAAATCTCCCAGGCAATCTTCACCAGAATCCTTCACCACAAGAATGTTCCTGCTCATTCCTCTTGTCAAACAAGGGCTTTTATGAGAGTTTCAATGAGAAATCATTAGGTATGCACCTTACAGTCCTGATGTGGCTTCTTCTGCCTTCTTTTTGTTTCTTAATCTTAAAAAAAAATGTATTTTTTATTTCATTTATTTATTTTTTGAGACAAGAGTCTTGCTCTGTCACTCAGGTTGGAGTGCAGTGGCGTGATCTCAGCTCACTGCAACCTCTGCCTCCTGGGTTCAAGCGATTCTCGTGCCTCAACCTCCCAAGTAGCTGGGATTACAGGTGTGCACCACCACACCCAGCTAATTTTTGTATTTTTGGTAGAGACGAGCTTTTGCCATGTTGGCCAGGCTAGTCCCCAACTCCTGATCTGCCCACCTTGGCCTCCCAAAGTGCTGGGATTACAGGCATGAGCCACTGCACCCGGCCTTAATCTTAAAAAATCTTTAAATGGCACCCATTTTCCTTTAGTTAATAATGTAAAAAAGACTACATTGACATAGTTAAATTCCCAGGACCCTCAGTTCTTCAGGAACGGACTAAATGGCTGGTATCATCCTGTATTAGTCCATTGTCAAACTGCTATTTATTAGAAAAGAGGTTTAATTGGCAGGCTGTACAGGAACCATGGCGGCATCTGCTTCTGGGAAGGCCTTGGGAAGTTTTACTCATGGCAGAAGGCAAAGTGAGAGTAGGTGTCTTACATGGCAAGAGCAGGAGGGATGGTGGGGGTGGGCAGGAGGTGCTACACACTTTTAAACAACCAGGTGTCACAAGAACTCACTATCATGAGGACAGCATCAAGGGGTAGTGCTAAAACATTCATGAGAAATGTGCCCCCGTAACCCAATCACCTCCCACCAGGCCCCACCCACCTCCAACACTAGGGATTACAGTTGAACATGAAATTTGGGTGGGGACACAGATCCAAACCATATCACATCTCTTAGAAAAATGTCTTGAAGTTGATGGAGCTTATGTTGAGAAATGAAATTTATGCTTTAAATTTTTATCTTTTAATTCCATTTTTTCCTAACTTTTTGAAGTCCCCTTGTATTGTTAACTATAGTCACCCTACTGTGCAATAGAATACTATAACTTATTTCTTCTATCTACCTGTAATTTTGTACCCATTGACCAATCTCTTCTCATCCCCTCCTTCCCCTAAGCTTCTCCACCCTCTGGTAACTTCTATTCTACTCTGCAGTTCTATGAGATCAGCTTTTTCAGATTCCACAAGTGAGCTAGATCATGTGGTATTTATACCTCTGAGCTTGGCTTATTTCACTTAACATAATGTCCTACAGGTTCATCCATCTTGCAGAAAATAACAAGACTCGATTCTTTTTATGGCTGAATACAATTCCATTGTGTATGCGTACCTCATTTTCTTTATCCATTCATTCACTAATGGACACTTCGGTTGCTTCCATATCTTCACTATTATGAATGGTGTTGCAATAAACATGGAGGTGCAGGTGTCTCTTTGACATACTGGCTTCATTTCCTTTAGATATATACAGTATACCCAGCAGTGAGATTGCTGGATCATACGGTAGCTCTATTTTTAATTTTTTGAGGAACCTCCATACTGTTTTCCATAACAGCTGTGCTAGTTTACATTCCTCACCAGCAGTATATAAGGTGATATGGTTTGGCTCTGTGTCCCCAACCAAGTCTCATATTGAATTGTAATAATGCCCATGTTTCATGGGAGGGGCCCAGTGGGAGGTAATTGAATCTTGAGAGTGGGTTTTTCCCATGCTATTCTCATAACAGTGAATAAGTCTCGTGAGATCTGATGATTGTATAAAAGGGCAGTTCCCCTGCACAAGCCTTCATGCCTGCTGCCATGTAAGACATGTCTTGCTTCCCTTTTACCTTTCACTGTGATTGTGGGGCCCCTGCAGCCATGTGGAACTGTGAGTCAATTAAACCTCTTTCCTTCATAAATTACTCAGTCTCAGGTATGTCTTTATTAGCCACGTGAGAACAGACTATTACATAAGGGTTCCCATTTCTTCACATCTTTGCCAGTATTTCTTTTGTTTTTTGTCTTTTTGGTAATAACCATTCTACTTGGGGTGAGGTAATATCTCATTATGGTTTTTATTTGCATTTCCCTCATGATTAGTGATGTTGAGCATTTTTTTACACTCCTGTTGGCAATGTTTATGTATTCTTTAGATAAATATCTGTTCAGATCTTTTGCCCATTTTAAAATTCAATTATTTAGTTTTTTGCTAGTGAGTTGAGTTCTTTATATATTCTGGATATCAGCCGCTTGTCAGATGCATAGTTTGCAAATATTTTCTCCTATTCTATAGATTGTCTCTTCACTCTGTTGATTGTTTCCTTTGTTGTACAAATGCTTTTTAGTTTGCTATAATACCATTTGTCTATTTTTGCTTTTGTTGCCTATGCTTTTGAGCATAGGCAACAAAAAATCCTTGCCCAGGCCTATGTCCTAAAACATTTCCCCTATGTTTTCTTCTAGTAGTTTTACAGTTTCAGGTCTTACATTTAACTCTTCAATCCATTTTGAGTTGATTTTTTTTAATATGGTGAAAGAAAGTGGTAGAGTTTTATTCTTCTGAATGTCAATATCTAGTTTTCTCAGCACCATTTACTAAAGAGGCTGTCCTGTCTCCCAGTGTGTGTTCTTGACACCTTTGTCAAAAAAAATCAGTTGGCTATAACTGCTTGCATTTATTTCTGGGTTCTCCATTCTCTCACATTAGTCTATATGTCTTGTTTTTATGCTAATATCATGTTGTTTTGGTTACTATAGCTTTGTAGTGTATCTTGAAGTTAGGTAGTTTAATGCCTCCAGCTCTGTTCTTTTTGCTTAAGATTGCTTTGGTTATTTGGGTTTTTTTATGGTTTGGTACATATTTTAGGATTGTTTTTTCTATTTTTGTGAAGAATGTTAATTTTTTTGATCGGGATTGCATTGAAATTCTAGATCACTTTGTGCAGTATGAACATTTTAACAATATTAATTCTTCTAACCCATGAACATAAAATACCTTTCCATTTATTTGTGTCCTCTTCAGTTCGTTTCATTGATATTTTATATTTTCATTGTAGAAATCTTTCACCACTTTGATTCAATGTATTCTTGGTTTGTTGTTGTAGTTGTTGTTTTTGAGACACAGTCTCACTCTATTGCCCAGGCTGGAGGGGAGAGGCACTATCTCGCCTCGCTGCAACCTCTGCCTCCCGCATTCAAGCAAGTCTCCTGCCTCAGCCCCCCAAGTAGCTGGGATTACAGGTGTGCACCACCATGCCTAGCTAGTTTTTGTATTTTTAGTAGATACAAAACGGGTTTCACCATGTGGCCAGGCTGATCTTAAACTCCTGACCTCAGGCAATCCTCCTGCCTCAGCCTCCCAAAGTGCTGGGATTATAAGCGTGAGCCACCACACCCAGCCCAGGGATTGCTTTCTCGATTTCTTTTTCAGATAGTTTGCTATTGGTGTATGGAAACAGTACTAATTTCTGTATGTTGATTTTGTACCATGCAACTTTAATGAACTTATGAATTCTAACGGTTTTTTTGGTGAAGACTTTAGAAGATCACGTCATCAGCAGACAGAGAAAATTTGACTTCTTTCTTTCCAATTTGGATGCTCTCTATTTCTTTCTCTTACCTAATTGCTGTGGCAGGGACTTCCAGTACTATGTTGAATACAAGTGGTGAAAGTGGGCATCCTTGTCTTATTCCAGATTTTAGAGGAAAAGCTTTCAGCTTTTTTTTATTCAATATGATATTAGCTGTGGGTTTGTCATATATGTCCTTTATTGTGTTGAGATATGTTCCTTTTCACACCTAATTTGTTGGTGATTTTCATCATGAAGGGATGTTACCTTTAGTCAAATCCTTTTGTTGACGTTGATTGAGACGATCATATGGTTTTTCTCCTTGCAGAGTCTCATAGGAGTCCTCAGTGAAATGCAAGACAGCGCAGGTTCCTGACAGCATCTCTCCATCCAGGCCAAGGCAGACTGGCCGTCTCACAGCTGGATGGGGACACAGATCGAGTTCTGGCAACTGAAATGTGAGTGGACTTAAATGGGTCGCTTCTCAGCTAAGGCAATGGTAGTTCCCTCTTCTGGTGCATGGGCTGAGAGGGCCCCGTGTTCCAAGAGGCATAGCCACTGGTTGGTGAGGGGCTGTGATACGTGAACAAGCATGGGCTTGAGGGACTGGGGAAAGGGAGCGATTAAGAAGTGCAGGCCGGGCATGATGGCTCATGCCTGTAATCTCAGCACTTCGGGAGGCCAAGACGGGAGGATCACTTGAGGTCAGGAGTTTGAGACCAGCCTGACCAACATGGTGAAACCTCGTCCTACTAAAAATACAAAAATTAGCCGGGCGTTGTGGCACACGCCTGTAATCCCAGCTACTTGGGAGGCTGAGGCAGGAGAATCACTTGACTCCGAGAGGTGGAGGTTGCAGTGTGCCGAGATCAGCCATTTCACTCCAGCCTGGGCGACAGAGCGAGACTCCATCTCAAAAAAAAAAAAAAAAAAAAAAAAAAAAGAAGTGCAGCAATTAAGAATGAAGACATTGGGCGTCCGGGCGAGGCTCGGGGCGCGAGGATCGCGCAGCGCAGCGGGTTCGCCAGCCGGGGGGAGGGGCCGGGGCGGTGGCGGCGGCGGCGGAGGAGGCGGTGGCGGCGGGGGCCGGTACTGGACCCGGCGGGATGAGCGAGGTGGAGGCGGCAGCGGTGGCGACAGCGGTCCCCGCGGCGACGGTGCCCGCGACGGTGGCAGGGGTGGTAGCGGTGGTGGTACCGGTGCCCGCAGGGGAGCCGCAGAAAGCAGGCGGCGGGGCGGGCGGCTGCGGCGGGGACGCAGCCGCCTTGGACCCCGCTGCTGGGACCCCCTCGGCGCCGGGCCCCCGCACCCCTGGCAACCCGGCGACGGCGGCCTCGGGAACCCCCGCCCGGAGTCAGGCGGACAAGCCGGTGCTGGCAACCCGAGTCCTGCCTGGGCACTGCCAAACGGTTCAACGTCCGGAGTGGTTACGGATTCACCAACAGGAATGACGCCAAGGAAGATGTCTTCGTTCACTGGACAGCTGTTAAAAGAAACAACCCCAGGAAGTTTCTGCGCAGCGTTAGAGATGGGGAGACTGTGGAATTTGATGTCGTGGAAGGAGAGAAGGGCGCAGAAGCCACTAATGTAACTGGGCCCAGGGCGGCGGGGGTGCCCATGAAGGGCACCGTTATGCCCCCAACCGACGTAGGTTCCGCTGATTCATCCCCGGCCTCCCTCAGTTGCCCCACCACCCATGGTGGCAGAGATCCCCTCTCGGGGGACAGAACCTGGCGGCGAAGGGGAGCGGGCCGAAGACTCTGGGCAGCGGCCCAGACGATGGCGCCCCCCACCCTTCTACCTACGGCGGTTTGTGCGAGGCCCCCGGCCCCCCAACCAGCAGCAGCCTATAGAGGGCACTGATGGGGTAGAACCAAACAGACAGCCCCATTGGAGGGGCACCAACAGCAGGGAGATGAGTGGGTCCCCCCGCCCAGATTCCGGCCCAGGTACCTAAGGCCTTTACGCCCCAGGCCACCCCAGCAGCCTACCATGGAAGGTGGGGACAGTGATACCAAGCCCAGCCAAGGAAATTATTTTTTAAAAAAATTAAAAATAATAAATAATAAAAAAGAATGAAGACATTTATGCAGCCAACAAACATATGAAAAAAAGCTCATTATCACTGATCATTAGAGAAATGCAAATCAAAACCACAATGAGATACCATCTCATGCCAGTTAGAATGGCGATCATTAAAAAGTAAGGAAATAACAGATGCTGGCGAGGCTGTGGAGAAATAGGAACGCTTTTACACTGTTGGTGATAGTGTAAATTAGTTCAACCATTGTGGAAGATAGTGTGGTGATTCCTCAAGGATCTAGAACCAGAAATACCATTTGACCCAGCAATCCTATTACTGGGTATATACCCAAAGGATTATAAATCATTCTACTATAAAGACGTATGCACACATATGTTTACTGCAGCACTATTCACAATAGCAAAGACTTGGAACCAACCCAAATGCCCATCAATGATAGACTGGATAAAGAAAATGTGGCACATATACACCACAGAATTCTATGCGGCCGTAAAAAAGGATGAGTTCATGTCCTTTGCAGGGACATGGATGAAGCTGGAAGCCACCATTCTCAGCAAACTAACACAGGAACAGAAAACCAAACACAGCATGTTCTCACTCATAAGTGGGAGTTGAACAATGAGAACACATGGACACAGGGAGGGGAACATCACACACCGGGACCTGTTGGAGGGTGGGGTCTAGGGGAGGGACAGCATTAGTACAAATACCTAATGCATGCAGAGCTGAAAACCTAGATACCAGTTTGATAGGTGCAGCAAACCACCATGGCACATGTATACCTATGTGACAAACCTTCATGTTCTGCACATGTATCCCAGAACTTAAAGTAAAATTTAAAAAAAAAAAAAGTGCAGCCAAGCGTCACAGATTGGATCTTCTAAGTGTGTCTTTTAGGCAGAGCAGGGCATGTGGATTTATCTGCGTTATCTCGGCTTTTCATTGAGGCTGCGGACACTCCTAAGCCTGCACAGTAGCGGCTTATTATCCAGACCCTCTGTCCCTTGGAACCCCAACCCCAGCCCTAGCCCAGCCCAGTAAATCTCCTTCACTGCCGGAGGGGCGAGAGCAAATGGAGAGGAGGAGAGAGAAAGCAAGTAAAGGAGACGAGAGGGCAGAAAGGACTCAAAGGCAAAGTGGACAGGGGAGGGGAAGGTCAGGGCCAAGCAGGATGAGCACCTGGGTCCAAGATGGAAATCCCAGACCTCAGCGTGTTGAACTAAGGCTGGGAAGGTGCTCAGATAACACAGGGAGGCCCTGGGAATAGGGCCAGGGGTGTCGGAGCCCAGCGGCCCCTGGACCTGTTCCATCCTGTTCCATCTAGGAATAGAATGGTTCAGGGAACAGGGATAAGCAGAGCCTGCCTGCATAGGACTACGAGGACACAGACGCAAGGCTTAAGGAGAGAAGAGAGGCAGAGAGGAGACGGGAGAGGCCAGGGAAGACAGAATGCTGGGGAGAAGTGGAGAAGGCAGAGGCAGGCAATGGTGAAAAAGGATAGGACCCTGGTGTGTTTGCAGACAGGCCCCTGATCCTGCTCCAGGAACTCCCCATCACTATCACGCCCACTTCCAAGGCCTCCCTGGGGATAGTGGTGGCTCCTTCCGAGGCCCTCCTCAACCGTCCACAGTCCTAGGAGGGGGCTTGAGAACAAAGTACAGCTGGCTCAGGACAAGGTTTTGTAAGGGTTCAGAAGAGAGGGTTGGGAAGGGGCAACTGTCCCAGGGTGGAAGGACTAGGAGGGCAGAAGGGTGGGGAGGAGGTGTCTGCGCACCTACCACTTCCAGCGGAGCTGCTGGGCGGCGCTCCTGAGAAGGCCGTGGGAAAAGCCCACAGACGGAGGAGCAGCTGGGCGCACCTCTGGGGGCCGCCACATTCACTCCTTTCCCGCAACTGGGCTTCTTCAGAACTACGCTCTTGATTGGCTGAGCTGAGACCCAGTCTTTCACCCTCCAACGCCCTCATCCCGGGGTCCCCCTTGGTGTCAGGAGTTCCCTAGCCAGGTGAGAGGTGAGCCGCGAAGCCAGGGGAGTGTCCAGCCGGCAGCCTGTCTCCGGAAGGCCGGGAGGGAAAGGCTTCCTGGCTGCAGTGTCCACATCGGCCACCAGGGGGCAGCGCAGGGCTGCCTTTTAGCGCCTCCTGGTCTCCAGTGAGCTGGTCCGCAGAACCCCAGGGGCGTGGGGACGGGGCTGCCACTCCCGGACCCGCCCCCTTCCACACCCTTCCCGCAGCTCCTCTGCAAAACGCCTCAGGAATTCAATCAGCTTGGGGAAAGTGGCGAGTTTTCAAAAGGCAATAAAGAGGCAGATCTATAAGGGCCCCTTGAAATCCTCCGTATTCTCACCCCGTTCAGAGGCTGGGGAAACTGAGGCTCAGAGAGGTTAAATTGCTTGCTTAAGATCGTCCAGCTCTTTCTCTGGCCCCCCAGTTCGGTTCTCTCTCCAGACATCCACTGCCTCCGCATCAGGAACATCGCTCCACTGCTGCATATCTGGGGATAGGGATGGAGGAATCCGGGCAGCCATCATGGAGGAAGCAGCAGCACTTGAACTTGGCCTTGGGGTGGGGTAAGAGGCGGACTCAGTTGAACAATGTGGGGGTGGGCACTCCTGGTGGAGTCACCTCGTGGGCAAAGGCAGGAGGCAGAGGCCTGGGGTCCCGGGAGGCAAGTGGTTTCTTAGGAGAAGTAGGAAGATAGCGGGGATAGGAAGTGTACCCATATCCCGAGGTCCTTGCAGGCTGCCCAGGTCTCTGCCTTTAGAATTGCGGGGTGGCTCGGCCCAGGAATTTTCCTGAATTCCATTATGCTGAAAGCGCAGAGTATGGCAGGAGACCTCCTGATTATCTCATGTGGAGGTGGGAGTAAGCAAATAGTCTCCCCCGCCACTGGGGCACGAGCCAGCTGCCCCTCCGCGGCCGGGAGCCCAACCCTGGGGAAGAGAGCAGCCACGCCCCATTCCTCCACCGTGACTCGAACCTTCAGCTGCTGGAGCCCCTGGCCACCGGGGCCCCGTATTGACCTCAGAATTGGCCGCGTCTGGGGCGGCTCGAGGTTCCTGGGCTCTGAGCAAGCGTCAGCCTGTGAGGTGGAAGGGCCCAGGGCACAGCCGGTCCCATCTGCTCAACAGCGCCTGCGAAGAGCCCCATGGCCAGCAGCACACTCAGCTCGGCTCTGGCCTGCAGGGGGATGTGGGACAGGGAGGGGATGCAGTGAAGGCAGCGGTGGAGCCCAGGACGGAGTTTCTGTCCCTGGGAGTCTGGGCACACAGTGGGTCGCAGGGGAGGAGGAGGCCCTGCTGTCCTGGCATTGCTGTTGCTTCCACAACCTGAAGATGGCACCCAACCCTGACCTCAGCCCTCCCTACCTGCAGCAGCTCGGTCTGGCCTCCCAGCCCCAGACCATGTCTGAAGTCATTGAGTCCACACGGTTCCACCGCCTCCTTGGAAACCCTTTTCAGAGACTCAGAGTTGAGAAGCTGAAGCTGGGACTCGAGCTCTGGGGACCAGCAGACCTGAGATCAAGGACCAGCTCTTCTCCTTACTAGCTGAGGGGACTGAGCCCCAATTCTCCCACCTTTATAATGGCGGAACCAGAATAAAGATAAAACCTCCTCCTGGGGTTGCAGTGAGGATCTAATGAGACACGAGGAGACGCCCCAGCACAGGGCGTGGCACTCACCCTGTGTTCAATCATAGCTGGCCCTGTTATGACCGTTTTCATCCCCTTTACCATGGATGGCCTCTCATCTGGCCATTGCAGGTGACAGGTGTGTCCATGTCCCCTAGACATCCTGGGCGTGCTCAGCTCTCCTGGCTTTCAGCCGTTTGGCAAAACACCCTCCAGCTGATCTTGTATTTACCACAAGTCAATTGTGTTTGCCCCCGAGCCTTTTTCATGCCAGCTGTTCTTGATATTATGAAGGCACAGGTTAATTAAATATCATATAAGCTAGCAAGTTTTCAAACTAGTTGGGTTTGTTTGTTTGTTTTCAGAGGTGGGGTCTTGCTCTGTCCCCCAGGCTGGAGTGCAGTGGCATGATCACAGCTCACTGCTGCTTCAAATTTTGGTGCTTAAGTGATCCTCCCACCTCGGCCTCCCAAGTAGCTGGGACCACAGGTGTGTGCCACCACATTCTGCTAATTTTTATTTATTTATTTATTTATTTACTTACTTACTTACTTACCTACTTTGTAGAGACAGGGTCTCACCATCTTGCCCAGGCTGGTCTCAAACTCCTGGGGTCAAGGGATCCTCCTGCCTCGGCCTCCTAAAATGCTGGGATTAAAGGTGTGAGCCACCATGCCCAGCCTCAAACTGTTTAAAGATTCCTTTATACTCTTAAAAATCATTGAAGATCCCAAACAGCTTTTGTTTCAGTGGCTTGCATTGATTGATATTGACTATCTTCAAAATTAAAGATGAGAGACTTTCAAAGCACAGAGACACACAAGCACGCATTCCGTCGGCTGTCAGAGGCCAGGGCTGGGGGCTGGGGGCTCTGAAAATCTTTATTTGTACCTTCTGGAGAAAATGAGAGCATCAAGGGCAAACAACATCTCAGTTTGACCGTGAAAAGAATTTGGACTTTGGATTCCCTGAAAGGGTCGCAAGTGGTCCCTGGGCCACTCTCGGAGAGCCACTGAGGGAAGCTGATGAAATATTAATGCAGAAAGGGAGCTGCTCCCTGAATGCTAGGCTGGAAGCTTTGGAAAGTCCCAGCACAGATGAGGGTAATGATTTGGGGAAAATAATCACACAAATAATGAAGGACTCTGCCTCGAGATTGCCTTGCAAGCGCCTTCCAGTTCTCATGTCCCTTTAGAAACACTGAAACCAGAAATCAGTGCTGATTCACTGCTCTGTGGTTTCTGCCACAGAGATGACCCAGAGCTCCAATCAGTGGGCTCATGCTCAGAGAAAAGGTTTTGGCTCCATACCAAAAGGCAGACAAATAGATGTGCTGTACTTCACATATTTGAAGTAAAAATAAAATGTTTAAGAAATGTCTATGTGGTTAAGTAGGACTTCCCCACCCATCTAACTTGCCCAGCTAACGCTGCAATTACGGATGTTGCAAGAACGTTGACTCGACCCAGCCTTCCCCTGCTACGGTAAATGTCCCTCACCCCTCCACCCTCAGGCTGGACACCAGCTCCAAGTCTAATCCTTGTCTTTGACCATTTGGGGCTTGACTTTGCCTTTGACCTTGCCTCCATTGCCTGCCACATCCTTCAGTTAGTGACAAGCACAAGATGGGTCAGATTTGGTGGGTTCCAACACTGGGTCCAGTACTAAGTGTGTGACCTTGGAGCAGTCACCTAACCTCCCTGAGCCCCAGCTTCCTTTTCTGTAAAATGGGAAGTTACACATAAGCATACATATACCCCAGCTCTGTGGGTGCCGTCAGTAGTGATGTCACCATCCCATTGGTACAGTGCCTTTGAGATGGCCCTTCAGCCGTGCTTCCTACTCCCAGCCCCTGTGATCACTCACTTGGACCATAGAAGCCTCAGCCTTAGTCCTTCCATTTCCAGGCACTTCTACCTGCTCCAAATTAATGACCTAAATCCCTGCGCTAACCAATAATTCCTCTGCTCAGAAAATGTCAGTGTGGGAAGCTCAATACACCACTAGTTCAACCAAAGGCATTTACCCTGAGACCCAAACCCTCTTTGACCTTGTGCCCACTTACCTGGGTGGCTTCACCTCCTACTGCTACAACAATCGTGCCTGAGGACCATTGCTGAGGTGACCTGCCCCCACCTCCAGGGTCCAGATGCCATGTGGAGGGTATTACATGCGTGAACCCTTATCGCCATAAGGGCCTGAGTCTGAGTGCATACCCATTCTGCAGATAAGAAAACAGAGGCTCAGTAGCATCAAACCCTCTGCCTAAGGTCACACAGAGGACAATGGCAGAGCCAGGATTGTAGTCCAGGTCTCCCTGACTCCAAAGCCCAGAATGTTCGTATACTCCTTTCCGGAGGCACTGAGACCTTCCCTGCTCTTTTGGCCTTCCCTGCTCCCTGCCCCTGCTCACCCCAGCCCCTCCTCTCGGCATGCCTGCCCACCTTTCTAGATCCTGCCAGTCTTTAGGGCTCAGCTTAACGCCACCTCTTTCCTGATGCCATCTGGGTCACAGCCCCCATGCACCCTGCAGACCTCTCCTCTGCTGGAGGTTCTGACATTTGCACAAGGCCTGCATTCTTCTAGGCTCTCCCTGTTCCTTCCTTAGGAAAGTGAGCCTGGCCCTTACGGTGAGGTCCTCTTTCCCTGCTTCACACTCCAGAGCGGCAGGCCCCAACTTTTTGGCACCAGGGACCAGTTACATGGAAGACAGTTTTTCCACAGTTTGGTGGGGGGGATGGTTTGGGATGATTCAAGCTCATTACATGTATTGTGCACTTCATTTCTATTATTACTATACTGAAATACGTAATGAAATAATTCTACAACTCACCATCATGTAGAATCAGTGGGAGCCCTGAATTTGTTTTCCTGCAACTAGGTGGTCCCATCTGGGGGTGATGGGAGACAGCAACAGATCTTAGATTCTCGTAAGGAATGTGCCACCTAGATCCCTCACATGCACAGTTCACAATAGGGTTGGAGCTGCTATGAGAATCCAACGTTACCACTAGGAGGTGGAGCTCAGGTGGTAATGTGAGCGATGGGGAGCAGCTGTAAATAGAGATGAAGCTTTGCTTCTCACCTCCCGCTGTGTAGCCCAGGACTGCTACTGGCCCATGCCCGAGGGGTGGGGGATTGCCTGCTCTACAGCATCATCACACATGCCTTTGCCCCATCTAAGTTTGTTGAGTGAGTATTATGTGCAGTCACTGATTCAGGCTCTGAGGCTGCAGCCATGAACAGAGTTCCCACCTCAAGGAGCGGAGGTCCCTGATGGGCAGAGGGCTGCTGAAGCAGCAGCAGACACACAGATGGTCCAGTCTCAGGTGACAGCTGTGAGCAAATCAAGCAGGGAGGCTGGCCATGCAGGAGAGGTATTATTTTGTGTAAGTGGTCAGGGAAGGGACCGTAGTGAGGCGAAGGCACTGGCCTGGCCAGGGTCAGGGAAGGGACCGTAGTGAGGCGAAGGTGCCGGCCTGGCCAGGGTCAGGGAAGGGACCGTAGTGAGGCGAAGGTGCCAGCCTGGCCAGGGTCAGGGAAGGGACCGTAGTGAGGCGAAGGTGCCAGCCTGGCCAGGGTCAGGGAAGGGACCGTAGTGAGGCGAAGGCACTGGCCTGGCCAGGGTCAGGGAAGGGACCGTAGTGAGGCGAAGGTGCCGGCCTGGCCAGGGTCAGGGAAGGGACCGTAGTGAGGCAAAGGTGCTGGTCTGGCCAGGGCCAGCGAAGGGACCGTAGTGAGGCGAAGGTGCCAGCCTGGCCAGGGTCAGGGAAGGGTGTGCCAGGCAGGGCACCCCAGGGTCACAGGCCAGTACAGGGAAGGGCTTGGTGTGCTGAGCATGGCGGTGAGGTCAGCATAGCCAGGGCTGAGGTGAGTGCGGGCAGCTGAGGTCTCAGAGGTCAGCAGGGCAGGGTAGAACCCAGGGAGGGCCTCGAGGGCCATGAGCAGGTCTTGGCCTTTTATCCTAGGTGTGTTGGGGGGTTGGGGAGGGTTTCAAGGAAGAGAGTGACATGGTTTGAAGGACTGCAGGGGAAAAGTGACAGTGGAGGTGCCAGGAGGGCCTTGGCCCCGGCTCTCACCACCATGCGGGAGTGGTGCGGGGGTGGGGGGTGTTGAAGCATAGGTTTCACTGTTATTCGGGTAAAGTGAGACCAACAGCTCAGAAGATTGTCTTTAGCCGGGCTCAGTGGCTCATGCCTATAATCCCAGCACTTTGAGGAACTGAGGTGGGTGGATTGCTTGAGCCCAGGAGTTCAAGACCATCCTAGGCAACATAGCGAAACCCTGTCTCTACAAAAAAATACACAAAGTTAGCTGGGCATGATAGCAGGTGCCTTTAGTCCCAGCTACTCAGGAGGCTAAGGTGGGAGGATCACCTGAGCCCTGGAGGTTGAGGCTGCAGTGAGCCGAGATGGTACCACTGCACTCCAGCCTGGGCATCGGAGTGAAACCCTGTCTCAAAAAAAAAAAAAAAAAAAAAGATTGCCTTTGGCACAATGGTTTGTTACTCACAGTTCCCAAGAGGAAGAGACACACCGGGCTATGTGGGGCCACTGGGAAGCACCGAGGGGAGGAGGCAGAGAGAGCCCTGGGGAAATGGTGAGCCAGAGCCTTTGCTGTGGTTTTCACAGGAAGAAATGGACAAACAGCAACTGGGCTATGCAGGGCTAGAGCTGAGTTTGAATAATTTTATGGGGCTCAGAGTGTCTGGGCTTCCAAGTTTCTGGCCCCTGGCCCGCGGGGCGACTGGGGAGCTGCATTGCCCACTGCAAGTGCTCAGGAAGGGAGATGGTCGGGGTGGGCTGGGATTGGCCGTTTTGCACACAAAAGGTGTGCTCCAAGTGCCTCTATATCTAGGGGTTAGCTAGTCCCGAGAGGGCAGTCCTTCCCAGGCCAGCAAGATGTCAAAGGATCATAAAATACAGAAAATAGTCAACCAAACTAATACAAGAGTGGTCAAGATGAGGGGGCAGAGCCGGGAGAATGGTGGATCCTATGAGGCAGGATCCACCATTGGTCTCCTTACTATGACCAAGTGAGATCACCTTACTATGGTCCCTTCCCTGGCCCTGGCCAGACCAGCACCTTTGCCTCACTATGGTCCCTTCACTGGCCCTGGCCAGACCAGCACCTTTGCCTCACTATGGTCCCTTCCCTGACCCTGGCCGGGCCGGTGCCTTTGCCTCACTATGGTCCCTTCCCTGATCACTTACACAAAATAATAAGACAGGACGGTGAGAGAGTGGCTTGGGAAGGGGCGGGGTGGCTGTTTGGTCAGGGTGGTCAGGTTGACTGGGAAGTGGCTGTCAGCCTGAAGGAGGAAGCTGGGGGCAGAGCCTTCCCGCAGAAGAGATGGCAGGAGCAGGACGGCCGGCAAGATGGGTTCCAGGGTGGGTGTGGGCGAGCAGCGCCCGGGTAGAGCTCAGTGACATGGCCTGCATGGGCTGGTCACTGCGACTGAAGATGGAACCCTGCTGGGGAGGCGGCTTAGGTGGAGAGACAGACCCAAGAGCTCTGAGTCATTAATGCTGGGGGCGCCACCTGTCACGCAGTGGGTGCACCAGCCTGCGCTCAGGGCTGAGGTCTAGGAGTCATCGGCATAGAGATGGCGTCTGAGGCCACGGACTGGATAAGAACAGTTATGGGAGAGGGCTAAGGACTGAGCCGCTGGGCACCCCGACATTCATGGCCAGAAAGAAGAGCAGGTGCAGCCATGGAGGCAGGATGAGGACCAGCGAGGAGTCCGTTGTTCTGGAGACCAAGTGAGAGTTTCAGGAGGAGCTGCCAACAAAGTCAACAGGGCCAGGAGATTGGATTAGGAATGGCATCTCCAGACGAGCATCTGCAGAGGGTCTGACAGGGTGCACTCAACTTGACCCTCAATGAAGCAGCATGTTACCCACTCCCAAAAGAACCCCTTGCTTCTCGTAAGCAGAGCTGTATTACCAAAAAATTGTACTCAACTATTGTATTTTGAATTCCATCTCTAAATATTTGTGGAACCTCTTTTCTCTGTGTTACATTAGTACCTAATATCCCTGTTTTTCCTCTTGGGCCCACAAAGTCTAATATTATTTACCATCTGGCCCTTTATGGAAACACTTCAGTCATCTTGAGCCAGAGCATGAAAGTGGAGGAGGCATTTTGAGAATGGATGAGGGGCCATGGGACACATAGGACCCAATGCAAGGTACAGTGGCTTCCTGAGGATCAGGGCATGGCAGCCTTGGGGGTGACCTCGTAGGTAGAGGCGCTGGTAGGCCTGAAACATTCTGGGAGTGGTCTTCGTGTGGCCTGGGGAAAGCTGGGGGTTCAGTTCCAGCCCAGCCTCCTCTTGGGGCTTGGTCTCTGAGGCAGATGGGGAGGTCATAGAGTGGAGTAGCTGGGGAGGAATGAGGGTATCTCACCAGAAATATGTCACTGTCCCCAGTATCGCCCCTCATGCCTGTTGCAGTTCTGAAATGCTTCAGGCAATGCTGTGATCAATGTCTTGTCTGTTTCTGATCAAAATCTGTCTGCTGCACTGCATGCAGGCAGGGACCAGCTCTGCTCTCCCAGGTGCCTCTAATACCAAGGACATGGCTGGCGATCCCTCAATATTTGTTGGAAGAACCAGTGAAGGAATCAATGAATGAGCAAATGAACAATGTCCCACCCTCACCACAATGCCTGGCCCAATGACTCGTGCATAGTAGATGTTCAGAAAATATTTGCTGAGAAAATTAAATTTTGGCTTTTTTACACTTTCTAGCTCAGGTGTATACGTTTGGTGCCTTTGAGGCCCTGGGCAAGGCCGAGCCCTGGGGTGGAGCAATGTGCTTCTGATGTGACTCAGGGCTCAGGGGACTCCTCACCGCAGCTAGCCCATCACAGCTAGCCCCTGAAGTCTGCCTTCAGGGAGGCGCAGACAACTCACGCCAGCCAGCCCAGGGCAGGGGCAATATCCGTGCCAGCAAGTCTCGGCTGAGAGAGCCTTTTGGCAGAAAAAGCCATGTTTATTTCCCTTGTTTCCCCCTAGAAATCCCAGTCATCACCTAGACCCCTGATGGGTTGAGCTGCAGAAAACCCTGGCCCAGGTGACCCCAAAAACCACTGGCCTTCCCTGAGGGAACTTGAAAGGGGGGCATTTGAAATGGAGGGGAAGGAGAACTAACCCTTGAAATGTAGACAGGCTACTGAGGATGGAAGCCTGGGGCTGGTGCTGAGGGTATATAATGCAGCACTATGGTTAAAAGCACTGACTCGGAATGTCTGAGCTGCATTCTGCTCTCTTTCTGGGGATCTGAGCTGTGTGACCTCAGGCACGCATGCAGCCTCTCTGATCCTCAGTCTATATTTGTAAACTCTGAGACCCACTCATGAGCAAGACAGACCTGTGGGTGCAGAAAGGGCCTGTGGTGTACCCAAGGTTAAGAGATGGCTCTCCCAGGCTCTCTGCTGCGGAACTGGGCTTTGAATCCAGCTCACCTGGCTCCACTCAGGGCTCACCCTCTTCCCACACTGTCCTTGTCGGTGGCAGAGTTTGGTAGATGTAAATCATAGTCCCTTATGGTGGGAAAACAGTCGAAGGGGGATGGCTCATGACCTGGGGGAGATGGGCCAGGGTGCAGGGAGAGGCAGCTGGGATTTCCCCACCCTGATTCCCTGGCCCCCACCTTTCTCTGCCGTACCAGGAAGAGAATTCCTCAGGGGGCGTTGGGCCTCCGACCCTGGGCAAGTCACAAGGCTCAGGGAGGCCGAGGTTTCAGCCTCAGCTGAGACTTGCCCGCTTCTAGATCTGACCAGGACCTGACTTTAAAGGGGCCTTTCAAAGCATGCAGAGCTGAGGGTACACCCCAGAAAGCCCCCAGGATCCCCACTGGCCCTCAGGCCTGCCAAGGACCCTGCATGAACCCGGCCTCCTCATGCTGCTGGCAGCTCTCCACTGTGGGAGAGGAGGCCTTTCACAGTCTCTGTGTCCCAGACACAGTGCCCAGCACCTATAGGGCAGTCAGCAGAGGCTGCCCAGGAGGGAGTAGACCAAGTCTCCTCCTTGCTTTGCCACAGGTTCAACAAGGAAGAACCCAGGTGCAAGCCTGAGCTGGGTCCTGGGTGCCCCATGGTAGGAGGACGCAGCCACTTGCAGGTGGCAATTTAGAGAGCCCTGTTGCTCCTCCCCAGAGTCTCTCGCAGGCCTGCTGCATTGCCTGAGAATCCCCACCTTCTGCCTTCGTACTCAGCCCTTACAGTCCAAGGTCAGCAACCTGTGCAGCCTGAGGCTCCCAGGATGGCCCACAGTGCTCAGCCTCCTGCCCTGGACCCGAGTAGGAGCAGGTTTGTAGAGGATACTGGGGATGAGCCAGGGGGCTGGGGACAGGGTTGGTGAGGACAGAGATGGTGGGGGTGAGTCCAGCCTGTAGCCATCAGTGAGACCAGACACCAGCCTTCCAAAGCCCAAAGCCACGAGGCTGGGGGCCACGGAGGTCACCAACCCCTGAATAGGGACTGGAAAATGTTCTATTTCTCCAACTTTCATAAGCTGCTGCCTTTGAAGTCAACAACAGCTGAACTTCAAAGCAACTCAAAACTACCTAGGTGGCTGATGTGTGTAGTTTACACACATCCTGGAAAACTCACAAAGTAACTTCACAAGAATTTTTTAAAAAGTAAAAAGGTAAATAACTAGTAAGCACTCAAAAATTACTTCTACCAAGAGCTGGAGAAATTGTCCTGTCTCCATTGTGGGGGACAAGGCTGACTCTTGGAAACCAGGTGACCTTCCACGGGAAAAACACTGTGATGTGAATTGAGGAGGAGGTGGGTCTGTGGCCTGACCCCTCGTGTCACCCTGTCCCACCTACTCCACTACCCCAGTCACAGGGCCTTGCCTGGACGGGAAGGTGCGCTGTCCCAAAATAGACGCATCCAGAAGCTCGGCCTTCTGCTGAGGGCAGCCCCCTCCCCACTCAGACCTGCCTGAGCTGTACAGTAGAGCACAGGGAACCAGCCACGGGGTACCTCCTCCATCCCACGCTTGGCTGACTGGCCAGCTCTCCACACCACCCTCCTGTGCTTGGCCGAATACGGGCCTTTGAAGATGTCCATGTCATAATCCCTAGAGCCTACAAATATGCTCCCTTCTATGGCAAAAGAGGCTTTGCAGATGTGATCCAGATATGGGGAGATGATCCCGGATTATCTGGTGGGCCCGGTGTCATCGAGAGGGTCCTTACGACACCAGGAGCATGAGGGTCAGAGAAGGCCATGTGATCTCTGAAGCAGAGGGAGAGAGTTAGACTTGAAGATGCCATGCTTTTGACAACAGAGGAAAGAACCAGGAGCCATGAGAGCAGGCAGCCTCTCAAAGCTGGAAAAGGTAGGAAAACACTCCCTTTGAGCCCCTGGAAGGAACCAGTCCTGCTCATCACTTGAATTTAGCCCAGTGAGACCAACTTCAGACTTCTGGCCTCCAGCACTGTAAGATCATAAACTTCTGTTGCTTTGAGCCACTAAGTTTGGGGTGATTTATAGTAGCTGCTGTAGTTTGGATGTGTGTACCCCAAACCTCATGTTGAAATCTGATCCCCAGTGTTGGGGTCATGGGGGCAGAGCTCGCAAGAATAGCTTGGTGCCATCCTGGGGGTAGTGAGTTGTTGCTCTATTTGTTCCCGCAAAAGCAGGTTGTTAAAAAGAGCCTGGCACCTCCCTCCCCCGGCCCTGCCCTCCCCTGTGACCTCTGCGCAGCCCGCCCTCTTCACCTTCCGCCAGGCGTGAAGCAGCCTGAGGCTTTCACCCAATGCTCAATCCTTAGCCAGCAGAATCGTGAGCCAAACAAGCCTTTTTTCCTTTATACATTTCCAGCCTCAGGTACTCCTTTATAGCAACATAAATTCACAAAGCTCCCAGGCCGACAGCTGTTCCGGCCGATGCAGCTTCTGCCCCACGGGACCTATTCTGTCTCTGCTGCTCTGCAGGGAACCTTGCCCGGTGAAGTACTGGGAAAACCCGATTCATCAGAGTGATGTTTTCCTATCAGTCCCCATGGGATCCACCTCACCATAGGCAGCACAGCTGCCTGGAGGGTGAGATTTCTGGAGTAACAGGAAAATAGTCACCCACATAATCCCTGTCTCCACACTCAGGGATCCTTGGAGTTCCTCCACCTGGAGCACAGCCTTTGCTTCAGTTCCCAAATAGGGTCATTTTGTGGGGAAGAGGCATACTCCTCATCAGGATCCTTCCCGAGGGCTGGTTTCTCGGTGGGGAGTGGGTGGCCTCACGGGAGAGGCTTTCAGAGGAAATCTGAAATGGAGGGAGGTCATACCCTCAGCCCTCAAAGATGCACCCCAGCCGTCCTGCTCCTGACTCCCACCCGTCCTCCATTCCCTGCTGGGTAAAGCCATTCCTGACCCTCGCAGGAAAAGATGGGGTCTTCCCTATTTCCAGCCTGGACACACCTGCCCCCTACCTCAACACACCACTGTGGGAGGTGGTGCTGGGGAGAAGGCTCCCCCAGGAAGGTCTGCCCAGAACTGGGGGACCCACCATGGTCCACGCTGTGCTCAGGATGGCCCAGCTTTCAGAGCCCTAAGCCTGAGATGTCCCCTCTGTATGGGCTGAAAAGTGTGCCCCAAATTCGTATGTTGAAGTCCCAATCTCGAGTACCTCAGAATGTCACTGCATTTGCAGATAAAGTTGTTTAAAGAGATGATGAGGTTAAGATGAGGCTGTCAGAGCACGCCTTCATCCACTCCGACTGGTGTCCTTATAAGGAGAGGAAGAGGCAGCAGGGGTGTGTGTGTGTGGCCACATGAACACACAGAGAGAATCAGCCATCAGCAAGCCAAGGACAGAGACCCCCAGAGAAACCAGCCCTGCAGCACCTTGATCTCGGGTCTCTGGCCTCCAGACTGAGAAAATCAGTTTCCGTTGTTTGTGGTCTTTTGTCCTGGCTGCCCCACCTGAGTGCACACCACACCTCCTTCTGCGGGCTTGCCCTCAGCAATAAGGACATGTGCCAGAGACACCAGGGGTCTCAAACTCACAGCTGCCAGGGGCCAGGCAGGCCACCGGAATGAGGCCTGTGGTCACTTAACCTTCAAATTTGAAGGTCTGAAGACAACGCTAGGCCTGACTGTGGCTGGGCCAGACCTCCCACCCTGACTCACACCCCAACAGGACTCGCACAGGGAGTCCCTGCTAACATCTGAATCCTTTTCTCTCTGGTCTTGAGTTTTCTTCTGCCTGTTGCTCGCACAATCACACCTCGTCTCTCAGCAGCCAGCACAGCTGTAACTCCTCTTTACACAGAGCCTGCACAACTCGAGCAGGTGCGACACTAAACCACTGCGATTCACTCATGCACCAGGAAGAGCTTGGCTGCAGAGGAAGAGCACGCGCTCCACAGGCGTCACTCTTATGGGTCCATCTTTAATTATGTTAAATATTAATAAAAGTACAGCGTAACTGCGATTCACTTAACATACCTTACAGGACTAAGGGAGTACAATTTAACACGGTCACAACTTTTGAGAACAAAAAGGAACTTCAATACCATGTTGTGAGAAATGCTCCAATTTGCTTTGGTTTTGAATGGCAGGCTCGAGAACCACCGCCCAGAACGGAACCTATTCTGTCAGCAAGAGCCGGGCCTCGAATGAGAGGAAGCAGAGGCAGCCGAAGTGCCCTCTGGAGAGAAAGGCCCCTGGAGGGAAAAACCATGTCTGGATGGCATTGAGTGGCACAGAAGGGATGGGACTGCATATATAAAAAAGATCCGCATAATAAACCAAATAATATTGGAAATAATACCTTCAGTAATACTTCTGTAAGAAGCAGAATTACACCACATGTTATTCACATGCATAGGAGTGCATAAGAAAAATCCCTTGTTGTAATTATGGTTGGTGTGGAATAGTAAAATATGTACTGAAAATGACAAGTTAATTGGCAGAGAAATTAATCTATAAAAGGGTTGTGTCCAGAGCGGAGGAGCCTCATTAGCAACTGAACAGAACCCACTCAGAAGACGCACTCACCCACACGTGCGCGTACACACACACACACGCGCGCACTGTACTGCAAATAAATATACACACACACTGAAGTGATCTCTCCCTAAAGCATCCTTGTGCTCAGGCCAGATTTCCCTGCTGGCGGCTGCTCCCAGTGCCGGCTATAGAGAAGGTGGGGACTGTCCCTGCAAGTGGGAGTTCAGGACACACGCTCCTTCAGTAGCAAAAACAGCCCTGGCCATCCTGGCGCTCAGAGCCCTCTGCACACCTTCGAACGGGCTGTGTGTCCCTTCTCTGATGGCAGAAAGACAACACCAGCAGAAAGACGGCTGAACAACTGCAGATCCTCCTACCCCCGAAGCCTGGTCTGTCTCACACATACAAGTTAGAGCTGGGTAGACGGGTGCTTGCACTTTCTGGCTTTGGTGGGCGAGACCTTGGCCTGAGAACTTTGGTTCACAGGAAGCTTCCCTTGACAATACTTGAGTGCAAAGCTTCATCCAGGTCCCACCTGGGCTGTTGCCAAGGATGCTCAAGCGTTCTCTTCAATCTTCCCTGTGACTTCCAAGAAACGACAAGATCTCTAGCCCATCCATCGGTAAACCAAGCTGCCAAGTGGCCTGGAAAATTCCATGAAGAACACGGCTCTTAGAAACCTCATTCCAAATCTCAACACGCCACGTTCAGCCCAAGTTCAGCTTGTGCATTGTGTTTTGGAATTGGGACACGAGTATCTATAGTCCCTTGCTGGGTGAGGAACTTTGACCACACGCAGTGGAGAATGTGGAAATAAACTATTTCCAATGGGAAGGCAGAGAAATGGAGCCTGTAGCCGGCCAGAACTAAAAATTAAAATCCTCTGTTTCTCTGATGATCTTGTAAACCTGATGAGGGCTTGAATTACCTAGATTTTCCAAGAAGTGTTCAATTCCTTGAGGTTGCTCATTCTGGCATTAACAGCAAAAATTTCTCTTCCAATTATAAACTGAAGTTCTTGAGAAAACGTATGAAGAGGCAGCAGAGAGAGAGCCAGGACTGGTTAAATGCAGAAAGTGGTTTTGTTTTAAACGCATTCATTTTCTATGTTAAACATAAGTCCACAAGGACAGAATAGGAGGAGGTCAGAAAGATGAAGGTGCTGCCAAAAACTGACTTATTTTTTTCCTTTTGGAAACAGTGACGTTAACAGGGTTTACATCTGAAGAAACTGGAGGGCTGAGTTTGGAGTAAAGGAGAAAAAAAAAATGAAGAGCCTCCATTCTCGAAAGACTGCGGTTCTCTGTCCCAGTGAGGTTAGCGATCGCAACAAGAGTGTTTCAGAAGTGAATGTGGTATGATCACACCTGTGAAGATAGCCATTGAATACAGACAGTCTGTGCAACACGGCGAGACCCCATCTCTAGGGGGAAAAAAAGGGAACGTGAAGTGTAAGTTCCAGCCAGGCCTGTGGCATGACCTCTGGCTTGCTGACTCAGAACCCAGAGGCTCTCCAGAAGGCGGAGGCGGGCAGGGCCAGGCTGCCTTCCCTAGGTGTTCTCTCCACACCCAGTGCAGGCCAGCTGGCTGCATCCCCAAGCTCCAGGACGCTCAGAGCAGAGCTGAATTCTTGAGAAACTGGGGTCTCCAATGGCCTCGGATAGAGGAGCTCTGTGAGGGGTCCATTGCTGAGCTCTCGAACATCACGAAGGAAATTCCAAAATGGTTATAATTCATGTGTGCCTAGAGTGGCAGAGTCCTGGGGTTTTCCATACCATGAGTGAAACAGTTCCCCGCAAAGAGATTTGTAAAATCCTGATGATGACGGCATTGGCGGGCCCAGCACGTGCAGCAACAATTCAGCTCTCACGTCGTCTTCCACGCAAACGCCTCATCCGCGAGGACCTGCGCCAGCCTAGCGTTGAAGGGCCTGTAGAAATCCCGCAGAATCTTCTGTGTGATGGGCCACATGGGCCCCAGGTTCCGGTCCTCGGGACGCCGTGCATTGGATGCGGGGCTCTTGGTCATCAAAGCCTCCTGCTTCTCACTTAAGGGCCCTAGAATAAAAGAAGACGAGTCCCGTAAGGCAGGAGGCATGGCAGGAAGTAAAAGGGACTTTGCAAAAATCCCAGCTATGCTTCGTATTCAGACAGGAGTTTCCTTTAAGAGAACATATTTAGGGATTAAAATTCTTTGGCTGGATCCATTTTGGAAGCACTGAGGGAGGAAGGTGGAAACACCATCAGGAAATTGCGAAGAAATTCTGCGGCGGGTGCAGGATGCCCACCCTCGGGGGAGCCCAGCTGGCATTTAATGATGATACAGCGTCTAAGGCTGACCTCAAGGATTCCCTTCCAATTGCCCTTGGTGGGCTGCTCTCCATGGGTGTCAGCCCGTCCTTGGAGGAACGTGCGGCCTGCCGAGCACAGCCCACGGGTTTCGGTTTTCCTGCTCAGCAGCCCTCTGGAATTCCGCCATCATCGTTTCTACTTCAGGCTGCTCATGCCAAGGTCCCTGGGCCTGCACAGTTTCACCCTGTGCGTCTTGCTGTGAAGTGGCCATAGGGAGGAGGGCTGGGAGGAGGCCACTTGTGCCCAGAGCCCCCACTGGCTGAACCTCCATCTGCAGCAAGGAGATCAGGGAGAAGAGGCCTGCCGGCAAGGGCTGTCAGTCAC
Organism: Homo sapiens; assembly: GCF_000001405.40. Taxonomy (NCBI): domain Eukaryota; kingdom Metazoa; phylum Chordata; class Mammalia; order Primates; family Hominidae; genus Homo; species Homo sapiens. The sequence continues at coordinate 124,010,958 of NC_000010.11, forward strand.
CCCCACGCCCCGCCCTCTGGAGTGAGGCGAGGCCCTGGAACAGGCTGGCAGAGGTTGTCAGTCACCGCCACGCCCCGCCCTCTGGAGTGAGGAGAGGCCCTGGAAAAGGCCGGGAGGGGCTGTCAGTCACGCACACGCCCCGCCCTCTGGAGTGAGAGGCCCTGAAACAGAACAGCAAGGGCTGCGACCCCAACGCCCCGCCCTCTGGGCCACAGCTTCTTGGTGTAACCCATCACTGCTCAAGCCTCTTTACCGGGGGCTCTTGGGATCTGGCCAAAGTCCTTAGCCCATAGACAGAAAAAGCATGTCCCAGCATCCTAGGGCCATATGAAACACAGAATTGGCCTTACTATCCATCTTGGGGACAAAAGACAAGCTCATTAATGGGACAGAGTCAACATGTGGTCAAATCAAAGAAAGATGATTCTAAGCCTTGGAAGGGAAAGAACTCATCAAACTCCAAAAAAAGGAGAAACAAAATCAAATGATCAAAGAGGCCCAAGTCCCAGTGGCAGGCAGATATATTTTCAGAAATACTCAATTAACCAAGTTCCCGGGCAAGACCATTAGTCAGGGCTGCAGGAGGCGTTCTGGGAAGGAGGGCGGCTTGTTCGAGCCTGCTCAGCCTTTCAAGCCATCCCTCGGTGCCCCGTCCACATGGGCAGCACTCGCTCCGCCAGCACATGCCTCTGCCAGCCATCACCATAGTCAGCAGTGTGGCCTGTCACCACAAAGTGACTCTCAGGCCCCTGGGGGGGCTGGTATCCACAGGCTGAGGGCAGGCGCTCATGCCCCAGGGGCCCAGCATCCATGATCAGCAGCCAAAACTCAGCCACACGGCTCTGACTCCTGGAATTTCCAAGAATACCGGAGATGATGCAATGATCTGTCTGTTCCCTCCTCTAAGCCCCAAGTCCTCTGCTCCAGCCCCCCGGTGACATCCTGTTGGTCCTACAAAGCTCAGCTCTCAGGCCCTTTCCTTCCATGAAGCCTTCCTCATCCGTGCAGTAGCTGGGATCCCAAACCATCAGCACATACCTTACATGACAGTGCTGACCTTCCCCACGGCATCCTACCTGTCATTCAGTTAGGTGAGCTATGGCTTCCTCCTCTCCCTTCACTAGACCATAAGCTCCCAGAAGGGAAACCATCTCCTTCTCTCCAGAGAATCCCTCACCATACTGTGCACAATGACCTATGTACAGCTAGTGCTCAATAAATGGTACTTAACAGGCCTCCTGAAGGACATCCCCAGGCCTCCCAGCTCAGCCCATTCCCACCCAGCTGACCAGGTCTGCATTTGCCCCAGAGGACTCCCAGAACAAGTCCACGGAGCTCATGCTTTGGCCCGTCAGTCTAAGCACCACACTCATACCTAGGTTCAGAAACTGGAAGACCTTGTGCATGGTGTACTTGACGTTGGATGCATGATCTTCCAGGCGAAGAATGAGAAACTGTTGCTTGTCAAAAACGCTGAGCCAGTCCAGAAGGTACACAGCATAGAGCCCAACCTGGAGCCTCACCTAGGACCACAGAAGAAGGGCATTATTTCAGGAGCAGTTGCCCCAACACCATAGGGCACTTTTCCAAAGTGGTATGGCATTTCACTGTACCACAAAAGAGTTATCCTAGCAAAGTTACTTTCAGAAGCTGGATTTTAACACAAGGTGTTCTTGCTTCTTTATGGGGGGTTTTGTGCTACATGTGCAAAGAATTCCTATATTAGGGGTTGCATTTCATCCTCACAACACCCTGTGGGTAGCGCCATGCCTCCATTTCACAGGTAAGGACTGAAGTGCAGGGAAGAGGTCAAGGTTGTGGCCACCAATGGTGTACATGTTCCTCGCACAATATCCTGGCTGTTTCTCTGTTCCCAGTGTGACCTCTATGCCCAGCACACAACGGGATGTGAAAAATCAACCACAGACACCCCAAAGACAACCTACATGAGTGAAGAGCCAAATGCCTGATGCCAGAGGAACATCCTTGACTGTGAGGGTGTGTGTAATTCAGCATCTAATCATTACTGAACCAAGTACACAGGAGGATGTTTCTATTTAAGTCCTTTCTACTTTCCAGTACCCATTTCCCGGGTCTTCACCCTTCTGTTCCTTCTCTCGTGCCTTACTGCAAGCCGTGTGGTGAAGATTTAACTCTACTCAGAGAGAACTCGGGCCTTTCCCTCGGCTCCTGGGGGTGATGTCTGGGCCCCTGGATGTCCTGCCTGACAGAAGTGTCTTGGTTGGCCTGAGGGCTTTGGTCATAGGCAGGCTAACACTGAGATTGATGATGGGGCCTTGGGCCACATGGTATCAGTTCTGACTCTGGTAGGACTGGAGACTAAAGGTCAGCCACAGCATCTGCATGTGACGGAACCCTAGTAAAAGGCCTGGACCCCCAAGGCTTGGCCTGGCAATACTCCACGAGGATTGCCACATACCATGGCCAGTGGCACTAACACCGTCCATGACTCCACAGGGAGAGGAGGACTCAGAGCTCCGCATTTGGGCCCCTCCTGGAGTCTGCCCCCTGCACTTCCTCTCCCTTGGCTGATTTTAATCTTCATCCTTTCCCTGTAATAAATCATAACCAATAGTGTAATAGCCTCCAGTGTGTTCTGAGAATCCTTCTGGAAAATTACTAAACCTGAAGGTGGGTTGGAGAATATCTCTCCTGAACTTGCAACTGGTGTCAGAAGTGAGAGCAGTCTTAGGAACAGTTTCCTCTAACTCCACAGTTCACCCTAAACTCTTAGCAAAGCTTCCAGAAAAAAACAGCCTCATCCCCTTTTGCTGTGAGGCCCCCTTCTCCAGGGCTTCTCCCCTTGCCTCTTCTCCAAGTGCCCAGGGACCCTGCTCTGCCTATCTGTGTCTGCCCAGAACTTCTCATCTCCCACCTCTCCCCAGTTCACACCACTCCCTTTGTTTATGCCCCATCTACACCTGCCTGAAGCTGATACAGCCTCCTGGCTAGTCCTCCTTCCCCTGGTCTCTGCACTCTCATATGCACCCTGCCACCAGCATGGGCTTTCCAAAGCAGTGATCTGGCCACAGCCAGCCCTGCTTAAAGCCTCCATGGCTTTCTATGTGTAGAAAGTCCTGGGCCTGGCTTAAACTTCCAGCTCATCCTCTCATACATGCAGCACTTCCTGGCTCCCCAGGCTCCTCCCTGGAGTTCCCATTTTTTAGGCAGACACTCTCATGTCACATTTCCTTTCCTGCCCAACTTGACCTGGACCTTGACCTTGAGGGCAGGGACTGTGGCTTCTCCACCATTCCCTCCTTGCAAAGCCTGCACTCTGGCCCTCAACATGGTTCTCGGGTGCAACTGCTGAATACAGTGCTAATAATAAGACAATGAAAGATTGGGCAAAATATGTACAGATGCTAACTATTCTTTTCCCATTTCATTATTTTTCTAACCATGGAGGAGGATGGAGAGGAAGAAAAGCAATTAGAGTGGATAAGTTGCCTTCAAAATTCATTAGCTGTTTCCAACCCACACTGTTGCTACCTCACATGCCAGCTCAGAAAAAAGACCTCAAGCTGGGCCGAAACTAAAGAGAAAATGAGAACGTGCCGGTCTCAGAAATAAACATGTGTTGTCACCTCCAACGCAGACGAATCATGACGAGACCAACTCGCTGTTAAGTCACCCGCCTCCCGGGGCTTTTCAGTTGTCTCCCTGGCAGGCTTGTAGGCCGTCCCTCGTAGGGGAGACCAGTCTGATGAGGTTTTTCTTTTCCAGAGGACGTGCCTTTCAACAGGAGAACTTTCCAGAAGGAAAGCAGCCAGGTGTTTGTGGCAGGCTGGGGTGTTTTAGAGCAGCTGTAGTCTGTCCGAGCACCTGGCTGGGCACCTGCACCTGACAGATAGTTCTCTGAAACCTTGTTTGTGTCCATCCTCATGAGAGCCCCCTGTGCTGTCTCAGGTGGACACAGGCCTGCACCGCAGCATGGTCCTCCTCAGCAGGCAGGGCTGAGCCAGGAAGCGGAGGAAAAGAGGAAACCGCAGGGGCTGCAGGCGGCAAAGGCCTCCTGGCGCTCGGCTGCTTCTCCCGGGGCTAGCTCCCCTCCCGCTTTGTGCCTTCCCTCTGATCTATCTGCTCCAAACGCCCCTCAATTCCCACCCCAACCCCCAGCCCCCTTGCCAAGCAGGGGGAGTGTGGTCACCTGAAGTGACAGTTTCTGGTGCAGGCAGTATCACTACTGCAACCATATGCACCATGAAGACAGGACAAAGACAGCCCCCAGCAGATTTTTTTTCCCCTCACCTTTTCCCGGTATAGGACAGAGAATCAAAATAGAACAAAAATAAAAAGCGTATTTAGGGCAAGTGTCCAATGTGCTTAAAATTAGAAAACATCAGAGCTGCAAGAAGCCTTTGAAGTTAACCGTGCCAGCTGATTCACCAATAGAAACATGGAGGTGCAGGGCAGGGCGGGGGGGGCTACTCAGGGTCAGTGGCCAATACCCTTGGAGCCAGGACCTGAAGCCAGGTCACCTGTGCTTGTGGAGCTTGTCCCCCATGCAGGGCCCCAGGGAAAAGCAATCCCCACCGAGAGCCAAGGCTGAGCTGAGCACAGTCCCAGTCCCCACTTCTCCCCAGACAGGTACCAGGCCGAGCCTCTCCGTCCCCTACTAGGGATTTCAGTTGGGAGTCCCCAGCCAGCCTCCCCACTAGTCCCCATTCATTCATTTGGCAAATAAGCTGAGCTCGTGCCACCATGTGCCAGGCACCCTGCTAGGCAATGGTGATTTGCTGCTAACAGAAGTGGCCCTGGCCTCAGGGAGGCTGCAATCTCATGGAGACAGAGCTCAACTGGTAAAGAAACAGACTTCCGCGATCACCTTGTGATGCATGCAATGGAGAAAAGGAGTGGGTGGAGAGAGAAGACAGTCAGAGTAAAGCAAGCCCTGGAGCAAGTCTCCCCGACCCCAGAGGGCACGAAGGAGGGAGTGGTGACGAGCCCTGGTGGCTCTCCAACCGGACCCCACAAACACCCACCTGGAGGGCCTGAGAAACACACCATGGCCCCGTACCCAGAGTTTCTGATTCAGGAGGTCTGGGACTGGCAGAGCGTTTGCATTTCTGACAAGTTCCCAGGGGCTGTGGCTGCTGCTCATCCAGGCACCAGGCTTCTCGGGACCCTGCTCTGAGGCAGGCTCACTGGCCCCTCTGAGCACCCCTCAGGGTAGGGTGTGCTGCGGAACAGTGGCGGGGGCTGGCCAGAGGCAGAGGGGTCTGTGCTGCCCCTGCATCCGGGTGCCACAGGAAGGCGGTGAATGACTCCAGCAGGGTGTGCCGGGGCCCAGGGTGCCTTACAAAGCTGCCCTCCCAGGGCTGTGGCAGGGCTGGGATTCACATCTGGAGGGAAACCGGCTTCTCCTCCCAGAAATGAAAATTCACCTCTATAAGGAGGGTTTCTGATTGCCTGGCTCTTTCTCTGGTGTGTGAGTTCTCCAGGGACTGAAGATTAAGGGACAATCTGTTACTGCTGCACCCCTCCTGTCCACTGAGCCTGCCCCTGGGGATCTCCTCTGAGCAGAGGCACCTGCTAAGCTACTGTCTTGTCATCCTCAGCAAAACGCAAAATTGAGCATAAAAGCCCAGGCCTCCTGCCAGCAAAACCCTTTGCTTTTAGGAGCCAGCTAGGGAAGGCAAAAACTCCCTGAGTGTCAAACGCCAGCAGACCCAGGATTGAACCTTGAGCCTGCCTGATACCAGCTATGGATGGGAGAACTAACCTCTGTGAGCCTCAGTCTTCCCACCTGTAAAACAGGGATGGATTTCAGGGGATCTCTAATGAGACGATGCATTGAAAGGGCTTGGGACAGGGGCTGGCAGTAATGAACAAAGGTTAGATCCCTTTCACCTCTCACAGATGGAGTTTTAGAAACCTTTTATCACGAAGACTCAAGCATACACAACACAGGGAGGATCACGATGGTGCCCATGAACTTATGGCTCAGTTTCAGCTGTGCTCTCCAGTTCACAGTCGGAGTGCTGACCCGCAGCAGGAGGGCAGGGGCACACCCTCCCTTCTGTGTGGGAGAAACTATCCAAGGGCTTGCCCCCAGGGCGCTGGATGGGAGTCGGCACACTCTGCATGGTACAAAGTGCCCGGTAGCAAGCAGACTGTACGTGCATATTAGATATTAGCTCTTCTGCAGCAAGAAACACTATTTAAAGCTATTAAAATAAACTGTGCCTTGGGTCAGGAGTTCCCCCCTGCCCTGCCTCTCCCTGTCCATCTAAACCCAGCCCAGCTTAAGCCGCTTCCTCCTAGGAGTCCCCAGTGCAAAGCCCACACCTGCCCCACTTTTCCCAGTCCTTTTCAGGCAGCCTCCTGCAGAGAGAACTCAGTGGTCCCAGGGCCTGCAGGGGAGGGCTCTGGCACCTTCTACGACCACATTAGCCGGATACCTTGCCCCTCACTGTCCTCATCTGCTGACAGTGACAATGACTGACTCCTGTCTTCCCACCCACCTATCGGGTTTGTTTTGAGAGTCACGCAGGATCACCAAGAGGAGAAAGTTTCAAAAGGCACAATGTGGTAGAAACGCCCAGGTGGAGACACAGGCCTCATTCCAAGCACACAACTGGTCACAGCACCGTCCTGCACCTTCTCTCTTGGACCAGGGCCTGCCACGCTGTGGGTGCAGAGTAGCAACCACTGAAGATCAGATGGTTGGGGAAATGTTGAAGCCAAACACACATCTAGGGGAAGCTGGGTTAAAAGGCCTAGATTTGGGTCCTAGATCCTCTGCTTACTGGCTGTGACTCCAGAGGAAGGCTGCCTCCCTGAGCCTCAGTTTTCCCAGTAGTAAGCCCCAGGCATGGGAGGGCCTGTGTTAAGGTGTAGTGCCAGGTTGGTGCTGAGTCTACACTGGCTGAATCCATCACTTCCCATCCGTACTCTGACCAGCACACACAGCCTCCTCGGCAGGCTCCACCTGGTGGCTCTTGTCTACCAGGAGGCACTTGGGCAGAGAAGGGAGCCAGGCAAACTGGGTCACCTGGCCGGCTGGGGCCGGGAACCACCAATGCCTTCCTCCTCCTCATCCCTCCCTCAGTCAGGGTGCTGGCCTCAGACAAGCCTTGAAGGCCGTGCACCAAGCTCTTCCTTCCCTGAAAGGAGGCCCCTATCAAAGATGGGACAACACTCCTATTTGGTTCCTCTTGGATTTTCCTTGGACTTTTCCCTCAAGATTCATTCCTGGAGGGGTCCTGCACCCCCTGACCCTCAGGGGACAAAGGTGCACCCTTGCTTCCCACACTAAAGTAGGCAAATCCCCCAGCCATGCTTTAAATTCACCTGGAGACAGTCTCCTGACGATGTCACACATTTTGTTTGTAATTACAGTTGTTTAGGATTCCAATTATATCATTTAATAATGCTGGGGAATTTCCTCTCTTTGCTTTGCATTTATAAATATTGGCTGATTAAGTGAGAGCATGAGTGCCAGCCAAAGAAGTGAGCTCGGAGCCACGAATCCCTGTAAAGGGAAATTATCTCATGGTCATGCACTGGGGGAGACACAGCCAGGCCTGTCTGTTCAGATTCGCCTCTGTGCCCCCGGATCTTCAGAGATTAGGATGTACAGGGAGGGCACCTCTGCTCTGAGCATTTTATGGCCAGCTTCAGAGGAGGAGGGGACAGGGAGGCAAGAATGGCCTTTCTGCTTCTGCTGTTTTCTCAAATGCCAAGCTGTTATATTTGGGGGCAGTGTGCCTTGAACCCCATCAATAGTGATGGCAGTTCAGCATCTTAGAAAGATGCCTGGTGCAACGGATCAAGGTGAGAAGGGGTCTGGGGAGGGGCTGTCTCCCAGAGAGAGGGAAGCTGTGCAGGTGGAGGTTACAATGAAAGGGCCAGTGGCTGAATCAGGGCAATAGCAGAGGGTAGAACAGTGGAGCTCTCTAGAAATACTGGGAAAAAGAGGGAAAAGGACTCGTGGGTGGATTGAATCAGGCATGGTAGGATGATGGGGAAACCCAGTCCGCGAGCACGTTCCCCGATTTGTGTGCCAACCTCGGCATTTGACCCATAATAGCCCTGGCTCTGAGCTGCTGCTATTACTGTTTATGCCAGGACTGAAGGTCCTCCATGCGAGGCCTGCAGGATGGAAGAGCCACCTGCACCAGGAAAGTGTAGATGTGGCACGAAATGGGCCTGGCCTGAGTCACAGCTGCAACTTGATTCGTGTCTGTCAGCACACTGGGCACCCCTCTCTGCTCAGCATCATGATCAGTGCTGGAAGAAACCACAACCCCACCTTGAGGCGTCATGCCAGCGCCCCTTTCCTCCTGCCAGCCCCAGCCCTGAGACCGCCCTCAGGGAGCTGCCTTGAGGACCGGGTGGGCTGCCCTGCCTGCTCTCTCAGACTCACTCCGTAGGGGTCCAGGGCCAAGAGTCACAGCTGAGAGTGGTTCTGGGTCACGAAGCCGGGTCGACAAGCTGTGCTGGTCAAGCCACACACAAATAGAGTTTCTCCGAGACCCTGTGTCCCCTGTGACGGTGGCCACAGAGCCATTGAGTCATTCCCCCTTTGACAATCATGGCCCTCTCCCCGACTGCTCTCTTCATCAAACCCAAGCACAAACACGCACAGGTTTCCCGTTTCTCCGGGTCTCCGTTTCCTTATGAAGGCTCCCTCCCGGGTTACATGAAATTTACGTTAAACAAGTATGTGTGCTTTCTCGCGTTAGTCTTTTATTATAGGTGCCTCAGCCATGAACACAGTAGTGAGATATTCCTTTTCCACTCCTACACTATCTTCTGCTTAAAACCCTCTGAGGGGTCCCATCTCTCTCAGGGTGATGTCTAGACTTCTTCTGAGGCTAGACCAGGTGGTGCGGCCCCATGTGCCACGCACCCAAGCCCCCTGCCTCAGTGCCCCCCATCTCCCACACCAGGCGGCTGGCTGCGTTCTGTATGGTAGGTGGTGCTGACCACTGGGCCTCTGCACACGCTGCTCTCAGTTCCCTGGCCAACTCTCCTTCAGGCCTCAGCACAGACATTCCCTCTCCTAAGAACCTGCCTGAAGCCCCGTTCTCAGGTGGTTCTCTGGTGGCCAGAGCTCCCTGCCCAGCCTCCATCTTCTCTCCCCGCCAGCTGCACAGGAAGGCAAGGACCACACCTGTCCTGGCATTGCTGTGGCCCCAGGACCCAGCGTCATGCAGGGGACATAGTGGCAAGAATGAACGCAGGAATGCAAGACAGACCCATCACAACAGCCTGGTACAGCAGCATTATTACCCCATTGTATGACAAAGCAACTGAGTCTCAGAAAGGCTGAGACAACTGCCTAGAGTCACAGAGCCAGCAAATGGCCAAGCTGGAAACCTGACCCACACCAATGGCTGGTTCCAAAGTGTACTCCTCCTACCTGGCACCAGAGCAGGCTCTGGGGTTACCTGTGTCCCTGTGGCATCTTCCTTGCCAAACTACAAAGTCCAACAGGGCAGCCTGGAATCCCACCTGCTGCCCCTGCATGCTGCCTCCCAGATCCCACGGCCTCTGTAGTAAGAAAGAGGGGGCAGAGCCTCTTGGCCTGAAGTCCCACCACCTGGGGGCTTCCAAGACTCCACAGCAGGCCTGTTGGTGCCTTGCTATGCGAGACGCTGAGCAGAGCAAGGCTTGTAAAGCCACTCTGGAACACGCAGCGGCAATGCTCGCTGCATAAGCCCTGCTGTTGAAGTACACAGCCAGCCCAGGGAGCCCAGCATGGAAAACTATCCCGGGGCTAAAAGGTGCTGAATTCACCAATAACAGCTTTTTGCATTCAAAAAGGCTAGAAATTTACAGACATAGTTCTGAAGGAAGAACAAGAGATACGATTGAGGAATCAACAGAAAATGTTTTTCAATTGAGACTCTGTCAAAGAAGCATTGAAAATCATTGATGGGTAGTTTTTTAAACCAACAAAACAATCCACCGCTCAAGAGAATGCTCTTAAGACAATTTGAGAGTTGGGTGTCCTCATGTCTGCCGATTCTAATTGCTGGGTGTCTTGCTAAATGGTAATCTTCCTAAAGGCACCCTCATCCTCCTGCTGAGGGAGGAGGGGGAGGTGGCAGGTGACCAGCAGGGAGGAAGGCAGGAGCCAGACCAAGAGCCCATCAGTTTTCAGCTTTTACATCCATGAATAATGGGGAACAGCATTTGCACATTAAAACGCTTCTCTCTGTTCCTATGCTGAAACGCAAACCCACAATGCCGCTTGCATAATAACAACAAACCAGCTCCTTCTGCCAGGGGCCAGCTCGGGGGGTACGGGGGGGGGGGGTACACACAGGCATGGCGTTGTTGAGGGTGTTGTTGTAGACGCAGGCGCGCAGTGAATAATCAAGCATGCAATTTTCAAACAGCTGCAGTGCTTCTGTCACTTTCTCATGGAAGTCGTCCGCGGATTTATTCGAACTTGCAAAGTAGAGATAGTCTGAGTACAACCTGTGAATAAAATAAATGCATATTTTTACCACCCATGAACATGCAATCACACCATTTGGGCGACAATGAAAATCAGTGTACAATTACATTATCTAGTTTTCCTGATTGAAGCACAACCACCCTTCTTCTTTCCCTTGCAGATGAGCCACCTCCCTCATCCCTCCGAGCTCCCGCCCTTCTCGTGGCCACCTAAGCTCTTCCAGACCCAGACATGTCTATACTGGCCCCACACAAACCACCAGCCGCTTTTATGGTGTTGCTTGTTCTATCATCTCAGGCAGCCTCTGTTTTCACAGTAACAGGGAGCTTCAAACAATACCAGATTACAAAAATGGTACACTAGCAAAGAGAAGCCATGAAAATTTTATGCACCTTCTCATTCCTCTCTCCTCTACTGAAGGGAACAAAAATAAGAGCATCTGTTGCTCTCACAATATTACAATTCCGCATGAAATTCCCACTACTTTGCATACGCATTCCTGACATTGAAAAAAAAATGATGAGATGTATCTTTCTAGGTTGGTAGGGACCTTGTTTTTAACACGATGTAAAAGCACCCCCACATATGCACAGGAATACCTGCAGACTTACACGTTTACCCGTGGACACAGATCTGTTCCTAGACACCACACACACGTATGGCAGAATGCTGCCGCACGGGAACTGATCGTCTTCCTTGACCCACTTCAGGCTCCTCTGTATCCTCCTCCCAACTAGACCTTAACTTTTTTACCTCCAGGTCCATCTCTGCACCACCCTATTTTAGCAAGAATCCTGCTGTTAAATAAAATGTATGAGAGGCTACTGTTCTGGACTGAGCTTCTGCAATAGGCCCCCACAGGCCAGAACAGAGTCATCTGTGCTAGGTGCCACGTAATTGAACTGAACTCGGAATGGGCCAGTTTCCAAAAAACCAGGGGATACACAGCAACCAGTCAGACGTCCCCTTTGCTTTAACCCTAGAAGGAAAGTCACTCTGAAATGAACAATCCACTCTCCGTTGCCTGTTTTTGCTTCTTCAGCCCGTTTCTGCCTATAAAGCCAGAACCTGGCTGGGCCCACAGGAGCACCTTCGTATTACAGGAATGGGATGCTGCCCTGTTCATGGACCGTGCTAATAAACACCAGTGAGATCTCTAAACTAAATTTGTCAAAATATTGTTTGTTGACACTGCTATGCTGGTTTAGCCAGAATCCCCCACCCTTGGTTAACTGACCACCCTTCTTATCTGATCAGGTTCCTAGTCCACCACCCCCAGGAGATGCCTGGCCACCTGGCCTGTCTCCAGCAAGAATCCCATCGGGTTGGTTTAGCCAGAATCCCCACCCCTTCCCCCTTGATGTTTCCCCTTAGTAATTTTCTAGCCACCAACCCCCTCGCCCTGCTCCTTGGCATTTCTTTTTTTTTTTTTTTTTTTTTTTGAGACAGAGTTTCACTCTGTCCCCCAGGCTGGAGTACAGTGGCGTGATCTCAGCTCACTGCAACGTCCGCCTCCTGGGTTCAAGCGATTCTCCTGCTTCAGCCTCCCGAGTAGTTGGGACTACAGGCGCCTGCCCACCAAACCTGGCTAATTTTTTTGTATTTTTCGTAGAGATGGGGTTTCACCATGTTGGCCAGGCTGGTCCTGAACTCCTGCCTCAACTGATCCACCTGCCTCGGCTTTAAAATCCCTACTTTTCCTAGTTGTATTCGGAGTCTCTCTCCTCTACTGAAAAACTGTCATGGCAGTCCCTATACCTACCACAATGGTCCTGAAGAAGGCCTGCATTGCCATTTTAATAAATGTCAGGGCCAGGCACAGTGGCTCATGCCTGTAATCCCAGCACTTTAGGAGGCCGAGGTGGGAGGATCACTTGAACCTAGGAGTTCAAGTCCAGCCCAGGCAACATAGTGAAACCTTGTCTCTACTAAAAATACAAAAAATTAGCCAGGCGTGGTGGTGCGTGCCTGTAGTCCAGCTATTCTGGAGACTGAGGTGGGAGAATGACCTGAGCCCAGGAAGTTGAGGCTGCAGTGAGCCGTGATCATGCCATTGCACTCCAGCCTGGGCAATGGGAGTGAGAACCTCTCTCAAAAAAAAAAAAAAGAGGTGTTTTTATCTTCAACAGAACATTCAGGGTGTGAGTTTCCTACTCTTTTTTCTCCTCTATCTCTCCTTGCAGCCCTTTTTGTCTGTTTTCAACCTTCCTGCCATATGTCCCACTCTCTTCTTGCACACACACCTGCATCTCTGGGCCAAGGGTGAAACTGGGCTTATGAAAAACATGGCCTACGTGGCTCCACAGGGTCACACTTCTCTCTCCTCAAAGCTCTATACTTTCTATTCCTTCAACTTCTCCAACCTGGCTTCCCCTCTTTCCAGGGAAGGCAATTCTGTGACTCTCATTCTGCACCCATGCATCCAGGTATCTGACATCCATATTTCCGTCTTCGTTTTTTTTTTTTTTGAAGCGGAGTTTCGCTTTTGTTGCCCAGGTTGGAGTGGAATGGCGCAATCTCGGCTCACTGCAACCTCCGCCTCCCGGGTTCAAGCAATTCTCCTGCTTCAGCCTCCTGAGTAGCTGGAATTATAGGCGCCTGCCATCACACCCAGCTGATTTTTTGTATTTTTAGTAGGGACAGGGTTTCACTGTGTTGGCCAGGCTGGTCTCGAACTCCAGACCTCAGGTGATCCACCCACCTCAGCCTCCCAAAGTGCTGGGATTACGGGCGTGAGCCACCACGCCCAGCCGCCATCCATACTTCCAAACGCTCCCAGACCTTCAGCCACATACTACCCTGCAAAAACTGTGCTCCCTTATAGCAGGGTCTGTTGCAAATGCGCCTTCTCCACTGCCCTCCCCTCTAATTGAGGTCATGATATGAGGAGCAGCATTTCTTAGGGACAGGCCCAGAAGCTATCCACCTCCGTAGCCCACCTTGGCACATCGGGTGCCTCTGACACAGCCCTCTAGAATTCATCCACGGCCAATGTCCACAGAGGACACCTCTTGGAAGTCTTGAGCAGTTTGAGATCTACCCACAGAGTTCCTAGAATCAAAACACCCACCGGAACAGGAGTGTTCCATCTACCACAGCCTGGCCAGCCAAACTGTCCAAAGAGACAGTCAGCAAAGGGGCTCGGTGGCCACTGAGTAGATTTCCCCAGATCCACACTCGCCTGAGAATATTCCCCAAGACAACACCACATCAGCTTATTACTGGTGTCCCCAACATCACCTGTGCTATTTTCCTTCTTCAGAATTAGAAGACACATCAAAACTGAAACACGGCATCTGTCGCCATAGGGTCGCTCATGGTTACTATGACCTAAATGGCTGGTCAATAAGTGCCAAAATCAGACACGCGTGAACCTTCAAGCAAGGTTTGGCTGTGTGCACTGAGGGGTGCCAGGTGGCAATTGGTCTGAGGGGTACCCTTCCTGGCTCACACATTTCCTATGAGTCCTGTCAATAATATGGCTCAGCCCAAGAAACTACGTCAATGAAAAGTAACAGATGCTTCTGAAACTGTCATAAAATCCCACGTTAAATAAGTATTCGAAGCCCAGTTTTTACCAAAGATGCCCACAGAACTACCCAAATTGTTTGGTGGAACTGGAATTCCATCACATAAATTACCTCACACAAACCCAAACACTGGCTGAAGGTTTCCATACTGAGAATTTTCTTTGTGGTAATAACATTTCTTGCAGATATTTGGCTCATAAATAAAACAAAAGCACCTAAGCTTGTCTTGATTTTAAATACAAAGTCACTTCATGAGGAATCTGCTGATTCCATACAATTCTTCAGAGATCAAGAAGTAATCCCTAGGAAAAACTGGGACATACCTACTGTTCCAACCAGGCAAGCCCACCCCTAGCAGGTGAAACGGCTGATTTTCATCTGTTTGAGGTGGGTTAAAGTGAACTCACTACCTCACTTCCTGTGAGTCACATGTACAGCCTTTGAGAGCCAGGCCACGCTCCTTCCTCGGCTGGATGAAAAGAGACTCCTTTGGCCTCTCAGTCACCTCTGGGTACTTTGGATCTGCTCAGAGAACTGGCAGTGGGCTTTGGGAGCCCCTCGAACCCCACTGCGAGAAACTATGCTGGGTCCCTGGCATCCTGCTGTGTCACAGACATCTGAACAGGGACTAGATTCACCACAAGCCATGGCCACCATCTGGATTCCGTAGTTGGATGGATAGTGGACACCAAAGAATTATGTCCAAGTCTGAAGCCCAGCCCCTGTGAATGTGACCTTTCTTGGAAATAGGGTCTTTGCAGATGTCATTAAGTGTAGGATCTTAAGACGAGATCCTCCTGGATTTACGGTGGTCCCAAATCCAATGGCAGGTGTCCTTATAAAAAGAGGAGAGGACAGACAGCACCACAGAAAGACGGAGACAGAGCCTGGAGTGCGGCGTCTATGAGCCAAGGAACGCCAAGGACTGCTGGAGGCCACCAAGAGCTGGGAGCAGGGGACGGCTTTTATCCCTTAGGGCCACCAGAGGGAACCAACCCTGCAGACATCTTGATTTAGGACTTCTGGCCTCCAGAATCATAAGAGACTACATTTCTGTTGTTTTAAGAAGCCAAGTTTGTGGTGATTTATTATGACTGCCCTAGGAAACCAGACAGATTTTAAACCCCAATTCTAAGGAAGACCAATTACTCCAAGGAGTTATTTTTGCCAATACTTCTCTGCCACCCTGAGACCCTGGAACAGTGGCCCTGAGGGTAGGGGAGGACTGGGGTCATGTGGCCACATTTCCCAGAAGGAAGCATGAAGGAAGGCAAATGCGGACAGGAGCACTTCCCTTCAGGGGAGCACTCAGACAGGGGAGCACTGAGACGGGGGAGCACTCTTTGGGTTCTCCCCAAGAATTAAGCGAATGCTTCCTAAGATTGTCTTCAAGTAACAAAGCTATCATTTCCCCCTTGACTACTCTCCAGGGGAAAAGAGTGAGTTAATAATCTTGGGTGGGGGAAAGCCACTCGGATAGGTTAAAGCCACTCAGAAAATGCTGAGAACAGCAAACATATCAAGAACAAGTATCCACTGGACGTCAAAAGGCCAGACAGGCACACTGTGGAACAAGATGAAACGTACAGAAACAAACTGAAATGTCTACCTTTTAGTCTTCAAAATCCACTATCCCATGAGGAAGTGGGGGAAGGAGACCAATGTAATGGAAAACACACAGCTCACGATCAATCATCACAGAACTGCAGGGGCACGGATGCAACCCCAGGATGCATTAACAGGGGCACGGCATGAGGAATGTGGGAGGGTGGAGCCAGGCGACAGGCAGCTCACGGCCTCAGCGGATGCTTGCTTTCAGTGCTGGGCACCAAACCTGGCTGCTCTCCCTGGAGATGCAAAAACTCAGCAGGAAGGAGCCCAGTCCCGAACTCCTGAAGGACTGACCAGCGGGCAGAAGGTTCGGGAAGAAAGCCTGGTTGCAGGCAAGGGGAAATACCTCCAGTCAGGGCAGGCTAACACGAGGGGATGGTCCTAGAAGGCAGGAGCAGCCTAGGCTGGAGGGAAGGAGGGCTCCAGGATAGCGTGGGGGCCAGGGGACATCATACCCTCCCAGCCCTGAGTTTCAGGGCTGCCCAGCCCCCTCCAGCTGAGCCACCTCATTTTCTTACTCTCAAACCATCCCGAACAGATGGGTATTACATTTGGCCAGGACTGTTTCCAACGACAATTCCAAATATAAGTCCAAATGCATTCCAGGCCTTCTGTGCTGCGGTTATTTTAGAAGGCTGTCGGCGCGGCCCCTCACACTGGGCCCGTGCTCATGGGGTACTGCTCAGCCCCTTTCCTGTGCAGTGCAGGGGTCCTGGGACCCCTGGAGGAGCGGTGGGATGGGAAATGTATGTTAGGGGGCATAGGGCTCCATCAATCCAGTGCCTCTGAAAGTGACCATGTCTCTCCCCAAGGGACAAAGGAGAGGCCAGCAGTGGCAAGGCCCTACTATGTAAAATCTGGATGATTACAGCCAAGACCACTGCTGGATTCATTCAGGGACACTTACAGCCAAGACCACTGCTGGATTCATTCAGGGACACTTACAGCGTGCTGTTCTGAGCCAGCGAGCAGAGGTTGGTGAGTTGATCACTATTAAAGCAGGAGCTGCTGCTGCTCCTCCCGCCAGGGCTCTGTGTGATTGCTTTCCGGGTTTAGTACCTGCAATGTTCTCAGTTTCCACTCCTGATGTGGATGCTGGGGGGTAGGGAGGGCCACCACCACCATGCCCTGTACAGGGTGCTGCATGCATGCTCTGCGTCTATCTTCACAACCCCATAATGAGATGTGGGCCACCCCATTTTACTGGGGGAGAAGGCTGACACTAGAGAGGTTAAGGAGTTTGCCCATGGTCACGCAGCCCAGGAAGCTCCAGGGCAGGGCTGGGACCCAAACAAACCCAGGCCTGCCTGACCCCAAAGCGCCTCACCCAGCTGGATGTGGCCCCTGCCCTCCGAGCTTAGGCAAGGAGACGAATCCACGGCTGACTAGAGTGGGTGCTGGCCGTCTGCACTGATAGTTTTCGGGTTTTGTTTGTTTAGGTGTTTTTATTATTTTAGGTGCACGGTGATTTGGAAGAGAAAGTCAATTCTTCTCCAGAACTACTTAATAAGTCACAGGAGACTGATAAACAATTACAAATGTAATAGAGTGGCAAATAAACACTTAGGATAAACGTGAGGAACTCCAATGCCACGGTCGGGAACAGCAAATGTGTTTACGGAACATCACATCCGGCATCTAGAAAAGTGACAGCAACAGCAAAAGGGAATTCAGGCATCTATCATGAAGCCGGAACACACTGCGGGATCTTGTATCTCTTGGAAAAGCTAATATTCCTTGGTGATCGCAATAGCTCATTAGAGTTTGATGGTTCCTGTTCCTAAGTGATGATGTGGTTGTTCATCGGCCTGGCCTCTATGTGGAGAACTCTGCAGGACCTGGCTCCAAGGCCACTAGTTTGGGAAAACCTCTCCCCATAGTGGGTTCCTCCTCCTTTTGTATTTTTGTTCATATCGTTTTTATATTGAGAAATGATCCACGTACCGTAGCATCCACCCATTTAATGTGAACAATTCGCCAGTTTTTAGTATACACCACACAGCTGTGTGAACACCACCACTCCCCAGTCCCAAGATGTTTTCATCACCCTGATGAGCGACTGCTGGTTCTAACACAGCAGTTCCCACAGGGACTCATGTCAGAAGTCACTGAGATCACCCAGCTCAAAAGGCACCCAAACGCACAAGCTTCAATCTCAGCTTCAGCTCAGACAAGGGCAGGCGCTTGGTGGCCTTGAGCTCTGACATGTCCTCCAGTTACTGCTCCACGTATGGGACTTCTCAGAGGGCCACCTTTGAGAAAAGATCCCAAGCTGGTGCTGAAGTTGCAGGCGGCTGGGAGCAGGTGACCATCCCTGGGCTGGCTCACCCCGGTGACGCTGGCCCCACCTCCCCGTGCTCCTCAAACACCCCCCAACCCCCCAGCTGGCTCCTCAATGACAGTTACCGGAACGGCCCCATTTCCTCAGGCAGGAGGACCCGAGATGGGGACACACTCATGTCCTCCAATTCACCCTCAACAACATCTTGCAGTGCTGTGGCCACGTGAGGGTTGTAATGAGAGGGAGCCAGGGCACCTGGCCTTGTTATTCTCCATTTGCTGGCATCCGAATTTAAATCACTGATCAATAATTCCCAGCCTGTGATATGGTGCCATCAATAATGATTATATATTTTTTTCCTACCAGGAAAAAAAGGCCATTTAATGTAGCTGAGACGGAGCCCTTTTGTTCCACTGAATCACAAACTGTGACTGTCTCATCAGGAGGCTGGATGAGACAGGACTGGCCAGGCCAGCTGATCTGGAGGGAATGTCCAAGGTCACCTTAGACTGAACACAGGGGTGACACTGGTGAGGCTCATTTTCTGCCAGTTACAAACATCCATGTTTGGTCCTAAAAACGCCCAAATGAATGGCAGGTGCCCTGTTTGTTGGGGCCATTCTATTTCCTACCAGGCCCTAGGTTCCTTGTGCACGAGTGGGGTTCCCAGCCCCTCTTTGTTCCTTCCAGAGCATCCAATCACAGGGCCCCGGTAACTGTTCACAGACTGGGAGGCAGCACTTCTCAGAGGCGACACCAAGCATCCCTGACATCTCCGAGCCTGGCGTGGTTTACAAAGCACCTTCTCGTGATTCACCAGTGACTCTCATGGCAGATGTTTCTACAAGCAAGAAAACTGGGGTGCACTGAGGATTGGCGGGCTACCCCTGGTTATAAAGCCAGGCGCAGGGTGTGGGCCCCTCACTGCAGGGCAATGGCCACTGCACACCGGGGCGGGGCCAGTATGTGACATGTGCTGCCACCCCCTCCTTCAACAGCGTCAACCTCACTAAGCAGCCCAGAACTCCGGGTGAGACAGGTCCCTGAACTGTGGCTGCCCCAGGGTCGTTTCTAAGTGCCCTCCCTGATCCCAGCCCAGCGGGCACACATCTCACCTTAGGATCTCTGCAGATACAGACACAACGGAGCTCTTTTTCCCTATAGTGTTCCTCCTGCTCGGAACCGTCCTTTCCAAACAATCATGTGGGAATACACAGGACTGCCAAGGACTTCACAAACATTTCCCCAAAACATAAACAGTGTTCAGCACTTGGGAGTTTTCAGCTTGGTGGTTTTTCTCCCACCAATAACAAGATGTGGCGCCTCACCAGGCAGTCCCTCCTGAACAGTCTTCAGAGAACCCCTTCACAAAGACCCGAGCTGTCCTTCTGGCCTGGGCGCTGCCAGCTCTCCCTCCCCGCTCTGTGATCGAGGCCAACCCCCTTGACCTCAGGTGGCTCAACAGCTCAGTCCTATTAAAGTGACCTCGTGCCGCTTCCAGGGCCCATATCAAGGTGTGTCAACAGGCAGCTTCTGGGAAGCAAAATGCCTGAACCCACCAGGAATCAATAGGCAGCTTCAATAAAGACACCGCACTACAGTAGTCCTCACAAGGACCCTTGTAATTCTTAATCTTCCAAAATCTTAGAGGAAAGGAAAGAGTGAGAGCTGGAGGGAGAGGTGAGAAAGAGAAATCGATCCGTGGCTATTGCTGCAACCTCTACATCCCCACGGCTTTCTCCTCATTCCGTCTCTTCTCCACAGAGGCGTTCTCCTAATTTCCCTTTGAGATGGTTTAAATCAATAATGAATCCCTCAGTGCTAGGAACAGCCTGCGTTTTAATCCTTGTGCAAATCTGTTCTAGAGAAAACATCGCATGACATTCCCAGTGCCAGGCTCTCTTCTGATTGAGAACACATCCAGGGCTTTCAATCAGTGCTTCTAGGGGCTGGGGGAAGTTGAGCTGTTTGGAGAGGGGCTTCCGGTGCTGCCTGAATAGCAAGAGAGATTCTCAAGTCAAAGTTCCGCTGCGGTTCGAAGGCATGAATCCGGCTCAGCTCCCTTCTGTGTGTGCTGGCTTTTGCCCTAGGGCGGGCATCCTGCTCCCTCTGATGTGGAAGTAGGTGAATGAGGTGCATCCAGGCTTAGGCATCCACAAATACCGGGTCCTTCCTATTTACAGAGCTTTGCAAAACTGGGGAGCCATCCTGCTAATAACTCACAGCCCAGTCCCTCCTGGGAACGAGCCTCAGCTGAAGAGACCACCAGCAGCAACCAAGGTTAAGCCTCCACAGGTGGTCCTGTCCAATGATGGGTGGATGGGAGAAGCCTCACCCAGAGATAGCTCTGAGGGGCTGCCCCAGCTCAGTCATTTACATGAAGCCTGGCCCTACTCCCTCAACTAGACAGAGGCTCCATGAGAGCAAACGGGATGGATTTTCCTCTCCTATGTACAGCTTGCATCTAGCACATCAAGGGTGTTCAATAAATACAGCCAGGCGTCACTTAACAGCAGGGATATATATGTTCTGAGAAATGCATCAGTAGGTGATGTCATTATGTGAATGTCATAGAGTGTTCACAGAAACCCAGATGGCACAGCCCCCTACACACCTAGGTGGCGAGGTACAGCCTACTGCTCCTATGCTGTCAGCCTGTACCGCAGGAATCCTGTGAGCAGTTGTAACATAAGAGTTAGAATTTATGTATTGAAGCATAGAAAAGGCACAATGAAAACACGGGATTATAACTTTACGGGGCCACCATCATATATGGGGTCCACTGTTGACCAAAACTTGGTTATGTGGTTTGCAACTCTGGGGAGTGAGTAAATGAGTGATCAGTTTATTGTTATTATTAGTAATAACTGATACCTAATAATAATAATAGTTACATATTTTCCATTTGTCAAGCACTGTTTAAACACGTTACTACAAATATTAAGTCATTTAACTCTCACTACCCTGGAGGTAGGACTATCTTCCCCCATTTTACCGATGAGAAAATAAGGCACAGAGAGGTTAAGTTTCTTGTCCCAGTTTACAGAGCAGTAAGTGACAGGGCTGGGGTTCCAATGCCTGTGTTCCTGCCACCATGACCCCGGTACACCTCCCAGACACTCAGCGGGTGAAAGCTGTGCACCACCCTGAGGCCCCCTCACACACTCTGCAGACAGAGTGAAACTGATGAAACCAGGATTCCTGCCCAAATGTTCAGCCCTGCTATTCCTCTGTGTCCCCATGAGTGACTGCCTATAACAGAATCCATTTCATTAAAAGCCTGCTTCCTTTCCTAGTTTATCGTCATAACTGAATCATTTGACCAGTCCAACGGGTTGTTTAAAAAATCAGTTTATATAAGCAGATGAAGAAAAGAACTAGCCAGGTTCCAAGACTCCAGGGGTTTGGGTCAAAATCGAGTTTGAATTCTTCGCCAAGCTGAGTTCTCCTTCCCTTTGGACTCATCATCACAGAATGGGAAAATGAACCATTCCTGTGGTGGGTTGTTTCTGGGCATTGCATTAAGACTACACACAGAATCAAACCCCAAACATAGACACGGTAAAATCCTTAACAGATGGTACATGACCCCACTCCAAATGTCCCTTGAATAAAGGAGGAATGCAACTAGGTTGGAGGTGCCAGCACCTTCCACGCATTTTTCACATTTAACGGGGGCTATAACTGCCTCTGAATTAAGAGACAAACACTATCAACTGTCTCACAAATGAAGAGGCAGGAGGCTAATGTGAGATGCATTTGAAAAGAATAGTCTTTACCACTTACGAATGGGATTAAATAAAGAAAAATTCTGCTTGCAATTGGTGGCTTCTTTTTAATTAACTGGGCCAATTTAGCATAGGAATGCATCAAGCTAGTTTTAAATTGTCATGATCTCTTACAGAGAGGAAACTGGAACATGAATTCTTGGCTGGCTTCTTTGGCCATATGAACCATCCCATCCACTTGTTTCCATTATTCCTCTGTTCTCCTCCAGAAAAAAAAAAAAAAAATGGACTTGCCACTTGACTCCTTCTCTGGAAATTTAAAAGTGATTTGACTTTGCTTAAAATTCCAACATTTTCAAACCCTCTACTTTGGATCAATTAGGCTGAATGTGAACCTAAAACTAAAAATAAAAGTGGTATTTCCCCTCTCCAAGCCAATTTATAGAAGGAAAAGAACAACTTGGACCAATCCAACTTGCAGCCAGCAACCCCCAAAATCTCCTGCTTCCAGAAGTGCAAGGTCACAGAACAGGGCTAATGGCCCAGGATCCCGTTAGACTGATGGAACTTGGGCTCAGAGTGTTTGTTTCTTCAAGAGTGACCTAAACACACAGTATTTATCATCCTTTCTGGCTGAGATGGGAAACGCGCCAACCATTTCAGACAGGCCATGGGTCATGGGCTTCGAAAAAGAAGAAATTCCTATTGTTACTTATTTTTATAAATGTTTAAGAAGAAATGAAACAGCTGCTATGTCAGTAACTTACACAGAAAATATGCACATAAACACACTTCCTCTGCCACTAGAGCTGGGATCAAGCTGGAAGCTACTCTCCCGGCTGCAAAGCCCAGGCCCCAGTTTCCTGAGGATCAGGTGCAGAACGGGAGGTGGCTGACTCCTAGGACGGTCCTCAGTGATCCCCGGTTCTTGGTATTCACACCCTGTAGTGTCTTCCCACTGAGTGTGGCTAGACCTCATGACTCACTTCTAACCAACAGAATATGGCAATGACGATGGGATTTCACACTCATGACTAGGTTAGAAAAAATCGTGACTTCTAATCTGCTAGCAGACGCTCTAGCTTGCTGGCTTGGATAAAGCCTGCAGCCATACCGGAGAGGCCCTGTGGTGAGGTATGGAGGGTAGCCTCTCGCCAAAAGCCAGCAAAGATGTGAAGCCCTCATTCCAACAGCTCTTGAGGTGCTGAATTCTGCCCACAACCATGTGCGCTTGGGAGCAGGTCCTTCTGCAGTCAAGCATATTGACGACCCCCAGCCTGATGACAGCTAGGTCACAGCCTCATGAGAGACCTTAAGTAGAGGACCCAGTAAAGCTGCACCCAGGTTCCTGACCCCCAGAAACTGTTTGAAGCTGCTAAGTTTTGGCAAACTTTTTCCGCAGCAGTACTAATTAGTACAGCAGGCAATGCAAGGCCTGGGTCAGCGTCCTAACACACGCTGCTGCCCTGGCATCCTGCCCTTCCCCTCAGCACCAGGACATGAGCCATGACGAAGCCGCCGCCCACTTCTCTGATAAAGCACCAGCTACCAGGGGGTAGGCACTGGGTCGCCACTGTTGTTCACCAGGGCACGTATGCTCAGTGCCCAGCACAGCACCCAGCCTGTGGCAGGGGCTGAATATGTGTTTGAATTGACCAACTATTTCTGTTAGGCTGAGGACCAGGGAGGCAAGAAGCTTTCACATTCAGTTCCTAGGATACATAGAGTATTTGTTATTAAAAGAAGAAAACACGGTGACTACTTGGGGGGACCATGCTGTGAACTGTGAGCCTCCTTCTAGCTGGCAGACTCAGGCTGGGGTAAGAGAGAAGAGTTTGGCAGGTCTTGCTCCTTGCTGAGCCGCTTGCACCTGCACGGTGCTGCTGTCTTCTGTTCCAGCACTCACCTTTGTGGTGTTGGTATCCTCAGAGGTGGGACCAGAACTCCAGGAAGAAAGAAACATACTCAGGGACCCTGGCTCCACCCCTAACAGGGACCCTGGCTTCATCCCCTAACAGGGACCCTGGCTTCATCCCCTAACAGGGACCCTGGCTCCACCCCCTAACAGGGACCCTGGCTTCACCCCTGATAGGTACCCTGGCTCCACCCCTAACAGGGACCCCGGCTCTACCCCCTAACAGGGACCCCGGCTCCACCCCCTAACAGGGACCCCGGCTCCACCCCCTAACAGGGACCCCGGCTCCACCCCCTAACAGGGACGCCGGCTCCACCCCCTAACAGGGACGCCGGCTCCGCCCCTAACGGGGACCCCGGCTCCGCCCCCTAACGGGGACCCTGGTTCTACCCCTAACAGGGACCCTGGCTCTACTCCCTAACAGGGACCCTGGCTCTACCCCTGATAGGTACCCTGGCTTCATCCCCTAACAGGGACCCTGGCTCCACCCCTAACAGGGACCCTGGCTCTACCCCCTAATAGGGACCCTGGCTCTACCCCCTAATAGGGACCCTGGCTCTACCCCCTAACAGGGACCCTGGCTCTACCCCTGATAGGTACCCCGGCTCCACCCCCTAACAGGGACGCCGGCTCCACCCCTAACAGGGACCCCGGCTCCGCCCCCTAACAGGGACCCCGGCTCCGCCCCCTAACGGGGACCCCGGCTCCGCCCCCTAACGGGGACCCTGGTTCCACCCCTAACGGGGACCCTGGCTCTACCCCCTAACAGGGACCCTGGCTTCATCCCCTAACAGGGACCCTGGCTCCACCCCTAACAGGGACCCTGGCTCTACCCCTGATAGGTACCCCGGCTCCACCCACTAACAGGGACCCTGGCTCCACCCCTAACAGGGACCCTGGCTCCACTCCCTAACAGGGACCCTGGCTCCGCCCCCTAACAGAGACCCTGGCTCCACCCCTAATAGGGACCCTGGCTCTACCCCCTAACAGGGACCCTGGTTCCACCCCCTAACAGGGACCCCGGCTCTACCCCTGATAGGTACCCTGGCTTCATCCCCTAACAGGGACCCTGGCTCCGCCCCCTAACAGGGACCCTGGTTCCACCCCTAACAGGGACCCTGGCTTCATCCCCTAACAGGGCCCATGGTTTCATCCCCTAACACGGACCCTGGCTCCAACCCCTAACAGGGACCTTGGCTCCACCCTAAACAGGAGAACATGTGGTGTTTTCCTTTGCACCTGTCCTCCTCTCTGCCTGGAAGGCTTCATCTTAACCCACCTTCCTGCCTTGTTTACACAGCAAACTCTTATTCATCCTTCAAAACCCAGTCTGGCATCAGTCTTCTCCAGGTCAGTTCCTTCTGGATCTCCCCACTCTGGAGCCCCACTCTCCTCACCTCCTACTCTGCAGAACTGCAACCAACCACAGCCATGCCCACGTCCCCACTGGGAGCTCCAGTCTCCCAGGGCCCAGAGCAGGGCTGACACACACCAAACCCAGTCCCGACAGATGGGCCCCCACCTCTCTGTGCCCAGACAGTACACAAGGCTGCTGTGTGCACTCTCGGCCCCTGAGGTTAAGGCGTGGTCTGACCTTTCTCAGAATGAGGAACTAAGCAGCAGCGACAGGAAAACATTTGATGAGCACACCGAGCACTTGCGCCCTTCAGCTGGGGGCCGTGTCGGGGAGGGAGGCAGAGCAGCTATGCAAACACCTCCGGGGGCGGCGAGGGGTCAGCTCGAGGTGACAGTTATGTCACCATGAGAGCTCGGCTAGTGTGCGTCAGCCCTGCTGGATGGAGGGAGACCACTCAGCAGGGCCGATTTCTGCCTCCAAAACACGGGAACCAGCAGGTGGGACATGGCAAGGGACGGCAAGTCAGTGCCTGCCTCAGAACAGAGTGGAAGAAGTCCTGGGCTGGGAGATGCAGAGAGCAGGGAGCGAAACCACACCTGGCACCTGCTAGAAGGCATGGCACCGGGACAGCCACCAAGAGCTCAGGCTCAGAGCGCTGGGGCTGAGGGAGGGCAGATCCAGCCTCTCCCTGACCAGGTCATACTCAGAGCAGCGGGAGCCATGCAGACTCCACAAGAGGGACATCAGCTCAGAAGTGTGACCAGAGCAGACTTTAAAGCATGTTTCTGGGGGGCAACAATGCAAAGTGAAAGAAGCAGGACATAAGACTGTCCTGTCACACCCATGTGCACACACACACACACACACACTTATTTGCATAGAAAAGTCTGGAAGAAAATACACCAAAACATAAATAGTAGTTATCTAGGTGAGAAATTAATAGTTTGAAAACAGTTTTCCAATATATGTTCCAAAATTTCCACAACAAACACGCCTTATTGTTATAATTGGCAAATACGTGGGGCCAGGAAGGTATGCCACCTGAAGAAGGGGTCCCAGGGGTCAGTTTCCCGGGGCTGCCAGGACAAATCACCACGAACTCGTGGTGCGTAATGACAGGACTTTCTTCCCTCAGTGTCCTGGAAGCTGGAGTCTGAAACCCAGGTGTGGGGCAGAGGTGGTTCCTCTGGGATGCCAGGGGAGAATCTGTTCCACTCCTCTCCTGGCTTCTGGTGGCTGCCGGCACTCCTTGGCACCCCTTGGCTGGTGGCAGCATCACTCCAGCCTCGTCAAGAGGCATGCTCCCTGTGTCTTAGGGTGGGTGAGGGTCTACCCTGATCCAGTATGACCTCATTTTAACCGGAGTGCATCTGCAAAGAAAGATCCTATTTCCAAATAAGGTCACAGTCATACACACTGGGGGAGACAACTTCAGCTTATCTTTTTGGGGGGCACAATTCAATCCATAAGAAGATGTAGTTGGCCCAAAGGAAAATAAGACACAAAGGGCTGTGGTCCCTGTCTTTAAATATCGCCAGCCTCTCCTGTTTTGGAAGGATTAGACTTGGTCTGTCTGACTCTATGGAGAAGAAAGAGGACCAATGAGTGGATGTTTCCCCAAAACAGACCTGGTCTCAAAATAGGAACACAGCTGTCCTAAGCTACACTGGCCATCTTGCGCGGAGAATTCCCTGACTCAGAGGGCCTCGGATTAGACAGGTGCCCCCTTAGCTCTGATGTGGAAGTATTGGAGGGAGCACTGGACCAAATAATTTTCAGGTCCTGGCAGCCCTGAGATTCTGCATTCACACAGGCATAAATGATGCAAGCAGTGCCCAGTGCCAGCCAGGCCGCCCCATAGTGGCTGTTCAATATCCCACTACCCTGGCCTCACCCACACTGGGAAACCCTTGATCTTAAAGCAAAGCTGCTCTGCTCAGCATTGTTCTTCCTTTTGGTCTCTCAAGGAAAGCTGGAAACTGTACATTCAACGCAGACAAGGATAAAGGCATCAACCACGTGGAGAGACACAGAATTCTAGGAGTTAAACCACGTGGAGAAGCTTACACCCCTGATTCTAAGGGTGTTTCCCTCGCCTTGACAGTACCAAGGAACCGTCCTGTGCCCCTGGTCAGGCCTGCTGGGGCTGAAGTCACACAGACCAGGATCAGAATGGTTAAGAAAACCATCTGCAACATGTGTCAACTCAGTGGGGACAGCCTCAAGAATAACACTTACGTAAGAAACAGCAGTAACGTTGCAAGTTCCGTTTATTTTTGTTTGTTTTTATTTTATTTTATTTTTTTTTTTGAGATGGAGTCTCACTCTGACACCCAGGCTGGAGTGCAGTTGCACCATCTTGGCCCACTGCAGCCTCCGCCTCCTGGATTCAAGCGATTCTCCTGCCTCAGCCTCCCGAGTAGCTGGGACTATAGGAGTGTGCCACCACATCTGGTAATTTTTGTATTTTTAGTAGAGATGGGGTTTCACCATGTTGGCCAGGCTGGTCTTGAACTCCTGACCTCAGGCGATCCACCCACCCCGGCCTCCCAAAGTGCTGGGATTACAGGCATGAGCCACTGTACCCGACCTGTTTAATTTTTTCTAAAGGAGACAAAATCTTATTTGTCATGAGAGGGGAACACTGTTCTTCAAAAGTTCCTCTTCTCACCCCAAATACAACACACAGAAACTGCTCACCTCTCCACAGGGTCCCTGAGCATGACAATCAGTCTGGCATTTGGCTGAAAGGCGTGGATGAAGTCCTGCGTCAGAAACGGTGGCTCGCCATCCGTGCTGTTGTCGTAGAAGAACGTCCAGGCATTATTATCCCACATCGTGGAGGCACTGGCCTCCCCTGGAAACAGAAAACACTCCAAGTGAGCAGGGGTGTGATTCAGGCTCCCACGGAGTGGCTCTAGGTGCCAGAGGCCACACCTGGCCCCGATGCCTTCCTCTTAAGCAGCGGGAGAGGCCAAGCTGTCAGCCTTTGCGGGCATCTGGGACTCCAAAGAGAGAAGGTTGGATGCCCCCCCCTGCCACAGCCACACCCCACCTCCACCCCAAAAACTTCTGTCTGGAAGTCCAGGCGATCCATGCAACACTGAGTGCCCCCACCCCTGAGCTCCTCTTTCCAAGGGGAGCAAAAATGAAACCTTCCCTAGCACCTGGGCCCCCAGTTTCACAGTATTTAACTTTGCTCACAGTGCACAGCTCTGTGGCATTTTAAGGGCCCACTGAGAATGCAGTCTGTCAGAAAAACACGCCAAAACATAAACAGCAGTTATCTAGGTGGGAAATTATAGGTGGTTTTGAAAATGGTTTTCCTGTATAGTATTCCAATATATGTTCTATACAGTAGATGGTTCTAGTAATAATAGATGGAGTTCTCTCTGAACTGGGGGCCCAAGATGATGAAAGGCCTTGACATTTCTGCCCAGGATCTAACAAAGAGAAAGAGCTGGGGCAGAGCTGAGCCACATTTCAGAGCCGGGAGGAGCCGAGAACTGGTCTAGCAGACCAGGAGCCTGGAGCTGGTACTAGATGATTTCCTTCCAAAGCGTCAGGAGAAAGGAGGAGGGTGGGAACACTAACCCTTATGAGGAATTTGAGTGTGATTTCCTTCCTTGAAGCTGTAACTGTTCATCACAGAGCATACTCTAAGACTAAAAGAGAGAGGGGCTTTGCCACAGGGCTCACACGCCCTGTCTCCTGCGAGGCGACTGCTCTGCACGCAGCTGGCGCCTACTCAGTGCAGCCTGGGTGAACGGGAACTGGGTCCCAGCCAGTTTCACATTTCATCATGGTCCTCACGAGTGAAGGATGTAAATGGCAAACACACGTCCCAGCACAGAGGTGATGCCAAGACACAGGCAGGCATTCCAACAGCACAGACTCTCTCAGAGGATGAAGCCAAATTTCCTGAGGGTTTGAGGAGAGACAGTGTGTGTGCGTGTATGTGTGTGTGTATATGTGTGTGTTTAGGAAAAAGGAAATTCATCAATCAGCTCTACACTTGATTTCCTGACAGTTTGCCAAGGACCACAGGACACATCTGAAAGTTACTTATCTGGGGAGAGACTGAGCCAGATGACTGAGTCTCTTTGGTCAGTGACAAGTGTATCATATCCCTGCAGGCCCCTATCATTTCTGTCGGATGCGTAATCACATCCAGGTGAACAGCTCTGTTCTGGCCTTTTGTTCTTTCTTTTTTTAAAGAGATAATACCCTAGGATACAGAAAAAACGAGTCAATCAGAAGTCCCTTGAAAATTCTACTCACAATGAATAAGAATATAAAGGACAAGTGAACTCTCTAGCTAAATTGGCACAAATTCTGTCAGATCTCAAAAATGAACTGGTTTTAGAGCCATGGAGGCGTTTGTCCATCCACCTGACTGTCTTCCTTCCATCCAGCCACCATCCATCCTTCGTCCATCCAGGAAGCATTAACTTAGTGTCTAATCCGTGCTCAGCATTGTGCTTGGCACCAGGGACAGATCAGGGGAGGAAAGCACGGCCCCTCCTCTCTCGGACCTTAAGACATAAGGGGGACGATGGCAATTCAAGAAACAAAGAGTACCACGATGGGTACCTGGGAGTAGAGGCAGGAGACTTTCAACATGTCTAAAGCTCCGGCCTCAAGTTCAGCCATCACGTTCAGGCCACTTGAATCCTGAACCTCTTGTGTGACTCTAGCTGTCAAAAAGACAGCAGAAGAAAGGTCCTCTCTGACCTAGGGGCCCAAGATGATGAAAGATCCTGCTGTTTCTGCCCCGAATCTAACAAAGAGGAAGCGCTGGGGCAGAGCTGAGTCACATTTCAGAGCTGGAAGGAGTCTAGAACTGACCTGGTCCAACAATCCCACTTTGCAGAGGTGCAGACAGAGTCCAGGAACAGGAAAAATGAACGGCCGCAAGGCACAGAGCTGGCCGCTGGCCCAAGCAGGGCTAGATACTTGTCACACCACAAGACTACCATAGAACTCACCAAACTCTGCTTTAAGTAAATATCAGCACAGTGATTTTATTTTTCATTCTTTTTAAAATCTTGGAGCAAGCAAAATTAGGAGACCAAACTGAGGCTTTCCTTTTTCATTCATTATCTTAGTCTCTGTTTCCTGGCCGGAGAATACATATTTTCATCTCTTTCATAAGAACATGTGATTTTCCCAGAGGCATATGGTATAGGAGTCACAATGAAATGTAAGTCAGACTTGAGATTTGGGGAGTTTGGACTCCCAAGTTTGCAAAAAACTAGATAACAGCCAAATCATACTGGAGGTGACTCCCAGTGACTTAATTTCTTTGAGTTTAAAAGAAAAAAAAGAGTTAAGTCAGGACTTAGGCACATAAGTCTGTCCCCTTGGACAGGAGAGTCTTAAGTTAAAAAGTCATCTTTCGAAGGGCTGATTATAATTCCTCTTAGTTGCTAATAGATTTATTTAATTTGGAGATTGCAAATATAACAGATCTAGGAAAATTAAAAAATAGATCACTATCTAAGGTAAACAATTTAAGCAAAACGTGACTCAATTTCTCTTTTAGAAGGCATCAGTGGATAAACGCCTTCTAAGCTGAATCCAATAAAAAGAATTATGTCAGGCAAATAACAAGTCTAGAGATCTAAGGTAGAGCATGTGCACTGTAGTTATTAATCCTATTAATCCTGTATTGCATGCTGGAAATTTTCCAAGACAGTATATTTCAGGTGCTTTTACCACACACACGCCCCCCTCCCCACACACAAAGGTAACTGTGAAAAAAACATGGCTATGTTAATTTGCTTTACTGTAGCAATCATTTCACTGTCTCTATTTCCATCGAAACATCACAGTATGCTGTACACCTTAAATTATACAATAAAAAATAAATTTTAAAGAGTAAATATGTATGTTTACTTATAAAATATTCTTGTGAATATTTAAAACAAATTATTATTAATCAACCTCACTTTGAATGCCCAAAGGCATGAGGTTGACAGGGGCTAGGCTTTTTAAACAGCAATTAGTTATAGGCGATGTGTCAGAGCTGAGTCTATTTCAGGAGAAGCTGCCTCCGTCTTATATGGTCCCAGTGGCCAGGGATTACAAAAGCCCCAAGCAGCAAATCGATGACTAACCAGTTAACTGCACTTATAATTCCCCCATCCAAACTTATCAGATCAGTACATCAGGAAAAGAAGTCAATATCCCTGCTTAATTTCTTAAAAACAAAGAAATGGCAACTTCTCAAGAAAGCCATCAGCTGTCCTTAAGTCTCCAAAGAATTAGAAAGTCAACATTTCCACTTTATAGTAATGTTCAAGTGATGTGAACATTTTATGTAGTGGTAAGAGTGACAGCCAGGTGGAGAAGTGGAGGCTCAAAAGAAGTTTGCTGCCACCATGTAAATGTTCTGGAGGTGAAGCAGAGCTGGGCTAGGCCTGGAGCCAGAGCCAGGACCCCAGGGAGGGTGCTAGCCCTGCCAGAGTGACACAGACGCCTTACCGATAATGATTGTATTCATCTTGCTCTGCTCCTTTGCAGAGCTGGCCTGCAGTCCTTGATGGATCTGGTGTGCGGCCAGGTCAAAGAGGTCCAGATAATCTTCCACGGGATAGCGGTCTCGCAGCCCATCTCTTAGGCGGACGATTCCTATGAGAACCAAGAAGCAGGAGATACTGAGGACAAAGTTGCTACTGCTGGAGCGATGGCCTCCCAGACAGCAACCAAAGAGAGATGGAAAGGCCTAAAGGGCCTGGCGACAGCAGCAAGAGGCTCAGCCCAGGTAAGCTTCAGAAAGGGCTGCTGGGGATGGGGGTGGGGGTCTATGCGGCCTGGCTACCCACTTCAATCCATGCATGCTTCAAGGGCTGGAAGATACCACCACTAAGCTAGACAGTGGCAGATTAAAGGCTGGAACACCTACTCAAGAGCTAGAAACATGTCTGCTTGGAGGGACAAAGTCTGGGGCTGGTTAACTTGTGCACAGGTGGGACTCGTAAGTGGCTGGGCAGCGATGACACCCAGGATGCATGTGTTGTGTCAAACAGGGAGAGAGGACCGAGGGCTGCCCACAGGAGAGAGAAGGGCAGTATCCTATAAACTCCATGATGCCTTCCTCATGGGGCCCAGCCAGCACCTGCCTGATGTTCTCTCTCCTCCCCCTGTTCAATCAAATACCCTGCCCTTTGTCCAAACAGTAAGGGGA
This sequence comes from Homo sapiens, assembly GCF_000001405.40. Classification (NCBI taxonomy): domain Eukaryota; kingdom Metazoa; phylum Chordata; class Mammalia; order Primates; family Hominidae; genus Homo; species Homo sapiens. The sequence continues at coordinate 124,043,004 of NC_000010.11, forward strand.
ACTGATCATACTCTAGACAGACATGGATTCTGGCATCGGCCACATACAGCTTAAATTCACCCCCTGCCTGAAAAATAAATAAATTTCACTTGCAAACATTTAAAAATCCACTTCCCAACACCACAACTCCTGAAGTCAATGGAAATTGGAAAGAGAACATCCGTGGCCAAAGTAACAAGAGGTTCAAGGTGACATTGAAGACTAGATTCCAGAGGCCCGCCTCTGTTCTTCCTCCTTTCCTGCCGGTAGAAAGCTGGTTTTCATTAAGGGGAAATCACTGTGAGCCTCGGGGGAGCACCCTACAGCAAGGGAGTGTGTTCAGACACGTCCAGCAAATGCATAGGGATGTGAAACCCTGGCTCCTACAGTGGCGGCTGCTAAACCACAAAAGAAACATTTACACTTTAGCTCACTGTAGGACGAACATCAAAAGGATGAAAGCAAACGTTTGTCAGGAAACACATTAAGAGTTGGTCTAGGGAAAACTTTGAAGATTCCCTTCTAGTCAACCTGAGTCCATTACTGGAAAACACCCTCGTGGCCTGCCAGGACTCTGGTTGACAATAGGCACGTATCACCCCTCAGCTCCAGTGACCAAACCTCTCCTGGCACAAGGAAAAGGTTACAGAGAGGAAACAGTGATCTGAGGACCGCAGGGTGCATGGGGTTAAGCTGGAGCAGAGAGGGATGGGCAGTGGTCATGGTAAGCCTGCGGCAAAGGGCTGAGAGCAAGGCCTCCAGAATGATCTCCATGTGGTTATCATATGGAACCCATAAGGCAGATGGGGCAGGTCAGAGAAGCTGAGGCCTGAAGCAACTCAGTCTCCCCCAGGTGCAGTGACTGCAGCTGGAACAGCACATAGCTGAGAACAGCACAGAGCAGAGGAACAGCACAGAGCAGGGGAACAGCACAGAGCAGGGGAACAGCACAGAGCAGGGGAACAGCACAGAGCAGGGAGCAGCACAGAGCAGGGAGCAGCACAGAGCAGAGGAACAGCACAGAGCAGGGAGCAGCACAGAGCAGGGAGCAGCACAGAGCCAAGGAACAGCACAGAGCAGGGGAACAACACAGAGCAGGGAGCGGCACAGAGCAGGGAACGGCACAGAGCAGAGGAACGGCACAGAGCAGAGGACCGGCACAGAGCAGGAAACGGCACAGAGCTTGGGAGCGGCACAGAGCTTGGGAGCGGCACAGAGCTGGGAGCGGCACAGAGCAGGGAATAGCACAGAGCTGGGAGCCAAGAGCCCGGATCACGCCCTTCTTGCTGGCCCTTACTGGCCACTGGCACTTACTGCTGACTGCTCGGGTCATGTGCCCGGGCTTTCGGAACAAGAAGAGCTGCCAGTTCTGACTCGTCCCCGTGTCCTGCACACAGCTGGCAATCAATGCTCACTGCATGGCTGGGAACCGAGTTCCAGACCCTGCTGGGTCTTTGCCTGGGAACAGCCTCCTAACAAGGGAATTGTGCCATCTCTTTCTGCCGCCCTCGCCCCCCAACCCCAGCGCTAACGTTGCGGGAGGAATGAACGAATGAAGGAACGAGACCAGACAGGAGCCCTGGGACCCAGCACTCACCAAAGCGCTTCCGGGTCCACCAGTGTGGCTCCTTGATGGCGGAGAACTTGACCTCAGGGTGCAGCCGCAGGCGGTCATAGAGGTCTGTGGTCCCGCACTTGGGCTGCCCTATGATGTAGAAGTGCGGCAGGCAGCGCAGGCGGAAGTGCTTCCCGTGCGCGTGCGCCAGGTGGCCCCAGAAGGCCTTGCGCAGGGCGTCGAAGGTGGAGCGGAAGCGCTTGGAGTAGAGCACGTAGGAGTTGGTGAGGTAGGGGTCGGTGGTGTTCTGCCCCGAGAACTCCTCGTACCAACAGGGGCTCTTACTGTTTGGAAGGAATTTGTTGGGGATGACTGAAAACATCTGCAAGGAAACAGAGGAGGAGAGACACAGAGGAGGGGAAAATGAGCAAAGACACAATCTAACCGCAATGGGAACCTGCCCTGAGACTGACGACCGTGTTCAAATTTGAACTAATATTTGACAATGATTAACAAATAAAGCAAAACTTGGTAGACGGTCAATGACTGTGCTTTCCTCTCCCCCGCCGCCCCACAAAAAAAAAAAAAAAAAAAAAAAAAAAAAAAACTTGGAGAGAATAAAGATAAAAGTTTAATTAAAATCCATTCTACCATAATTTACCTTTCTGACACTTACACAACACACACGCACACACGGTAATTAAGCAGAATCTTTTTACTAGTTGTATATTTAAATTGCCGTTAGAGATTAAAATGTAGAATAGAAGCAGAAAATCAAATTTAACGCAACTTTAAAATCCCAAATGATGGTGATCTGCAAAAGCAACTGTTAACTACCACGACCACATATCAAGCAAGAAGTCCTGGAATGCAATAATGAGAGCCAGCGGCCCTTGAACATGCCTAGCCCAGCGTTCAGGACAGCAGATTCCCTTCCTGGCACTCCATAGCGTAAGCAAACAGCACTCTCTCAGTGCATTCAAATCCATAAGGCTGTCAAATGATCCTTGCTACATCTAAGACATTTTTTAGTCATTTTCCTTCTGTGTTCCCAAAGATGGTGATAGAAAGAAAAGCACTCATTTCTAAAAATCAACCAATCAGTCAAGATTAGCACAAAGCTACTCACATGCAACTCCTGCTTCTTAAGGTCTTCTAAGTCTGGGAGCTGTCTGGTCGTGAACTCAATCCTAGTTGTGATGCTGTTGATAATTAATTTAATGCTTGGATAGTCCTTCATGTATGAAATATTATTTACAGAGGATTGGTGGTGATGCTCCTTTGTGTCACTTGGGTTTTCGCTGTCCATCAAGCTGGGGTTGCTGGGGAAGCCTCCGTAATGGAAAGGTGATGAGATCAGAAGCTCTTGGTGGGCCCCAGAAAGGATGTAAGAAGCCATTACCAAGGTCATTATTATCAGTCCAAAAACGAGGCTACATCGCTTCCCCTTTTTGAAGCGCAAAAACCCACCCCAGTTTTCGTTCCCTTCAGTCCTCACTTCGAGAACAGCAAGCAAGTTCATCTGCTTACTGTCCACACGAAACAGAATTTTGTTTTCTCCTTTGCACGTGGGGCACGCCTGGTGACCGTGATGGGGGCCCCCTTGGCAGTTGACCTGCTGCTTGTGTGCGCCGTCGGGTAACAGCTGTATGCAGCAATTAATGCAGTGCCTCATGGTAGTGCCAGTGCCCTGGGCTGCTGGCTTACCGAGCCATGGGTGGGCCCCCCACGAGTCTGGATGTCCGCAAGTCGTGCTAGAAAACCTTAAGAATGCCTTGTGATCACAGAAGATGGATGGAAAGCACAAATACAAAAATAAGCAGACACCACAGCACTAGAGAAAGAGGGTGCACATTCTTTGGTTCAGCTCCGAAAGAAAACAAAAGGAAGTGATGTCCCAGAGTCATGTTCTACAAGAGCCGCTGCAACCTCAGAGAAGGTCACAAGTTCGGGAGCAGCTCTGCCTGCCCTTCAGGTTTTTCCCATGGCACAAAAAAAGGTGGAAGAATTCTCACTGGGGAATGTGGAAACACACAGAAAATTAAAAGAAATCATGGTCTTCTCATTGATGGATGGATTGCCATGCCATCCACGGAGGCATCTGTGAAGATCTCCCCTTTTACATCCTGAGTACCTTTGGAATATTTCCTCTTTGTGGGGCGCAAACTTTAAAAAATGCCAGATTTCCTACACAGAAAGACAAGAAGCTTTATTACATTGTGTGGTAATAGCAATAACCCAAAGCTCATCCTCCAAGGAGAGACAGATGCTCACTCTCTTTTCCACCTCTAAGTCCAGCCAAGCCAGCCTGGTTCTAAGCAAGTCATAGAAAATCGCGAGCATAAAGGAAGAGGTTTCAGGTTCTTGCAGCTGGCTTTGGGGCTCAATTTCTGCCACCAAACATGGCCCCAATCCCAGCACCACCAGCGCCACATCAAACGTCTCACATTGTGCATAGTCTACATCTCCCCTAATCCCTCTGCCTTGATACTTCTCAGGTACAGGATCTCTGAATCCCAGGATGTTGTGATCATTCTCAGAGTCATGCACAGTCAATGACTACAAATTTGAGGGATGGATTGAAATATCAGTGCTTTTCAGTCAATGAAAAATCTCAAGAATACTAAGGAGGATGGTTAGAAAGGGAGCAGGCAGAGAAAATGTGTTTTTTCCCTCTCACTGGCATCAGCAGTCTCTTTCTTAGAGTTAACCTTTATTATCAGATTAGGAAGCAAAAGTTAATGAAAATTTAGAAACAATGAAATGAGTCTCTCCTTCAGTAGAATGTATCATATTAAAAAACTACTTGACTTTAAGTTATTAAGCAATTAAATCCAATGTATAGGATTCCCTCGAGTGACACAGAGCTTCAGAACCTGACATAATTTTTCACTTTCATCATCTCGAGCAAGATATGATTCTTAAAAACCCATTAATAGAATCCTGTGGTTATAAAATATATTGTTGCCCAAATGACACTTCTTTGTAGATGTCGTAGAAAGAGCCATGGATAAGCATAAAAGGAGACCTACTCAGTTTCTAGCAGTGGTAGATCACCACTAATTGGCTGTGTGACCCTGAGCAAGCCACATAACCTCTCTGAGCTTTGGTTTCCTCAATAGTAAAATTAGGATAATAAGGACACCTTAACAGGTGCTAAATTAGCTACTACATGTAAACAGTTTGAATAATGCCTGCCACATATTTAGCATACCATAAAAGGTAGACAGCATTGATAATAATAGCATCATCAACTATTATGATGATGATTTTTCATTGTCAGTGAATGCCAAAAACATTTGAAATGGAATCAAAGATGAGAGATCCTATACCACATGATTATTCTTTAGCAATTGAAAATTACCCAAGAGTGGTAGACTCATCTCCAACTCTACCCACGCCACCCCTCAAACAACCCTCACTGTCTCCATAGAGGCAGCATTAACTAACCGCGCATCAAGATCGCCATGTACTGGCTGAAGGATTAAACAATCAGAACTCAACAGAAGAAATGTTCATGCCCCTTGGACTGAAAACTTCATGTTTTCTCAAAATATGGTGGCCAAGAAACAGCCAAGCTGTGTTTCCCAAAATGTCTTCCTCCCACAAAATGTTCTGCTTGCCGTTGGTGAGTGTTCTGTGCTTAAATTATTTGGAGAAAATGTGGAATGGACAAAATTACACAGAATTCTTTACAGCTGAACTTTTCAGGGCCTTTGATATGCTAATAAGCCCTGTGAATCCACAAGAGAGGAATATAATACACAAAGTTGGAAGTACCTAATTGGCCAAGGAATCTCACTAGGGTATCAAGGAGCCAGTTTGAGAAAGGCTGGTCAGTAGAGGCTGAGACCTGAGTCCTGCAGAGGCGCTGGGGCGGGGATGCAGAAGGGGCCAGTTCTGGGAAGCCAGGCCAGACATCTCAGGCCCTACCCCCATCTCTTATCCCTGAGGGCAGCTGGAGGGACATGTCAGAAACCTCAAGGATCAACCTCTGCTTCAAACTTGCTCAACCACCCCTGACCCATCGCTTGCTACAAACAATTCTTCCAAACTAAAGAAACAAAAGGGCAAGATCCCCTACTTGGAAACTCCATCATTAAAGCCAAGAAAACATTTTTTCACATGTCCAAGACAGGGCCAAGCCGGGGTTAAAAATGAGACTCCAACCAGCAGCTCAGCGGGGAGGGAATTCGCACCCTCCTGTCTTTCTGCTGCAGAAAATCGAATTAGATTCTTTAAAAAGCAAACAAAACACGGACTTTGAAGCTCCAAGATAGGAATGTACATAATCTGGACCCAAACGAATGGGCAAAACATTCCTAAACAAGGGCAGGGGCAGCTCATTTCAAGCAAAGTAAAAACATGAGCAGCCGACAGTCTCAACAGAGAGGAGGGAAGATGGGGTGCCCGGACCGGGTCCACAGAGCATGTCTGCGGGGCAGCTGCCCCCACCAACCAGCCCGGCCTCTGCGAGTCCCGCTTCCTAAACAGAAAGACCTGAGGAGGCAATTCGAGATGCTGCAAGAGCCTTAGCAAAACACTCAGATACAGTGTTTTCTCAGCTCCTAGCATTCTTTCATTCATTCATTCATTTGTTCAACAAATACCTTTTGAAGAACAGCTGAGTGTTGCGCATGTCCAGGTAGGGGGAGACCAAAAGCCAATACAAGATGAGGGATGTGATGTGGAAATAAGAGATGAGTATTTGGTCTCTATCCTCGGGTACTGGTACACAGGTGCTAAAATCCTTGGAATTTTTCTGAATGATGGGGTGAGAGAAGCACCTTTCGTCATTCATGACAAGCCCCTTTCAGCCATACCTGAGTGTATCCTGATGCGGTGACACTTTGCGGGCCAGGATAGCTCCAGGATGGAGGCTGGTCACCAGAAAGACCAAGCCTCAGTGAGCAGCTTTCAACAAACCCCCCAAACTCCGGGTAGGGAATAAGGGCTGCAGATTAAGTCAATCACCAGTGGCTGATGATTTAACCAATCAGGCCTTTGTAATGGAACCGCCATCAAAACCCTTAAACCACAGGGCTCAGGCAGCTTCCAGGTTGGTGGATCCTTCGAGGTGCTGGGAGGGTGGAGTGGAGGAAGAGGGCATGGAAGCTCCACACACCCTCCTCCACCATACCTCGCCCCATGCGTCTCATCTGCTGGCTGTTTCTGCATTCTATGCTATAATAGACTGATGATGAGTCAAGCACTCTCCTGAGTTCTGTGAGTCATTCTAGTGAATTACTGAACCTGAGGAGGTTGTGGGACACTCTTGCCTTTTTAGCCAATTTGGACAGATGTGCGGGTAACCTGGGGACCCAATACTTGGGACTGGCATCTGAAGTGGGGCAGTCTGGTGAGACCGAGCCCTCAAACCGGTAGAGTCTGAGGCTGCCTCTGGTAGGGGCAGACTTGAATTGAATGGTAAGATAATCAGTTAGGTTCTGGAGTTGGAGGATTTGCTGGTGTTGGAAAATACCCCTGGGCTGCGGTGGGCGTGGGGGTGGGGGCCTCTCTGAGAAAAAAACATAAAACTGTCTTACATTTACAAGTTTTTACCAAAATCGATAGCCACTGTATAGTATGTCAAATACTCAGTAAGATGGACAAGCAATCTGAAGACCAGGTGAGTCCCTTGTAAGTGAAGGCCCTAGAGCCCGGCGGCTTCCAGACAAGACCTCCCCTGACGGGCGCGAGTGGTGCAGGGCTGACCCAGAGAGGAGGCCTGTTCCCAAGTGGAGCTTCTGTCCCACCAGGGGTAGGGGCTGCAGGGCACAAGCTATAAAGAAGTCCCAAATGAATAAGATAATCACAGATGCTGCTAGATAAAGGCTATGCAGAAAAGAATAAAGAAAAGGGGGAGAGAGCAATACAACCATTGGAACAGGGTTTTGGAATTCTTTGTGCCGTCCTAGGGCTGGCCCATGCTTTGTTGTCAGGGCTGTCCCGCGCACAGTAGGATGCTTAGCAGCACCCTGGCCCCCACCCACTGGATGCCATAGCACCCCTTCCCCTGACATGTCACAACCAAAAATGTCTCCAGGCATTGTCAGTGCCCCCTGGGGTGCATAATCACCCCTGGGTTGGAGCTACTGCCTTAAAGAAGTGGGAGGTATGATACACAGGGTGACAGGGAAGACCTGATTTCAGAGGGGACGTTGGAGGAGAAACCTGAACAAGAAGGAAGCCAGTCACGTGGAGACCAGGGGAAGCAAAGGCCCCGTAGAGAGACGCTGTGGGGAGTCCCAGCCCATGAGGGCTACTGGCAGGGTAGGCCCTGGGGCACAGGCTGGTGGGGGTGGAAACCTGATGGGAGAGGAGGCAGGGACCAGGCTCTGTAGAGTCTTGAAGGCCAAAGTCAGGGGTGGGATTTGCTCGAGTGCAAGAAGGAAGGCATACTACATATTCTTTTTTTTGTTTTGAGATGGAATCTCACTCTGTGGCCCAGGCTGGAGTGTAGCAGCACGATCTTGGCTCACTGCAACCTCCGCCTCCTGGGTTCAAGCGATTCTCCTGTCTCAGCCTCCCGAGTACTGAGATTACAGGCATGCATCACTGCGCCCGGCTAATTTTTGCATTTTTAATAGAGACGGAGTTTCACCATGTTGGCCAGGCTAGTCTCGAACTCTTGGCCTCAAGTGATCCAGCCCGCCTTGGCCTCCCAAAGTGCTGGGATTACAGGCATGAGGCACCACGCCTGGCCTCAAAAGAATTTTTACTATGTATAGTAAATATACATAGTAAAATATGTATAGAATAGTTTACTATGTATAACTATTAAAGAACATAACTCAGGGAAGAAAAATCCAATTAATGGGGTGGTATTGAAAGGAAAATGGATTGCTGTTACGTTCTGTATCTGGCCTTTTCCGTAGGCCACAAATTATCCCAAGAACAGTCATTCAGAAACCTAACACTCAAGTGGTTCTTCCTTCAGAAAGGAGTCATGTATGCCCCCTGCACTTCACCTGTCTGGAATGTCCACATTTGGTGCCGGTCGACTCAGACAAGACGGGGCCCTTGGCACTTCCGTTCATGTATTAAACCAAAGGATTCAGGTATACATTTCAGTGAGATTGCTTCCCACCTGGGCTCAATTCTGAGCCTGATGGCTGCAGACCATCACTGTGGGAACCTGGCACCAGGAGAGAAATCAGATAACGGGTCCCAAAATAGAAAGTGTTCAATTACCCAGCCCTTGCTTGGACACCCCCTATTAACCTATGCACCCAAGCATCATTAGCAAGCCATTTATAACAAAATTGTAATTGAGAGACCCAGAAATACCACTTTAGATTAAGTAATTGAATGCCCCCTCAGTGTAAGATCGATAAAGGGCATCCAATTTCACCCTAGGAAAAACTTATTAAATTATTGTAGCTATAAGCTGATATAGCAGAAGAAAGATGTATGAAACTTCAGAAGAAATCTGGATGGATTTAAACAAATAGCTTCATTTAGGTAGAACATTTACATTTGCCCTCTGGGGACAGAGAGGGAAAAAAATAGCTAATTACATTATTTTTCTTTTATGTTTTAAGGAAAAAAAATTCAATGGGTCTTAATTAACCTTTACTAAAACACAAAGCCTTCTTCTGATTAGTATGTGTAACTGCTGACATTCCTCTCTAGGCTATATATATGGAAATATATTTTTTCAAGGACTATTCATCAACAAGTAGGAGAAGGAACATTTTTCACATGTAGCTCTAAGATAGAAGGTTGTTGCTGAGACTGAGAAGAAAGCCAACAAGACTGAAGAGTTCTGTACAAATTATAAATCATCAGATTCAGTCTTCTATCTGGACTTCGACAGTTTTGATCACATCCCAGTCAATAAGCAGAATAAAGCCACACCACTCCGTCAACATTCACTGGCCCATAGCACAGCGGAGAGGACACAGCAGTCACATGGATTAGGATTCCAAGTCCATGTCCACCCAGCGGCCTTGGACAAATCACTTAAGGTTTCTGGGCCTCTGTATTTTTCAAAAGAAGTCCCCGCTAGCAACAGATCACGTACAGCACTGGAGTTAAGAGCCCGAGTGCTGGAGCCAGGTTGCCCAGGTTTGATCTTGAACAAGATATTAAACGTCTCTTCTCCCCATTTCTTTGGATACGACTTAGGAATAATCACAGGACCTGTATCATGGCAGTGCTGTAAGCATTCAGTGAACTCATTCATGTAAGGTGCTTAAAAGAGTGTCTAGCCCGGCCGGGCGCGGTGGCTCATGCCTGTAATCCTAGCACTTTGGGAGTCTGAGGCGGGCAAATCACAAGGTCAGGAGTTCGACACCAGCCTGACCAACATGATGAAACCCAATCTCTACTAAAAATAAAAAATTTGTCAGGATTGGTGGCGCACACCTGTAATCCACACTACTCAGGAGGCTGAGACAGGAGAATCATTTGAATCCAGGAGGCAGAGGTTGCAGTGAGCCAAGATGGCACCACTGCACTCCAGCTTGGGCAACAGATCAAGAGTCTGCCAAAAAAAAAGAGTCTCTGGCCCATAGTCAGTGCTCAATAAATGTTAGCTGGTATTACAGATGCACAGTCCTGGCCCACAATGGGAATTTGATAGTCATTTATTACTCTTTACCATAGATTGCATTATTGGTCTCAATTTTTTCTTCTTCCCATGTTCACATTCTTTGCCACTTTGGAGGGCCTTCAGCTACAGGAGTGACGTATTTCTCCACCCTTCGGTTTGAGTTGGGTGGCTCACTTTGGCCAGCAGAATGAGGCAGAAGTGGGCTTAAAGCTGGCACGTGCCAGGCCCTAAGACATGTCCTGTGTACTCATTTGTCCTCTTGCACACTTGCTTGGCCAGGAGGAGGGGGAGACAGGTGGAGCAGGGCCACCTGGCTGAGCCCACCCAGAGCAGCCAATACCCGCTGGATCCCAGCCAATTCCTAAAGACACCAGAGACATAATAAAGGGTTGATTTTTCTTTTCTTTTTTTTTTTTCAAGACAGAGTCTCACTCTGTTGCTCAGGCTGGAGCGCAGTGGTGTGATCTCTACTCACTGCAACCTCTGCCTCCCAGAGGTTGGCTACCACCAGCAGCCGATAGGCCAATGTAATGATGGAAACTCAGAGGGGAGGCTGGGCGCAGTGGCTCACACCTGTCATCCCAGCACTAGGCAGGCGGATGACTCAAGCCCAGGGTCATCTAGACCAGCTTGGGCAACATGGCAAAACCCTGTCTCCACAAAAAATACAAAAATTAGCTGGGTGTGGTGGTGCACACCTGTAGTCCCAGCTACTTGGAAGGCTGAGGTGGGAGGATTGCTTGAGCCTGGGGAGGTTGAGGCTACGGTGAGTTGTGATCACACCACTGCACTCCAGCCTGTGCAACAGAGTGAGACCCTCTCTCAAAAACCAACAAACAAACAAAAAGAAACTCGGAAGGGAGCTGTTCCTGAATCAAGACACAATGGCTGAAACATCAGAAAATAACACACCAGGTTATTTTCTGACAAAATGTGTTTATGACAACCACAGCTGTTTTGTTTTAGTTATCCACTGCCCCACACTCCCCCACCTCCTGATGAAGAGGCCTTCCTCCTTGCCTCTTTTCAGTTACTAATTTCTTCCTTGCTTCCTTCCTCTCCCTGAGCAAGCCCTTCCTGTAATCTGATCCTTACGGTTTCCTTGCCAGATTTCATCCTTCCTGATGACTGGGACACATCACCCGTGCTTTGTCTAAAACAGGTATTCTCAAACCACAACCTGAGGGATCTTCCTGGCTGGCCCAAAATCTGTGCATACAAAACCCAGGCAGTTTTTTAAGCTTATTTTTAAAGCACACTTGACTCTCTGTTAAGTTCGTCATCAACATTGGTTTTGGTTAATCACAACTACCTTACATGCATACAACGTACATTCAATGCTATTGTTTTAGTCCATAAGCCATATCCATAATAAACAGGCATTTCCCCAAGATCAGATCTCTACAATATGCAGCCAGCGCCTCCCCTGCGTCCTGAGCTCACTGATTCTCAACTTGGTAGAAAGATGGGATGTAGGAAAAATGGTTTCCAAGCAGTCGAAAATAAGACATTATGCCAGGCTTGGGAGTTGGGCAGACCTGCATTTCAACCCGAATCAAGTCTGTAACTGCTCTATGATCTCAGGCAACGAATTTAACCATTCTGTGACTAGGTTTCCTCATCTGTAAAATGGGAATAAAATGATCTCAGTCTCCTACTGTGGATGTGAGGAAGAAATGAGGTCACATACACAAAATGCTTAACCCAGAGTCTAGTACCCCGCACACCGTGGAAGGATGAGCCATCCCAAAACATGCCAAATTGATATGTTGATTATTTTGAGTCGAAAACATTGGAGAAATTATAGTTTCAGAAAGGGCCAGCTGACCTGTCTCTTCCTGCATACTCCAAGCCATAGACTCCTCTGGGAGGAGTACCCTTCCCCTGCCAGGCCAAGAAAATGGCCCTCCTCAGCACAGCCTGGGAACTTGGGGCTGCAATGACCCAGGATAAATACACTTCACAAAGTAACCCTTCTCTTCCACTGCCGTTACACATCCCATAGATCTCCCAGAGACTCCCCTAGAAATGTATATTACTCCACCAGGTCCCTTCTGTTCTGTCTCTTCTGAAATGGATTGTTCTTTGTCTAAAAGGTCTAAAAACATCTTGCTTTGGCCACTCCTTCAAACTTCACTCTCTCGTGAAGATTCCTAGGTCCAGGTAAAACTAACAAAGTGTGTTTGCTTCCCTTTTGTTTGTCTGCCTGGTGTCAAGTTGGCTTCTAGATGCAGTTCAGGAGCCCACGTAAGAGCTCACAAGGAGGGGGTTGGAGGTGATCTCTGGCTCCCCTGCCTCTCGGTAAATGACCCGGATTCCTTGCATTATTACTGGAGAGACCCTTGGGTCCTCACTCCAGGGTTACTTGCTTTCAGTGTGCATATATTATAATTCCAGACACCGGTGTCCAATTTTCCTGTCTGCCACTTATCTGAGGGGATGCCCTGGAAAAGGCAGGTGGCCACACAGATGCAGGAAGTAACACCCAAGTTCTACAGTAGAACAAGGTACTAAAAAGCTGAGCTGGCCAGGATCATTCGGGCACCCCTGTCACCAGGGCCCGTAGCTCTGGCGAGCCTGGCGCAGCTGTGGGGAAAATTCTGGAAAAGCTCACCCCCCTCCAAATGACCATGCTCATCCAGAACTTGTTTCAGTGCTCAACAACAAGGGCCAACTTTCCAGAAACGCACCCATCCCCAAAGATCCAGGGTAAACCAGCCACTGCTGTACAGATGGGAAATGCAAGACAGTGAAGCTCCTGGGATCCCTGAGGATTCTACTGCAGTCATTCACAGTAAGAAACACCCGGAACCCCTCAACAATGATGGTGGGTACACTCAGACCCAGGGCAAAACCCAGGTGGGCTCCAGCAAATCATCAGCTTGCCAGTACAAACCTGCGGGTACCTGCATCCAGCCTGCCTTTTATAGAGGAGAAACCAAGGCCAGTGTGGTCTGTACTTCCCCAAGGACATGCAGCCCATTATAGAAAGATGGGTCAAGAGGCCTCAGGAGCCTGACACTCAGTCTTCCACCATCCCTCAAGAGGGAGCCCATCCTAACCTCTACCCCACCACCCAGGCCTGGCCTCAGACAGTCCAGCGGCTTCTCCAGGCCCTTGGTGCCCTTCCCCCTTCCAATCTTTTGAGGAATCCCTTCCGAGAATACAGATTTGCAGTCTCACCCAGAGACACAGGACAGGAAGGTGAGGGAAGCATCCCAGGAGGCAGCTGATGGGATGAAACTCCCCTACCTCCTTCAATCTCCTTTGAATGCCCTGTCGGCCTGGGGCATTGAGTCTTAACCTGTCTCAATTCAGACTCTATTCATCACTCAGGCTTGTCTCCTGCAGCCAGGAAAGTGTGCTAGGAGACAGGTACAGCTCCAGGACAGAGACAAGGGATGGGGGAACGGAGATGTGTAGAGGCTGGCCTGGTGCCAAGTGTGGGGACAGGGGAAGGAAGGACAGAAAGAAAGGCGGGCAGGGGCAGGGGAGGAAGGAGAGGCGGGGCTGTCCCTTGTCAGTTACCTTTGCAGCTGAGACAATGGACAGGAATGGAACTGGCCCCATGCACAGGAGGCAGGCCCCGGTGCGCAGCCCCCAACTCCTATTTTGTCCCCGCACATCAAAGAAGCCTGGGCTGTGTGCAGTTGGACACGCTGCGGCCCAGGCCCGTACGACCGGACACTCCGCGGCCCAGGCCCGTACAACCGGACACTCCACGGCCCAGGCCTATACGACCGGACACACTTTGACCCAGCCCTGCCTGTACGACCGGACACTCTGCGGCCCAGGCCTGTACGACCGGACACATTGCAGCCTGGGCCCGTACGACCGGACACTCTGAGGCCCAGGCCTGTACGACCGGACACACTTTGACCCAGGCCTGCCTGTATGACCGGACACGCTGCGGCCCAGGTGGTGGCTTCCATGATAATTTGCATTTTAAAACTTCAGAGCAGCAAAGGAGGGACCTTCCCAGCAAGGCAGGGAGCTACTTGGTGTCCTGATCACTAACCTGGCTGGTCACCCTGAGCATCACTTCATCTCTCAGGGCCTCTGTTTCTCCGTATATAAGATATGGATTTGGGACTACCCCTTTTGGCCATAACACTCATGGGTGTATGATCTGAAGTTAATTTCTCCTTAATACAAACTCATTATCTTCATCTGTTATGTCTTTCAGGGCTGCTCAGAGGCCAGTGATTTTGCAGTGAGCGTTGACTAGCCGGCGCAGCGCTTGCTTTATTAGCCAGATAATTAATCCAAAAGAGACACAGGGTTTTCTCCAGATTAGTGGCCCACGCACTTTTGCACCTCTTTATTTAAACACCTACTATGTGCAGGGCTTGCATTTGCTGGGGCTCCAAAGACAAAGACCGCAGCGTGTCCAGTCGTACAGGCCTGGGCTGCAGCGTGTCCGTTCGTACAGACAAATAAATGAACAGCCTGGGTCCTCTGGGAACATCCCATCTAACGCCAGAACAAAGACTCCAGAGGCTCCAGAAAAATGCCCACATTCGGGACTGTATATCCCATTTCAAGGACAGCCGTGAAGCCCACCCAGCCCCAGAGAATCTGCAGAAGAACTAGCTCTGCTCCAGGAAGCCAAACAAGCGTGGTAACAACAGCAGTGATTCAGTGAACCAGGGCCTCTGGCCGTGGCAGGCAGGAGGGAGAATGGGGTCTTTTTCCTATTCTGTGATAGCTTGCTCTCTAATAGGGTAATCAGCTCCACCTCCCTTGTGCAACCACCCGAGATATGGGCCAAACACAGCAGATGTCCCAGTCTCTCTGAAATGCACAAAATAATCAGGTTTTCTCAGCGAAGGGGCAGGGTGGACCAGAGACTTCAAATATGTTCATGCTGCAGTTCTCCCCCCCAATGATTTCAATGTGCACAAAAGACTCTAAAGGTCTTTGTGACACAATCAATAATTTTTTCTGAAACCAAGTGGAGAGAAAAACTATTTCAGAGTGCTCATTTTATTATTTCCAGTAGTAAATCACACCAGTGTAGGGACTAGATTTTCTCATGCTTGTATATCTACTGACTCCGGTTTTCCAATAAGGCAGAGGCCACTCAAGAGGAGCTTACAGGGTGTGCCGAGAAGCGCGTCTACCAAAATGGCTCTAGGGAACAAAGCGAGGACAGTCATATAGCTGCAAAGCATTTCAGCAGCACACGGAGTCAGTTTAGGGTTGGCGGCAAAAGAAGAAGGAAATGCCTGATAGTCCAGTGTCTGCCACTTGCAGAGGATCATGCTAGGTCCCTTCTTGAAGGCACTCTCTGAGGTCAGCACTGAGATTCCCCGAGTCATGTATGGGAAACTGAGGCACAGCAGGGTTAAACACATAACCCTGAGTCACAGGACTCACCAGTGGTGGGGCCAAAATCCAACCGCTGGTCTGTGTGGCTGCAAAGCCTGTGACCTTTCTCCTGCAGCAGGCGAACGAAGCTGTTATTGGCAGCTGTAGGGGAACCTGCTCAGAACTCAAGGCTCACAGTGGAGCACGGTCAGCCATCACTCAGCCCACCGGCCACCCGTCTCCCTTGTAAGGAGGCGAGGCTGGACTACAAGATTCATAAAAGGCCAGGGTCAGTAGTGCTCAATCCTGAATAGCACAGAGTAAGTGCTCAATAAATACTTTTAAATTAAAGAGTCAGGGAACAAGCTCCAGAAAGCATGGCAAATATCCAGCAAATATCCAGAACAGAGTTCTTATTGCTGAGTCACAACAACAGTGACACCAGCTAACATGTGTTGAGGGCTTCCTTGTGTCCAGACACCAGGCTGGGGTTGATATGGATTATTCTATTTAAATGTCATAATCTAAGAGGACAGTACAATTACTACTTACATTTTACAGGTGGGGAAACTGTGGCCCAGAGAATGTAATGCTATACACTTCCTCCCCCAAATGACTTACAGAATACAGGACAGCGAGCTGGCCTAGGGATGAACTGGAGACTCAAGGCCTAGGCTGAACACCGGCCACACGGTTTAACCAGCCACATGACAGTAGGCAAACCCCTTCACCATTTAGACCCTCATTCTCTTCATCTCAAAGTCAATGTGGAAGGCTCAGCATTGTTCCATGGGTGCAGTGATCTCAGGAGCCCAGGATGTTTAATACATGTTATAATTATTCTTTTTGCACGTTTTTGGGGCTCAAACACCTGCAACATCAAACCTCAATTACCAGGAAAAAGTGACCCATTTTCAGAATAGGGGTCATTCTGGCTGTGGTGTATTTAGACTACAAAGATGAGTGGTACATTCTAGTTGCTGTCCAACAATTTTTCCTTGACACAGATAGAGAAATGAATGAAAAGCAGCAGCCCAGAGTATAATGCACAGAGACTACAGATTAAGGACAGAAGGAGCAGGGTGACTCTGTCCACTCTCAGGTCCCCAGAGTCCCCTTGCCCACTTTGACCTGACTTCACGAAGAGTGAAAAGGCTGCAGGACAGTGGAAGATGCCCGGCCCAGATGTCCTTCAGGACGGGCAGAGGAGAAAGGTCTCGCATGGACACATAGCTCACACGTTCAAAACCAACTGCAAATCATGATTCTGCAGATGCACGATGCACCCTAGAATGAATCCATTACAGGCGGCGCGACTGAAAGGGGAGCAGCTGCACACTCCCCACCAGATGGCCTTGCTGATCCGGGTAGTTCTAAACATTGTTTTATTTCCAAAGATGAGCAAAATAAGAATCTGGTTAACCCTTCAATGAGAAGAACGGCCTGAAAACCCTTCATTGGAATTTATTTCTTTCTGATGGAAAGACCAAGCAACCCAAATAAATGGCGAGGTCCTCTGGAGGGTTTTAGAGCCAGGCGAGTGGAGTTTCTCCAGGGGGTCACCTGAAGTCAGCTGACATTCATTTTCTGCCCCCAGACAGACCCAGCCCTTACTAAGCCTGCCAAGAGGTGAGGAGAACAGCTCCAGTACCAACCCAGCTTGGCTGTAGGGACCTCAGGAGTGTGCAGAGGTGTGCCAGCCCCCATGCAGTGTATGCACAGGTGTGCCAGCCCCCATTCAGTGTGTGCACAGGTGTGCCAGCACCCATGCAGTGTGTGCACAGGTGTTCCAACCCTCCCCCGTGTGTGCTGGTCTTCCCCAGGAGTGTTTGATGTGCCAGCCCCGCCCCCAGGAGTGTGCAGAAGTGTACCTCCCCCAGGAGTGAGTGTGCAGAGGTGTGTCTGCCCCCCCAGAAACGTGTTGTGCCAGGATCCTCCAGGAATGTGCAAAGGTGTGTCCCCCCCGAATGTGCGAAGGTGTGCCAGGCCCCCCAGGGGTGTGTGGAGGTGTGCCAGCCCCACCAGGGGTGTGTGGAGGTGTGCCAGCCCCACCAGGGGTGTGTGGAGGTGTGCCAGCCCCCCAGGGGTGTGTGGAGGTGTGCCAGGCCCCCAGGGATGTGTGGAGTTGTGCCAGACCCCCAGGGGTATGTGGAGGTGTGCCAACCCCACCAGGAGTGTGCAAAGGTGTGCTTCCCCCAGGGGCATGTGGGCATGTGGAGGTGTGCCAGCCCCTCTACCTCCAGTGTGCAGAGGTTAGCCAGGAGCTGTATGAAGCTGTAAGACAAACTGAAGCTTCCATGTTTAAAATATTCGAAATTTCAAACATTGAAAACATTGTTTTCAAATGAAGTTATATCCACGTATATACTAACTGACACAAAATTTGCAGAGATCCAGCTTGCCTTGCTGGCTGCAAGCTGTCGGGGCCAGCCTGGGAAACCCCAGGGAGCTCTCACTGTCTTTCACCTTTGAGTACGAAGAGGAAAGTTTGAGAAGCACTGGTGTAGGGAGAAAGGGAAAGGAACCAGGATGAGCTGCCATTTTATGGCAGGCATCAAGCTGGGAACCTGCTTCCTCTCATCTCTTTCTGACTTTTAGACAACGCTAAAGGTAGGTGTAATCGCCCCATTGTGCAGATAAGAAAACGGTGGCTCTGGGTGGGGTGACGTGGCTTGCCCTAAATCACACTGTAAGTAAATGGCAGAACTGGATTTAAACACAAGCTGAAGCCCAAACTGCCTCTCACTTCATGGAGGATGGGACATGCACATTCACATTCACTCCCTGATATGGTTTGACTGTGTGCCCACCCAAATCTCAACTTGAATTGTAGCTCCCAGAATTCCCACGTGTTGTGGGAGGGACCCAGGAGGAGGTAATTGACTCATGGGGGCCGGTTTTTCCCGTGCTATTCTCGTGATAGTAAATAAGCACGAGATCTGATGGGTTTATCGGGGGTTTCCGCTTTTGCTTCTGTCTCATTTTCTCTTGCCGCAGCCATGTAAGAAGTGCCTTTTGCCTCCCACCATGATTCTGGGTCCTCCCCAGCCAGGTGGAACTGTAAGTCTAATTAAACCCCTTATTCTTCCCAGTCTTGGGCACGTCTTTATCAGCAGCGTGAAAACGGACTAATACACTCCCCACACAGTTTCCCATTGTTGATTGTGGGTAGCATTTGGGGGGCTATGCTTTCTGTTTACACATTCCATCTTGCTTCCAATTTTACTTACATAGAGCAAGCATCACTTTTGTAACTACAAAGATAATAAAGAAAAAATAATAAATGTTGCACAAAAAATGGTGTGGCAAATAGAAAACGGACTGGGCCTAGGCCTCCAGGACGTGAGTTCACGTCCAGTAAGACACGTCTCTGAGCCTCAGTTTCTTTATCTGTTGAAAATGCATGCACTCCTTGCCTCCCTCGTCAGATCAGGTGAAATAGGGAATTGAAATGAGGCCATAGGACCACATAAGGCAAGGCAGAGGTGGGCTAAAGACTGCGCAAAGCACCAGTGGGAAGCTCTGTCCAAGCTGCACTGTGTCCCCTCCTTTCTCAAGTTATCTTTGAATTAATAACATCTTTCCTCCAGACATACTATAAATCATTAAAAAAAAAAAAAAAACCCTTCTATTACCATTCAACTCCAAATGACAGGCCTGGGAGTGCAGCCGGGAAGGACATTTTCCCTTGTCTTCTCTGCCACTGCAATGGAAAACCCCAAGCAGACCACAGAATTCCCTGGAGTGGGCATGCATCTTTACACACACGCACAGACCAAAGGAACTCCAGGTCCAAGAGCAAAAGGGACAATGTGACCCCAGAGGATGCTGTTTTATGAATGTTCACCAATGCCCAAAGAGCGTTTGACAGAGGCAGCCTAGGATCTCATCCCATACAGCTGCTGGGCACATAGGAACGGGCACATACCCTTGTGGAAAGAGAAACATGGCGGGGAGGAAAGATGAAAAGCCAAAACCCAGAGGCAGGTGAACATCCACACGTGCCATCTGGTTTGTATCAACCCCTTACCGGCTGTGTGCCCTCGGGCAAACTGCTTTGCACTTCGGTGCCTCCCTTCGCTGATCTGTAGCAGGGAGATTAACGGCAGTACCGACCCCATGGACAGGCGTGGAGATTAGACGGGAAAATCCCCACAAAAATATGCCCATAGTGCCTGCCAACTCCAACTGCTCAACAAACGGCAACCACCACCACCAGCAGCCTCATTTCTTTTTCTTTCCTCCCTCCCGTTTCTGCAAACAGGATCTCAGCTCAACAGTAAGGACTTTGGCCTGGTGTATAAAGACCCAGCCGAGCCGGAATCAGTGGCCGAATACTTTTAAAAAGGATGAAGGGAGCCCGAGGCTCTGACAGTGAAGTGGCTGGCCCTAAATCACACTGCAAGTAAGAGGCAGGGCTGGACTTAAACGCAAGCTGAAGACCTCTCACCTCATGGAGGATGGGGACATGTACTTTCACATTCACTCATCAAGCAGTTTCCCATTTTCAAGAGTTGGGGGGCTTGGCTAAAGCTGCATGCAGACCAGCAATGTCTGAATAAAACTGCTTTGGAGAGGCTGGGAGAGAGCCCTTCTCCACCCTGATGTGGCCATGAAAACGCTGGTCCCACCAAGACACCAGGAGGCAAAGAGAGAGAGATCCAGACAAGAAACTAATTAAAAAATGGTCATTTCAGGCTGGGCGCAGTGGCTCATGCCTGTAATCCCAGCACTTTAGGAGGCCGAGGCGGGTGGATCACCTGAGATCAGCAGTTTGAGACCAGCCTGACCAACATGGTGAAACCCCATCTCTACTAAAAATACAAAAATTAGCCGGGCGTGGTGGCAGGCACCTGTAATCCCAGCTACTCGGGAGGCCGAGGCAGGAGAATCGCTTGAACTCAGGAGGTGGAGGTTGCAGTGAGCTGAGATCGCACCACTGCACTCCAGCCTGGGGGGACAGAGTGACACTCCGTCTCAAAAAAAAAAGGTCATTTCAGACCCTCCTTCTCCTTGTCAATTTCCTCTAGCTTTTTAGATAACAGACCTAGTTTCTGATAACTCCACTCAGATCTAGAATCTAGATTTCCAACCTCTGTAAAATAGGTCAAACAAGTATTTATTTATAGACCTATCACCCAAGACACTGAACTTGGATATGCCCAGTCCATCAAAAATGAATCTTTTTCTTTTCTCTTTTCCATTAGAGACAACCTAAAAGTGTTGATGGGGCATGGCTCGAAAAAAAAAATCTCACTAAGTTTCAGTATTCAGAGCTGGAAAAGTGAACATTCAATAAATATTATAACAAAGGCATGTTCCCCCAGAATACCCACATCTCTCCGGAGCACAGCGAAGACCTTGCTTAAACCACCGCTGTCTTGCTCATCCTGTCAAGAAGCAGGGGCAGCTGCCAGCTCTGGAAGGAAAGCCTTCTTTTGCAGAGAGGTAGAGTAGAGAGGGGAAGGGAGAAGTGAGAGTCAGCAATACAGCGTATGAATCAGACAGCTGAGCTTCCAGCGTTGTTTTGTGTCCTCAGTGCTATGTAAACATGATAATAAAAAAAACTTGTTCAAAAAATAATAAGTGGATCTTGGCTGAGGCACAGTCATCTCCCACAAAGCAAACGATCTATGGTATGAGAAATTAGTAACCTCTCTGAATTAATCACAGAAGAGTGGAATCTTTCTCATAAGATCTGGAAAGAATTCAGGCCTCATTATGAAGGCCAGGACTTTCTTGCAGATAGCAGATTTCCTCCTGGGCTAAAACGAAATCTCAAAAAAAAAAATAGACTTACGAAAAGTCATTGTAGCTGACTGGTTCAAGCTGACTGGTACAATCAAGACCTGCTCTGGTTTCTGTTTCGGAAAAGTAAATATTTGATCAAAGCACACAGTTTTCAGACCTGAAGTCATTTCAGATTAAGTAAGAATTTCGCTTGATGCAGTCAAAGTGCCTGTGTGATGGCCTCCCCATCCCCAAGGCCTTCCCCATCCTTGCAAAGGTACAGCAGTGGCCACGGAGCAGAACGCAAGCCCCTGACTGGGAGTCCATGGGGATTCAGGGTGCGCAGCGTAGGCACAGCCCTGGCGCTGTGGGGCTTGCGGCCCGGGAGACACCACGAGATCATGAAACAACCATACCCACTCTGTGACTTTGGGCAGGTCCCCCAAGCCCTGAGCCCCTCTTCGTTGCTGGGCTGTACCTGGGAACATTCAATCCCCCTTGCAGCACTGCATCCCCCCAACCCCACCCCCGAGCCCCCACTCCTGCTGGCGGCCTTTATCTCGCTGTCTCTGTGTGTCCATCTCTGCCTCTCCCAGCCTCCTTAGCCAGATCCCATTTTCCCCAACACCACTGGCCCTGCTAGATGCATTCGCTCTTGCTCACCCTTCAGATCTCAGGCAAGGACCCCTTCCCTGAAACCCCAGACCACACTGGCCCTGCCCTGATCCTCCAACCCTTCCCACTTCCGTTTTTTGTGTGTGCTTGTCTGACTAGCATCCGCCTTAACCAGCTGACAGTCCTATCAGCTCTGTGAAGGCAAAAGAGTCTCTTCTTTTGTTCGCTTTTACAAAAAAAAGTCCTGAAGAAAATTCTAAAGGTAGGCAGGCAACACACATAAAAACATAGCCCAGTCATAAAGACAGAATGCCCAATACATGTTGGGGGCGGGGGTTAAATTTAAAATTTGGGCTGAGCGCGGTGGCTCTTGCCTGTAATTCCAACATGTTGGGAGGCCGAGGTGGGAGGATGGCTTGAGCCCAGGAGTTCAAGACCAGCCTGGGCAACAAGGCAAAACCCCATCTCTACAAAAAATTTAAAAATTAGCCAGGCATAGTGGTGGTGCCTACAGTCCCAGCTACTTGGGAGGCTGAGGTCGGGGGATCTCTTGAACCAGGAGATCCAGGCTGCAGTGAGCCATGATCATGCCACTTACACTGCAGCCTGGGTGACAGAGCAAGACCGTATCTCAAAAAGAAGAAAAAAAGTAAATAAGTAATAAAACTTGGTAGGTTTTACAATTCTGCCTCTAGGCTTAGTCTCTATGTCACTGAAAACCTGTTTCTCCATGACTTTCAGGCAAATTGTTGTCACCCAACCCTGCTGTGGGACTGCTGGGGGTTGGCCCCAGGCTTCACTGGCCCTGGGGTTCCCGACACCCACAGAGAGCTACTCCCTGCCCCTCCCCCGCCAGTCCTGCTGGGAGCAGACACAAGGGTGATTCTGCGGGCCCCATTACGGCAGCTCATTCCCACCAACCTCAAGAGCCCCTTCCTGCCTCTTCCAAATTAGCTTTCACCCTTAACAAAACATGCCAAAATGATATGTCTCAGTAAATTATATGATTCTTACCTGTGGCCAGAAGTCTTGTTTTTTCCGTTTTGTTTTGTTTTGACCCATTCTCAGTTTCGTATAACCCTTTCAGGCAAATTTCTGCACCCAGAAGATATAATTTTTCAGCACATGCCGCAAAATCCCAGGTACTGAGCTCAGGACAAAAAAGAAGGGGGAAAAAAATCCCTCCTCCCTTTTGGATCATTTGCATTCCTTTCCCGTAAAGGAAACTTGGAAACGTTTCAAAAGCATCGAGTATTCGGAATCAACTAAAAACCCGAATTCTTCTGTCTTTTTGTCTTTTTTTTCTTATTTGGTCCCCTCAGTCACTTTTTCCCCTCTTCTACCCTTCAGAAAAGGCAAAATACCAGTTACCTATCTAATAAAATGAGTGCCTCCATTTAATCAATTTGAGAGATTCACTGGGTTTTATGGGAGGACTAGATTTGGGGGTTTAAAACATTATTCCTCAAGTTACAGAGTGTTGGGCTAGGAGAGCTTTGAGCGTCGACCAGCTAGGGGAAGGGGGAGGAGGCTGAAATGGAAAGAAAGAGACGGATGTTTCTCAAACTTCTTTAGCTAACACACTGCGAGTCTGGGACTCGAACCCAGGGCTGTCTCTCTCCACCACCGCCAAGACGTGTTCTGTCACTGCTTCTGCATCTATTTCTGGGACTGACCCACACCTCCTCTTATGTAACTGGCTGGGGGAAAGAAAAAAAAAAACGAGTTTACACGGTCACAAAGCAATTTGCAATTATCTTCTTTCTAAATATTCATAAGCTGGGATTATTTTCCCCTTTGGATGACAACACAGTCGATGACATCGCTGGAAAGTCTTTGGTTGACTTAGTTTTTCTGAGGTTTTCACACCCAAAACCTTGAGCAAAAATGAAGGATGATGAACAAATCCCAAAGGTGCTTTTCCTTAGAAATGGCCAAAAGCGTTCACCTTACAATTTAAGCAAGAGGTGGAGACCTTTCATCTTAGGATGGGGGCACCCCACCTGGGCTGCCATGCACCTCCCTCCTGGGGAGGTGGGCTCCAGCCCAGCCACAGCTCATTTCCTGGGCTGCGTCTCCCTGTTCCCCTGAGCAACCAAGCCCAACCCAGCCACAGCTTTCTGAGATGAAGCCAGCACTTTTGGTGACAGCACATGCCTTGGGCTTAGCCTCCTCCTTTTGTCCCATTCTTCCTATCCCCACTAGGACCTGAGCCACCCGCAAGGCGCTCTGCAGCTGGGGCAGAGGGGCCATTTGCACATTCCAGAGTAACTGGCTGCACTTAGCACTGTGCCGGGCATGCAGCCCCATCTGAGTGACAAGACAGTCGCACCCCAGACTCCACATCCTGCACTTAGTGCTGGGAACACCAGGACTTCTGCAAGTGGCAGACTTCCAAACTCCCTTAAAAATCTCTTTGGGGATCACAAAGAAGAGATTAGGAACATTTTTCAGAGCATGAAGCCCAGATATTTATCGTCCATGGATATTTTCTGGCCAGTGATCACATTCACATCATTCGTGGAAATCTCTGGCATCTACTGCACTTATTCAGACCAATTTGCTCAGTAATCAGTGCAGGTGCACTTCTGTCCTGCTTCCTAAGATATGCAATCCAGTTGGGCATGGAAGCCGCTAGAACAGAAGCTCAGATCCAAACTGAGGCACTTGAGAGATCACACTGTCGGAACCTCTCATCTCCCAGATAAGGACCAGGAGCAGGCCATCTGCCCCAAACCAAGGCTGACTTTCAAGCCTGATAAACAGGGAAGTTGGAGACTTCTTCTGCATGTTGGGCAATTAAGCTTATAAGTGGAAGTCTGCGCCCTCAACTACTTTCAGAAACAGATTTAGAAACAGATGGTTTTTGTGTTTTTGGTTTTTTTGAGACGGAGTGTTGCTCTGTCACCCAGCCTGGAGTGTAGTGGCATGATCTCAGCTCACTGCAACCTCCGCCTCCTGGGTTCAAGCGATTCTCCTGCCTCAGCCTCCCAAATAGCTGGGATTACAGGCGACCACCACCATGCCCCGCTAATTTTTGTATTTTTAGTAGAGACGGGGTTTCACCATGTTGGCCAGGCTGGTCTCGAACACCTGATCTCGTGATCCGCTGGCCTCGGCCTCCCAGAGTGCTGGGATTACAGGCGGGAGCCACTGCGCCTGGCCTAGAAACAGAAGTGAGTATCATTTCCCCCAAGGAGAGTTGGGTTTTCAAGTTTCATTAAAGGTTGTGTCTGCGGGTGCAAAGTGAAAATGATACATTGAGGCAATTATCCAGATACGTAATGTCAAACTACCAGAAACTTTGCCTTAATTAGTGAAATAACTGAAGCAAAAAATGAGTATATGCCTAATTCCCGGAATAGCTGGCTCGAGCTCTCACCTGCTCGGGGGGTCAGAGGCAGAGCCAAGGGGATGGTGAAGTCAGTCCCCACGCTGCAGTGGTTTACATGCTGACCACTCGGGAGCAGAGTGGCAGTTACCAGGACATGGGTTATCTAGACAGCTGGAGTTCTCATCCTGGCTCCACGGCCTGACACTTAGCCCACCTCAGTTCCTTATCTGAAAAATGGGGATGATGTGACAATATGTAGTCTAATGGAGCCACAGGGAAGACTGAGATAATCCATGGGAAGCACCAAGCAAGGACAGGGCACCTGGGAAGTTCAGGAATCGTTGGCAGTGCTCCTCATCATGGTAACCATCACTGTCACTGTTATTCCTGTTTCCACCTGCTCTTTGGCTTTTTAGCTGATGGGCCGGGTACATGTCCAGTCTGGTCTGTGTCACACACTTCCACATTTTATTCCAGCGTCTCCTAGAGGGCTGGCTTGCTGAAATGCATCCGAAATGAATTACTTTGCTGTCTGTTGCAATAACTAGTCCTTCATATTCAAATCCAGAAAAAGATCAAAACACATATATTTTAATGTCTTCTAAGTCCGTTGTGAAAAGCATCACTATGCTCTTATTAAAAATTCTGCTTTCATCACCTGCCTTAATATCCCTGTTCTTGAATTAAAAAAAGAAGTCAGAAAGACAGAGGAAAATAGTGATTTTTAAAGTAAGACCTTATCTTGTGAATAACTGTAAAATGTTCTATTTTAATAAGAAACACAAATTTTCAAACAATAAAAAGGGGATCATTTTTACTTTAGAATGTTCCACCTTATGGTATTTTGGGCCCTAAGTATACAAAGAAAGCATACAAGGAGATAATCGAAGCTAGAAAGTATCAGAACATGCTTTAGCATGTCTCTGTCTGGGCTAAGCTGGGGTCAGATGTGAATCAGACAGGACTAGGCAGGATGAGAATGGCCTCTCAGGTGAAAAGGACAGTCCCTTGTCTCTGCACAGACATCCATCGGCTTAGCATCCCTCCCCAGAGGCCTCTCCCAAGGAGGCAGGTCTGTGCTGCTAGGCAAAGTTGCAAACTCCCACAGATCAACATCCCGTTTGAGTTCCTACATCCTGTAGTCCTCCTGAATATAGAGAGGATGGGTTCAACTGACTTCTGCAGGCTCAGCTCTAGTACAAATCAGTGCCATACAGATAATAAATATAGCCAGGAAATTCAAGAGTCTTGCAAAGTTCAAGTTAGTCCCTGTTGTTTGGGGGACCCCCCCCCCAACTATTGGTGATATGGCACAGATGGAAATGGGGCAGAGGCACCATGAACAGAGTAACATTGCAAGAATCATCGGGGCCAGGCTCGGGGAATTTGGGACGGGGAGTCCAGGGTCTCTGGCAAGTCTCTGAGTCATCAAGATGAGTGAGCCTCAAAGGCAACACAGGGGAGAACCATGAACAAGCAGTGACACGTGCAGGGCCCGTGGCCTGGGGAAGGCTGAACAGGGATGGACAGTTTACGGTTTCACAGTTTTAAAAATTTGAGTCACTGACTTTAAACAGGTGAGGCAGAGCAGGGGACCCAGAAAACAGGAACAGTGCTCCTCCATGAGCCCCTGCCATAGGACACCTGGGCAGAGGCCAGCCTGAGCCTGGACCTTCCCAGTCAGCCAGCTCATCCCTCGAGGAAGGACGCAGATTTTTCTCTCATTGCCTGCCTTTAACAGTTCTGCGCTCCAGGCCTGACCAAACCAGATTTATCCATTAGGTTCCATGACATGTGGAATATACTGAGGGCAAAGAAGTCACCCCAAGATGGGAGTTCCCCTGAATCTAAGGTGTCACTGTGCCTCCCTTTAGCTGTAGGACTTTGGACAAGTGGTCCCGCCCATTTCCTGGGGACATGCAGAAAATGGTGATGTCCCCCCCAGCACGTTGTCAGGAACAAATGATATAGCCTGGCTGTGTGAGTGCTTTGTAGAGAGCACACAAAGGACAGGATTTTTCTTTGCAATGGAAAGTAGTTGCTGTGTTGTCCAAGAAACAGTTTCTGGAAAAAAAAGAAAAATCTGCACTTACAGATCTAGAGTAAAAACACAATGTAGGTCTGAGGTTCCTAGCCAATCCCAAGCCAGAGGCCCCTCTGGGAATCTCTCCCAAGGGAAATGCATATGCCCACCTACGGGGATGTCACTTCAGGAAGGTCAACATGAAGGCCATATTTGACCATCAGATTTAAGGGGCATCCTCCAAATGAACCCATTCAGTAAAGTTTTTTTGTTTTGTTTTGTTTTTGTTTTGACACTGAGTCTCGCTCTGTCACCAGGCTGGAGTGCAGTGGCTCGATCTCGGCTCACTGCAACCTCTGCCTCCCAGGTTCAAGAGATTCTTCTGCCTCAGCCTCCTGAGTGGCTGGGACTAAAGGTGCACACCACCATGCTCAGCTGATTTTTTTTTTAAATAGAAACGGGGTTTCACCACGTTGGCCAGGATGGTCTTGATCTCTTGACCTCGTGATCTGTCTGGCCGGGGCCTCCTAAAGTGCTGGGATTCAGGAGTGAGCCATTGTGCCCGGCCCTCAATAAAGATTATTAAAGCCCTACTCTATGTCAGGCTCAAGTGTAGAGCCCTGGGATGCAGCAGTAAACAAAACAAGTCCCTGTTCAGCTGCATCTCGCAGGCTGGTGGGGAGGCTTCCAGAATCCAATGAAGAAGAGGGCAGATGACCTCAGACGGGCTGAGCACCATGGATGAGAACCCGCCGACCCACTACCAGGCTCACCTGCGAGTCCCTGCCTGCCACAGACTCCGTAGGCTGCCCTTCACGGCACTGTCTATGGGGTCTCTTCCAGAAACAGCGGGGCAAAGGCAGGAGGCAGAAATAAAACCTAATTTGCTTTCTGGGCCACATTCCTGTAGCTTAGTATTTGGCGGTGCTCTCTACCCCACTGGGGTAAAGAATTCAATTTGATTTGATTTGATCTGATTCTAACTTAAAGGCAGAGTTCTCACCCTGACCAGCAGCAGGCCATGTCCCACTTGTGTGAGATGCAGTGCAGCCCAGGGTGAGACGTGCTCAGCTCTCTCTTCCTAGCCCAGAGCGTTAGAGAAGATTCTCGTTTTCTAAAGGCACTACCTGGAGGGAACGGGCAGTTTCCCTCTTTGGGCAAAGTACCCAAGGAGATGGACAGGCCAGCCAGAGCCCAACAGACCCATCACAGGTGGCCTTGTGGCCATCTATAGGGCCAGGTGTGCCATCAGCCTGAAACCCTGCTCCCACGTGAGCCAAACAAGGGGCCACAGCTGGGGCTTCTCTCCTCTCCTCCAACTCCCTAGCACTCTGAGTCAAATTCCAGCAAGAAAGTGCCTCAGAGCAGCACTGCCCAACAAAAACAGAGTGTGAGCCCATACCTAGGTTAAATGTTCCAGGTGAGGTTAATTTTCATGTAGTTCAACTCGAATAGACGCAAAATAACCACTTCAACATGTAGTCAGTATAAAAGTTATTAATTAAAAATTTGCATTTTTTTCATACTAAGTCTTCAAATTCCAGTGTGTATTTTACACTTAGGTCCATCTCAATTTGGATGCTACATTTTCATCTGAAGTACCTGAGCTGTATCTAGATTTCATAAGACTTAGAGTCGGAAAAGGAGTTATGGACCCAAGCTGTTCCAAACATTCTTAAAAGTTTTCTAATAACTGAATTAAGTATCTGCTTTTAAATTTAAATTAGTTAAAAGTAAATGAGATGTAAAATTTCCATTCTTCGGCCGTCCTAGTCACATTTCAAGCATGACCCTGTGGAGCAGCAGACACAGAGCTTGTCCAGCTCCTCAGAGAGCTTCCTGCACGAGGCTGCTCAGGCCAGGCGCTCCTGGAGCGTGAGATCTGTTTCTTATTTCCTCCATTCCTCTCCTTACCCAGCCTCTCATCAAAAGGGTCTGGGAAGTCACTGCTTCCCCAAATTGAGTAAAACTCACCTAAGGCATTTGTTACCAACAGCTTCCAAGCCCTGCCCCCGATTTACTGAATCTACTTGGGGTAGGGAAGACAGCCGGGCAATAACCCGGGCACAGGTTTTCCTTCCTTCCAAGTCTCCTTTAGCCAGCCACTGCCACTGTTGTGAGTTACAAATTTGACAGAGCCAGGGCAGGACACACACCCCAGCTGGGGCTCTGCTGCTCAGGGACAGTGCAGAGTCCTCTCTTCTTCCACTTCCTGTGTGGTTGGGGAGACCAGCACACCTGCATTCGGAGTTCTCCTGAGCATGCAGGAGGCTCAGTAAATGTCAGCTGCCTCTTCCCACTGCTCTGGACCCCTCATCACACCAAACAACAGCTTTTGGCACAGGGAAAGCTCTTTCTCCACCTAGAACACTGGGTTGGAAGTCCAGGGGGTGGGTGCAGAACCATTTGGTTCTGAGACTGGACTGATCTACAAATAAAAACCTTTCTTGACTGAGCCATTAAATGGTGGCAGCTCTCAAGCCCTCCCAAGAGAAAACCCAGGCCAGCTACCAGGCCAGCCACCAGGCCAGCCACTTTCATCTCAAAGATGAGCCTGGAGGCTTTGCTTCATTGCATGCAGACACCCAAAGCATGGAGACTAAAATGCTGAATTCTGGGCTCTTCTCAGAGACCAACCAACCCCATCCGCAAGTTCAGAAACAGACTGGCTTCCAGTGAAACGTGACCACGTGGGCAGAACCCCAGGAGGGACAGGTGCATCTTTCTGGGGCATCCCAGAAGCCTTATCTCTTCCAGTGCACCCATTCAATGCAAAAAGGGCCAGCTGTTATCCCCCAGGGTCTCTTCTTTTTGGGAACTTGGGCAGAGGACAAAAGGGAGTCAGTCTCACCTTACATTTTTTCCAGGCTCTTATTTCATCTTTCCAGAGACTCATACGCTGCTGATGGGAACGGTAAATGAGTACAATTGTTTGGAACACTGGCATTATCTACTGAAGCTTGGGCGTACTCACTCCCAAAGACCACAATTCCAATCCTAGCTACGTGCCCAACAGAAAGGCATCCATATGCTGATCAAAAGACATCAACTAGAATGTTCATTGTACTATTTGTAGGGCCAAAAACTGGAAATCACACAGTGTCTACCCACAGTAGAACGGACAAATACAATTCAGCTGCGAAAATGGACAAGCTTCACCAGGGAAGAATCTCACAGATGTAGTACTGAGCAAAAGAACCCAGATATAAAGGAGAACCACACAGGATTCCAGTTAGAGACAGCACAAAACAGGCCAAAAACCCAGGCCGCGGAAGTCAGGATAGCAATTTCCCTTGCATGGGTGCTGAGAGGTGGTTAATGACCAGAACAGAGCCCAGGGGTCCTGGGGTGCTGTCTGTATACCTGATCTAGGTACTGGTTGCATAGGTGAGTTCTGTTTGTGAAAATCCATCAAGCAGCACACTTAGGATAGATGCTCTTTAATGCATGAAGGTTATACTCCAATTCCTTAAAAGTTCACCAAAAAAAGAAAGCTAGATACATGGTGGTAAGTTTCTGCCCCATCAGAAACCAAGGAAGAGGCAAAGGGCACAGCAACCATTCGACAGGCGCATGAATGAGCCAATGCAGGCTGGTCCTTGCGCCTTGACCATGAAGGCGAATGTTCTCCCATCAGACGACGCCCATTTCCTTTCAGAGGCGCCAAACCAAAGCTCCTCTGTTTGTGCATTTTAAAATGGTTAACAGAGCTCGTAACCACTTAGGGCTTATTTTACGACCCGCCTCTCAGTCAGACGGCTAATGACCTCCAGTTGCCAGGTCTGATGGGTTTCCAGGGTCTTAAATGGCTCCTCCTGGGTGGACTCGGCCAGGAGGCTGTAGATCTTCCCCAGCCACATCCCGGGCCTGCTCACCTTGGCAGCAACCTACGGGCTAGGCACACACAGGGCAGGGGAGAGGTCTCAAATGGGGGCTTTAAAAGAGATATTTTCCACATAGTCTTTTTAGCCTCTTTCCATAGAAGACTTTCTCAGGACAGAAGTGGGTGTGATTAGCGCAAGCTCAAGTCACGCCTGCTGCACCCCCAGGGAAGGTAGCTTGCTCTCCCTCCCAAGATCTTTCCACTTCATTTCTGCAGGGCCAGTGCCCCCCGGCTGGGAAAGACACCGAACCCTTGCACTGATGCCATTAGACAGTTTCTACTTGGCAAGTTGCTTCAAGAATTTCTCAAATCTCTCAGTAGAGACAGAAAATCAGCAAGTCCCTGGAACCCTGGAGGCAGTGAGCAGGAGACACTAAACAGTGTGCCACCCAACTGCAAAGGGCACAATTCAGGTGGCAGGTAGGGGCGGGGGCCTAGTTGGGAGCATCGCCCAGTTGTGATCATCAATCCAGTCTCTAGAAACAAGGATTCTAGCACATTCTAAGCCTTAAAATGAGAACTCTGGGTCCAGGCACCTCACTGGGGACTTACATAACATCCCCCTGCACACCCAACACCTTCGCCACGTCTGCAGTCTCTGCCTCCTCTCCCTCCGCGCAGCTTCCTCCATTATGACCTGGAGCTCTCCAATGCACCCCGCGCCTCTGCCAGACTGGGCTCACGGCATCAGCAAACTTGCTCATAGACCACTTCCCGTTCCTGTCCCCAGCTCATCACAACTGAAATTAAATGATCCTTTGCCTAAGTGTTTCCACCTCATTCACCTCCTAGACTCTAACCTCCATGAGGACAGGACCTGGGCATGTCTCACTCGCCACTGCCTCCCAGCAGCCAGGGCTGACTTTCCTTTTGAATGCGGCTGTGCTAGGCAGTGGGGTGCAGTGTGTGGACAAGACAGACAGGCTCCCAGCCCCCGCGGAGTTAATGATGTTTTGCAGGGAGGACTGTTTCAGCACATTCCTCTTTTCATGTTTCTGTTTCTCTTTTGTGTATCAAGATTTTTCCCCTAATACTTCTAAGCCAGACTTATTATTCAAGTTCTCTCAGACTCCTACATCAGGTAATACAAATACTGTGAAGTTTTTTCCTATTATTTTGCTTTTGAAAGTGAAAACAATGACTGTGGATAGCTTAATGGGGAAAATAAATAAAGCCAGCTTTTGCTTGAACATGGAGGTGCTGTTTGTTATTTGCTGAATAAGTTAAGAACAGGCTGTGCATCCCCACGGTGGGGAGGGTACAATCCCAGACACCCAGGAACAGCACAGACCTCCCTCCACACATCTGAGGCTCCATGGGAGTAGCTTTGGCCTCCAGCACTGCAGGCTTCCTGCCCTGCTGTCTCTCCCCAGCCAGGAGGTATAAAGGATGGTTTCTTTCTTTCTTCAAGTGTCACAGCCTATTCAGGCCCATCGACTTGTGACAATGAGAGGAGAGCACAGCGTCCCGGCTCCCTTTGAGCTCACATCTCCAGTGACCTCTGTACAAACCGAGGACAAAGGGAGGAAAATCTAGCGGTGGTGCACAGTCTCTCCCCCAAGACGCTGCTCGGAAGAGATCTGACTTGGGCAGCTCTCTCCTGATGTATGCTGAGCACAGCATCCACCCCCTACACTCCCTTCCAATAAAAAAGTAACTTTAATGCTCATTCAAGAAGCCCTCTTCCAATTTAAAACCTGAAAAGTCCGGGCTTTCCTTGGTTAGAACCTCCCCTGTCTTTGGCAGCTGGCCCTGGATGCTCCTCTCTCCCTCTCCACTGGCAAAGGGGAAAGGGCAACTCTGAGTCTGGGCCAGCCTGCAGGGAAGGAACAAAGAGTCAGCACAAAGGAGTCCCGGGCCCTTCCAAGCCTCTTGCTCCAGGGAGAGATGCTTCCTGGGCGGGATTTTATTTCCTTACCAAGATGCACTATGCCCCCCTCAACTTTGCAAGGTGGCATTCTCCGGGATCCAGAATGACAAGGATGACCTACAGTGGCCCCTAAAATCCTAGACTGTCTCCAGGAGCATTTTACTCCACTGGGAGGAGCAGAGCTCACAGGGAGGACATCAGGGATGAAAAGCCAGGGGAGATGGGCTGCCCCTCTCTTGGGACTGAGCCACAGAGTCACGACAGACACACACATTAACCACACAGAGGTACTGGAGAGCCACTGTGTGTCAATCTTTTCCATTTTACAGTGAAAAATCACCAGGACTTGAGGCTTATACACACACATAATGTAGATGGGTTTTGTATTCAGGTTTTCTCTTCTCAAAGCTGAGCTGTCAAGTCAGTGAGTTTCATTAGAGAATGTTGGTCCTTGTCCCTGTCTGTTCTGAAGAGCCTAGCGGTAGACTGTCCCAGATTCCCGATGCGTGGAGACTGAGAAAGTCACATGAAATTTCCCCAGCAGACCAGGCTGATGGCTCCATGAGTTAGTTGATTCAGCTCAACGGGCATTTCCTAAGCGTGTGCTTAGGTCAGGCCTCCAGCCAGACCCCTCCCAGCACACCAAGGTGATTCAGCTGCAGCCCGTGCCCCCGGGGAGTTCACAATTCACACAAGTTGCTATAAATCACATTGGTCTAGGATCAGCATCCTACAAGATCCCAGAGCCAACTCCAAGGGCGTGGACCCATGGTCAATCACACAGGGCCCTTTGCTCAGAAACACCCTATACAGAATGTATTGTTCTGCTTTCCCTATTTTTAAATTCTTAATTTTTTTTTTTTTTTTTGAGACGGAGTCTCGCTCTGTCGCCCAGGCTGGAGTGCAGTGGTGCGATCTCGGCTCACTGCAAGCTCCGCCTTCCGGGTTCACACCATTCTCCTGCCTCAGCCTCCCGAGGAGCTGGGACTACAGGCGCCTGCCACCACGCCCGGCTACTTTTTTGTATTTTTAGTAGAGACAGGGTTTCACCGTGTTAGCCAGGATGGTCTCAATCTCCTGACCTCGTGATCCACCTGCCTCAGCCTCCCAAAGTGTTGGGATTACAGGCGTGAGCCACCGCGCCCGGCCAATTCTTAATAATTTTTAATATGCATTTCATGTTGCACTGCGTCTTGCAAATTATATAGATGGATCTGGAGATACTTAAAATGTTTTCTTATCAGGATTAAAGGAGAGTGAGAACACACCCAGAGTGCTGTTCTCATTCCTGGTATATGTTAGAGCCAAAGAACAGATACTTAGAGAACGGCATTCCACCTCAGGTTTAAAGCTCATCTTGGGTTTGAGCAGAGACCTTTCCTGGGGCATGTCAGAATGACAATCAGAATCTTACATTCTATACCAGGAATGAGGATAGCAAAGGCTGTTTCCATGAGCCTGTTTATCATAAGTCTGATCTCGAACAGCATCTTCTCTAATGCAGCTCTGCCTGAGGATTTAAAAATATGGGGCCCTTTAACTCATCACGCTAATGTGATTACACATTCATCCCCAGAGTCCAGACCATCCCTGAGGCACTCAAGCGGAGGCCTTGTCTGTCAAATTTACGAGCCGAGGCTTACACTCTTTCAGCCCCTTTAAATGGGAAAATCTTTACCTTAGTTGAGTGATGTGCTCTGTCCACCACCTAAAGAGAAAATTAGGCCCTCCAACCAGTGCCCTGCTCTGTTAGTTTCTGCAACTCATCCCCAAGCCTGTGCAGTTTAAACACCATTTACAAACAAGCTTAATTTTAACCTTCCTTTGTGGAGAATGCAAAATCAATTAAGTATATGCTGATAATGCCCTCGCATCTCGTTCCGGTGGCATCTCACAATTAATGCTGCCCATGAGGCCGAGCCTGAGCAGCTCGCACAGTCCTCTGGTTATTACGAGCCTCACTCGGCTCCAGAGTTGAGCACAGAGGGAGGCAGGCACAGCTCACTACATGGGGATTCTGCCTCTTTATAAAATCAGCTTGTAGATGGTTTAATTAAAATACACCAGAGCATAATTCAATTGGAATTGAGGCTCCCATCAAACCAAACTAGGCTGCAGAAATTCTACCAACCTTAAAAGCACCTACAAGGGGCAAGGTACAAATTTCATTTGGATGTTGCTTGGGTGTTTCTAGCTCTACGGGTAGAATTGTTTTCACCAATAAAACCACCTGCACTCAGAAATGGAAGGGACACGGCAGATCTCACACAAGCCTCTTGCATTGCAGGTAAAGAAACAGAGACTCAGAGAAGTCAGGACAGCCCCAGGGCACACAGCAGTCACTGTGCAGGCCTGAGCCAAGGAGGGAGCCCGGCAAGGTTAAGAACAAGCAGTCTCTGACTTCACACTGCCTATATTCCACGCCCAACTCTACCATCCA
The DNA here is from genome assembly GCF_000001405.40 of Homo sapiens. NCBI lineage: Eukaryota > Metazoa > Chordata > Mammalia > Primates > Hominidae > Homo > Homo sapiens. The sequence continues at coordinate 124,078,300 of NC_000010.11, forward strand.
GCTGCAGGAATGTGGGCAGGGTGAACTCCTCTGAACTCAGTTCTTACATCTGTAAAATGGGGATGTTAACTGTATCTACCTCAAAGGTTGCTGAGTGTATGAAATGAAATAAAGTAGATAAAACCTAAAGCATACTAAATACTCAATGCAGCCTGGTTTCCATTATCAGAACTCCAGCTCCCCTGGTCTGTCCTATAAACCAAACTACTGTCTAAGGTTCTTTATGTCTCAGAATCTCTCAGATCTGAGGTAGAAGGTCACCTCTGTGCACCCATCAGAGACGATGCACCCATAGAGCGCCATGTGGACCCGTGGAACCTGTGAAATTCATCCTCCAGTATTTGTTGAACTTACGGAAACGAATTTTAACTGATTGTCAATTGGAAGGGATTGAAACATCCTCTAAAAGACAAACAACAATGCTAAAGCTTATGAAATTCTAAAATGCTTCTAAAATGCTGTAGATCCCTAGGTTTAATAAGAAAAATAAGGTCTGCAGCTCAGTTAATGCTATTGTACCAGTGTCAGTTTCCTGGCTTTGATCATGTCTGAGGGTTGCATAAGATGTTCTCCCTGTGGGAAGCTGAGTGAAGGGTACACAGGGAGTCTACTATTTTTGCATCTTCTTGTGAGTCTGAAATTATTTCAAAATAAAAAATTAAAATAAAAGTATGAGGCAGCATATAGGAGTGCCAAGAGATTATGGGGACTCTGAGCAAGCATTCAGCATGTCAATACAGCCACAGCTGCCTGGTGTAGGACTCATGTGACTTGGGAAGAGATGCTGAATGAACAACTGGAATGATTCTAAACCAAACTACTCAGAAAAAAAAATTTCTTTTATCTTTCCATTTATTAAAATGTAGAAAAATTTATGTTTTGTCCACCATTTAAAAATTAGTCAACAACATAAAATGGAGATGTATATTACTGTCACAACTACTGACCAATATTTATTGGGAAAACTTTGCAATGTGACAAAGGATCACTCTTAAGGATGTCTGGGGAGACCAGAAAGAGATTTAAAGTTTATGAAAATAACTGATGACACAATCCGTTGAGGCCCTACTGTGTGTCAGGTTGACCAGCTGGTGTCTTGGGTGTGGTTTCCACAAGAAAGCCTGGCATTAACACGTCATTAACAAGGACGGACTCCATGTGGTATGGAGCAGTCCAGGAGTAGACAAGGTTCAGGGTGTCCTGATGCAGGACCTGGGAGGCCAGAGTGCTGCCCCATGGAGACCACGGTTACCCAGGTTAACAGCAGGACCTGGGATGGAGAGGCAGCCTGGGGCCCACTCCCTCGCAGGTAGGGAGGTGGCTGCAACAAGAGGACAACCAACAGGAGGGCCCTCAAGAAACAGAGGTTCTTACTGACGAGGAGACAGAAACAGCTGGAGGCAGCACCAGGAGGGAGGAAGAACTTCCCCTTGAGGGGGCTCAAATCCTGAGCAAGGGCCAGGTCTCTGTCACAGCCAGGGCCGGAAAGCAATGCTTAAAGAAGAGGCCAAATCAGCAAACAGTTTTCCATGCCTCATCCCCCTCCAAAGGGTTCCCGCTCCAGGACCTAGGCTGCATGGAACTGTCACCAAATTCAAGTTAACGGCCTGTGTTCACCTTTGGGAATTCACAGTCCTATTTCGGTCTTGTTTTTATGAGTGTGGTTTCAGCTGCCCACCCCAAGACGTACCCCCTCAAGCATGTGCTTACATAAAAATAACTCTGCCTCCCCAGCCAAGCCCTTAGTGAGAGGACAGGGATGTTGGGGTTTTGCTTTGTTTTTTGCTAGCCCTGTTTTCTGAAACTCTGCAGCAGCTGCAGGCCAGCGAGCATCGGACAGGTGTTCTTCACCCAGAGACGGGACGGGGAGAAGGCAGAGCTGCAAATGTCAGTGCAGAGGATGCAGAAGAGAAGAAAATCAACCCAGGCGTCCAATAAACCAAGTCTCTTTCTCCCGAGCATAAATGAATCCCATCCCATCAACAGGTTCTCCCCTTGGGGTCCTGGCACTGACTGTTCCCTCCTTCCAAGCATCAGACAGCAGCACCCTCTGAACATTCAAGAATCAACGGAGATGTCACCTTTGTGGAAAGGCCTTTCCCGCACACCAGCTGGTCACTCCAGCACATGGCCCTTATGCCTGTCTATTCTCTGATATTTGCGACCTTGTCTGCTGCCTGTCTCTCTCCATGAGGATATGCCCTCTGTGAGCACTGGGACCCTGTGTGTCTAACTCACTGCTAGATCCCCAGCTCCTAGAACAGCATGGGGTACACAGCAGGGCCTCAATAAAGAGTTCTTTTCACTGGAGGGTGACTCTCAAGAGGATGTGCAGAGCCTGAGTCAGAAGAGTTGAAGACATTGAAGGGCCAGGCTCCCCAATGTTCTTCTTGATCAAAGCTGAAGGATTAGGGCAAGTCACTGACTTCTGCAGGCCTCCGTTTCCCCAGCTATAAACAGACGATCTGAAAGACACTCACCATCCCTGCACTATGGGTCAAAGTTTTCAATTATTCACTATACTCTTGCCTGTTTTCCTTTCACCCATCTGTCTGTCCATCGGCCCAATCATTCTTTCCCATGGACTAGGCCCTGGGGATGCCACGTTGAATAAGACACATTTCCTGTTCTGAAGGAACAGATAACCTTCCAGTGGCAGAGACACAAAGGAAGCAATTCTGCACTGACCAGCTATCTGTCAAAGGAGACTCCTGGGCCTCCAGCCTGGGCCACTGTGGGGATGAGAATGGGGTCCTTCCCCAAGAGAAAAACAGATCTAAAATTCCACCACTGCTACCAAGTGATGAACAATGTGTGTTAGTTACAATCAGGGAATCTGAACATGAAACTCAAAGACAGTCACAAAGTCTCATCACAGATTGAGGACAAATGAGGCTCATTCCTGAGACCACTGTGCTAATTATCTGTCCCTTATCTTTGCCATAGGAGAACTGGAAATTCTCATTAGAAGAATGATTACAATCACTGCTAAGTTCCCTCAGCGTTTCTTAGCTAAAGAGCTTAACGAATCCAGGTCCATGCATGCACACACATGCACGCATGCACACACATGCACGCATGCACACACACACGCGTGCACACACACACAAATGCCCAGCATCCATCCCCGGAGACTTGATGTAACAGCTGATGTAGGACCAAAGTATGTGCATTTCTTTCAATAAGCTCCGTGGGGGTTGCAAAGCGGCACCCCTGATTTATAGCCACAGAGTTTCTGCCAAGTTTACTTCTTATTACAGTTGTAAAGGTGCTTTAGAATATCAGTGATAACAATGAGATAGATATCCATAAGGATTTTAACAGAACTTTCCTAAGCACAGAGAACACTCCAGCCACAAAACACTTTTATCTACCTCATCAGAGCTAAATGGTGCCTGGAAACATAAACGCTGGAAGGACCAGCCTGAGGACACAGCCGCCCTGTGGGACCACACCCCCAGGCCATGCAAGAAACCTGGCCCAGGGAGATCTCCCGGCCTGGTCTCCACATATTTCTTTCAATGCTTTCACCCAGCGTACCCTTGAAAAAACAACTTCCTAATGTATCCTGGAGTCACAATTACAGCCCCTTGCTTATTACGGGCTTGGCCAAATCAGATAAAATTTCATTCTCTGAATTGGTTCCTAATTTAATTATTCCCCGGATAAGCAGCCGGGCCGCCCATCACCGCAGGGGAGAAAGAACTAGAAAGATGCTGGCGCCACAAGGTGCTGTTCTTATTCGGCCGCTGGTGGATGGGGAGATGTTCTGGGCCTCGGACATCAGATGGACATTGGATGGACAGACAGATGGGTGAAAGGAAAACAGGCAAGAGTACATTGGATGACTGAAAACCTTGACCCATAATCACATAAAAGAGGGCAAGCTAACCACCATCTGTTCACCCAACCCACCTTAATCTGCTGCCCCAGGCCAGTCAAGAAGGCAACCTGGGGTTTTAGTAAGAGTTTAGGGAGAACTTTTGGAGTAATTGGATTGTAACTCCAAAAACCGGTATTCAATCCTGTCTCTTTATGTGTGGCCTCTCTGGCCCTCAGCTTCCCCATCTATAAAAAGGGGCTGAACCACGTTCGCCCGAAGGCCTTTCCAGCTCTAAAATTCAGACAATTCAGTATCTCAGCCAGGATCACTGACAGGGGGATCGGGATCCCATCTAAGAACAAAGCCTTTTCTAGGGCCAGGGAAAGAGTGTTGTTTAAAAAATGAATCTTATTATTAGAAGAAAGTGAAAACGTCTCATAAAACATAACCCTAGAAACGGAAACACATGTCCACACCCAAAGAAGCTTGTACACAAACGTTTATGGCCGCCTCATTCATAAGAGCCAAAGGTGGAGACCACCCAAATGTCTATCAATGGACAAATGGATCCATGAAACTGTGGTCTATCCCTGCGATGGAATATTATTCAGCCATGAAAAGGAAGGAAGTGCTGACGCATGCCACAGCATGGATGAACCATGACAGTTACACAGAGTAAAAGAAGCCAGTCACAAAAGACCTCATTCTATGTGATTCTGCTCATACGAAAGTCCACAATAGAGGAATTGGGCTGGACAGAGACAAGAAGTAGATTTGTGGTTGCTCAAGGCTGAAGGGTACATGTAGGGGAATGGGGAGATAAAGGGGTGATAGCTAAGGTGTACAAGATGTCTTTTTGAGATTAAAAAAAGTTCTAAAATTAGCTGTGGTAGTGGTTGCACGTATCTGTCAATATACTAAAAAACATGGAATTGTATACTTTGGGTGAATTTTATGGTGTGTGCATTACATTTCAGTAAAGCTGTTAAAGAAGAATAGATTGAACAGGTTTTTCAAAAGTCTGCTTTATGATTTTTTTTAATAAATCAGTTGAGAACTTTGAAAGATACACATGCATGTCCTTCGGCACTTCTGCGGCTTCCTAAGTGATCCAGCGGGTGACTTCCAGTGAGCACGTCTTCTCACCCTTTCATCAACCAAAAAAACTGCTGACTCAAAAGGGGGCAGGCCTGCATTTTTCTATCGACTTATTTCCATTTTAAGGGCCGAAAGCAAATTTATTTTCCACCACTCAAATGGCAACTGAAGCTTCATCTTCTTTTCAATACATCATTTTTCTTCTCTGAGCCAAATTTTATACAATGCAAAAGATCCCTGGATTTTCTATTGTCGATAGGTGAGCAAATGATTTTTTCTTTTCCTTTTTTTTGCCTGGAAGATGTTTCTGAGGAGGAGCTCACAGTCACCCAGCTCCCACTCTTCTCTTCTGTACATCTCCTCATATCTAATTTCTCATAGAAACTGCTAGCAAGTGGGTATAAATAGCTTTTCAAAGTTAGGACGACACAAAATGTCAGGCTGATACTGTTCTCGTTAGTCGGAGCATGCTTTCTTCCCCCTCATTTATTCCCACTAATAACTTTCTTAGGCAAGTTCAGCGTGTCCTAAAAGCAGCTATTTCCTCTGACTTTCACTATAATGCACTTGGATCACTGACCTGATGCGGCATGGGGACTCGGCCTTTCTGGAACATATTTTCTTTATTAAAAACTGTGACGGATGATGAGAGAGGATCACGCCACCATGGGTCAGGCTGGAGATGACCACAGGCGAGGAAGTGGTAAGCCTCCGCAGTTCAACACGCCCAGAGCTCAGAGGAAGATGGTCCTTCCCAAGGCTCACGGTTTCTAAGCCCACACAATGTTTCAGAGAGGGTGCCTAGGCAGAGAGATGTCAGACACTCTGAGGCTCAGGAGGCTGCACCTTTGCAAGGCAGAGCTAGGGAAGGAAAGACGGAAGGGTCTCTGCTGCCCCAAGGAGTCCAGTCCTGAGGCATCAGTGTTCAGTGGGACGGAGGAGGAGCTGACCCTCCCAAGGGCAGGGGCCACGCGCTGGCTGGGAAGCAAGGACAAAGGAAGCCCTTGGTACCTGCCTCTCGGGGAGTCACAGCTGAGGGCCCAGGACCCTCCTGGCTGTCTTCTCATCTGCCCTTCATCCTGTGATGAGACAAGAGGGAGGTTGCCAGTTGGGGGCCCACCTGCATTCGGTCCTCCCCTGCAGGCCAGCTGACCTCCATGGCCCAACCTTCTCCGTTAGAGCCTTTGGGCCAGAAGGTGACCATTGAAGGCTGCCCAGAGAGCCTTAGGAACAAGCTCCCCCATACCAGGGGCAAATGGCCTGCCCAGCTCCTGCTGCCCATCAAGCCCCCCACTACCGAGAACAGGCCGAGGCCAGACCAGAGATGACATCCCACCCACAGTAAGGGATTAACCAATCATCCAGGTTGTCCTTCATAGAAAAATTAAAGCTAAACAGCCCCCAGGAATCCAGTGGAGGAAGACACCACACAGAGGCCTTCACAGTTCACCTCTGAACCGGACATGAGAACCTCCTGCTCCCTCCACCAGACCACAGAAAGGGCACTAAAACTCCCGAACATCTTCCTAGAGCAACTGCAACTCCAAAGTCAAGCGTCTGGTTACGTGACACAGAGGTCAGCCAGCTGCAGCCAAATCCCCACCTGGATGTCCAGGAAACCAACAACAGAGAAGCCAGGCCCCTGATGATACCCACAAGATCTCGGCCAAAACTCCTCCACCCCACCGCCCTGAGCCGCTGCAGCTACCAGGCAGAACCATCAGAAGTGTGTGGAGAGAAACACAAGCCCTCGGCCCACACTCCCCGGGGCAACCCTGCTTTCTTGTAATCCTGGCGGTTCCTTCCATGCACAAAGCAAACAGGGTTTGGTGTGTACATTTGGAAGACTCTTTACATACACAGGTTCACAAAGCAGAGAAAATTAATCCTCAGTAGACCCATAGTCTGATTTGGGGTTTGGAAATTATAGTCCCTAAAAATACATGCCAGGACATACTTTATATTTTTAATGCAAATATTTACATTCCAAACAAAGGAGCATGGAACTTGAAGCCAAGCTATTTATACCAGCTATAAGAAACACCAGCAGCCTCCACATTTCTCGCCTGAGTAGACGGCTCCGCTTATATTCCTGAAACAACAACCAAATTTCCATAACATTTTCCCCTAAGGCTCTCAAGACACAAAAAACTGTGGTCACTATGTTTTAATAGCCCCAAAACCTAATGCCAGGAAATCCAAGGTTATTCCATTAGACTCTCGACTCCTTGGGAAATTGAGTGACAAGTGTGAGCTCTCCTGTGCCACACTATCAAACTCAGTGTTCACATAAAACCTCCAGGAGAACCTAGCCTTTGGAAGAATCATTTTTAATTGACGCGTTAATGCAGCACATGGCAGTCACTGGCCACTAAGTGAGAGTCCAGCTACATGGATGTACCGTGAGCCCCAGACACCCTCCTCCTGAAGAGAGCCTCATCAGGCTGGGAGAGCAGACTGCACCCAGGAAACTGGAGCCCAGCACAGTGTGGGACAGGGTCAAGGTTGAGAAATACAACAGAGGAAAACTGCAGAAGCTCAGAGGAGGAAGGATCCACACCTGGCTGGGGAAGGGAGGTACGGGGAGCAGATAGCAAGAATGACTGGCAAACGCTTCCTGAAGGCAGTGGGGGTGGGGGGCTCGATGATGAAGTAGGCAAATGTGGGGGCTCCCCCTCTCCAGTGGCCGGGGGACCCAAGTGTAGCCAGGTCCAGGCCCGGCTGGCCAGGCGTCTCGTTGCAAACACAGAACCAGGTCTGGTAAAAGCACAGGCCCTGTGGGGGGCTGGGACCAAGAGAGAGGAGGCAGAGAAGCTTCTCCAGGCCCAGGCTAGGAGTCAACCACTACCTCAGCTCCCTGTGAATTGCGTTCAACTTAGAATGTGACCTTGAGATCCATGGATCACCATTACCTCAATCATGCTCTGCCAACAAGTAGGAAAGAGATGTTCTTGAATTTAAAGCCAGATTATTTCCTACAGCAGACAACAACACCGATTTGACACACTGTGGCCACTTCTACCAAGTACGTACCTAACAGATGCCATTGACCACCCTCCAACCGTGGGCCGGGCACGGAGCCCAGCACATCATATTCCTTGCCACAGGGCGACTGTTCTCCGCCACCCCAGATGTTTCCTTCCATGAGGAGGAAGCTCCCCTGTGTAACTTTCCTGTTGTCTATACGTGGTGGTTTCTACACCATCCCAGGAATATGGAAGGAGGGCGTGGACATGACAGCCCAGCCCTGCCTTTCCCCATGGTAAGGAGGCCCTTCGCCCTGCTGGGAGAGGCTCCTCCAGCTCCGCAGGCAATGGGGTGGGCGGGTCTGCCTGACTGCCCCTGTTCCCCACTTCCTTGCCCACTGGTTCAGCCACATTCTCCAACAACAGCTGCAGTCGGGAACAGCCATCGCATGTGGATTTCCACCTGCCTTCCTCCTCCTCCTCCTCCTCCTCCTCCTCCTCTATCTCTCCATAGGTTTAGACCTCACCCAGAAAAAAGTGATTCCATGTGGGGAGCTCCCCTGAACCCTGAATTGTACTATTTCAAATACTCAAGCCACCCAACCAGGTAGAGATCATTAACCCCATTTTACAGATGGGGAAACCGAGATGCAAGCTAAGCCACTTGTTCAGAGCCACAGTAATGGGACGAAGCAGCACTGCATGAACTTGAACCTGAGTCAGCGTGGATCCCAGGCTCAACCCACTACCTGCCCTGCCCCACCCAGTGCCTATGCGATCTAACACCTGGGCTAAAAGAGCTTCCGTGTCACGGGCGCCAAATATTTGGCTGACAAGAAACGTGAAGGTACAGGTGAACTTACCGCCATCAGCATGAGTGAGCTGCCAGGGGTTACAAAAGGGAACACAGCTGCCCAGACCACTTTCGTGGAAGGGTAAGATAATACATCTTACACCTCTCTCGACCTCTTAGACTCTGAAATGCAGGCTCTGGCCTCCTAGCAAAGGTGCCACGGGCCCAGTCCCTCGGGACAGCTACCTACAGGGACACAGAAAAGCAAAAGCAGGACAGAACCTCCCTGAGATAGATCCAGGGCCACCCTGGGAGGGATGGGATCGCCACTTCTCCTTGTATGCCCTCCCCCTTGCTGGCCACACCACTATCTTTTTGACCACAGGGAGCAAAAGGGTCCGGCAGGGGCGTATTCTGTTTCAAGAGAAAATGCTAAGCCACCGAGTTCCAGCCTATTGTCAGAAAAACATAATTGTGCCTGGCCTGTATCTAATTATTTGCCCATGTTGGGGTATTTTCCAGGCACCTGGGTGCCTGGACTGTCTGTTTCAATATTTTTACCACAAATGCAATTCTGGAAAGTGTCCAAGTTTCCATTATAATGATACCCTCTGCTTTTGAGGATCTGCCAGCCTTACTTTCTTCAGAGATCTAAGAGGCCTGGGCCACGATAAGTTCTAGAAATGTAAAATAGGCATCAGGGAGAGCCTGCCGAAGCCAGGAGCCCCCACCCCCCCGCCCTCCAGGCCCCCTCTGGGCTCTTTTAAGCTGAGAGTGGGGTGAGATGTAACATTCACAAGCGAGCTACACCAGCACAGTTCCACCTAGAGCCACGCGGTCTCCTCTCTCTGGTTAATTGCATCAAATATGGGCACAGCGGAGCTGCTCCACAGCCTGGCTGCAAGGTCAGCTGAAGGGTCTTGAAGGGTAGCTGTTTACCAGTGTTCTCCTCGCACAGATGAGGAGACAGAGTCCAGAGAGTGAAGCCACCACCCTAAGGAAACCTAGCTGGAGCCAAGGCTTGCAGGGGCTCCTGCCTATATCCTTTGAGGTAGAATATACTGGAATCAAATATGGAGACATGCACGGTTAGGAGCTCCGGGGCTGAAGAATATCACCCGAGCCAGTGTTTACTGAGCACTTACTGGATGCCAGGCACTGTGCCAAGCACTGGCAGGTATTAACTCTGAAAAGACACCCGCCCTCAAGCCAGGGGGCGAAGTCTTCCCGGAACACTCCAATCTCAAAGTCGCTACCCCGGGCTCCTGCTGCACTTTGCCAAGCCCCATAAGGTGCCTGTCAACGGCGTTACATAACTCTGACTTGCACGAGCTCCGCCTCGCCCACTGATCTGAGTGCTGTGCTCTGTGCTGAGCGCTGGCTCTCTGCCCCCATGCACCTGGCCCAGGGTTGCAGGGCAGAAACGCTGCAGGTCCTGCTGCAGACAGCCTCCTTTCCTCTCCATCCCTTTGGAAATCAGCGAAGATGAGAAACTGCTTCCCACTTGCCACCTCCCCACAACTTAACCACTTGCTGATTCACGCCGCCTCCTCCTTCTGGAGCCACAGTTGTTCTTCTCCCCTCACCCCCTTATTTCCCTCCTGCCTCTACCGTCATTCCCAATCCCTCCTCCTGCACATCCGGATGGCTGAGAGCTTGGTGTGTGTCATCTCCAACAGCTTCCCAGCCCTTTAAAGGACACAAAGGGATATACCTGTGTGACCTGTCTAGCAGAGGGCCAGCTTCAAACCTATAGGGACGCAGCACGTGATAGGTCTTGCGATGAACTGTCTTCCTCCCCAACTCCCATAGTTACAATTTAAAAAATCTATGTTGGCCCAAATGGACACAAAACCTTTCTCCTTCTTCCTGGACACTCCTAACTAGACACCTAGACTGGACACACTAATTAGATAACTGTTCCATTTATGGTCCATCTCCTGCTGTGGAGACACAGGTCTACACATAAATCATTTTGTCCCAGTGCTTTATTTGAAAGGAGAAACTATCTCAGTAAAGAAATCAGACCCTCATACTGCAGGCCAATGAAGAAATGCCTTGAGCAGTGGAAACACTCAGCCTCCCAACACTTAGCCAGCTAAGTGCAAACATGATCTCCTCATTCACAGCACTGGAACAGAGTGACCCTTTGAAGTAACTTAATCTCATACCTGAGCATCCCCTTTACAGACCAGAAGGGGAGGGAGGCTGCGTGATTCTCACCAGTGACTGAGTCACTTCCAAATCACAAGCTGCTAAAGAGAAGTCCGCTGGCTGATTGCTCAGATCAATGACACTCCCAAGTCAGCTACCACTTTTAAAAACAGTCTCTGCTTTTAGAATTTAGACGACTCTTCTTTCATACAAATATGCTCCAAATGGCATCTCTGCAATCCTGGGCCTGCTGAGGCCCTAGGAACGGGGACAGGGCCTGAACGTGTAGATGGGAAAAATGACAGCTGCCAATTACAGGGAGTGTCCACACCTCTGGGAGTTTCTAAGAGGCCTCAGCCCAGTACAGTGGAGATGAAGGAGCTGGCCAAGAGCTGGAGATCAGAGACCCCCTGACTTTCCACTTACTGGCTATGTGACCTTGGGCAAGTCACTCCCAACTTAATATCATACCTGAGCATCCCCTGTTCAGGGGGTGGGTGCCTCCCACCCACTGCTCTGAAATTCAATGTCCACACCTGAAAAGGAGACTCCTCACACTCCCCCGAGTCCACCCTCCACTCCCTGACCCCTGCTCCCAAGCCTTGCTTTGCATCACCACCCTTCTGGGCTCTTATGGCAGCTTCTGGACCATTTGTCTGTCTACACAGCCAATTCCGCTTGTCCCCATCCCATGAGGGCTGGGACCCTGTCTGTCCTAGCCCCGCCAAATCATCCCAGAGGCTCAGCTGTAGGATCTATTTGGTGAAAGGAATTATATGAAAAGGTTCATGCAGATGACTTTCTACATCATGGCAATTCATTCAACAGCTGCTGAATGAACACATGGCACACGAGTACATGAAGGAGCTCTGCCCGCCTCACCTCCAGCCTAGGGACCTGGCCGCAGGCATGATGGGCAGCCATCAGTTCTTAGTCCCTGGGCCCACAATGGGTGTGGCTCCTGTGCCCTGCTCTCTGATGCAGTGACACCCTTCCCAATAGATAAGCACCGGGCCAGATGGCAAGCTTCAGACCTCCTGGAAGGGCACTCACCCCTAACCCTCTACCATACTTCTAGAATTTGAGCCCACATTTAAATACCCAGGCTGGAGAATCCTCTCGAAAATTCACAAGACCTGTTGACACTGTTTTCCCCCCAACTGGCTGGAGCTGAGTCTAGTCTGTCCCCTGTAGATGGGCATGTGCTCACCTGTTCAGGACAGCCCTGGGGTCTCCCTCTTCTCCCCAGCCCCCTCCACTAGCAGGGGACCTTCCAGCCGAACTCGAAATGGCTTGGACTACCACAGTCCAGCACTAATCTACAGCTTCCCCTACTGCAGACTCCTGGGGCCCAGCTAGTTAACTTGGAATTTCTTGTCTGCTGTTTCTCAAGACGCCAAATAAGTAGAATCCGCTTCCCACGTTACCAACCTTTCCCCAAACACTTCTTCTTGATGCAGGAATTAATCTTCTCTCTTCCAGGCATGTGAAAAATCAAATGTTTCTGATATCTCACTTTTCCTGGCCAGGGGCAGCAGCAACCAGGGATGACAAAGGTGTGGAAGGAAACTGCAGCCCTCACAGCAGCCACGGTGACCGTGCTGGGTCCCTGGCCAGGACAGTGGCTCAGACATGGCGAGCTTTGATCATCCAAGAAAAGCAAGGCACACATGTGACCACTGTGGGCCGACCTGCCTGCCACCCCCCTGGACAATATCCTGGATGAATTACCCCTGCATGCTTCACCTACAAGCCAGCTCACTGCAATCATCCAAAGCCCAGAGGAGAGAGCCGCAAAGACAGGGTTGGACTTCTGCAGAGGGCTCCTGAGCTGGCTCTCCTCCGGAGCTGGACTTTGGAGGGAAGCCCAGACCTGCAGCTCCACCTCCAGCTCACCTATGTGCCCACAGGAAGGCCATAACAAGCCACTTTACCTCACCAGCTCTGTGTGCCCATCTAGGAGGTGGCAAGAAAGAAAATCTTCTGACAGTTTCTCAGGAACTTGGGGGAGAAAAACTTGTTTGCAAAAACCTACCTACTTAGAAGGCATTTTTATTCCTATACTACTTTGAATAAAATCATATATGATCTATGTATGTCTTTATGTATCAATCAAGAGATCCTAGTTCAACATTCAGTTTGTAAAATTAGTAAGTGCCATGTTCTGGAAGGGAGGGTTCCTGATTTTGCAAGGTTGCCGGTCCTGGGAGGAGAAGCAGGAAAGCGGGGGATGGATAATGGTCCAGGAAGGTCCAAGGAGGGTCCAGGAGAAACGCTGGGCAAATCTCTAGGCCTCAGTTTACTTCAGGGCCCCTCGGGGGTGCAGATGCCCTCCGAGGCCTTTCTGCCCCAACGCTGGGTGGCTACCCTAACCCACCGAGGCATCCCACAACACTCAGGAATTGCAGCTGATAAAGAGGGGCTGGGGGCACTGCTAGGGCGCCCAGAGGCAAGGTTAGCCCCTTTGCTCAGCCTCACTGACCGGCTTGTCACATCCCTCTGCGGGGCATCCCGGAGCCACACTTCATTCCCGAGAACTCGGTACAATTAACTTAACCAACGTGAACAAGGCGAAGGCGCCCAGCTGTCACAGCGGCTCCGCGCACGCAGGCAGACGAAGAAGGGCCCCCGCCCCCAGGAGCTGGTCCCAGCCTCCAGCCTGGCAGCCTCCTTCGAAGACTTCCCTACACTGGGCGCGGACCTCCAGCCGCCAGCAGCCGGCAACCCAGCCCCAGCCTTCCTCCTCTATACCCGCCGTCCCAGCCGCGCCGGCCGGCCCCGGGCGCAGGGCGGGCGGGAACGTGGGCACCCGGACAGCGACGGGGAGGTCAAGCAGCTGTGCCCAGGACCCGGGCGGCTCCGAAGCCTCAACACGCACACACTCGCGCGCACGCCGGCCCATCGGTTGCCTGGAGGAGTCGGGAAGGTGCTTCCACGGCTCTTCATTCATTTTCCCAAAGGCAAGGTTCCCTTCGCCCCGGCGCCTCTATCCTGCCATCCCAGGGGGCCAATTGCGCCACAGCCCGCCACCCAGCCACCCACAGCCACCGCGTCCTATCTCCCGGCACACACAACCCAACAGACTCGCATTACATCTCCACCGCCAGCGTCGCCTCCGCGCCCCGGCCGCTGCCATCCGGCTCCCCAGCTTCGCCGCCCCGCAGCCCCGGCTCCCCGCCTCTGGCCTCACCGCGCGGCTCAGAGCTGCCTCGCTCGGCTCGCCGCACCAAGGCCGGCCAGAGACGCCGCCACCGCCGGGAAGCGCCGGCAACTCCCGAGTCACGCCGCCTCCCGAGACGCGGCGGGGCGCAGGGAGGGGACAGCAGTGGGGGCGGGGCGGGGAGGAGGAAGGAGGAGGGGGCGGGGAGCAAAAGTTCACACCGCTCGGGGCTCAGCCGCTCCCCTATCTCTTCCCAGGCCCGCCCCCGCCATCCCCCTTCCCTGAACCGGGTCCCACGGGCTTAGGCGCGGGAGAGCTCTGGCCTCCCCGCCCGGAACCGCCGCAAGGCTAGAGCCAGGGTTCTGGAAGCGCATCCGAGCTCGCAACCGGGGAGAGAGTGGCGGATGCCCACTTACCTGCCCCGGGCCGCGCCTGGAAACTTCCCCAAAGTGCGATAGGGGTGTGGGGGCGGAGCGCAAGGCTGGGGGGAATCCCCGTCCCCTACCGCCAAACGACGCGCGCTCACACCGTGAAAGCACTGGTCTGTCCGTCGGTCGGTCCCCCGCCTGCGGCTCCCAGAGCTGGGCGGTGCAGGGGCGCCCCGATTCCGACTACTGGGCTCCTTCTCCCGGACAGCCCGCCGGTGCGTTCCACGCGGCTTGCGCCCCCCGCCGGCCTCCGGCTATCCACGGCGCCACCACGCCACTGCTCGGTCCCCTGTCCCCTCGCTCCGGCCGCGTCCTCTCTGCGAGGGAGGGGGCGTGTGTCGCCGCTGGGTAACCCTTCCCGCGGGGTCCTCAAGCGCGCAGGGCGCCCGGAGCGCGGCCAGGACCAATGGCGAAGGGACTCCTCCCGCTGGGGATCGCTGAAGCCTCGGGGAGGCCGGGCCAAGGAGCCCGGGGCCCAAACCTGCCTCGGCTCGTCGAGCTCGCAAGTTCATTGTCTGCCTGGGCCGCCGCCGCCACCGCCACCGCCACCACCGCGCCGGGAGCGCCGCGGGGAGTGAGGCTGCGCGCCGCCTCCGCCGGCCCGGACTCCCTACGCCCAGCCCCGGCCGCCGCCGGCGCTGCCTGGCCCGAACCCGCGGAGGGGCGCCGGAGCCCCGAGCCCAGGGCCAGACCTCCTACCGCCGCTCCTCGCCGACCCCACCTCGGCGTCTGGCACCTAACTTGTACCTGAGAAGCCTGAGTCCAGCCCGGGAGCCTCTGCGGCTCCGGCTCCGCGGGAGCGCGCCCAGCCCCGAGCCTCTAGCCCCGCATCCAGGGCGCGTCAACCTGACTCCCCGAGCGCTGGGAGGAAAAGTTTGGGAGTGACGTGCAGACGGCGAATGAAACATCCGAGGAGAACCCTCCCCCCGCCCCATGTCGCGCTGACACACATCAGCTCCAGTCTGGAATGTGAGATCAAGGCGTGTGCGCCGAGCGGTGGGTTTGGCCCCTGCCCCCTCCCCCTCCGAGTCAACACTGCTTGTGTGTTGCGGTGATTCCAAATAAAAGCACATCGAAACCCCTGAAATCTGGCAGTGACACCTTGCCAGATACTTCTTTTTTTTAAAGACAGAGTTTCGCTCTTGTTGCCCAGGCTGGAATGCAATGGCGCGATCTCGGCTCACTGCAACTTCCGCCTCCCGGGTTCAAGAGAGTCTCCTGCCTCAGCCTCCCGGGTTCAAGAGAGTCTCCTGCCTCAGCCTCCCGAGTAGCCGGGATTACAGGCATGCGCCACCACGCAAAATAGGCTAATTTTATATTTTTAGTACAGACGGGGTTTCTCCATGTTGGTCAGGCTGGTCTCGAACTCCCGACCTCAGATGATCCGTCCGCCCCCCCAACCCAAAGTGCTGGGATTACAGGCGTAAGCCACCGCGCCCGGCCGCCAGAGACATCTTTAAGGAACTTGGCGGTCTGGAGCCAGCCCGTACATTAATATTCAAGGCCACAGCGCTGGTGAGTTCGGCGCCCTCTGTTGTATTTTTGCATCCCGGGAAGGCTGGCCCGGCTCTTTGGCCCGGCGTGTTTTGCTTCCGCGGGGGAGGTAAAGCTCTGCAGGACCCCGATCGCCACGGCCTGCCGCAGTGGCCTGGAGTCGGCTGCCCCAGGGAACCACCTGGACAGCCCGAGGGCAAGAAAGCGGCACCAGTGGCCGACTCCACTGACTCTGGGCTGAAGATGCCATCAGTTAAAGAAAAGACACATGAAATTCTGGCAGATTCGCTCAGAGGGCGCTTGGAGCACCAAGCCCAGCCTCTCAGGAAACTGAG
This sequence comes from Homo sapiens, assembly GCF_000001405.40. Classification (NCBI taxonomy): domain Eukaryota; kingdom Metazoa; phylum Chordata; class Mammalia; order Primates; family Hominidae; genus Homo; species Homo sapiens. Next base: position 124,094,551 of record NC_000010.11, read on the forward strand.
GTCCAAGGGACAAAAAGAATCTGCAGTCTCTTGCCGGCCTGTGTCCCCGTGGCCAGAGTCCAGCACCCTCTTCCTCGAAGCAACCAGAAGTGGAAATGAAAGTGCTCCGTTAACTGTAGACTACATGCCACCGAAGGGTCATTCCTGACAGTGGCTTCTCCCCATTATCTCTTTATTGCCGGAGGCTTCATCTCGCCCCCCTGAAGCTACAGTCCACCCTGAGGTCATAAACTTCTGCTCAGCACCCATGGCAACTAATGCAGAGGTCACCATCAGAGGATTATAACTGCAGATGGGAAACCGGGATGAGAGGGGAGTTCTTTAAAATCCTGTCTTGTTTTCCTGCAAATAATGCCTCTTACATAAAATCTGCGAAGAAAGATGAATGCAGCAAAGAGACTTGCCTTAGAATCTCAGACTAGATTGCTTTTTCCATATAGACTCCACTTAGTGATTTTTGTTCTTTATTTTTTTTTTAAACAAAAACCTATTTCTGAAAATACAACGAGCTGCTTTTTGCAGGGTTCACAATTCCCAATAGATGATGATGCCATTTTTCAAGGTCTCACACACGTTGTGGCTTTGGGGCTTATTTATTAGCTCCCAAGAAAAGCCTGCCTTTCAGTGAGGTTTATATACTCGAGTAATTGCATCAGGGGACACAGAGCAGGTTGCTGTTAAAGAGGGTTGGTTGTACATGCGTCTGCAAGGAAGGCCCTGGGCCAGGCAGCTGTCAGACCAGTGTGCAACGGGTTTAAACAAACACAGGGAAGGGTCTGTGGAAACAGCAAGGAGGAAATCCCCTTCTGTAAGGGTGTGTGGAACATTATTCCAGGGCCACACATACTGCCAGGGAATAATGCCTTTCCTCTCCTCCCTCCAAGTAAACACATAACTCCGTTATGGAGATGGCGCTGGGCCCACCCAGATCACTTTCAAATTCAGGTGTCAGAAACCACGGTTGACATGGAGCAAAATTGTTTTTAAGTAAAAATCACGGTGCCGCTTTGATATGAATTCCACCAGGGACTTTCCAAAGGTATTTATACACGTGCCTGAGATTAACTAGAAGGTGATTTTTTTCCTTTCAACCTTAATTTCAAAAAATTACCCAAGAATTGCACTTGAGCCTGTTACTGCAGAGAATTGAAAGAACACCCAAATGCCAGGTCCCTGTGGATGGGTGGAAGGATAGACAAATAAATGTGTAACTGCAAGAGAGGTTGATACCAACATGGTATTAGCAAGTCACGGCTGAAAAAAATGCAGATACCGGCCAAGCACGGTAGCTCACGCCTGTAATCACAACACTTTGGGAGGCCGAGGCGGGTGGATCACTTAAGGTCAGGAGTTCGAGACAAGCCTGGCCAACATGGTGAAACCCCGTCTCCACTAAAAATACAAAAATTAGCTAGGCGTGGTGGCGCAAGCCCGTAGATTCCCGGGAGGCAGAGGTTGCCGTGAGCCGAGATCACACCACTGCACCCCAGCCTGGGTGACAGAGTGAGACACCCTCTCAAAAAAAGAAAAAAGAAAAAAAAATGCAGATACTTTCAGAAAATAAATCCCCGCTTCCCGTGTGTGCACTCTAGGCCCCCACAACTGTGGATTTAAATTGCCTGGGTTCAAATTCTACTTCTGCCACCCACTAGCTGAGCAACCCTGGGCAAGTCACTTCTTTCCATGCCTCAGTTTGAGGCTTCTGGTAGCACCTACGAGCAGTCAATTGAGCTGTTGATCCCAACTCCTCACTCTCCCGTGGTGGTTATCACACGTCTGCATCCTTGTCACAGCCTTCCAGTGCAGGGACTGTACTTCCCCATTCCTTGACTTTGGACTTGCTTTAGACAATGAGATAATGGGGAATATAACTGGATCAGAGGCTTGGAATGTGCTTGCAGGGCCAGACCTGCTTTCCTCTGCTCTGGTGGTCCACCATGAGACGAACATGTTGCTGCCTCTTCCAGAGAGGCTTCAGAATGAACACACAAGGAAGAAACCTGAACTTGATTCGCTGTCTGGAGCCATGTCACTCCACATACAGCAGGACTCAGAGCTGCTTTAGGCAACCTACAGAACATGAGCAAGGCAGGGAAAATGCTTATTGTTGCAAGCCACTGAATGTTGCAAAGTGTTTTGTTACACAGCATTGTTGTGGCTGTAGCTGGCTGATACATGGCCTCAGTGGGCTAGTGTCAAGACTGAAGACAAAGTATTTTAAAAATACTCAGCACAATTCCTAGGACACAGTAAGAGTTGAAAATAGTAGTTCTTATTAGTAATCATTATTATTGCAAGTAGTTTTACCCATGATAGTCACATAATTGAATGTTTGTTAACATGCAATTACGTAATGAGGTTGAATCCATGAATAAGTATAACTTGAATAAAGATTCTGTAAGAGATGCTACAAGGACACCAGCAACCTGGAATGTCAGGGACTTGCCACAATCCTTAAAATCACATTCACTCACTCACTCATTCATTCATTCATTCAGCAGACACTCTCTGAACACCTGCTGTGTGCCACTCACAGGGCTGAATGTGGGAACCACTAAGGTCACTAAGACTCAGCCCCCTCCTGAAGAAAGGGACCTTCAAAGTCCCACCTTGTGACAAGCACTGTGCTAAGCACTTTCCCATGCCTATGAGGCCAGTATTACTTATCCCTATTTTTCAGGCCGGGAGACTGAGGCTTACAAACCAAACACTCAAAGACAAAAGGCCATGCCTATTCCATGAGTGTGCACCAGTGCCCATGAATTCAAATTCATAGTGGGCAGACCCATTAGGGAAGCGCTGTGGGGCAGGGCAAAGAACGGACACACCTTGTCACTCTCTGCCTCCTGCATGCTAGGAGGGGCTCAGTAAACACTGAGGCTCAGGAGCCCCAGGTCCTGCTCCTGCCACTGAAAAGGGCTGCACCTGGGTGTGAGGGAGCCCTTGGGGTCATTGCGGAGGACTTCAAATTCATTTTGGCAGCCTTGGCTTCAGATTTCTGCCACCTCTGCCACCAGTAACGACCTGCCTCCCACTCTGTGACTTTGACAAATTTAGACTGCTCAATAACCTGAAGTGCATTTCAATTTCATAAATTTAGCAATGCTCTGGTTAGGCGGCTCCCTTCTGCAGTAATGCATCCATTAAGTGCACTTTAAGCCCATTTTGGTATGCTAATCCATCACAAATCCACGTGAAATTTGGGTTCTTGTGAAAATTTCCTACACCCCATCCAAAACCTCTACCGGATTTAGGACAATAACAACTAGTGGTTCCTTAGAACAGCAGACTTCGGCTCTGCATCAAACCTTCAGTGAAAAAAGGAATGGGGCTTGTTTTAAACCAATGTCCAGACTTGTATATTCACGAGCGCCGTCTGCTCTTACAGGGTCCCCCTGAGGGGCGGTTCGCTTGTTCCAAAAGTGCTGCTGCAGCTTTAAGATTTCAGAACTCTATTCCAGAGGAACGGAGTCCTGTATGTCTCTGCATGCCCCTCCCCTAGCTCAGAGCCTGTAAATGTTTACGAATGACCCAGTTGGAATCACCTGGCTTGATTAGCACTTACTCATCCGTCAGACTTCGTTAGCTTCATATGATTTTCACTATGTCCTGATGAAGACTGGGGATCCTAAAATACAGGCAGAAGCCTCCGAAGGAAAATCAGATGCAGACCCCCAGTGCCTCCAGGGATGACCACATCATCATAATGGTGCAACCTGTTTATCCTACAGCCTCTGAGGCCGGAAGGAATACGCAGCCAGTAATTGACAATACAAAGAACCTACAGGTGATAAAAGAGACATAATGTCATTGTTATCACCACGTAAGACTCTGTTGCTACCAACTGTTGAAGGACAGCACCTATTAAGTAGATGTTTTTAGCTGCATAATAGACATTTCGCCAATAAGATAAAGTTTACAGCTGGTAGCGTTCTCACTTACTTGCTTCTGTCATAAGATCTACAACCCATTCAACAGCAAAAATGAGCTGTTGACTTGGTAAATTTAGAGCAGCGTCGCCTGCCCTAGATGTGAAATACCTCAGCCTTCTAAATAAATTTCATCTTCCTGGTTGAGCATTTAATGCAGTGAAATGTTACAAAGCGGTGCTTAGGAGGATAATAGAAATGAACACCCACAGGCAGACGCGGCGAGCAGTGCATCACGACGGGCACTCCTCCCTAGCCCAGCTTTGCTGCCAGCTCCAACCCAGACCTGCTTCACCCCCACCACCCCGGGCTCTGTGAGTGTCCACTGTGCACCTTCTCAGGTGGCGCCTGTGGGAGAAGTCTCCATGACATCTTTACTGCTGCTCCTTTACCCCAGTTCAGTGAGCCACCGTCCTCTTCCCAAGCCTGGCTCATCTTGGAAGTACCCGGACAGTTTTCAAAATGCAGATGCCTAGGCCCCAGTACCAGAGATTCTATTACAGTGGGGTGGGGCCAGTCATCTGAATCAGAGTGTCTGGGGTGGCACCTGGGCACCTGTGGATTTAACAAGCTCCCTCAGCGCGCATTGACCTTTGAGAGCTGCTGGTTTGGACCGGTCTCGTGTATCCCTCGGTGCTGTCACAATAGCCTCTTCCTGCTACTTTCCCTGCCTCCTCTCCCGACATCTGCTAACTGGTTCTTTCTACTTACACAGCCTGGGTCTTCCCAAAACACAGATCTGATCCTGTCAGCCCCATGACTAAACACCTTTGATGCCCATCCTTAGCGCCTCCCCTGCACCAACAAGGTTAGCCAGGTCCGAGTCCACATTGCCAGGCTGTGCAGCTGTGGTCCTGCCTCTTCCCTGGGCCCGTCTCCCTCCCTGGCTCCTGGACACCCATCAGCTCCATCCACATGGCTTCCCAAAGTGGCTCAGGGGCAATAGACAGAGTGGTTCTGAAAAGATGAGTCCTGTGACAATGCCACCACAGAACACTGGTGTCTGCTTCCAGGGACTCCCTGCTCTTAGATGGGGGTTGGCTCTTAGGAGTTGCTTAGACAAAATTGAAGCCTGCTGTGGGTATGGCTGTGGGTGTGGGTGAGAGCTGGGGGCGGGGAGTGGTGTGAGCACCTGTTCAGGGGTGTGCCCCACCCCCACCAGACCCGTGCTAGGCTCACCTGAGCACTTGGGACATGGGCTGCAAGCACCCAGACTCCAGCTCTGACCTCAGCTCCACTCCTCCTTTGCTGTGACCCCCTCTGAGCCTCACATCCCTCCCCGTGACATGAAATGTGGAAGAGGATTCTCTTCTGGGACTGTCCCCTGTCAAGGGTCACCCAAAATCGGTATCACTCATTGTGAGAAGTGAACAGAAAGGGATTTCCTCCCTCTCTGAATCGACCTTCTGTTGCTGAGTAAGAAATTACCAGAACTTCATGACTTAAAGCAACATCCTTTTTTTTTTTAATCTCACAGCCTGTAGACCAGAATTCTGGTGGAGTCTCTGCTCTGGGTCTCACAAGAATGAAGGGAAGGTGTCGGTCAGGCTAGGCTCAAACCTACCGGTCCTGGGGAGGGATCCAAGTCTTAGCTGCTGATAAAACTAAGGTCCCCATTTCCTTGCTGGGTGCCAACATAGGTGCACTCTCTATGCTTAGAGGCCACCCCCATTCCTTCTATGTGGCCCTCTCCACCTTCCAAACAGCAACAGCATTTCAAGTCTTTCTCACTCTTCAAACCCCTCTGCCCTCCTTTTCTGCCAGCTTTTAAGGGCTCATGTGATTCCATTAAGCCCACCGAGGATAATTCGAAAATAACCCCCTCTGCTAAAGTCAACTGATTAGTAACCTTAATTACATTTGTAGAGTCTCGTTTCTTACGTAACCCAACATATTCACGAGCATGACACCAGGGCACAGGTAAAGGTGATGGGGGAAAAGGTCACAATTCTCCAGAGAAACAGAACCAATAAGGATGTATGTGTAAATGCACACATGTAGGTATTTGTGCACTATAAGAAACTGGCTCACATGATCATAAAAGCTAAGGAGTCCTGGCCCACAAGTCTCTGCCTGAGTCCGACTCTGAAGGCAGGAGGGGGCCGGCATCCCAGGTGAAAGACAGTGGGGCAGAGAGAGAGAGGACTCTTTCTTACTCAGCCCTATGTTCTATTAAGGCCCTTATTGAATTAGAGGAGACCCGCCCTCCCTGGGGAGGGCAGTCTGCTTTGCTCCGTCTACCAATGCAAATATTAATTTCATCCCAAAACACTCTGATGTGGTTTGGCTGTGTCCCTACACAAATCTCATCTTGAATTGTAGTTCCCATAATCCCCATGTGTTCTGGGAGGAACCTGGTGGGAGGTGATTGAATCACAGGGGCCGTTACCCTGGTACTGTTCTCATGATAGTGAGTGAGTTCTCATGAAATCTGATGGTTTTATAAGGGGCTTTCCCCAACCTTCACTCAGCATTTCTCCTTTTTGTCACCATGTGAAGAAGGGCATGTTTGCTTCCCCTTCCACCATGATTGTAAGTTTCCTGAGGCCTCCCCAGCCATGCTGAACTGTGAGTCCATTAAACCTTTTTTCTTTTTAGATTACCCAGTCTCTGGTAATGTCTTTATTAGCAGCGTGAGAATGGACTAATACATACCCCAACAGACAGGCCCAGAAAAAAATGTTTGACCAGATATCTGGGCACCCCATGGCCCAGCCAAGTTGACACAAAAATTAACCATCCCAGGGGTCATTTAAAATTCGGCCTACCTCACCCTTTGTGTTAGGAGTTCCAACCAGCTAGCTTGTCCCACTTCTTCAGGAAATATTTTCTGAGCAGGCTCCAGGGACATCACACATGAGCCTCCAGGACTCCCACCCACCCTTGGGAGGCCCACGGTCTGAAAGGCTACAGACAGGGAAGAACCAGGTGCCATGTGCACGTCAGGGCTGGGGCAGGTGGCTGCCCCCCATCAGGTGCAAGTTCTTGTGCACTCAGTGAGAAGCCAGCCCAGGCAAGTGTTCCCAGCCACATCACTCCAGGCCATGCTCAGGGATTTGCTTTACACAGGGACTCCCTGTGCAATGACTGACTCACCATGTTCTTTTGATATAGTCACACAGAAGCAGTTGACACTGAAATATACACAGGTGGAGTTCTATGGTGGCTGGGAGTTGCTTCAATAATGGGCTGTGGGATGAGCTGGGGGTGTCAAAAAATGAGACCAGCCAAGGTCATTGAGGCTGGCTGGTGGCATGCTGGCATTCATCCCTATTTCTGGTCTATATTTGGAAACATTCATTAAAAAAGGGTTTTAAAAATGCATTTTAAATGACAATTTTTGTCTTCATCACAAAGGAAAAACCACCATCATTTACCATAAAAAAAATCACAAAGTAAATACAATGAAAAGAAAACAAAGGTTACTCAACTCCAGCTAGGTACTAATGAGTCCTTTTTCCTTGTTAACAGGAATATGAGTGAGTGCCAGAGTTTAGGGCCCAGGGTCCAGCAGGCTTTCTCACAGGGATCAGTTTTTAAGAACATGCATCAGTTTTATTTTTATCTTTCTGATTTTAAGAAAGCTGATAACAAAATGCCCTTCTTAGTCTGTGGCCGTGCTGTCTTTAGTGCTAGATGTTTGCATCGCCTAGGATCCCCTGTGGTCTGGGTGAGCCCTGTCTGGGCACACTGCATGTGTGCAGGGGGAAGAGGAATGCAGGTGGGAGAGGGGCCAGAGGATGGAGAGAGCACCAGAAGCAGCCAGGGAGAAACTACTCCGGCAAGGGAAGCTTGGGCTCAGAGATGGCCTCTGAGGCCCCTCCTCCCACCTCAGGACTGGACCTTCTTCTCTGGGTCCCACTTGCAATCCCCCTGCCCTTAAGACTCAAGACCTGGAAGCACTGTTCATGCTCCCCACCCTCTGCCCCAAGCTTGCTCTGGGAAAGGGCCCAAGGGCCCTCCATACCCTGGTTCCAGCATCCAGTGAAAACCCTGCCCCTCCCGCCATCCCCAGGTCTAAGAGGGTACTACTTTGTTGTCTGCTAAGCCTCTTATGTCCTGAGCATTTGAGGAGGTTGAGGTGTCGTGTTCTGAGCCCAGACACAGCTCAGGGGCCTACACCTGTGGGCCACATCCCTGAAACCCTGAGGGAGGCCAGCTTCACAGCTGGTCCCTCCATCCAGAGTTGGGCTTTGGGCCTTCTGGTCCCTGGTGAAGCCAGCCCTCCTGGCCTCTTGGCCTCTCTGAGTCCAGGTCTCCAGCCCACCCCAGTCTCCAAGGACAGGGGCTGAGCAAGGATACAGCAAACTACTGGCTGTGCTGAAGCCACAGGGGAAGGATGGGAGTAGAAGCTGATCCCCCTCAAAGAGCACAGGGTCTAGGGGCAGTGAGTGTTCTTCTGACCTCACTGCAAGGGACAGGGCAAGAGAATGCTCATCCCACAGTGACCTTGTGCCCGGCACTATACTAGGGCATGCCTGTTAGCTCAGGCAAAGACACCGCAGCCTGCCACCTGCCCTGTTCTGGCTTCTCTTAGATAGTGTAGAGCATGGTTGGGCAGTCCTGACCTACCCAGGCGAGGGGGGCTGGGAAATGAATGAGAGGACCTGAGGTGGCCAACAGGGAACGGGTCTTCAGCACGGTGGAGCACACCAGCCCATCCAAGGAAGCAGCTATGTCTCAGCTCCCGCTGGATGGAGGACGGGAGTCTGAAATTTGAACATTATTGTGAAATAGCCCAATTTAAAAAATAAATCTTGGATGGGCAACTAAATCAGAAAAAATAATTGTACAACACAGTGAGAACCAATGCCATCAGATTGCAGGAGAGTCCCACAGGCCATCACTTTGCAACCTCTGGGGTGATAAACACCAGCGGCTGAGTCTGTGGCTCTGCACCAATGGCTTCCAGGTGCTCCAGCTAAGCTGAGCCTGCAAGGGTTTGAGTAGGACTGAGAGGACACTGCCCCGTCTACAAGCTCATGCAGTTGGCAAAATGCACACAGCTTTGCAGGAGTTGGGATGGGACTCATTGGCCCTTGAATCAGTGCCCTGTTCAGAGTACCATCCAACCCAGAAATGGGCCAGATGCTGTCTGAGAATCCCACCCCAGCAGACTAGAACCAAACTGGAACCCAGGGGTCTCCTCCAGGATCCTAAGGGCCACCTGTCACCTTGCTCCAGATTTGCATGTTTTTGCTCCAGCAGCATATGCCAACAAGGACTGCAAACATTTTCAGATGACAGTGTCACAATTACAATCCTTGGGGCGGTTTGCTATTTCCTGTTTTCTCCTTTTATTCCCAAGCCAGGCCAGGCTCTATCACGGGAGGGGGTAGAGGGGTGATGGAGCTGAGACTAGGACAAAACAGAGGTGGAGCAGGGCCTACAGATGGGGCACAACTCACAGTGGACACCACCTTTGATGGTGGACACCACCTTTGATGGTGTCCCTGCTGCCTGGGGCCACCTGCCTCTAAACATGGCATCACAATGACTTCTCGCTTTGGAACAGAGTTTGCAAAGGCTCCAAGGCTGGTGTTATATTGTCCCCTAATGTGGCCTTCAGGTCTCTCCTAGGAGAGCAGCTATAAGCTCTAGCCCTGCCCTGACAGCGCTGCAGGGGAGGTGGTTGTGTACCTTTCATGGGATGCTTCTTTGCCCTGGGGAACGGCTTGATTGAGGCCTAAGTGTCTGACCCATGACCAGGTGTCCCTGTCCTTTGTGCTGGCAGATGCCCTTGTGACTCTTGCCTGACTTGTGTCCAGTTTATTCCTACCAGGACAGCCACTCTCTAGGACAGCACTGAGCAAAAGGGAAGGTAGATTTGGGTGTGTCAGTCAAGTGAGACACAGAGGAGGTAACTCAGCAAAACACATGAAATAACAGAACCAGGTGTTATTACTTACAGGTCCCAGAGAGAAGAGGGCAGCATGCCTCAGGGCCAGCGGGCAGCAGGGAGCTGTCTGGGGCACACAGGCTCCACCAGCACGTCGGGAGCAGGGCCGGGGGGACCCATGGGCCAGAACCTTTACTGGGGTCCAGGGCCTTATCTAAGCAGGTTTCCCATGGGAGTTATAGCTGGTGGGTTTAGAGCAAGCAGGCACACGTTCCATGGGGTTGCTGTGGTAGAGAGGGGGTCGCTGCGGCATATCTGCTCAGTCCATGCAGTCTGGACGTCAGTGGGGTGAATCGAGTAGGCTGTACCCAGCTGTCCCATAGGTGGTGGGGGACATGGTCACCAGGAGGCCTGGTATAAGGCAGAGGTCTGGATCAAACACATTGAGGAACTGGGAGGAGCCAGAGAAGTGGAAACTGTCAGGTGGGTCCAAGCTCTACCTCTGGTCTGAGAAAGTTAAATTTATATTCAAAATGGATGCTGGGGCAACATAAAATTCTAAGAATTCAGTCCAGGTGGAGACTCTGATCAGGGGCTACCCCCTCACTATCCCCATGCCTCTGGGGATATCTGGCCTCTGGTTGGGCCCCGGGTGGTGGCAATTTTCCAGGAGGCAGGAGCCCAGCCTCTGAGAAGTGAAGGAGTGGAGAAGGACATCTCCTGGACCACAGAGGCCCCCAGGCACTGCACCATGTGTAGGGCTGGCTTCTGTCCTTCCAGAGTGGGAAGCCCCATTGTCTTTACCAAGATGAGGAGGCCGTGCCCAGTCGTCCTCCGAGCCAGGTACTTGTCTGCCTCCTGCAGGTGCCCAACAGGGGCTGTGTTGGAGTCGAAGCTGAAAGTCACCCTCTGGCCCCATCTGCTAATTATCTGCCTCCCCCAGGCTGGGCTTCTATAAGTCCTGGGAGTGGAGCACCAATCTCTTCCCAGCAGGGAGCACATCTGAACCAGCCTTCCAGCAGGCCTTCCCCATGCCTCCAAGGCACTCAGAACTCAGAAGCCGATTCCTTCAGGATCTGCCTCAAAAGCAGCCGAGGGGGGCTTCTCTCTCCCCACAGGAACCACTGAGGCTAACACCGTCATCCCACCTCTTGTCCTCAGGCCAAACAAAGTTGTTACTTCCCTGGCTGCGATCAGGGTCTACAGCTGCCTCCTCAGTAGGAGTGGCTGTAAAAACAATTATTTCTTCTTTCATCTCAGTCAGAAAACTAAGCCGATAGTTGAAGAGGCAAAGAATCAAATATTAATAGAAATGGCTGTGTAATTCTTATTTGGAATATTAATTATGTGAAGGGAAAGACAGACGAGTTCTTTTCTGTGAAGTCCTAGTGAAGGAGCTCTCCCCAGTCTCATCAAAAAGCCTAATACAAATAAACAAGGTCCCAAGGCTGAACAGGACCTGCCCCAGGCAAAGTGCTGCAGTAGCAACACACCAAAAATAATCATGCCGTAAGTATCTCTGTGCAAACGCACTTATATTCATGCAGTTCTTTGGGCCCTGGTACCTATCTCTTAAAGGTTCGTGTAGGAAATATTAATGCCCCATTTTATAAGTGAAACAATAAGCTCAGAAAGGGGAAACCTCTTACCCAGGGACTCACAGCCGATAAGTCATAACTGTATCAGGAAGGATTGAAATCCGAGTCCAGCGCTCTCCCTGCTAAAGCCCCTTAACTTCGAAAATCTTAATCTCACAGCATCCCTGGGTCTACACCTTATTCGAACCATTCTATAGAAAAGGAAACTTGTATTTGAGAGACAGCATTGCTTTTGACCCCTTCCCAAATCCCCCGTAGCATCCGTCCACCCACCCATTCCCCGCTGTAGCTTCCCAGCACCCTAGGAGCCTAACCCATGTTTCTCAGGATCAGAACCCATGGGGTTGGTGCATCCGTGTGTGTTTTGCAGTCCTCAGGCTTTCCAGCTCAGTATTTAAAAAATATCAACACACCAAAATCACAGAACACAAGGTTTCCGCACCTTGGCAAATTCCCTGCTGACTCAGCCAGGCTGGGAGGGAGCCAAGTGTGGTAACTTCTCCGGCCTTGTGTGAGAAATATTTATTGTTGAATAGTCCTCTGTTTAATAAAAGGCACTCAGGCCTCTCGGTGAGGCAGAGAGGCTCCAGCAAGCACGACTCTATTTCCCAAGCCTGCCACTTTCCACTGGGATTATTCAGGGGTAGCTTCATCCTCACTTGTCCAGTAGAGCTTGTGTTTTCCCTCTGCAGAGCACAGGGTGTGGCCATGATTTACCTAAGTCAGAACAGGTTTTTCGGTTTCCATTTTCACCCTATTTTGGTTTTGCTTAGCGAACTAGGCAAATGACTTAACTCCTCTGCACTTCTGTTTACCCATCTGTGAAATGGCTAGAATGTAATGTAGACGCTGCTTGATTTGTAAAGAGCTAGCCTCTGATTCACCTCCAGATAACCTGATTCTTCCCAGAAGTGAGAGGCGAGGGCTTGTGTTTGGGGCTGAGGGGGCTCCTTCCTGGAGGCTGAACGGGTGGGTCTGTGTTGACTTGAAAGGAGCGTTTGAAATAAATGCCAGAATGCAACAGAGAAAATGGCAAAGGACTTCAGGGCACAGGAAAACTACCTCCACTGTTCAATAATGCACGAAGCTTTTTATGATGCTTATGAGAACAGCTCCTGTCTGCAGAGGAGAGGCCGACAGAGCCAGTTTCAGAACAGAGTGTTCATAATATATTGGATTCCAAATCCCAACGACCAAAGACCAGGGGGGTTAATCATGTTTCAATTACCTCCACAATTGCAAAGCATGATATTTATGTGATGTGCCCTGGCCATCTCTGTGTTAAAAGCATCCTTCCACTGGCCATAACGAGCACCTTCATGTCTGCCCCCTCCGGCCCACCCCTGCCTGTCCTGGGATTACTTATGTTCAGACTGGGAATTGATCACTGGCTTCCGAGCTTCTGTTGCCAGGATAACACACGGGGCTTTTTAATCTGTCAGGCTCCCCTTTGTTCTTTGGGGACTGGCTGCTGAGCAGTGCCCAGCAGGGGTCAGAGGCAGAAGGGTGGTGGGTGCTTTGCAGGGTGTGAGGGGAGGTGGCCAGGGCACCTGGTGTTCAGCAGGTTGATGACTCTGGCCCAGGTCTCTCTGAGCCCTCTAATGCTGTATCCTGCTGCCTGTTGGGGCAATCCATCAAGAAGCCCATCATCTTTCCCCAAAGCTGCCCTAGTCTCCCTGATCGCAAGCTCAGTGAATGACAGTCGCCCAAGTGAGGAGTCTGGGAATTGCCCCGTCCCAAGCTGGATTCCACTGTTGATAGCTTAAGGCCCTTCCTCTTCCTCCCCTGCTGTGTTGCCATAGCCCCAGTTCAGGAGTCCATCCCCCATGTGTAGATCTCTGCAACAGCCTCCCAAAAGGTCTCTGTGTCCTATACGCTCCGCTGCCTTCATTTCATTGTAGCCAGAGCTCTCCAGCCCGGCCCAGCCCAGCCCGACCCACTGTCTCATCCTTGCCACCAAGCAGCGCCCCCCCGCCTTCCTTGCCATCACCCTGAAGGCACCCGGAGGACTGATGGCTCCCAGATGCCCTTCTGCCTCTTGTCCCAGCTCCCCCAGCCTGGAAGCCCCCTGGCTCCACCCTCTGAGTGGTGCACATTTACTGCTGGTCGAGTATCCATGTGCTTCCCCGCATTTCCCAGCCCCTCTGCAATGATGCGGGGCCACGTGGCGAGTCCTGATCCAGGGACGGAGAGCAGGATGGTCAGTGTCATTTCCAGCTGAGGCCCAGAGGAGCAGGCGGAGATCCCCAAGTGCTGTCTCCCTCAGGATGAGACCAGGGACCTCCAAGGGCAAAGCAGCCACGGTCCCTGAGTCACTGCAAAGACACCTGGATGCCAAGTACGCATACGTGGACTGCTATGCCTACGTGGACTGCTATGCCTGGTGAAGCCCAGCTCAGTCACTCCTCTAGGAGCCCCCAGCTAAACTCAAGTCCAAGCAGTGCTTCCATAGTATCCTGTGATCTCCCTGAGGGAAGGAGCTTTGTGTCTGATAGAGTTTGGGTGTTTGTCCCCTACAAATCTCATGTTGAATTGTGATCCCCGATATTGGAAGTGGGGGCTGGTGGGAAGTGTTCAGGTCACGGGGGCAGATCCCTCATGAATGGCTTGGTGCCATCCACCAGAGTAACGAGCGAGTTTTCATGAGAGCTGGTTGTTAAAAAAAAAATAACCTGGCATCTCCTCCCCTCTCTCTTGCTCCCCTCTCACTCCGTGACATGCCAGCTCCCCTTCGCCTTCCTCCATGAGCAGAAGCTCTTTGAGGTCCTCACCAGGAGCAGATCCTGGACCCATGCTTCTCGTATAGCCTGCAGAATGATGCAGAACTATGAGCCAATCACACCACTTTTCTTTATAAATTACCCAGCCTCAGGTATTCCTTTATAGCAATGCAAAATGGACTAATACAGTCATTGCCGCCATCACTGCCTACCATGTTCTGAGCTCTGTCTAAATGCTTTACACATCTCATCTAATCCCAATAGTCGCCCTCTGAGGTCTATACTATTCCCATTTTGCCAACCCAGAAACTGAGTTCTCGCAGGTTAAGTGGCTTGTTTAGCCACCCCGCTACTGAGGGACAGCCTGTCCAAGCCCACATGCTTTCCACATCAGTATGTACAGCCAGCACTTAGCACAGGGGTGCCCACGGTGGGTGCCTGGTGAAGTTCGTTGAATGAATACCTAAAAGATGCTCCACCTTCCGACCTTCCTTTTACGCAGTGGAGCCTGGGGCTGGGCGAGTGGGGGGGGGTTTCCCAATGGGCACTGGGGACAAATGGCAAGTTGTGCCCAGGAAGGTACATCCAGGGCAGGTGACTCCAGACATTTTCCCTCAACTCAAGTTGCAGGTTACTTTTGTGATGGGGTCTTTGTTTCCTTTCTTTGTTCAAAAGGAAACCAAAGAAGGATGGGCTGGCCACAGCCCCCATCGCTTGCTTCCACCCTGACACTCATCTGAAGGCTGTGGTTTGGCCTCAGGACCTCTGGCAGCAGCGCCCATGTGACTGCCCCTGCCCCTCACCACCTCTGTTTGGGGGAGGGAGGACGAGATGTCTGAGCTGGGCCTGAGGCAGTGGGTGGGGCGCTGGGAGGCAGGATGAAGAGGGGAGCTTGCAGGGGCTCTGGCAGCCTCTGCTCTGGTGACACATCCAGCACAAAGAACCATTAGGCCAATTGTCTTCCTTCCTGGGCAAAAGAAAAGCACAGCCAAGGTGACAAGTGAGAAGGCTGTTTGAGAGTCCCCAGGGAGTTGGGGGTGGGTGGACGGTCAGCTCCGGGAGGTGGTTTGGGTGGAAGGAGGAGGGCTGCAAGGTGAGCAGACAGTTTGGAGTTTGTCCTTCCATGACTGGTGGCATGGTGTCAAGCTCTGGGCAGAAGAGAGGGACTCTGCCTTCCATGGGCATGGGTTTGTCGGCATGGCTGTACCCAATTGACCAGTCACTGGGCCTCGGGAACCCACTGAAGGTAGTTGTTTGTCTTTTTCTGCTCTGCCTGGCCTGCCTGAAGGCCCACTGAGACAGCCTGTGGGGTTTGAATTCACTCTTCATGATCAGCTTCTCCTGGGGATTAGAAAATCCACAGCCTAAAGCCATCTCCTGCCCCACCCACCTCCACCATCTGCAGGAAGGAGACAGTGGAAGAGAGAGAGAGCCCCTCTTTTCCCTTGGGATACTGTCATGTTTGTGTCTAGCTGTGATGCCCAGAGCAGCTGCACCTCACCTCCACCCTGAAGATGCAGCCAATGGGCAGAGCTCATGGGATCCAGGAGAAGTGAAGTCAGAGCTTTGACATCCTGTCTGGAGCATGACCTGCCAGGATTTCTGGGCTGTGAGATGACAAATGTCCTTAAGTCTTAGATTAGTTTGAGTTGAGACCTTCTATTGCTTATAACAACATCATCCTAAGGATGTTTTTGGGAGTCTGGGTCTTATCCTGGGGCAATGGAGAATAGATAATGAATGCTGGTGGATGGATGGATGGATGGATGGATGGATGGATGGATGGATGGATCAATGGATGAATGGATCAATGGATGGGTGGGTGGATGGATGGATGGATGGATGGATGGATGGATGGATGGATGGATGATGGTCACTTCCTGGTCAAAAAATATGAGGCTGCTATAAAGGAAATGGATTGTCAGGAGGAGGCTTCGGGAGCCAGAAGCAGGAAGGATTGGAATCTAGTAGGAGTTAGGGGCCTACCAGTCCATGCCAGCCCCACCTTTGCAAAGAACATTCACCAGAGATGGGAAGCCCCCCCATGGAGCAGTCAGCCCATCCAGCTGCTGAGATGGCGCCATGACCTAGAGGGACATCAGGCATCCCGTGCAACACGGCTCCCACTGTTGTTGTCATGCCGACATGAGTAAAACTCTGCAGAGACGCAACATGCATTGTCTCTCCACCCACAGAGACAAGCGGAGTGTCCGTGTGTCTGACTGTGTCAGCACAGTCATTAAAAAGCATGTTTCATTGAAAACACAACCACATAATCACAGCCATCACCTCCTATTCCCTTTAATAAATGAAGAAGTAAATCTCAGACCTAAAGCCCAAGAAATGTCAGTGTGGGGACTTGGGAGAAGAAAACAGATCACAAAATTAGGGCATTTACTCTCCTGTATGATTGCTACTCCGATAAGCCACCCTGCCCGAGGCAGCCACCTTGTTTATCCTAAATGCTCATTAACTGTTGGGTCATGGACAACAGATGCTCAGGGTGCTTACGGGACATTGGTGTGGAGCTCATCTGAAATCTCTTGGGAGACCCTGTTGGGGCAGGAACGGGGAATCACACTTGGTTGGGCTTATATCACAGCTCTGTCATTTCCCGCCTGGATGATCTTGAGGTGGTCTCTCCTCGGCAAGTGTAACATGGCGGTTTGAGGGGGTCTTTTTTGTAAGGGTTAGGTCCATGTCAGGGAGAGCGGAGGAGCTGGGTTCCCTGGAGGAATTGAAAGCAGGGAGTTCAGTTGGGAGGGAGGGAGGGTATAATGTGTAGGTGACAGAAGGGCTGGCTTTTTCATGTTTTCTCACCACAATTTTTAGCCTCCTAAAATTTTATTCTCTGCCATAGATTCAATATTACATTGTTGGGTTCTGCTTAAACAGGTTATTTATCAGTCATCTGCAAAATGAGACCCACCGAGGCCTATCTCAGTTGTGAAAGTCCAATGAAGCACTTTCTGTGTTGGCCGGAGCTGAGCCACACCCCTCCCTAATCCACCTTATCACAAACCAAAATTGTCAGTGCCCTGATGGATTCACAGGCTTCCTCCAATTTCACCAGCACCCTCAGGTTCAGCTGGCCAGGGACACCCTCACGGTTCACCTCTGACTTCACACTCTTTGAGCCCCGTATGTCCCCTGCCCTTATGTAAGGGTCAGGGAAGGAGTGGGGAGGTGAGGAGCTTCAGCAGAGGTGCTTATATGGTCATTTTTCCATCAGCTTTCAAAACTCCCATGGTGTCTCCAAGACAGCAGCCTATGTGGCCAGCATTAGGATGAACCCAAAGTATTGGGTATTCACCCTGTGGAGTTTCCACAAGAGGATGGAAAAAGACAGAAAGTACATAAATGATGTCGGTTCCAATGAATCCACATATCTGAGAAGCTGGTGCAAAAGATGCCTCTGTTCTAGATCATTCTCTGCATCTCCTCTCTGACCTGATTGACCTAGAGTCCCCCTTACCCTGTTGTATATGTGGGGGTCTGAGATCGACTGCCCCTAATAGCAGAGGAAAAACCTTCCCAGGCCATTGATGGACATTATTCAAGAGTCCATCTCATAATTCCTGCAGGCTTGAGAGCAGAACATTGGTGTGAGCTCAGGAAAAGTCAGGGGATAAGAGATAGAGGGAGTAGAATTCAACAATAAACTTTCTACACGGCCTCCTCTCAGCCCCATCCAGGGGGGAGGGCTGGCAAGAGCTGGATAGGATGTCAGGCACCGTGCCAAGCAGGGAAACTGAGGCAGAGGCCAGCCCTGGGACTGGGCCTGCAGAGCAGAGGGAAGGGAAGACACCATCAAGTGCTCCAGAGGGTCTCCTGGGATGATGTCACGTTCACTGGCTCTGGAGGACTTCCAGGACATACTACCTAGTGGCAAGACTAGCATCTTATATCCTTAGGTTCCCATCATGGGCCCCAGCAACTCTGGTCGGGATGCTCAGGGGAAGGTGGCGACCAATGTTCCAAAGAACTCAAACATCATTCACCTGCTTCCCACTGGGCAGGCTATTCTATGAATACTCCTAGCACTGGGAACATGACATGCGGAGGGAGGGCCCGAGAGAGCCGTATAGATGACTGTGTCTTTTTAAAGACTGTGTCTAAAGAACTGTGTGGGCAGGGGCTTCTGAAGAAGATGGAAATGGAAATGTCCATTTCTGGTTTTGAAAGTACCAGAAATGAATAGCCTCCTGAAGACGGAAGAAGGCTCTGCTGGCTAATATTGATTATCTTTGGGGCCAGAAGTTGTTTTGCAGTTGTTGCTGATTGAAAGGTTTTCTATTAATTCCTACTGGCAGGCAGAATAAGAAATATCGAACACCTAATTGCCTTTGAATTAACGACACCCCCACATGTAATATCTTAACCAATGCACCACGCAATCGATGCTTTGCCGAACTAGGCAGGTTCGGAAGGCGATGGCAGTGCAGCCCCGGGCGGGGGCAGGGGAGCACTAAAGCACCGGGCAGTGGGCTCAATGCAGCGCCTCCTGCTCATTTTTGGCCATCAATAAAGTTGGTGGGCAGGAAGCCCCTCCCATCAGGGCCCTAGAAAACAGAGATGGGAGCACTTTGCTGGAGCGAGCTGTGGGCAAAGAATGGAGCACTGAACTAGGAGTCAGAGATGTGCATCCGAGGCTGCCTCCACCCTCATCCTACCCTCATCCTACCCCATGTGACCCCCTATGTCTCTGTCCCCTTGGCTGCAAAGTGAGACTCACTGAGAACCACCTCATTTGTGAAAATCCAGTGAAATAACTCATTGCTGTACATGAAAGCATTCTGTAATCTATGAATGCATCTACTCATTCATTTAAAAATGTTTATTGTCAGGGTGCAGTGGCTCACGCCCGTAATCCCAGCACTTTGGGAGGCCGAGGCAAGTGAATCACCTGAGGTTAGGAGTTCAAGACCAGCCTGGCCAACATGGTGAAACCCCACCTCTATTAATAATACAAAAATTAGCCAAGTGTGGTGGTGCATGCCTGTAATCCCAGCTACTCAGGAGGCTGAGGGAGGAGAATTGCTTGAACCCGCAAGTCGGAGGTTGCAGTGAGCCGAGATTGCACCATTGCACTCTAGCCTGGGCGACAAGAGCAAAACTTCGTCTCTCTCTCTCTCTCTCTCTATAGAGAGAGACAGAAAAGATAGGCAGGAAGCCAGGAAAGAAGGCAAGCAGGAAGAGAGGAAAGAAAGAAGGAAGGAAGGGAGGAAGGGAGGGAGGGAGGGAGAGACGGAAGGAAGGAGATAACTCTGTGATGATGCTGGAATGTACATGTCTCAGTGAGCAGTGACAGATGAATAGCCCTTTCTAAAGACCCCTTAAAGACACAAAATGGTAGGTAGCAGAGAGAGAGAGAGAGAGACGGAGTTTTGCTCTTGTCACCCAGGCTAGAGTGCAATGGTGCAATCTAATATATATATATTATTTATATATATTATTTATGTATATTATTTAATGTATATTAAATCTAAATATATATATTTAGCCCTAGTACATCAGCACTGTTCTGGGTATTAAGCTTACAGTCATGAGTAAACCAGACTGAATCCTTGCCCTTAGAGAGATTGGCTTCTAGTAGGGAGGCAGGTGATGAGACGAATAAGTAAAATGTGTAGCACTTCAGTGGCAAAAAAATATAAAGAGAAAACATACATCAGGGAAGGAGAAATAAAAGGATAAGAGGACAGAAATTGGAGACGGTGAGTAGAGACCAGGTTCTCCAAGAGTTTAGCTGTGAAGGGAAGGAACTGAGTGGGTTAGAGTTGGAAGGCAGGTGGGGTCATGGGAGGGGTTTACGTTTACAAGGAGAAAGTATGGCATGTTCGGGTTTTGATGGGAATGAACCCATGAAGAAAGAAACCTCCTTGAAGGAGGAGGAGGGGGAAATTTCTAGAACAGTGTCCTTTAGAGCAGGAAAGAGAAGATGGGATCTGGCACCAGGGATTGACCTTAGCTGGACACAGAGATGGTTTGTCCACAGTAATAGGAGAGAAGATCATGAGGGCCAACAGGCTGGTGGGTGGGGCGCTTACGGACATTCTTGGGTTGCTTTAATTTTCTCGTTAAAGTAGGTACAAGGCCTTCAGTGTTGAGCGGAGATGGGGCAGAGGCCCTGGGGCTTGCAGGGACAGGAGAGTGAACATATGGCCAGCTGTGTGTGGTCCTGGTCCAGCACCCCAAGGCAGACCAGGCACTGTGGCTGTGTCTTCCTTCAGCCACATTTGGTTTCCAGAGTGCAGGCCAGGGTAGGTAGCCGAAAGGTAGATTCAAGAGGGGTGTAGTTGACCCAGAAAGCACAAAAAAGCAAAAGGGGCTGGGGCGTGGAAGAGGATGTGAGGCAGTGGTCATAATGACAGCCCAGGGAATTCAAGCTGGGTGAGGATGGGGTGGGGAACAGTGAGAAGGACCAAGGGACAGAACCTCCTGATGGGTCAGTGGATCGTTGGATGGGAATAAACCTAGGCAGGGGGTGGTTGTTCAAATACCAGTTGTGGCTCTGGTTTGGGCAAATCTTCACTCAAGTATTTGCTGGGCTTTCCTATGAGGCCAACATTCCCCTAAGCACAATCAGGTGAGGAGATCATGGTTGGGTGGATGGGTAGATGGATGGCAACCCCCTCCAGGCTCCTATGGTCCCTTTAGAAGAAGACACTTTGGGGTACTTTTCAAATCACTCACCTTCCTGGAGCTTCTGACAAATAGTGCTGCAGGGACTACTCACATGTTTACACACAGCAGGCCCTGTTCTAAGCCCTGTGCATAGATTGTCCTTCTTAATTCTAACAAGATAATAAGGGAGAATTAATACCATTCTCCAGTCACATGGGCATGGCTGGGGAGGTTAAGTAATTTGCTCCCAGCCACAGAGGTGGCCTCAGAGCTGGACATGTGCCCAGGCAGTCTGACTCCAGGCTCTTAACCACTCCCCAGTACCCCTTCCACACGTGGAACCCCCACCCTGCTTGGAGGTAGTGATCCTACCTCGTTTACAAACTATTCATCGAGTCTATCCAATAAACCCATTTACTGGTAGAAAAACTGAGGCACAAAGAGGAGGAAGCCTTCCCAAAGGATGGTTTTTTGCAGTGCATTGAGGCAAAACCCTGCGTGACTTAGAGTCCCAAATCTGGGTTCAAATCCTAGCTTCACCTTTATTGGCTGAGAGATCTCCCCAGTGTATGGTAAATGCACCTGACAGCAATAACTTGTGCATCCCCTGAGAATGACCCTGTATGGAAGACGCACCTGAATGCAGTTCAGAGTTTGAGCTAAGGAATCGGGAATGCCCAACCCAGAGGCTCATTCCTCATCTATGAGGAACATCTGAGTCTCCGGCCTGTCCCGTGGAGTATTGGCCATACACGGAATTGAGGCCCTTTGTTTTGGGTCACATGAAGGTTGCCAGGTGGAGGTCGTTAGAGGGAGGGTGCTAAGTGAAAATGCTACATAAAGTGCATGTTTTTTGCAAGCGGTTGTGGCTCTCCTGTCCAGCCCACTGGCCCTGGACTCTCTCCTCTGTATGTAGCCCCAGTAAAACCCCATGTCTCATTCACTGGCTCTGGGTCTCTTCTTTGGCCTCTTAAACCTAATGCCATCCCCACTGGAGTCTATATGGATGTGGCATGACACCAAGTGACTCCAGCTCTCAGCTGAACTTGGCAACTTAACCAGGGAAGCCAGCCATCTGACCTCAGCCCATCCACTGCGCACATTGTGTGGTTTCTCTAAGGACGGAGCATCCTTGCTTCTCAAGAGGAGGTCAGAACCCCCTTCCCACCTCGCAATGGGGATGTGAAGGATGCCAGCACACATCTTTGTGTTGTCGGCTTGTAACATCTCAACCCTGTTGCAGGGGCGAGGGCATCTTCCCGCCAGCGTTATTTCTTTGCTCCCAACTCGTAAACCAGAACATAAACTCGCAAAGCTGCTCCCTTCTTTTCCTCCTTCCAGCAGGAAGCCTGCTAACACTTATAATTTGATCACCATTAGCACACCACTGTAGAGCATTGGGGTGGAATTTTTGAAGTGACTGTTCTAATTGCCATGGCTCAGCCCCCTGAATACTAAAAAAACCCCAAAATACTAATAGTTATATGTTCCACTGAGAATATGAAAAAAGAAAAGGAAATGAAATTGTACTTTTACAAAACCACTCAATGTTATTCTAAAAACACCTTCCATTTGAGATTTCATTTCAGTGTGAAGACATGGCTGTGGGGGCTCCAGGGGACAGCCTGGGCCAGGCCTTCAGGAGGAGGAGGAGGCCGCAGTGGGAGGCTGTTTCCAGGTGCCGTGGGCTAACAGCAGCCCGGCTGAGGCCTCTCTTCAGATAACAGACTTGGCTCTGAGCCACGCTTGATCAAATCAGCACCCTTTTGTCAGGAGGCTTTGGAGCTCCAGGTTCTGGGGTTGAGAGCCGAGGGACCTTGGAGGAAGAACCACTTTCTTCTCACCCGGTGTGGCAGGAAAGGGAGCTGCCAGGGAGGGCAGCGCTTCAGCTAACCAGCGTGGTCTGCTCCCCTCATAGGCCAGTGCTCTGCCGGCCTCAGCTGAATGGGGATCCAGGGCAAGGAAGTGGAAGCCTTTTGGGACACACCCTGGCACAGAAGTCTCCAGAAGGATAGGAACACAGCCAAACATGGAGCCAGGGGCTGTGCAAACCTGGCCTCACCCAAACTCGGTCCTTTGCCTTGGTCCTTGCCCTCAGCCCTGATGCCATGAAATGCCCTCAAGGCCCCTGCACACTTTTGGTCCTGATTTTAGCCTCTGGACAGCGCTTGTCACTAGGGGCCACCCTCCCTCTCTGCCTTGGTCTCTTTCCCATCCTGTTCGCACCATGCACACCCCTGCAGGGTTCCATCCAGCTTCCTGCTCTTCCTTATTCCATCAGTAGATATCTGAGCACCCGCTTTGGGCCAGGCCCTGGCAGGGGCGAAGAGACACTGAGTGTACATGTTAGCGGGTGAGTCAGATAGGAAGAAAAACAAGGTGTAGATCAGGAAGGCTTGAGTCTCGCATGTCCAAACTCTTTCCCCAGTTCCCCCAGAGTGAAGGATTCTGGCACGGAATGTCAGGGTCCCAGGATTCCCAGCCTCACTCAGCTTTGAGACAGAGAGGAAGCCACTTAGCTGCTTCAGGCCTCAGTTTCCCCACCTGTAAAGTGAAAAGGCTGGACTATAACCTCTAGGTCATCACGGTGCTGTAGAACTTTCTGCGATAATGGGAACTTGTACATCTGTGTGCCCAGGTCAGCTGTCACTAGCCATATGTGGGTGTTGAGCACTTGAGGAACTGGCTTTTTTATTTAATTTCTATCCATTTAAATTTGAGTAGGCGCATGTGGCTGGTAGCTACCGTGTCAGACAGCACAACTCTAACCATGCTGGCCATTCATCCAACACTCCAGAATGATGCAATAGCATTAGCCAACCATGCAATGACGTTACCTGCAAACTCTCTGAGTTGACCAACAAAATAAAGATGCAGAGGAAGGTGAAGCAGTTCTGATTTTCAAATGGACTCATGTCTCCTTCCAAGAAAAAGACCCCACCCACCACAGGTGAACTGGGGGAGCACGGGAGCAGCCATCTGGCCCTGTGGCCCTCCACCCTGGCTGCATGATAGAATCTGCTGGGGGACATTTTTAAAAGTGCTAATTGGCCAGGCACAGTGGCTGACGCCTGTAATCCCAGCACTATGGGAGGCTGCGGTGGGCAGATCATGAGGTCAGGAGATTGAGACCATCCTGGCCAACATGGTGAAACCCCGAATCTACTAAAAATACAAAAATTAGCTGGGCATGGTGGCAGGTGCCTGTAATCCCAGCTACTTGGGAGGCTGAGGCAGGAGAATCCCTTGAACCAGGGAGCCGGAGGTTTCAGTGAGCCAAGATCACACCACTGCACTCCAGCCTGGTGACAGAGTGAGACTCCATCCCGGAAAACAAAAACAGAAACAAGCAAACAAAAAAACATTAATAACCAGGTCCCACCCCAATCAAATGGAGTCAGAATCTCTGGGGCTGGAGCTGGGCTTAGTCGTGTTCTTAAAGCTCCTCATAGATTCTAACATGCAGCCATTGTCTTGTCCAACTGCGTCACTGAACTGGTGGGGAAACCGAGGCCAAGAGGGGAGAGAAGTTTGTCCAGGTCACACCATGAGTTGATCTCAGAGCCTGAGCAGGACCCAGCTCCCTGCACTGCCTGGGCCAGGCTCTGGGAGCAGCACGCAGGATCCGAGGGGGAGGCGACCTCCTGATTTCCCTGGTAACAGAGCTGTGGCCCAAGCGGAGCTTCTGCCCACCTGTGCCATTTTAATTTCCCAACTGCAGGTGAGTCAGCCCGCGTATGCCAGTGCTCTGAAGGATGGCTCAGAGCCATCTCCCTTTCTCACTGGAGGGTATTATTAAGACCAGGGCTCCATACATTGGAGAAAGATAGCTCTTCCTTTGTCACATAGTGAAATAAGCAATTTTCTAGGGAAACATTCACATTTAAGCTCATTCCAGACACGAAGAGCCCCAGCTCATCACACCGCACCCACCACCTGTGCCTGAAGGGACGGGGAGGCAGGCTAGGGGTGGGAGGTGGGGAGGAGGAGGTAAGGGGAGGCAGGCCAGGGGAGGAAACTTCGCTGGGTCCAAGCCCCTTTAGGCCAGGAAGGAAGGTCCCTGATGCAGCAGGGGATACTCAGCCCCTGACCCCAGGCAGGGCCTGGCCCTAGGAGCCTCATGGTTGGCATGGGCACTCCCACCACCCCGGGCTCCTAGGTTCCCCTCTGAACACAGAACTGGCCACTGCTCCACCTCCCTCAGGACCTCCTCTGCCAAGGAGCCTGCTCTTCACCCTGGCTGCTGGGGTAAATTGTTTGTACCCCAGCTCCTGTCTCATGGGCCGCTGGTGACCCAGCCCTGGCAGACCCGGGTTCAGGTCTCAGCTTTTCTACTTAGTAGCTGTGTAGCCTCCTATCAGAGCCTCATCATCATCTCTAAAGTGGGGATGAAGCGGAGCCTACCTTCCTGGGGTTGCACGGGGAAGAGCGTGGTCAGCACAGTCCCAGGCACACCACAAGTGCCCAGCAAACGGTGTTGTTTTCCCTGAGCCCCTCGTGACCATGGGCAGCCCCTCATGCCCCTGAGGCCAGGCCTTTCCCAGTTCCCTTTGCATTTCCTAGTTCCCACCAGCATTTCTTAGTGCCTGGCCAGGCACTTGCACAAATATTTTGCAAATTTGTGTTAAATGTGTTAAAAAGTGCCCAGAAAGAAAGGAACTGGGATTGCCTCCCCTCTGTGTTCCTTCTCCAGAAATTAGAATTGGAAGCCACTGTCCCCATCACTGATAAACCAGACAAACACAGGCCATCCTGCTGCAGCTTCCGCCTTACAAACCCACGTGCACCAGACACAGTCCCCGGGAACAATAGGCGGAAATGAGGGGGCCTGGGAACGCTGCCCGAATCCTGCCCAATTGTTCAGGACCCTTGCATAGAAGATGCGGGTGGTGTGGAGAGGAGGCCCAAGAGGGTGGGCCTGACAGTAAAAAAACAGGAACCGGTGCAGGAAGTCGGGGGTGTTGGACGTGTCTGATGTGTGTGTGACATGTGGTGCATATATAGGGTGTGTGTGTGTGGTGTGTGTGTCTCTGTTGTGCACGGCATGTGGGGTGGATGTGGGGGATATGGGGTGTGTGTTTGCGGTGTGTGTGGGGTGTCTGTGGTGTGTGTCTAGCGTGTGCTTTGTGTGTGGATGTGTGTTTGTGGTATGGGTGGTGTGGTGTGTGGTATGTGCATTTGTGTGGTGTCTGCGGGGGGTGGTGGGGGGTGGTGTGTGGAGGGTGTGTGTATTTGTGGGGTGTGTATTTGTGGTATGGATATGTGGTGTGTGTAATATGTGATGTGGTATATGTATGGTGTCTGTGATGTGTGTGGTGTCTGTGATGTGTGTGGTATGTGGTGTCCTTGTGGTATGTGTATGAGTGTATGGCATGTGTATTTGTGGTGAGTGTGTGGTGTGTGTTTGTGGRGTGTGTGTGGGGTGTGTGTGTGGGGTATGGTGTATGTATGGGTGTGTGTGGTGTCTGTGGTGTGTGTGTGGTGTGTAAATGAATGTATAGTGTGTGTGGCGTATGTATGGGGGTGTGCGTGGTGTGTGTGTACGTGTGGTGTGTACATGGGTATGTAGTCTGTGTGGGGTGTATATATGGGTGTGTGGGGTATATGTGGGGGTGTGGTGTATGTGGGYGTATGGTATGTGTGCTGTCTGTGGTGTGGTGTGTGTATGGAGTGCATGTGTGGTGTGTGTGTGAGAGATGTATGTGTGGTGTGATGTGTGTGGTGCATTTGTGTGGTGTGTGTGGTGTGTAAATGAATGTAGTGTGTGTGATGTGTGTATGGGTGTGTGTGGTGTCTGCGGTGTGTGTATGGGGGTGTGTGTGGTGTCTGTGGTGTGTGTATGGGGGTGTGTGGTGTCTGTGGTGTGTGGTGTGTAAATGAATGTATAGTGTGTGTGGTGCATGTATGGGGGTGTGTGTGGTATGTGTGGTGTGTATA